>NC_000017.11:50060980-50685980 GCF_000001405.40 Homo sapiens
CTGGAGGAAGCTGGAACCACCCTCTGCACACCCGCCTTCCCCCATCCATGTGCAGGCCTCTGGCTGTAGACCCATTGGATCCTGGGCTGGGAGCCAGAGGGCCTTAAAGGGCCTCTGAGTGGGCCAAGTGGAAGCTAAAAATACTCTGGGGGGGTGAAGCGGGGGCTCACTCTGGAATCTCTGAGGAGGGAGGGGCCTGGGATGTAGGGCTGGGATTAGGGCACTGGCCCTGCCCTGCCCTCTATCAGTAGGCATAAGGCTGGTTCCAGGCAACAGGCAGGAGGGTATTGGTGGTAAGGGGAAGTATTTCAATCTGATTGACATGCGTGCCCAGCTCTGCCTGCTCAGTACCTTGGGAAGTTCAGAGGAGGGAGTCCCTTAGCCCCTTCCTGGCTGAGTTGAGGGGGCTGGGAGGGCATGGAGACCCTTTTGCTCAGCTGCCTCCTGTATGACAACATGGGCAGGGCAGCAGCAGCAACAAGGGGGCAACACTTCCATTACAGGCGTGCCCAAGGCCCGGCCTCCCACTGAGGCCCGGACCCCTTAGTGTCACTGTAGAAAATTCCCAACCTCCACCTCCAGCCAGATCTGAGCCCCCGCTGTAGAGTGACTCTAGCTGCCAGCGCTCCCACCCTGACCCCAGTGATCACCTGGTATCCTCAAGCCATGGAAGTCTTCCTATGTCTCCCTGCTGATCTCTCTAAACCACCAAAGGAGTCTCTTCTTTTCCCTCTGCTCCAGGTTCCCTAACATGCCAGGGCAGAAATTCCTGGGTCCAGCCAGGCACGGTGGCTCACGCTTGTAATCCCAGTAACTTGGGAGGCCGAGGCGGGTGGATCACCTGAGGTCAGGAGTTCGACATCAGCCTGGCCAATATGGCGAAACCCCATCTCTAGTACAAATACAAAAATTAGCTGGGCGTGGTGGTGCATGCCTGTAATCCCAGCTACTTGGGAGGCTGAGTCAGGAGAATCACTTGCACCCGGGAGGCGGAGGTGGCAGTGAGCCGAGGTTGTGCCACTGCACTCCAGCCTGGGTGACAGAGCAAGACCCTGTCTCAAAAAAAAAAAAAAAAAGAAAGAAAAAAAGAAATTCCTGGGTCCCTGGAGGGAGGGCTGGAGGCATGCTAGACCAGTCCTGATGCCACAACAAATCGGAACAACAATGCTCACATTAGCTATGGCTTCATATCAGAACACCTTTTTGTAGAATAGACCTATTTGTTCCTCTAGCAACCCTGGAGGTCAGCAGGAGAGGGGCTGCCCCCATTTTACAGATGGGGCACTCAGGGCTCAGAGAAGGAAAGGAAATTGCCCCTTCAGGCAGAACAAACCCTAGACCCAGGTCCGTGGGTTCTCAGGCTGAGATGCTCCTTTCCCGCAGGCTGTGGGTCCCTTCTCTCATCTGTCAGGCACGCCAGAGAGCGGATGTCCATGGGTGGTCAGGCAGTGGACTCATCGAGGCCTTCCCAGCCCAGAGAGAAGTGACTCTCCAGGCCTGGCTGCCACCCTGGCCCCCTGCCAGCCTCCCTGGCCAGGAAGCTTCACCCCTTCTCCCAGGAACACTTCCCCAGGGTGAGGTCTGAGCTGTTGTCTTGAAGTATAGGCAAGGTCCCACCCCCTTCCCAGCACCCGCAGGCAGTACATTCCTGACTCCCAGTGGGTGGAGATACCCCAGGCCCTGGCATGCCCAGGCCCTGCACTGCCCTGCCCTGCCCAGCCCACTCCCTGTAGCCCACACTCACAGGTCCCAGGCAGAAGCTACAGGCGTGGCTGTTGCTTGGCACTTCCAGACTGGCAGGAGGCCCAGAGCCCAAGTTCTGAGCTGGGAGCTGTAGAGTGATAGAGTTGCTGGGGCCAAATGGTGGGGCACCTGGGAGGTGCCTGCCACCCGAGAAGGCCAGGGCCATCAGGATTGAGCAGGGGCTCCTGGCAGAACATTTAGAGGCTGCAGGGAGGTGATGTGGGGAGAAAATCTGCTAAAACTGAGTTCTCAAACTGGGGTGCACCAGATTCCACCAGATGGTGTGTTGTGGGCAGAGGAATCTACCTTTTTAACAAAGATCCCCGGGGTTTCTGATGGCCCAAGGCTTGTCCTCTAAGATGGCATTTCAGGGCCAACCCCTGCCTCTTTCTGCTCCAGCCACCCCTCTGGTATGGGACGGGTTGCCAGGGTCCTAAGCATCCTTGCAGGAACTTGCTGTCTGCATCCCCAAAGATGGATTCTGGGCAGGCTGGGAGCAAGGCAAGAGCCCTTTCCCTCCCCACCTGCTGCCCACCCACTGGGAACTCTGCTCTGGGGCCACATTGTCCAAAGTGTCAGGTACTTATCCCAACCCCTACCTGTGTGCCTGTCTTAAGGTAACTGGGGAAGGATGTTGGACATCACCCAGGTCGCTTAGGGGCCCAGGTCTCCAAGATCTGAGTCTCCACATGGCTTCAGGAGGAAAAACCCAGCGTTCTGACAACCCAGTCCCCTAAGTTCTCCCCTCTGAACCCCCAGAATTTGAACTCTCTGCCAGGATTCCTCATCTTGCTCTCTTCTGGTCTACCTTCATCTCAAAGGCCAAAGCATTCCTTCCAAAACTGAGATCTGGCCATGTCATGCCCCTGCCTAAAATCCCTCTGTGGTTCCCCTAAGGACCTTCCCAGCCTGCCTTTGTGTGCCTCCCCAGAGGCTCCTGGACTCCAGCTATGCTGAGGGCCTTGCAGGTCTCTGATTCACCCTGCTGGCTCTTGCTTCCTGGCCCTGCACATGTGTGCCTTTGCCCAAGTGCTCTTCCTCCCCTTCTTCACCTGGAGAACCCTGGTGATTGTCCTCAGACTCAGATTAGGTCACCTCTTCTGCTGGCCTCCATCACTGCCCCCTCAGCCCTGAGCCTGGGCTACTGTGCTCCCTGCTTCCCACTCCCGGGGCACTTCCTTCTAGTGTCTTTTTTCCTTGCCTGCCTTACCCTACACTGGGCACTTCTGGAGGGCAGGAGCTGGGGGTCTCCTGGCACCAAGAATCTGTAAATGTATGTTGAATAAATAACAAGTTGTTCCAAGTGGGGCTTGGGGAGTCTGAACCCGGACCCACCTCCGTCCCTATCCCCAGGCTCCTGGCTGGTGCCCCCCGGGAGCTCGCTGTGCCCGATGGCTACACCAACCGGACTGGTGCTGTGTACCTGTGCCCACTCACTGCCCACAAGGATGACTGTGAGCGGATGAACATCACAGTGAAAAGTGAGGGGAAGGGGCTGGGGAGGGGTGCTGGGTCAGAGGTCTGGCAGGGGGGTACCGCAGAGAGAATGGCCTGGAGGAGATAGAAGGCTTGTTCACACGGCTTCTAGTCGCTTCTTGTCCAGCTGGGAAGAGGGTGCCCTAGAGGAGAGTGGGGCTGGATGGGATTGGTAGAGCTCAGAATAATGACGAGCTGGAGAAGGGGAGTTGGGAGGGCTGCCCTGTGGGTGGAGGGCCCAAGCGGGACCCACTCCTGCCCTCTGGAGACTTTGGGCACTGAAGTATGGGTGAGGTGCTCTGATTCATGATCCTTCCGGTGCCCACAGATGACCCTGGCCATCACATTATTGAGGACATGTGGCTTGGAGTGACTGTGGCCAGCCAGGGCCCTGCAGGCAGAGTTCTGGTAAGTGGGTGCTCAGTGTTGGCTCCTCCACCTCTACCCGGCTCTCCCCTCATCTCCAGAGCTGGGAGGAAAGAAGAGGGCAGCAGGGGGGTCCACGGCGCGTGTGTGCTGGGGCCTGCACACATGTCCCTTCCTGTGGCTGTGTGTCCCTCGCTCTCTGCACTCCTGGGGAGGGGGTGAGTATCCTGTGCTCTCCCAAACCCCCGCACGGCCTGAGTTCTCTGACTCATCCACTTCCTCCGCATGCCTACACTGGGTGCTCAGCCTTCGTGGGAACAAGCCGAGGGAGCCGAGGGAACTGCAAGGAGGAGAAAGGGCAGAGAGGGCCCCAGGCAGCTCAGCGCTGGCTGGCGCTCCTTCCTGGGAGGCTGACTGCCGGAAGAGGCCCAGCCCTGCTGACCCCGGCTCACCCAGCTCTGGTCTGGGGGCTAATCAAATGTGTCACCTCCTGCCCACATTCTATAGTGGCAGCCCCTGAGTTCTCCATTTCTGGGTCCCAGATAGACATTTCCCCCCGCATTTTTTTCTCTCTCTGTCTCTTGTTGTTGTTGTTATATTCCAAAAAGGATTTTGATTTTATTGCTTCACACACAGAAGAGTTCTGGTTAAGGCTTGCCTTGCTCCTGGTGCTCATATGATGCCACCAGGATGTGATTTATCTCAAGCACTTAACTCTGTGTTCTTCGTGTTGCCTCCATTCTTTGATAGGCATTCTTTTCGTAGTGCCAAGATGAATGCAACAGCTTCAGCTTTATCTTCTTTGACCTTCAAGTTCTATAGTCCCAGTAGATATCTGACTACAACTCATTAGCTCTGACTATTTCAGGTACTCCTCTCTGAAACAATTACTGTGACCAAGAGAATGCAATACTTATACTTTCTTCAGACATGAATTATCAGTATCCAGATAGGCACATAAACTCAGTCTTAGAATGTGTTGCTTTGATGTCAGGTTTTTCTCTTGCCTTGATAGTTCCACATGGCTGGGGAAGCCTCACAATCACGGTGGAAGGCAAGGAGGAGCAAGTCCCATCTTACGCTGATGGCAGCAGGCAAAGAGAGAATGAGGCTGTCTCTCTCTCTCTCTCTCTCTCTTTTCTTTTCTTTCTCTTCTTTCTTCTTTCTTTCAAGATAGAAGACTCCCAGCTGGGTGTGGTGGTTCACGCCTGTAATCCCAGCACTTTGGGAGGCCGAGGCCGGTGGATCATGAGGTCAGAAGTTCGAGACCAGCCTGGCCAATATGGTGAAACCCTGTCTCTACTAAAAATATAAAAAATAAGCCGGGTGCAGTGGTGCCCGTCTGTTGTCCCAGTTACTTGGGAGGCTGAGGCAGGAGAATCGCTTGAACCTGGGAGGTGGAGGTTGCAGTGAGCCAAGATCACACCACTGCATTCCAGCCTGGGTGACAGAGCGAGACTCCATCTCAAAAAAAAAAAAAAAAAAAAAAGACTCCATCTCTCAACCAGGCTGGAGTATAGTGGTGCCATCTCAGCTCACTGCAGCCTTGACTTCCCAGACTCAAGCGACCCTCCAGCCTTAGCCTCCCAAGCTAATTTTTAAAGTTTTTATAGAGACAGGGTCTGACTGTGTTGCCCAGGCTGGTCTCAAACTCCTGGGCTCAAGTGATCCTCCTGCCTTGGCCTCCCAAACTGCTAGTGCTAGGATTTCAGGCGTGAGCCACCGTATGTGGCCCCATTTTTCTTTTTCTTTCTTTTTTTTTTTTTTCTCTTAGAGATGAGGTCTGGCTCTGTCACCCAGGCTGGAGTGGGTGACATGATCATAGCTCACTGTAGCCTTGAACTCCTGGGCTCAAGTGATCCTCCTGCCTCGGCCTCCCAAGTAGTTGGGATTATAGGCAAGAGCAACAATGCCTGGCTTTTTTCTCATTTTAAAATTTGATGTGGCCAGGCTCGGTGGCTCATTCCTTTGGGATGAGGCAGGAGGATCGTTTGAGCCTAGGAGTTTGTGATCAACCTGGGCAACACGGCAAAATTCCATCTCTACCAAAAATATATAAATTAGCCCGGCATGGTGGTATGCGCCTGTAATCCCAGCTGCCTGGGAGGCTGAGGTGGGAGGATCACTTGAACCCCGGAGAGAAAGGTTGGAGTGAGCTGAGATCATGCCACTGCACTCCAGCCTGGGTGACAGAGTCAGATCCTGTCTCAAAAAGGAAAAAATTGATGTAATGTTTACATACAGTGAAATGTACAGATTTCAAACTTCAATGAATTTTTACAAATGTATGTACCTGTATAACCAAAGATATATCTTAAAATCACTCCAGAAGGTGCCCTTGTAACCCCTTCTAATCATTTGCCACCCCATAAGCCACCACTGCTGGGATTTCTGTCACCTTTGAACACTGTTTTAAGCTCCAGGTTGGCATCAGTTCACTGAAATGCCTTTTTGATAACCCTGTTATGGATGGCTGTGGTCTAGGAGCCCATTTAAAGTGATTCTGCACCCTGGATCCTTTAGCAGTTATTTACTCACTGTTCATTCAACAGATATTTGGTGAGCCCCTACTGTGTACCAAACACTGTGCTATTCCTAGAAGCTTAGCAGTGACTAAGACAGGCTCAGGTAACATGCTGGTGGAGCTCACAGCTAGAAGGGACCACAGAAAGCAAGTAAACAAGAACCAGGGCCTACTTCTGGACTTTGCCTGTCTCCAGGCTGTTTTAAGTCACCCTATTCTGGCCCATCAGTTTGCCCAATAAATATATACTGAGCAGCTAAAGTGCACCCAGAGAGGCTGCGCATAGATTCTCCCCTCCGTGAAGCAGCACAGCATGTGCTTAAGAGCTCAGATTTTGGAAGGAGACAGCCTTGGTTTGAATATTCTCTGCCTCTCTCTAGATATGAGATCTTATGCAGGTTACTGAGCTCTCCATGCCTCAGTTTATCTAAAATGGGGGAAATAATCATTCCTACACCATAGGGTCACTAGCAGGCTTAACACTTAATATGTGAGGAGTTCAGAATTGTGCCTGGCATATAGGAAGCACTCATGAAGTGTTAGCTGCTGCTATTATTATTACCGTCATTGTAATTATTATTTTAATAATGGTCCTTTCATTAAGAGGACAGGGTCATCTGGAGATGGCAGAGCAGCAAGTCCCTTAATCTCTCTGTTACTAACCCCTTCTAGACCAAGAGCCTGAACCCCACAGTCTCTCATCCTTCCCTGCTTTCCCTTTGCTGAGATCTCTAAGCCACTCTCAGATCCACACTTTACAGCTTTCCAAAAAGTGTTCCTGACCCTCAGAGCAGATTTCTGAATTCTGGAAAGGAGATGCAGGTTTAAGTATCACTGGGAGAAGGAGAAGCCAGGAGATCTCCTTTGACTCCTGTTTGGCAAAGCCAGAGGCTTACAGGGTAAAAGAGACAGCTGACCCGGGTCCCTGTGCCTGACTAAGGCTGCCTGTGTTTGGGGGGTCCCCAGGTCTGTGCCCACCGCTACACCCAGGTGCTGTGGTCAGGGTCAGAAGACCAGCGGCGCATGGTGGGCAAGTGCTACGTGCGAGGCAATGACCTAGAGCTGGACTCCAGTGATGACTGGCAGACCTACCACAACGAGATGTGCAATAGCAACACAGACTACCTGGAGACGGGCATGTGCCAGCTGGGCACCAGCGGTGGCTTCACCCAGAACACTGTGTACTTCGGCGCCCCCGGTGCCTACAACTGGAAAGGTGGGGACCATGGGGCCATGGGGGAAGAAAGGAAGAGCAGAGACCACCCACCCCTAGTTAGCCACGGGGACAGCTGGCCTAGACCATCCACACTAGAAACAGGACCTCATGCCAGTATCAGCAACCACCATGACTTCTACTGTTTTAAAGCACTTACTATGTGCCAGGGGCCTTACGCATATTATGTCAATCAATCTTTTTTGTTGTTTTTTTGACATAGGGTCTCACTATGTCACCCAGGCTGGAGTGCAGTGGCACATTCATGGCTCACTGCAGCCTCGACCTCCCCAGGCTCAGGTGATCCTCCAACCTCAGCTTCTTGAGTAGCTATGACCGCAGGCATGTGCCACTACACCTGGCTAATTTCTGTATTTTTTGTAGAGATGGAGTTTCACCATGTTGCTCAGGCTAGTCTTGAACTCCTGGGCTTAAGCAATCCACCCTCCTCGGCCTCCCAAAGTGCTGGGATTATGGGCATGAGCCACCATGCCCAGCCTCAATCAGTCTTTTTTATTTATTTATTTATTTATTTATTTATTTATTTATTTATTTATTTTTTTGAGACAGAGTCTCACTCTGTCACCCAGGCTGGAGTGCAGTGGTGCAATCTCGGCTCACTGCAAGCTCCACCTCCAGGGTTCACGCCATTCTCCTGCCTCAGCCTCTTGAGTAGCTGGGACTACAGGTGCCCGCCACCATGCCCGGCTAATTTTTTTGTATTTTTAGTAGAGACGGGCTTTCACCGTGTTAGCCAGGATGGTCTCAATCTCCTGACCTCGTGATCCGCTCACCTCGGTCTCCCAAAGTACTGGGATTACAGGCGTGAGCCACCGCGCCCAGCCTAATCATTCTTAAAATACTCTTATGAGGCAAGTATTATTATATCCATTTTACAAAAACAAAAACTAAGACTTAGAGAAGTAAATTGCCCAAGGCCAACAAAGTTATGAAACCTGGATTGGAATACAGGTCCATCTGACTTCAGTTTAACCATTTACAAACTAATTCTAAAAATAAAACATGCTCCTGGTACAACCACTACATAGTACAGTAGGCAATGTCCTATAATAATAGTTATCGCCAGGTGCAGTGGCTCATGCCTGTAATCCCAACACTTTGGAAAACTGAGGTGGGAGGATCACTTGAGCCCAGGAGTTCAAGACTAACGTGGGCAACGTAGGGAGACCTTGTCTCTACAAAAAATTTAAAAATTAGCCAGGTGTGGTGGCACACACCTATGGTCCCAGCTACTCAGGAGGCTGAGGTGGGAGGATCGCTTGGGCCCAGGAGGTTGAGGCTGCAGTGAGCTGCGATTGTGCCACTGTCCTCCAGCCTGAGCAGCAGAGCAAGACCTTATCTCAAAAAACTAAATAAATATCGCTACTTTCTCTCTTTCTCTTATCAAAAGTCATGGGCACTTTTTCATGTTGATATATATAGGACCATCATTTTAGAGGATGAAGGGTATTTTCTTGTAAAAGACCATGCTTGTAAAAGACCACACTACACATGGTCTCACAGGGGGTGTCTGACAGCTTATACTCCCTCCATCTCTTTGCCTCCCTCCATCACACAGGTTGTAGCAATAGGGACCCCTTTTCCCTTACTGAACCTTTATTGTTGTAGAATCAGCAGGCAGAGGAGCCTTGAATCTCCTCTTGACCAACATGTAGCCCCAGGCATAGTCACAGCTCTGGGCTCACCGAAGGCTGAGGCCTCTGCCCCCTCTTCTGGTCCTGCCTCCCACCCCCTGGTCATGTAGCACCTTGGCAAAGTCACAGATACTCTCCAGCAGCAGCCCTGGGTGCAGGGTCCAGCTAGGCAGCCCGAGTTTGGGGTCAGGACCAGAAAGAGATAATGGTGTGGAGTCTGACCTCAGTGTCTAGAGAGTGGGGAAAGCCATCTAGCATCTAATATCCAGGAGCCTGAGTGATTAAGTTCTAGCCATGGCTCTACAACCAGCTCCCCATGGGACTATGAGCAAGTCAACTTCCCTCCTGAGCCTCACTTATCTGCAAAATGGGGGTCATAATTTAACCTCAAATAATTGTTATAATAGGCCAGGCACAGTGGCTGACACCTGTAATCCCAGCACTTTGGGAGGCCAAGGCAGATGGATCACTTGAGGCCAGGAGTTTGAGACCAGCCTGGCCAACATGGTGAAACCTTGTCTCTACTGAAAATACAAAAATTAGCCGGGCATGGTGGCGCATGCCTGTAATCCCAGCTACTCGGGAGGCTGAGGCAGGAGAATCGCTTGAACCCAGGAAGCGGAGGTTGCAGTGAGGCAAGATCACACCATTGCACTCCAGCCTGGGCAACAAGAGCAAGACTGTCTCAAAAAAAAAAAAAAAAAAAAAAAAGGAAAAAAGAATTGTTAAAGAGGATGTGTTTTATAAATGGCAAAATGCTCACCAATAAAAGGGGTTATTACTATCCTTGTTGGGTGGGGGTGGGGGTGGGCTGGACATGGTAGAGGAAACCAGAAACCGGTGGTGACTTATACTCCCTACTCTCCCTCCCTCAATCCCTGTGAAGGAAACAGCTACATGATTCAGCGCAAGGAGTGGGACTTATCTGAGTATAGTTACAAGGACCCAGAGGACCAAGGAAACCTCTATATTGGTGAGTACAGTAGTGGTAGCCCATCAAGTGGTAGAGGGGAAGGGGGCTTAGTCCCTGGTGGAAAGGTGAGGCCAGAGTGCAGTTGTGACTAATGGCATTTAGTTAAACTAGCACACACGGATTGGCCGGCACCTGTATGCCAGGCCCTGTTCCAAGCTCCCAAGATGCAAAGTTCTTGACTTCAGGATGCTCACAGTCCAGTGTCCAGGCAGAACTGGGCCATGGCTGCTGGCCATCTGGAGTCTACTTTCTTGCCCTACTTGGAATAGTGGGATAGAACATCATGGTGGGGGGCAAGAGAGGGAATAGGGAGATGGGTCCAGAGTAGAAAGAGACGAAGTTGACTGGGACCTTGGTTGAACATCTTCCCTCTATCCCAGGGTACACGATGCAGGTAGGCAGCTTCATCCTGCACCCCAAAAACATCACCATTGTGACAGGTGCCCCACGGCACCGACATATGGGCGCGGTGTTCTTGCTGAGCCAGGAGGCAGGCGGAGACCTGCGGAGGAGGCAGGTGCTGGAGGGCTCGCAGGTGGGCGCCTATTTTGGCAGCGCCATTGCCCTGGCAGACCTGAACAATGATGGGTGAGAATCTAGGGACATCCTCTGGGGCCAGGGAGAGCGATGGGCGGGGGAAGGCTTACCTAAGCCAGGTGAGGGGAGTGGAGGATTTGCAGTTGTGCGGCTGTCTGCATGTTGTTTGCAGAGGTTTGCAGTCAGGCTTTATGGGAGTCTGAGCACCTGCACATGGCATTTGTGGGACCCCTGCGTTTGCTTGTTTCTGCTTGGGATTTGTATGCTCCAGTGGATGTGGATTGTTTGGGTTTGATTTGTGCCTGCATGGCGTCTCCATGACATATGTCTTCTATTTGGTGGGTCATATTGGCATCTCCATGTCCTTCCCATGCACATGTCCTTCCCACCCATGACCTGTGGCCGGAAGAGCCATTTGCAGAGCCCTGTGCCCTGGCACAGTCACACCTGTCAAACAAGAACTATGCTGCATATTGGAGGCTGACCTCACACTCCCATTTCCCTCCTCTCCTGTGTAGGTGGCAGGACCTCCTGGTGGGCGCCCCCTACTACTTCGAGAGGAAAGAGGAAGTAGGGGGTGCCATCTATGTCTTCATGAACCAGGCGGGAACCTCCTTCCCTGCTCACCCCTCACTCCTTCTTCATGGCCCCAGTGGCTCTGCCTTTGGTTTATCTGTGGCCAGCATTGGTGACATCAACCAGGATGGATTTCAGGGTATGAGCCAGCACTCCTCCCCCAGCACCCCTCCTCCAGCACCCCTCCTCCCAGCACCCCTACTGACTGAGCACCAGCTGCACATCAGGCTTGACAGGGCCCACAGATGAGACAGGATGGGGCCGGACCTGGGGAGCTCGCAGCAGTACTAGAGAGAGGATGTGCAGATGTGCAGAGGAAGCACAGAGGCAAGCTCAGTGGGCCTCCTGGAGGAGCTTGCATGCCACTGTGCAGCCAAGGCTGGGCTGAGAGTGCACAGTAGAGAACTGATGGGGCACAACATGGGTGTGGAAACTGGCCTGGTGTGCCCAAATCTAGCGGGTGTAGAGTGTTCACATCAGAGAGGAGGCTGGAGGGGGAGTGGGGTGGGGTGGGGTGAGGATGGATGCTTTGAAAGCCAGGCAGAGTATCTTAGGGATTTATATTTGGGTAATGGTGATGGTGGGGTCATGGGGCATCCAGAGAAAGTTTTAGGGCAGGGATGTGATATAATAACTTTGTACCCTGAAGGATGATTCTGGAAGGGGTATGGAATGAGTGATTGCAGGGATGGAGCAAGGCCAGGGGAGTTAAGATCAAGAATGTAATATCTCAGGTGGGAGATGATAAGGAATGGGACAAGGTGGGAGCCCTGGATATAGGGGTCCTCATAAGTGTTCTGCAGGACTTGGGGACCAATCGGACCTGGGGTATCAGGGACAGGGGCAGACCCAGGGCTGGAGTCAGTGCCATGGGGGCACCTGGCTTATCTGAAAGTCACTTCTCTGATAATCTCAGTTTCCCAGGACATAGCTGAGAACCAAGAGGAAGGCAAAGGAGCCTCTGAAGACCCAAAATAGGTGCCAGAAAGTTCAGTCACCAGAGGCCAAGTGTGCACTGTGGAAATCATTTGGTTTCGGCCTGGGACCTGCTTCTGCTCCCTTTACAGGCCTTACTAACAAGCTTGGCTTGCTGATTCCCTAGGCCTTATCTGATCCAAAGCTGCAAACTGGAAAGAGTTCAGTTTAAGAAGATAACCAAATACTTGGGGGTTATTTGTGGAGATAATGATTAGAATGTAAAAAGCCTTGACACTTTCAGTGAAGTTCACTGTAGTGTTGTGGTTAAAATCCCAGCCCCTGCTGTGAGACAGCCCTGGGCTCAAATTTTCTCTTTTCTACACTCATTAGTTGTACAACTCTGGGTTTTTGGAGTGTCTCCTCATCTATAAAGTGGGGGGATAATAGTACCCACCCCACAGCACTCTCGTGAAAATTAAATGAATAGCTGGGTGTGTTGGTGTGTGCCTGTCCCAGCTACTTGGGAGGCTGAGGTGGGAGGATCCCTTCAGTCCAGGAGGTTGAGGCTGCAGTGAGCTATGACTGTGCCACTGCACTCCAGCCTGGGTCACAGAGCGAGACACTGTCTATAAACACACACACACACACACACACACACACACACACACACACGCACACACGCACACACACTGAATGCTTGACAACTGTCTGGTAGAGTCACTTGTCATCTCCTGAACCTACTTTCCCACCCGTGATAGGAGGAAGCTGGGCTCCAGATGGTCCCAGTGTTCATCCTGAGCTGCAGAGCTCTGCTCTGTCCCTGATGCTCTGAGCCCTGCCCATCAATCAGGCCAAGATCAGTTCTGTGCTGGGCTGTATGGCCTGGAGCAAAGAGTTAGGGAGACGTGGGGCCCAGAGTACCTGGGTGACCCTGTCTTGCCTTTTCTTCTGCAGATATTGCTGTGGGAGCTCCGTTTGAAGGCTTGGGCAAAGTGTACATCTATCACAGTAGCTCTAAGGGGCTCCTTAGACAGCCCCAGCAGGTACAGAGAGACGGGGATGGGTCTGCTGCCCCCACCAGCCGAGATGGGCCTTCCTTGCTTTCCTTCACCCAACCCTTCCCTGTAGCCCCCTGGGCCCTGCTCCCCAGAGCCTGCCCCCACCACTTTCCCCTGCCCCCAGGTAATCCATGGAGAGAAGCTGGGACTGCCTGGGTTGGCCACCTTCGGCTATTCCCTCAGTGGGCAGATGGATGTGGATGAGAACTTCTACCCAGACCTTCTAGTGGGAAGCCTGTCAGACCACATTGTGCTGCTGCGGTGAGCCAGGAGGCCAGTGAATAAGGGTCTTTCTCTTCTTCATCTTTGTCTGCACAGATTCCCATCTGTGTCCATGTTTGCGCTAGCTCCTTGGAAGCCTGGGCCCCAACTCTGGCCTGGGGCAGGCAGGAGGCACTGATATCTGTCTGGCTCTGTTGTCTCTGCAGGGCCCGGCCCGTCATCAACATCGTCCACAAGACCTTGGTGCCCAGGCCAGCTGTGCTGGACCCTGCACTTTGCACGGCCACCTCTTGGTGAGATTGTTCTGCCCACCTACTCCTCATTTATTTATAGGGAGGCTAGGAGGGGCTGCAGCTCCCAAACCCCTCCCCTGGCCTCCTGACATCCCACCTTTAGAAATTTGATTCTTGGGGCCAGCATTTGCCCTCTCTACCCAACCTCATTAAAAAGCAAAATTCCTTGTAAGAGGTAATGGATGAAGTCGGGGGCAGTAGAGTATAGTGGTTCAAGGTGGGAGCTCTGGACGGCCTGGTTCAAATCCCAGCTATGCCAGTGCAGGGGTGGGGATGGGCTCTGGAAAGGGGGACGCATTTAAGTGGATGGATATGGAGGAGAGTCTCCTCAGGTGAATTATTAATCCCTCTTAGGCTCAGATTTCTTGCTTGTAGAACAGAATTGATAATAACTGATTCACAGGGTTGTTGTGATAATTAAATGAGAAAATATACAGAAAGTCCTTAGCACAGCACTGTGTATACCCTAAGTGCTCAAAAAATGTTAGTTGCTAAGAAAGTGACAGTAATGATGGCGATGACCCCAAGGTCTTTAAGTGAATGAGGATTTTGGATCAGAAGACAAAGGCAGACAGAGCAGGGAAATGGGGTGGTTGGTGCAAGGAGACCTGGACTGGGGATTGGCCGACCTAGGTTCAAGACTGGGCTGGGCCACCAACTGACTGAGGACTTCAGACAAGTCCTTCTGGGCCCTAGGCCTCAGTTTCCCCATTAGTGACCTCTAACCCTGTTCTCTTTGGCTTTAAGGGGAGTGGAAGGGAAGGGGTCAGGGACACCACAGACCTGCTTTGTGGACTCCCCAGTTTTGTCCCTGCCTCTCTCCAGAAGGGCCTCGGTTTCCTTTTGCCCAGTACAGAGGCGAGAGCTAGGGCCTGGACGTGTGTGTCCCACTGTGACCCGCCCTCCTGTACATCCCTCCAACAGTGTGCAAGTGGAGCTGTGCTTTGCTTACAACCAGAGTGCCGGGAACCCCAACTACAGGCGAAACATCAGTGAGTGCTGGGGTGCAGCGTAAAAGGGGTACGCTCCCCTGTCCCCTTGCTGACCACCCTGTCTACCTGTAGCCCTGGCCTACACTCTGGAGGCTGACAGGGACCGCCGGCCGCCCCGGCTCCGCTTTGCCGGCAGTGAGTCCGCTGTCTTCCACGGCTTCTTCTCCATGCCCGAGATGCGCTGCCAGAAGCTGGAGCTGCTCCTGATGGTGAGGGAGGAGCAAGGGTCAGGATGAGGGCTCCCAGGTCCCTGGAGGAGGTGGCCAGTGTCCCCCTAGATCAAGGGTGAGGGACGGGGGTCTCCCCAGAGACAGAGGTTGGGGACATCGGTTTGGAAGGCTATTGGTGTGTAGGAGTACAGTGTACAGCACCCACACATGAGGAGTGATGGAGACCCTTGGGGTGGGGATGGGGCCAAAGGGCTTATTACCTCCAAGGAAAGTGAGGAGTGTGGGAGCTCTTGGCTCAGCCCACCTCTGGGAAAAGGGGTCCCTGAGTAGGGAGCAAGGTCAGTCCCTCTCTGGGACATCAGGGTGGAAGGGGAGAGCTCAACCTGGAGACCCTGTGGATGGGGAGGTGAAGGGACTTTTGAGGAGGAGAAGCCCTGTCTCTCCTCTTGGAGGGTCAGGATAGTAGGAAGTCGCAATTTGGCGACCGGACTGGAGGGAGTTCAGCCTAACTGTCAGGTTTTCAGGGTGGGGGGCGGGTCCAGCTCTTCTCTGGGGTTCAGGGTGGTGTGAGGATTCAGCTGGGGCAGGGAGCAGTGCAGGGCCGGGCTCAGCTCACCCTCTCTCCCCAGGACAACCTCCGTGACAAACTCCGCCCCATCATCATCTCCATGAACTACTCTTTACCTTTGCGGATGCCCGATCGCCCCCGGCTGGGGCTGCGGTCCCTGGACGCCTACCCGATCCTCAACCAGGCACAGGCTCTGGAGAACCACACTGAGGTGAGTGGGGCTGGCGCCTGGACTGGAAGACCAGGGGCCAGAAGGGCGGTGGGGCGAGAGGGCACTGGGGGGGGTGGTGCGGCCTTCACACCTCCGGCCACCCCCCAGGTCCAGTTCCAGAAGGAGTGCGGGCCTGACAACAAGTGTGAGAGCAACTTGCAGATGCGGGCAGCCTTCGTGTCAGAGCAGCAGCAGAAGCTGAGCAGGTGGCTGTGGGCCGCCGGCCGCGTTAATCGGCCAAGGGTGGGACGGGGCCTCATTAACTGGCAGGGTGGGGGCGGGGCCTCATGGCAAGGCGAGCCCAGGGACAGGGCTTTAGCGGGAACAGGTGGGATGGTCAGAAACGGGGCTTTCTCCTCCAGGTGCGACTAGAGGACGGGGCCTGGCTGTCCCAAGATGGGCTTTTCTCACCTAGGAGACCCCAGGGGCGGGGCCTAGTTGATCCGGGAGTGCCCTGGGGGCGGGGCTCTTGGCTGAGTCCTGGGCTCCTGCTCTCAGGCTCCAGTACAGCAGAGACGTCCGGAAATTGCTCCTGAGCATCAACGTGACGAACACCCGGACCTCGGAGCGCTCCGGGGAGGACGCCCACGAGGCGCTGCTCACCCTGGTGGTGCCTCCCGCCCTGCTGCTGTCCTCAGTGCGCCCCGTGAGTGCCCGCCGGCCGGCTCAGAGCCCAAGCAGGGCTCCCCGCGTCTTTGCATCCCCATATCCATGTCCTGTGCAGGTGTTGTCGTCTGCCACGTGCCCACCTCCTCTGGTCTGGGCCTTCTTGGGGGCCTTAGCGTCTCTGCTGCTTGGAGAATCCGGCTCTCAAGCTCTAGGGCTTCTGACCTTGCACCACAGAGGAGGGAGGACAAGCCCTACTTTGACCCGACCCTGACCTTATTCGCCTTCTTTCCTCAGCCCGGGGCCTGCCAAGCTAATGAGACCATCTTTTGCGAGCTGGGGAACCCCTTCAAACGGAACCAGAGGGTGAGCACCGGCCACATCCTCCCAGTCCTCCTGGGTCCCTGGCTGCACCTCTGATGAGCTCCTTGTCCTTCCAGCCTCTGCCTGCCTGCTTTCTGGGCTCCCTCGAAGTGGAGAGCCACAGTGCGGGAGGAGAGACTCAGTAGAGGGTGAGAAGAGGCCCAGAAACTAAGACAAATGGGGCTGCTAGGGAGCTGTGCACAAAGCTAGAGCAGGTGGAGGGGAGGAAACCAGTTTGACCAAGCACCAACTGTGTGCCAGCCCCTGAGCCCAACACTGTGCTTCTTTGATATGATATAATTCTCACAGCCTTCTGAGGAGGTAGATGCTCTTTTACAGAAGAGGAAACACACACTTAGAAAGTTTCAGTTACCTGCTCAAGGTTATGTAGCTCAAAAGTAGCAGAGATGTGACCTGATGGAGAGAAAGGGGGAAAGGGAGGCAGAGGTGGGGTGGGGAGGTAGAGACCCCTCACCCAGAATAGGAGGAGGAGGAGAAGGCCAGAAAGCCAACTAGAATAGTGTGCATCCCCTCCTTCCCCATGACATCACCCCCGCCAGGCCCCATATGCCACTCTCTGCCTCCCTGACCCTTGTGGCAGATGGAGCTGCTCATCGCCTTTGAGGTCATCGGGGTGACCCTGCACACAAGGGACCTTCAGGTGCAGCTGCAGCTCTCCACGTGAGTGACCTCGAAAAGCCAGTCTGGGTCAGGGCTGAGGTATCTTGGATCACCTTCCTAACCCCTGCATTTCCTCCCAAGGTCGAGTCACCAGGACAACCTGTGGCCCATGATCCTCACTCTGCTGGTGGACTATACACTCCAGACCTCGCTTAGCATGTGGGTACCGCTCTCCACCACCCCCACCCCAGCCTGCTGTGCCTAAGCTAGGGTTCCCTATCCCCAAGCTATCTCCCAAACTCCTCTGACCCCTCTCTTGGCCCAGTGTCCTCAGGCCTCCACTTTCCCTGGATCATCCTTTTCTTAACAACAACAATCACTATCGTTACCGTTACTATTCCCCCTGTAAAGCAGGCAGAAATGGAGGAATCAGCAACCCCGGGGCTAAGGTGTTGTCCCTACCATTTTATAAGAGCTCATTGTGCTAAGGATTTTATATACATCATCTCAATGACTTCTCACAGCAGCCCTGTGATACAACAGCTATGATTAAGTCCATTTTACAGATGAGGAGACTGAGGCTCAGAGAGGATAAATAGCTTGCTTGAGTCCATAAAGCTTGTAAATGCAGAGCTGAGGTTTCTATTGAGGTGACTGATGTCAGAGGGGCTATAGTTAGCCAGCTTTGGTGCCCACCCCCCTCTGCCAGGGCCCTGGTCTCTTGTCCCCCGTGACTCCAGCATCCTTCTTACCCCTAGGGTAAATCACCGGCTACAAAGCTTCTTTGGGGGGACAGTGATGGGTGAGTCTGGCATGAAAACTGTGGAGGATGTAGGAAGCCCCCTCAAGTATGAATTCCAGGTAAGGGGCTCGCCAGAGTCCTGGGCTGGGGACTTCTAGGAAGGATTATTTTTATTTTCTCTGGGGTCTGAAGGTGGGAGGGTTGGGGGTTGGTAAGATGGAGGTGGTTTTCCAGGAGATAATGACTATGACACATCTTGTGCCCACAGGTGGGCCCAATGGGGGAGGGGCTGGTGGGCCTGGGGACCCTGGTCCTAGGTCTGGAGTGGCCCTACGAAGTCAGCAATGGCAAGTGGCTGCTGTATCCCACGGAGATCACCGTCCATGGCAATGGGTCCTGGCCCTGCCGACCACCTGGAGACCTTATCAACCCTCTCAACCTCACTCTTTCTGTAAGGACACTATCAGGGATATTTCATTTGCATGCTACAGGGCAGAAAGGCCAGTGTCTTCCCCTCCCTCCCCTCATACCCCTTTGGCAAGCTGTCTCTCCTACCCTTTCCTTTCCTGCAACCCTGCTCCCAATTCTTCCTCTGCCCTGCCAGCAAATCTCCTATTTCCTCTCCAGGACCCTGGGGACAGGCCATCATCCCCACAGCGCAGGCGGCGACAGCTGGATCCAGGGGGAGGCCAGGGCCCCCCACCTGTCACTCTGGCTGCTGCCAAAAAAGCCAAGTCTGAGACTGTGCTGGTGAGTGGCCAGGGCGAGGTTGGAGGGGATTGCATCCACCCCATCACAGGGTGCCTGGGCACCAGGGGCACACAAAGCAAGGGAGACCTCAGTGTGATGAGGTGATGAGGCCCCTGCTCTTGGGAGCCTCCAGACAGAGCAGGGAGCCTCATCTCCTGCCCTCAGAGGGTTCTCCACTCTGATGGGGGAGGATTGAAGACAAGGGACCAAAGGAGGAGGCACTGGCTCTGCTCCAAGGAACCCCAGCCTGTTGGGGGCGATAGAGCTGCTCAGAGCTTTGGCCGGCAGGAGGCGGTGTCGGGCAGGGCAATGGTGGGTGGTGCGTGTGCCCTCTGCAGGAAAGGAGAGGAGAGCGGGCCTGGCAAGCCGGTTGAAGCCTAGCTGGGTGGAGAGTGGGAGGTGGTGTCCCAGGGGCAGGGAGCTGGCTGGGAAGCAGGTGTAGGCGGTTGGGCCCTGTTTACACAAGCAGGGGCCAGATTCCATGTTATCCATGTGCCTGGCATTATATGAGCTTGGCCCAAAGAGTGTGTCTGAAATGCATAGCTGTGAGGTTGGGGGACGTGTGCATGAGTGAAAGGAAGTCAGACCCCTTTGGGTCACCCAGGGGTGAGACAAAGCCTGGAAGGGGCGGGAGGTAAGGAGCAAGGCATGAAGAATCTGGAGACTCAGACTATGTCACGTCTTGCGTTCCCTGCCCGCCTCAGACCTGTGCCACAGGGCGTGCCCACTGTGTGTGGCTAGAGTGCCCCATCCCTGATGCCCCCGTTGTCACCAACGTGACTGTGAAGGCACGAGTGTGGAACAGCACCTTCATCGAGGTCAGTGCCTGGGTCTGAAGGTCTCTCCTACCATCCACCCTGAGGGGGAGAACAACAGGGAGAGGGCGAGTCCAGGGTCATAGCATGGGTGTGTGTGTGTGTGTGTGTGTGTGTGTGTGTGTGTGTGTGTGATTTGCGTGTCTTTGCATGGATGTGTATGTGTTTGTCCCCAGCCAAAATGACCTTTCTCGTGTCCATTATTCTGTTATGTGTCCATTACTGTCCCACCTCCATGCCTTTCCCCAGGGTGTTCCTTAACCCTGGAATGCTCATTTCCCCTCTTTTATCTCTGCGTGTAAACCCCTATTTTGTTTTCAAGGTCCCTGTCAGATGCTTCACCATCAGTGAGCTCTTTTCTGGCTTTTCCAGCTGAAAATGACCTCTCTTCCAATGGCCACCCACCTAACTTTCTCAGAAGCCACACATGCCATTTATCACGCTCGACTCTGGGTTGCAATGCCTCACGTGCCCACTTTCTCATGCCATCTAGACCAAACTTTTTCTGTACATGACTAGATTAGAAATCTTTTCAACTTGGCGGGCCATAGAGTTTCTGTTGCAACTACTCAGTACTGCCATTGCACCACACAAACAGCCATAGACAAATGAATGGGTGTGGCCGTGCGCCAAAAATACTTCATTTACAACAGCAGGTGCCAGTCCAGATTTAGCCCACAGGCCTGACCTAGACTGTGACCTTCATTGTTTCGGTTGTCCCCAGCATCCAGCACAGGACCTGACGCAGAAATGAATGAACAAATAAATGAATGATGCGCATTTGTGTGTGGAGGGGAGGCCTGGCTGACAGATCCTTTGGGGTGCTGTTTAAGGATGCTACTTGGTGGGAGGGTGATGGGGTGGGAAAGCTTAGGGTCGGAGGTAGGCTCAGAGAAGTGTCAAGTGTTCCCCTTGACCCACCCCACTCCCAATCCAGGATTACAGAGACTTTGACCGAGTCCGGGTAAATGGCTGGGCTACCCTATTCCTCCGAACCAGCATCCCCACCATCAACATGGAGAACAAGACCACGTGGGTGAGTGCGCATGTTCACTAGGACAGCAGTCTCCAGCCAGAGCTTGAGAGTACAGGGCATCTTTTAAGAGGACACTGACGCACTTCAGCCATATGGTTCTCAATCTTGGCCACACGGTAAGAGTATCTGGAGGAGTTCTGGTGTCTGGACTGCACCCAGAGCAATTAACCCCGGGTCCCTGGGAGTGGATTCCGGGATTGCTGTGTTTAAAGGTCCCCCAAGTGATGCTAATGTGCAGCCAGGGCTGAGAACCACTGCATTAGCTTCCTTGATCTGCACAACGCCTCCATGAAGAGTAGGGCTGGGACTGCCTCTCTATTTTATGGCTGAGAGGCTGAGGCCTAGAGAGACTTGAGTGGCCTCCCCAAAGTGGCACAGCTTGTCAGGGGCTGGAACGTGGGTCTCCTGATTATCTCACCCATTGTCACATCCACTATGGACCTGTGAGCTTCCCGCCACGGGCAATATGTATGTATAGAGAGAAAGGCAGGATATCAAGGCAGAATGGAGGGAGGTTCAGCCATGAGAACCTGGTGAGTATTGACAGATGATGTCATCATCTACGTGGCAGAAAAGAGAAGCAATGGAAAAGCTATTATTTTATTTTATTTTGCTTCAGAGATGGTGTCACTCTGTTGCCCCAGCTGGAATGCAGTGTAGTCCTGAACTCCTGGGCTCAAGAAATCCTCCCACCTCAGCCTCCTGAGTAGCTGAGACTACAGCCATGTACCACGATGCCCAGCTAATTTATTTCTTTATTCATGTATTTATGTATTTATTTATTTATTTATTTTTTGAGATGGAGCCTCACTCTGTGGCCAGGCTGGAATGCAGTGGCGTGATCACTGCAAGCTCTGCCTCCCTGGTTCATGCCATTCTCCTGCCTTGGCCTCCCAAGTAGCTGGGACTACAGGCGCCCACCACCACGCCCGGCTAATTTTTGTATTTTTAGTACAGACAGGGTTTCACCTTGTTAGCCAGGATGGTCTCAATTTCCTGACCTTGTGATCCACCTGCCTCGGCCTCCCAAAGTGCTGGGATTACAGGCATGAGCCACTGTGCCTGGCCTAATTTTTTATTTTTAGTAGACATGAGGTCTCACTGTGCTGCCCAGCCTGGTCTTGAACTCCTGGTCTCAAGTAGTCCTCCCACCTCAGCCTCCCAAAACACTGGGATTACAGGTATTAGCTACCACACCTGGCCCAAAAAGTTATTAGACCCAATAAGATAATTCAGGAAGTCCAAGAGGTCAAAACAAGATCAAAATACCCAAACCCCCTAGGTTTCCTACATGCTAGCAATAACCAATCAAAAGGATAGTTGAAAAGATCCCATTCAAATTCATCAGAAAAGTGATAGAGCATCTGGGAATAAATATAACAAATATGCAGCAAAAACTTGAGAAATGATTAGAAAAAAGTCAATATTGTATTATCAAGTTGTCAGATCTTCCACCCAAATTATTCCAGTCTCAGTAGGATTCAGGAAACTTGAAAAAGAAGTTCCCAATCTTGAATCTGAGTTGCATCTAGAAGAATAAATATAAAATTGCTAATAATTTGTTGTGAAAAGGATATAAGTGAAGATACGTGGGAGATACTTATAGGGAGATGAATGCAGGGTTGGTTATGTACATTATTGTACATTTCCTAAGATCAATTAATGTAGTATAGAAGAGGTAGAAGAAGGGCCAGAAAGATCAGTGGAACAAAATAGAACTTTATGGTACAGATGGCATTTTTAATCTGTGGAGAAAGGTAGATTATTAAGTAGTGTTGGGAGAACACATTTGGAAAATAAAGACAAACCTCTACTTCACAACATAAACAAAAATACAGTTAGATTAACTATCTACATGTAGCAATTAAAACCTAACATGCCAGGATACAATATACAGAACACTTTAATAGTAACCTTTAATTATGGGAAGAGTGAGTTATAAACCCAGAAGTCACAGGAAAATTTTGATAAATTAGACTCTATGAAAATTTAAATCTGTATACAGCAAAAGAGATAGTAAAGAAACTAAAAGAGGCTGGGCACGGTGGCTCACACTTGTAATCCCAGCACTTTGGAGACTGAGGCAGGCAGGTTGCTTGAGCCCAGGAGTTCCACATTAGCCTGGGCAACATGGTGAGACCTTATCTCTACAAATAAAAACAAAAATTAGCTGGGTGTGGTGGTGCACACCTGTAGTCCCAGCTACTTGGGAGGCTGAGGCAGGAGAATCGCTTGAGCTCAGGAGGTTGAGGCTGCAGTGAGTCGTGATCATGCCACTGTATTCCAGCCTGGGTGACAGAGTGACATCTTGCCTCAAAAAAAAAAAAAAAAGAAACTAAATGGGCAAATGATATACTGCTTTTTAAAAATGTTTACAGCATATATGACAAAATATTGATATGTATTTTTTAATATATAAAGGATATCAATTGGCAGCGTACATAGGGTGAAATACAAATGTTCATCTTGCTCATAAAGAAATATAAATCATAGCAACAAGATTTTTCTTGCCTATCAGATTGGGAAATATTAAAAAAAATAATGCTGGCCAGGCGCTGTGGCTCACACCTGTAATCCCAGCACTTTAGGAGGCCAAGGCGGGTGGATCATTTGAGTTCAGTTCGAGACTAGCCTGGGCAACATGGTGAAACCCCATCTGTATTAAAAATACAAAAATTAACTGGGCGTGGTGGTGCATGCCTGTAATTCTAGCTACTCAGGAGGCTGAGGCAGAAGAATCGCTTGAACCTAAGAGAGAAATGTAGTGAGCCAAGATCACTCCACTGCACTCCAGCCTGGACGACAGAGTGAGACTCTGTCTCAAAAAAAAAAAAAAAAAAAAAAAAAAGAATAATGCTGTCTAATGCTGATGAGGTGGAGAGAAATGCTATTGATTTGGATGATAAATTGGTAGATTCTTTTAGGAGACGAAGTTTTCAGTATCTATTAAAATTTAAAGTGCCCATTTCCTTAGATCCAGTACATGAGAATATATTGTAAGGAGCTAATAGGACAAGTATACAAAGATAAATATATGGGGATATTTTAGATAATTATTTATAATGGCAGAAAGTTGGAAACAATCTAAATGTCTTTCAGTAGGAGATTGGTTCAATAAATTATGGTACATTTCCTTCAATGACTGTGCAGTCCTCAGAAGAGATTAGGCTGATCTTTACCAATTGACGTGAAAAGATGATGATATTAAGTGAAAAAAAAACAGGTTGCTGGCTGGGCATGGTGGCTTATGCCTATAATCCTAACACTTTGGGAGGCCAAGGTAGGAGGATCGCTTGAGCCTAGGAGTTTGAGGCTATCCTGGGTAACAAAGTGAGACCCATCTCTACAAAAAAAATCAAGAAATTATCTGGATGTGGTGGCACATGGTCCCAGCTACACTGGAGGCTGAGGCAGGAGAATCACTTGAGCCCAGGAGGTGGAGTCTCCAGTGATTCATGTTTGTGTTATTGCACTCCAGCCTGAGCAACACAGTGAGACCCTGTCTTAAAAAGAAAAGAAAGAGACCGGGCGTGGTGGCTCACGCCTGTAATCCCAGCACTTTGGGAGGCCGAGGCGGGCAGATCACCTGAGGTCAGGAGTTCGAGACCAGCCTGGCCAACATGGTGAAACCCCGGCTCTACTAAAAATGCTGGGGTGGTGGCGGGCGCCTGTAATCCCAGCTACTCAGGAGGCTGAGGTAGGAGAATTGCTTGGACCCAGGACACAGAGGTTGCAGTGAGCCAAGATCGCACCACTGCACTCCAGCCTGGGCGACAGAGTGAGACTGTCTTAAAAAAAAAAAAGAAAGAAAAGGGAGGAAGGAAGAGAGGGAGGAAGGGAGGTTGCTGAAGGGTGTATGTGACATGATCCCATTTATGTAGATCATATTAATATTCCATATTTAAAACTATGGAAAGAGATTCACCAGAGATTACAGAGATCGTAATTTCTAGATATTAAAATTACTGGGAACCAGCTGGGCATGGTGGCTCACGCCTGTAATCCCAGCACTTTGGGACGTCGAGGCAGGTGGACCACTTGAGGTCAGGAGTTCAAGACCAGCCTGGCCAACATGGTGAAACCCGTCTCTAGTAAAAATACAAAAATGAGCTGGTTGTGGTGGTGGGCACCTGTAATCTCAGAAACTCAGGAGGCTGAGGCAGGAGAATTGCTTGAGCCCAGGAGGCAGAGGTTGCAGTGAGCCAAGATTGTGCCCCTGCACTCCAGCCTGGGCAACAGAATGGAACTCTGTCTCAAAAAAATATATATATTATAGATTTATAATATATATTAGATTATACATTATAGATTTATAATATATATTAGATTATACATTATAGATTTATAATATATATTAGATTATACATTATAGATTTATAATGTATATTAGATTATACATTATAGATTTATAATGTATATTAGATTATACATTATAGATTTATAATGTATATTAGATTATACATTATAGATTTATAATGTATATTAGATTATACACATATAGATTTATAATATATATTAGATTATACATATTATAGATTTATAATATATATTAGATTATACATATTATAGATTTATAATATATATTAGATTATACATATTATAGATTTATAATATATATTAGATTATGTTATATTATAGATTTATAATATATATTAGATTATGTATATTATAGATTTATAATATATATAGAATATGTATAATATATATATTAGATTATATATTATACATGTATAATATATATATTAGATTATATATTATACATGTATAATATATATATTAGATTATATATTATACATGTATAATATATATATTAGATTATATATATTATACATGTATAATATATATATTAGATTATATATATTATACATGTATAATATATATATTAGATTATATATATAACTGGGAACCTTTAGTTTTCTTTATATCATCTGTATTTTTAAAAAAATCATCAAAATAATTTTAAAAGAAGTGAAAATCATGTATAGTCAGAACAAACACGGCTGGGCACAGTGGCTCACACCTGTAATCCCAGCACTTTGGGAGGCCAAGGCAGGTGGATCACCTGAGTTCAGGAGTTTGAGACCAGCCTGGCCAACATGGTGAAACCCTGTCTCTACTAAAAATACAAAAATTAATTGGGCACGGTGGTACACGCCTGAAATTCCAGCTACTTGGGAGGCTGCAGCAGGAGAATTGCTTGAACCTGGGAGGCAGTGGTTGCAGTGAGCCGAGATTGTGCCACTGCACTCCACCCTCAGCAACAGAGCAAAACTCCATCTCAAAAAAAAAAAAAAAAAAACCTCATATACACACACATCCGTATTTATCTCCATTGTAGGGGAAGAAAAAGAATGGGACTATCAGCCGGGCATGGTGGCTCACGCCTGTAATCCCAGCACTTTGGGAGGCCGAGGTGGGCGGATCACCTGAGGTCGGGAGTTCGAGACCAGCCTGACCAACATGGTGAAACCTCATCTCCACTAAAAATACAAAATTAGCCAGGCGTGATGGTGCGTGCCTGTAATCCCAGCTACTCGGGAGGCTGAGGCAGGAGAATCGCTTGAACCTGGGAGGCAGAGCTGGTGGTGAGCCAAGATTCCACCATTGCACTCCAGCCTGGGCAACAGAGCAAGACTCTGTCTCCAAAAAATAAAATAAAATAAAATAAAATAAAAAGAATGGGAATATATGCTATGAATTCTTTGTGGGGTTTTTTTGGTGAATATTTATGGAGTGTTTGCTGTGTAGCAGGTGTTGCTCTAAGCAGTTTTCTTATATCAAACACACTTAATTCTCCCCAGCAACCTATGAGAGAGGTAATATTCCCATTTTACAGATGAACAACAGAGAGGTTAAGTAACTTGCCAAGGCCAAACAGCTCGTGAATAGCAAACCTGGGCTAGAACCCAGGTAATGTGGCTCCAGAACCCCTGCTTTTGGTCGTTCTGCTATTCTATGAGGTAGTCATTATGATCCCCCTCATCAGAAAGCAGAAAGCATGAGATTCAGAGGGGTGCAATTACTTGTCCAAGGTCACACAGCTCATCAGGGAAGGAGCTGGTACCCAGGCCCAGATGTGTGGGTCACACACCCAGACTCCAGGCCACCTCCCAGATCTGAGGCCGCTCCTCTGGAGTCAAGTCTGTGCCTGGGAGAAGCAGGAAGGACCACTGGACCTGCTGTCAGTGGGGCAGGCACAGGCTTTTTCCAGTCCCAGGCTGCCCCCTACTGGCAGCAGGACAAACAGCAGGTGCCTGGGCCCAGCTAGGATAGGAAGGGTGAGGATGGGCCTAAGCAGGCTGACACAGGGCTGAGTCCTCCTCTCCCCGCTCCAGTTCTCTGTGGACATTGACTCGGAGCTGGTGGAGGAGCTGCCGGCCGAAATCGAGCTGTGGCTGGTGCTGGTGGCCGTGGGTGCAGGGCTGCTGCTGCTGGGGCTGATCATCCTCCTGCTGTGGAAGGTTAGTAGCCCAGCCCACTCCTGCTCCGGGACCTCCACCAGCACACTCACCAGCCCTTCCTCCAACCCACGTCTCCCCATCCTGGTCCTCCCTTCCATCTCACCCCCACCCTTCCTCCCTGTCCTCTCCACCTTCTACCACCAGCTTACAGTCTCACCCCTGGCCTGGGTTAGTGGGGGGAGCTGCAAGCTGGAAAGGGGGACCCAGGAGCTCTGGCTTCTGACCACACCACCAAGCTGGGACTGAGCCCCAGCCCCCAGGCTCCCCAGCCCTAAAGCCCTGGTCCACGAGTGCTGCTGGTGAGGATAGCCCAGCGCCCCCCTGATGGCCCGTCCCCACCTCCTCCCCTCCGCAGTGCGGCTTCTTCAAGCGAGCCCGCACTCGCGCCCTGTATGAAGCTAAGAGGCAGAAGGCGGAGATGAAGAGCCAGCCGTCAGAGACAGAGAGGCTGACCGACGACTACTGAGGGGGCAGCCCCCCGCCCCCGGCCCACCTGGGTAACACGGCCTCCGGGCCCCCTTCCCCGAGCCCCACAGCTGGCCGGGCCTCTGACTCTGTCCTATCTGCTCCTCTTCCCTTATGGGCCTGCTCTGACCTCATTCTGTCCCCACCACCACCCCAAAGATCAGGTCACTCTGACTGTCCCTCCAGCCCCCTGGGTGTCTGGCTTTCATCAGCCTCCCCCTAAGCCCCTTGGTGACTTGGGACCCCATGAGGGAGGCATAAATCCTCTCTGTGATGACCTTGCTTTCTGGGGATTGGAACAAGGTCAAGGGCAAGGCCAGGCCCCATCTCTGTAAACCACAGCCATGTCCAGAATAATTCTACACTCCCATTTCCACCCCTAGGGAAGGAGGGGAGCAGTAGAGACCCTCCTCCTGGGAACTAGCCTGTTTCCTCCTGAGCAACCCTTCCAGGATAACAAATGGACCCATTCCCAACATTGTGGTCAGGGTAGACTGCCCAGTCTTCCTGGCCATTCCATCCACTGTCTCTGCAGCTGCCCTCGGTCTCCATCTGCCTCTTCCTCTGCTCTCTGCCTTCCTCAACTCCTTCTTCCTCTGGGGCCTGGGGTGGAGAAACTCATCCTCCGTATCTCAGTGCAGAGAGATGGGATGCGTTTCGGTCAAGAGTTCTGGCTTTGAGGAGTTCTGGGTGGGAGAGGGAGAGGCCTGGCACTCCTTCCTGGTGGCTCAAACTCTGGATGCTAATGTTCTTTCTCTTCTCCCTCCAACTCCAGTGTGACTTCTTTAAGCGGACCCGCTATTATCAGATCATGCCCAAGTACCACGCAGTGCGGATCCGGGAGGAGGAGCGCTACCCACCTCCAGGGAGCACCCTGCCCACCAAGAAGCACTGGGTGACCAGCTGGCAGACTCGGGACCAATACTACTGACGTCCTCCCTGATCCCACCCCCTCCTCCCCCAGTGTCCCCTTTCTTCCTATTTATCATAAGTTATGCCTCTGACAGTCCACAGGGGCCACCACCTTTGGCTGGTAGCAGCAGGCTCAGGCACATACACCTCGTCAAGAGCATGCACATGCTGTCTGGCCCTGGGGATCTTCCCACAGGAGGGCCAGCGCTGTGGACCTTACAACGCCGAGTGCACTGCATTCCTGTGCCCTAGATGCACGTGGGGCCCACTGCTCGTGGACTGTGCTGGTGCATCACGGATGGTGCATGGGCTCGCCGTGTCTCAGCCTCTGCCAGCGCCAAAACAAGCCAAAGAGCCTCCCACCAGAGCCGGGAGGAAAAGGCCCCTGCAATGTGGTGACACCTCCCCCTTTCACACTGGATCCATCTTGAGCCACAGTCACTGGATTGACTTTGCTGTCAAAACTACTGACAGGGAGCAGCCCCCGGGCCGCTGGCTGGTGGGCCCCCAATGACACCCATGCCAGAGAGGTGGGGATCCTGCCTAAGGTTGTCTACGGGGGCACTTGGAGGACCTGGCGTGCTCAGACCCAACAGCAAAGGAACTAGAAAGAAGGACCCAGAACGGCTTGCTTTCCTGCATCTCTGTGAAGCCTCTCTCCTTGGCCACAGACTGAACTCGCAGGGAATGCAGCAGGAAGGAACAAAGACAGGCAAACGGCAACGTAGCCTGGGCTCACTGTGCTGGGGCACGGCGGGATCCTCCACAGAGAGGAGGGGACCAATTCTGGACAGACAGATGTTGGGAGGATACAGAGGAGATGCCACTTCTCACTCACCACTACCAGCCAGCCTCAGAAGGCCCCAGAGAGACCCTGCAAGACCACGGAGGGAGCGACACTTGAATGTAGAATAGGCAGGGGGCCCTGCCCCACCCCATCCAGCCAGACCCCACGCTGACCATGCGTCAGGGGCCTAGAGGTGGAGTTCTTAGCTATCCTTGGCTTTCAGAGCCAGCCTGGCTCTGCCCCCTCCCCCATGGGCTGTGTCCTAAGGCCCATTTGAGAAGCTGAGGCTAGTTCCAGAAAACCTCTCCTGACCCCTGCCTGTTGGCAGGCCCACTCCCCAGCCCCAGCCCCTTCCATGGTACTGTAGCAGGGGAATTCCCTCCCCCTCCTTGTGCCTTCTTTGTATATAGGCTTCTCACGGCGACCAATAAACAGCTCCCAGTTTGTATGCAGCTGCATCTGCTTCCACCCACTCCCCAGCCTTTACCAACCCCAGGTCAATGGATGATGATATCATCCAGCCAACACCTAGGTAGGATGAAGCCAGGTCTGGGGACTTGCGGGTTTGAGGGTAAAGATTGATGGAGGTGGCCAGGTGCAGTGGCTCACACCTGTAATCCCAGCACTTTGGGAGGCCAAGGCATGCAGATCACCTGAGGTCAGGAGTTCAAGACCAGCCTGGCCAACATGGTGAAACCCTGTGTCTACTAAAAATACAAAAGTTAGCTGGGCGCAGTGGCGCATGCCTATAATCCCAGCTACTTGGGAGGCTGAAGTAGGAGAATCACTTGAACCCAGGAGGCAGAGGTTGCAGTGAGCCGAGATCGTGCCATTGCACTCCAGCCTGAACGACAGAGCAAGACTCTGTCTCAAAGAAAAATAAAAAGATTGATGGAGGTGACACTGGCCCCTGCTCTCAGGAATCCTCTCATCTAAGGGTCAGTCATAGAGATCCAGAACAGAAGATGAGGGGTAAGCCTTGGGAGACCTGGATGAAACCCAGAACGCCTTCTTGGAGGACAGCGTGCTGACCCTGGGGAGGGACGAGCAGGCAGAGGTGGCAGTGTGCAGGGTCGGGAAGAGGTAAAAGCTACTCAGCTGTAGGAACAGGCAGTCCTGGCAGGCTGTGGAGGGAGGCTGGGTGCAAGGGTGGAGAGAGGAGAGCCCTTAGTCGGGCTGAATTCAGGTAAGAGCCTGCTTTCCTGCCTTGGTTTCCCCACAACCACCACCAGACGCCAATAAGAGATCAGAAGGTAAACCACTGATCCAAGGCTGCAGAGACTGAACTGTCACAAGGTCCAGCCTCCAGGAGCTGAGAGCTCTGGTCTTTCAGAAGCTCCTTGGGAGTGTTTGAGCGCCTGGCTTACATGGCAACAGCACGTGGATCAAGCCTTCGCTTTGCTTCCTGCCATGTCCTGGGTTCCCAAAGCAGCTTCCTCCTTTGCCCTCGGTTTGTCCCCTCCACACAGGCCTGGGGAATGGAGTAAGGCTGTTCCCCCTGTGACCTGGAATGTGGCCTAGGTCCTTCTGTTAATTTTCCTTAAGGCTGTGAACTTTGGCAAGACTTCACTGGAGGCTGGAAATTGCTACCCAGAGAAGCGCAGAGGTAGAAGCCAGGTCAGATATGCTCAGAGCTCACAGACCCAGGCTGTTCTGGGAGACCCACCTGATGCCTGGGTGCCTCCCAGCCTCCTTGTGGTGGCAGCTGCCTGCCCCACCTCCCTCCACCAGCGCTCAGCTCACAACAGGGTTCTGGGCCCAATGTCCGCCCCTTTCCCTCTCCTCACTTTCTGTGCCGGGATTTGCCCCTTCCCAGGGTGACTGACAATGGAATGTCCACTTTCCCAAGGAAAACCCTAGCCCCTACCCGGAGCTGCCAAGCTCTCAGAACCCAGTGAATGGAGACCACACTTTATTTTCTAGAATCTGGGATCCAGTTCTTTGGGCATAACATGTGTGGGTTGTCAAAGCTCGGCCCAGTCTTGTCCTTACAGCCACTTCCTGCTTAAGACAGGGGTGTTGACACATCCCTCTGGCCAGTTTCACAGACCCCCTAGTCTCCTGTGAGCCACTGCTTGAGGAAGACCCCCCCCACACACACACACACTCTTGAGGATAGGTCATTTTCAGAACTAGCGTGAGCTACATATTATGAAAGAAACATAACTGGCAGAGATATAGCAATGCCCACTGTAAAAGAACCCTCTGCAATGCCAAGTTTCTTGAGCTCCTTGGAGAGTCCCCCCCCACCAACCCACACTGTACATATAGTGGGAGATTTGGGAATCGGTGGGGGTGCAGTTTACCTCGGCATCACCTAACCAAACTTGACTATGATGTACCACATCACACCACTGCTGTTAGCACCCTGCAGCAGGCTCTGCAGAAAGAGTTCTTATCCAAGCACAGAGCCCACATTATGGAAGTCCAGCCTAAGGTGAGGGTCATGGGAAATCTCTTTCCCTCTCCTACACCTAGCCTTAGAGGCCACGGCCTTTTCCTTGTTACTTTAATTTTGACAATAACAGCAATAGCTACCATTTATTGCTAGGCACAGAAATAAGCCTTTTTTTTTTTTTTTTTTTTTTTTTTTGAGACCGGGTCTCAGTCAGTTACCCAGATTGGAGTGCCGTGGCACAATCATGGCTCTGGCTCACTGCAGCCTTGACCTCTGGGGCTCAAGGAATCTTCCTACTTCAGCCTCCCAAGTAGCTGGGACTATAGGTACATGCCACCACACTCAGCTAATTTTATATTTTTTGTAGGGACAAGATCTTGCTATGCTGCCCAGGCTGGTCTCGAACTCCTGGGCTCAAGCAATCCTCCTACCTCAGCCTCCCAAAGTGAGGGCCAGGTTTTTTTGTACATAATATTCTATATATTATTCTGTGCACTTGAAAACTGCACTCACCAGCATCATCAATCACGTCCTAATTGCTAGCCCAGTGGATGTTTGGTGGTTCTCTGGAATATCTCTGTGGTGTGCTCCTCTGCTTGCCCTGTCTTCTTTTTCACCCTGTCCTCCCTACTAGGTGCTGAGTACTGCCTGATGCTAGAGATAGGGCAGTGAATAAGACAGATACAACCCCTGCCCTGCCCTCACGGAGCTTAAAGTCTAGCGGGAAAACAGATCAGTTGGCAAACAATTTTCACTCAATTGATAAGAGCTACCATCAGCTCCTTTTAACCCCTCCTTCCTGGATTTGTCCAGGTAGCTTTCAGCCAATCCCTTTCCTCGACGAGGTACCTGTTTCACATGTCCTGATCTTTCCTTGTCCTCTCTTAAGGGGTCTTGTGGATTCCCAGTCTGGATGACAGTGACCCAGACTGCGAATATTTGCTAAGACCAGGAGATCTAAGGAGCCCTTGAAGGGAGCCTATAACCCAGCTTGGCAGGATCAAGGAAGGCTTCCAGGAGGAAGGGATGACTAAGCAGCTGAGACCTGAAGAATGGGCAGGTGAAGGTGGGAAGAAAGAATGATCCAGACAGAAGAGATGCATTTGCAGTGGCTTAGAGATTAGAGGCTGGTTCAAGGCAGCAGACAGGTATGGCTGGGAGCTGCATGGGGGAATGTAGAGAGAGGAGTCTGGAGAATTAAGCAAAAGTCAATCGACTTGTGACAACTGGAAAGGCTCCAGTAAGAAGAAGAGAGCCATTGATGGCCTAGCACAGTGCCTCATACCTGTAATCCCTGCACTTTGGGAGGTTGAGGCGGGCAGATCACTTGAGGTCAGGAATTCAAGACCAGCCTGGCCAACATGGTGAAACCCTGTCTCTACTAAAATTACAAAAATTAGCCAGGCATGGTAGTACATGCCTGTTATCCCAGCTACTTGGAAAGCTGAGACAGGAGAATCGCTTGAACCTGGGAGGAGAAGTTTGCAGTGAGCCAAGGTTGTGCCACTGCACTCCAGCTTGGACGACAGAGGGAGACTCAATCTCAAAAAAAAAAAAAAAAAAAAAAAAAATAGCCCATTGAAAGGCTGTGAGCAAGGAAGTAATAAGGTCAGATTTGCAGTTGAGAATGATCCCTGAGTCTCGGTTTTCTTATCTATGAAATGAGGCTAAGAATAATAAAATAGAGAATTAAATGAGATAATGCCTGTAAACAGTGCCTGGCATATAGCTTATTATTCATCCAGCTAAGAGGCCCTTCCATATGTGAAGCTTTGCTCTGTGAGGTCTGTATTACAATCACATTCAGTTATAGCTAATTATTTACTTATGTAGCTATCTCTGAAACTTAGAAATGAAATCATCGAGGAAAAAGGCCATTTCTTGATCCTGTCTGTGTTCCCTGTTCCCAGCATAAAGCCTAACACGTATTAGGCTAATGTCACCGAGCAAAGAAAGCATCAAAGTGGCGGGTCGGGCCCTAAACCCACGATGGGAGATACCACATTCGGCCACAAGAGGGCGCGTCACATTTTCTCCAAGAGAAGCTGGGCCGCTGATGAAGGACGGGCTCCGGGCCTCCCAGAGACACTTCACCTCCTGGGATCTTGCTCTAAGGAAGCCCGGTGCGAAGGAGGTGGCTTTCTCAGGTGGTCGCGCTAGATGTCCAAGGCTTTATGTTCGGTCAGATGAGCTGTATAATAAAATGAAAGTGTTAACTGGCATGGACGATAGCTGCTGCCTCCACCGCCACTAGTAGTGATGGTTTTTACTCTGGATGTTTTTCAGTTGGAAAAGCAAACTCCGCCTTTTCCTGAGCCGCTTGGATCTTTGTGGAAGCGGGTGGGCTGCATATATACAGGACGGATTCGTATAGGCTTGCACCCTGGTTCCGAATTTTGCAAATATTCGCAGTCTGGGTCACTGTCATCCGGACTGGGAATCCCCAAGACCCGTTAAGGGAGGATAGGTAACGATCATGACAGGTGAAACAGGTACCTTTGAGTTGGAGAAAAGGGATTGGTTGAAAGCTACCTAGACAACTCTGGAAAGGAAGGGTTAAAAGGAGCCTGCAGGTGAAGGAGATGCGAGGGGGTAGCAAGGGAAAGGCAGGCGTGGAAGAGGAAGCGAAAGGGCTGGCGGGGCTCTGGGAAGGAAGGGGTTAACCCGGGCTTCGCCCCGCGGAGGAAAGGGAGGAGTGAACACAGGGGAGGTGGGAACTCGGCGCGGCCTCCCCAAAACAACAGGCCGCCCCGGCAAAGCGTGGGTTAAGGGGGCGGGCCCGGGGGAAGCCACGTGCCGGGGCGGAAGGCTATTGGTTCGCCCGGAGTTGTTTGTGAGTGGCCATTGGCGACGTCGAGGCGCCATGACGAGCCGATTGGCTGGGCGTTGGAATGCCCGCCAGGGCAAGGGTAGGGAGGAGGCGGCCGAACCGCGTCGCTGGGCCGAAAGGTGCGCGAGCGCTGCCCGCGCGGGGACCACAACCAAAGTCGCGGCCGCCGCAGCCATGCGCTGGGTGTGGGCGCTGCTGAAGAATGCGTCCCTGGCAGGGGCGCCCAAGTACATAGAGCACTTCAGCAAGTTCTCCCCGTCCCCGCTGTCCATGAAGCAGTTTCTGGACTTCGGTACGGAGTGGGCGGGAGGCGGCTGGCAGCGGAGGCCGGCGGGGCGCTGGGAGGGGCAGCCGGGGGCTAGGGGGACGGAGGAGAAGAAAGGCCCCGAGTGACAGAGAAGGGTTGTTTGGAAAGGTACAGGCAGGAAAGAGTTAATGGGGAAGCAGGAACCGGCCGGGGCCTCTCGACGGGGCTGCTGATGGGAATGGGGGGCATTTACAAGGACGGTCCCGAGGTTTCTTCGTGGGCCTCATGAAGGGTCTTGAAGAGTAAGGGGCAGTGAAGCTGTGATGTTACTGCAGGAAGGGAGTAGGGTGGTATCCAGACGCGAAAGGGTTAATGGGAGTTGTCCTCATGACTGGAGGAGTAGGGGCCCCTCCTCCCACCAGAGGAAACCGGGGGTCTGCTGGTGGGAGTGAGGAGGCAGGGTTTAGAGGTGCAGCCATCTGTAGAGAGACCTGGACTGGGCATGAAGGGTCAGACACCCCTGGGCAGAGGGTGAGATTAAGCCAGGGGCAGTTGGGGAAGGGGGCTCTTTCAGAAGATGCCATTGGGAGACAGTGCCCTGACTGGTAGACATCCACCCACAGAAGGAGCTGGACCCTAGCTGCCCCAGTGGGCAAGGACACTTGAAGATCAAATCTGTTCCGGCCTGGCAGCCTCTCCCCAGCTGGGCAGGGGCCCCAGGCACCGTGATGTGGAGTCAAGCCGCCTATACCTCCCTTGGCTGCCCCAGGGCTGCTAGGTCAGGATCGCCCACTACCAGCAACCTGGGGGTGGCCCTGGGGCAGGAGGGAGGCTGTGCCAACGTGGCAGCTGAAATGGGCATTGTGTGGGCCCTGTCTGTCTATGTGGTATTTCCATGGTGCCAGCTGGGGACTGGGGGTGGGGGGCAGTCTCTCAAGAGTTGAGTTGATAGTGCCTAGCTTGGGTTGCAGCTGCGTCAATGATGGGACGGGAACAGAGAGGTGGCAGCCGAGACATAAGGCACCTGTTCCTCAGGACTTGTCTGCCTGCACCCCTGCCCTGCCTGAGTCTTGAGCCTCCCCCATGTAGGAAAGCCTCCTGGGCCCACCCCTAGCCCCCAGCAGCTGTCCCCACAAACTGCACCCTAATTACAGAAACATCACAGCTGTGAGGGGCTCACAGTAGAGTTTGGTCAACTTGTAGTACTATGGGGGAAACTGAGACCTTCAAAAGGATGATGGCATGGCCTGGGTGACAGAGTTGGAAGCAGAGCCTGATGGACTGGAACCCAGGGCCCCTGACCCTGGGCCAAGGCCATATTCGGTCCCCCACCCTTTCCATCTTGACACCAGACAAGGACCGAGGCATTTGGACTCCTGTTCTCAGGCCCGTTTGCCCCATGGATGGGCATTAAGACACAGCAGCCCCACATGGGCATTCAGGCCAGGCTGGGTGAGGTGGGCTGGCCAGAGACAACACTGGGAGCCTGCAGTGGTGGTCTAGCCATAGCCCCCCTCAGCCAGAGCCCAGTCCTAGGTAGGGATGGGTTTCCCAGGCTCCTTTGTCCCCTGGAATCAGCCCCTCAAAGTGAGTGTGCTGGGAGGGAAGGAAAGAGAAGTGAGGTGACTGAGGCCAGAGGCAGCTCCAAATGGGCCCAGGAGTGGCCCTGTCCACTGTGGTTAAAGGCAAGCAGGGTTCAGCTGGGGATGAGGAGAGGATGACACCTCCTGAAGTGTTAGGCATGGGGTGTAGGTGTTTGAGCCCTGCAGGGGATGGGGAGCCTTGCTGTGTGCCCCGGGCAGGTCACTTGCTCTCTGAGCCCCCTGTTAATGAAGGGTTTAGCTGACCTGGCCGAGACATCCTTTGGCTTTCATAGTCTGTGGCTCTGTGGCTCACCCCTCTTTCTCCTGCCAGGATCCAGCAATGCCTGTGAGAAAACCTCCTTCACCTTCCTCAGGCAGGAGCTGCCTGTGCGCCTGGCCAACATCATGAAAGAGATCAACCTGCTTCCCGACCGAGTGCTGAGCACACCCTCCGTGCAGCTGGTGCAGAGCTGGTGAGACCCCTGGCTCAGTCCCTGCACCTCCCACTCCATCGCCAGTGTCCCTGGGCTCAGGGATGGCATCTCCAAGCTTTTAGCAGCTTTGAGGGTGGGGTGGGGACAGACAGGAGACACCAAAGCCCCAAGCGCTTGGAGTTGCCTAGGGTCACGTGGGAATCTGAGGCCAGAGCAGGACTGAGGTCAAGCTCCTAGTCTCTGTGTCTAGCCCTCTTCTTACCACCCACCTTTCTCTGGAAACACAGGATCCACCTAGGAAAGCATGGTTTTCACAGCCAAAACCCCAATTCAGGCTGATGTCAGCATTAGCCAGCAGCCCAGACCTGGAACTCCAGTAACTGTTAGGCAGTATTTATTTGGGGGTAACTTTTTGGGAAGCAGAAACAAGAAGTAAGTTTTCAAATACATTATATAACCCAAGCTGCAAGACAGACTGTTTTGGATGTTGGAAAATACTCAGATACACACAAGGATGGCACAGTACCTTCCCGAAGAGCTTTGGAGGGGCAAAGACCAAACGTTTATTGCGCACTGCAGCAGGAACAGAGGGAAAGGCTCAGCAGAGTTCACTCAAGAACTCAAGTTAAGTAACTGGATGAAATTAGCCAAAGGCCAGTCACGTGAAGAATAAACAAGGGTGTCCCTTGTCACTGGGCATGTAAATAGCTAATCCTCATTGACTTTGGTGGCACCCTTGCAGAAATCTTGGGCTGGTTCTTTTGGACTTGCAGTATGATATAGTTGTGATTTCCCTGTAGACTGAGGAGCACGTGCCCACATGTATTCTGAGCTCAAAGCCATGCGAAGTCACAGCAGCTGCCCTCAGAGGCCTGTGATCTTGAGGGAAAAATAATATTCACCCAGGCAGGGTGAACTGAGTCCAGCATAGTGCTAGGAGCAGGGAGCTGCCAAAGAGTTCGTTTTATTTAAATTAGGAATCCAAACATTATTTTAAAAGAACACTGATATTTTTCCCTCATTGTGGAAGTGTAACAGGTTCACTTGACACTTGCAAAATGCACAATAGTAGATAGAAGAAAATGCCAACCACTCCCCTCCACCCCCTAACCGAACACAGTTCAGTTTCGTCAGATGTAGTGGTGCCTTTCCAGCGCTGTTTTCTATGCATGGACCTGTGGATATGGGGCTTATTCTAATTAAATGAGATATGGTGAGGGGCAGTGTTGTACACACAAGGCTAGGGGTGTAGTGGGTGCACCATGAATGTTTGTTGAATGACACGTTGTGGGGCAGTTGCTATGGACATGCAGAGGAGGTGACTTGTCACTGGACCTTACAGGGTACCTAGGCAAGCTGAGAGCTAAAAGGAAGGGAAGGGCATTCCAGGCTAAAGGAATAGCCTGGGCAAAGGTGTGGAGACAGGAAGGGGCCTGGCTAAGGGAGCTGAGAACTGACTTTCTGGAGATTGTGCTGTTAGTGTGGGCTGTGAGGAAGGGGTGGAGGCATGAGGCACAGAGCCTGATCTTCATGGAGCCCAACCAGGTCACCCCTTGCTGTGCCTTGCCTCTCGGAGGTCCAGGACCTCTGAGCCAACCAACACTTCCCATCGTGGGTGGTGTGGAGTGGTGGGAAGGAGACAGAAGGTACCATCTGTTCTCCCTGGCCCTCCTCCGGCTCTATCCGGCTGCCTGACCTGGCTGCCTCTCCACCTGGTCCCTGACTCCAGGGCAGGACTTCTCAGGCCCCTCCCTGGACACCGTGTTCCTGGGAGAGCTGAGGGATGCAGGAGGAGGGCAGGGGCCTGCTGAGCTTCCCATGACTCCCCCAGGGGCCCCTGCAGAGTCCCTTCCTGAAACTCAGTGACACAGATAAGAGGTTGGCCTGACTTATTCTTCCGCAAAGCTTGCAAGTAATGTCAAGTAACAGCAGGAGGGAATGAAGTTAGACAAGAGAGAACACTTCCTCAATGAAGGATTCAGCTTAGGCCGGGCGCGGTGGCTCACGCCTGTAATCCCAGCACTTTGGGAGGCCGAGGCGGGCGGATCACAAGGTCAGGAGATCGAGACCATCCTGGCTAACACGGTGAAACTCCATCTCTACTAAAAATATAAAAAATTAGCCGGGCGCGGTGGCGGGCACCTGTAGTCCCAGCTACTCGGGAGGCTGAGGCAGGAGAATGGCGTGAACCCGGGAGGCGGAGCTTGCAGTGAGCTGAGATTGTGCCACTGCACTCCAGCCTGGGCGACAGAGCGAGACTCCGTCTCAAAAATGAAAGAAAGAAAGATTCAGCTTAGAGGAGAGCAGGCCGAGGGATTGCTAAAGCATCCCAACGCGCTGAAGAGACAGCCTGCCAAGAATGTTTCCAGAGAGAATGAGCATTGGCTACAGCAAGAGAGACTGAGGTGTGAAGACAAGAAGGACTTCCCGACAGGGTTGAGGTGGCTGCCTGTAAGAGAGTGGAGACCTCTTTCTCCAGGAGCAACAGCCTGCCAGCTGGAATGATGGAGATGGGCAGGTTCTAGGTGCCTGAGAGGAGGGGGGAGACTTTACCAGGGAGCTTGGCAAGAGGGCCTCTAGCCTGAGTTTGATGAGTAAGAAGCAAACCCTCCTTTCTGGAAAACACAAGAGCCCTCGGCAGATGCAGTTATTAGTGGTCATGGTTCATCTGTGGTCATAGAAATGGAGTTTCTACTCAGCTGGGGAGAGGTTCTAGGCAGAGTCACTGGGCAAGGTGAGAATTCCTGGTTCTAAATAAACCTGATACATTTCAACTGGACAGACTTGTGATAGTGGGCCCTGTTTTGGTGGAGACTGGACGGGGAGGGAAAGTCCCAGGTTTGGCCTCAGCATGTGTGACTTTGAAGCTTCATCCTGGGCAAGCCACATGGCATCTCTGAGCCTCAGCTTCCTCATGTGTAAAAGGGGGACCCATTGTGTTTGTAAGGGCCAAAGGCCAGTGCTAGATGTGAAAAGTGTGCAGAACTCTACCAATACAAGGCATATCCCCAGGCTGCCGGGCAGCAACACCTCCAGCCCACAGAGGATGTAATTGTGGTGTGGCTTCTTGGGCAAGGTAGTAATAAATCATGATAATAACAAAAGCAAACACCTCCAAAGGCTGGCTGTGTCCCAGGAGCTGTCCTAAGTGTCTACGCGTATTAACTCATTTCATCTTCGCAACCTTATGAGGTAGTCTTTGCTATCATCCCATTTTCTAGATGAGAAACTGAGGTTCAGAGAGGTGAAGAACCTTATCTGAGATCACCCAGGGACTAGGTGGTGGAATTGGGATTCGAACCCAGCTGTTGGATTTGGAGACTGGATTCTTGAAGGGAAAGGAGGGAGCCTGCACTCTGGGCAGTGATGTGGAGTCAGAGATTTCCAAGTTCATGGTGCAAGTCTGTGGGAGAGCAGAACTCACTTTACAAAATTGTTGACAGCCGGTGTTGTTAGAGACGGAAAGGGACAACCCCGGCTCCTCTCCAGGCGTGGAGTCTGTGGGGATGTGCTTCCAGAAAATGCAGGGTTAAGCAGGAGCTGCAGAGTAGAATCAAATGACAATGACTCACTGCTGTCACTAACAGGCTCTTTGTGGGGGCTGTAGGTGGGAGGCGATATGGCCGGCACCTTCGCACAAACCTCCCTTGCCCGTCAGCAAGGTGTGTGGACCCCATACAGGGGGTGTGGCTTGGGTGCCCAGGACCTGCTAAAGCCACACGAGCTCTCCAAACCCGTCAGCCGCTCCTTGCATGACCGAGCAGGACCGACCACTTACTGCGCATGTACTCGAGGCATCATCTTTTCTGTACACCCAGGCCCATGAGGTGCTTACTCCCATGAACCCCATTTTGCAAATGGGGACCCGAGGGACTCGGTGGCCTCTTTAGGGCACAATCAGCAGCGGAACCCAAACCTGCCTGGCTCAGAGGCTCCGGAGGCGGGACACCGCCACCTCTCCCCCAAGTGCAGCGAGCACCCTCCTCCCCAGCCTTTGCCTTGTTTACACCCTGCTCCCCAGCAGCTGTGGATACGAGTGCACAGGGCACACCCTCGCACACACCCACAGGCATGCACATGCCACATGCACACAATTACACACACTCCCCCGCTGGCTCAGCACCCCCTCTGCTCCCACACAGGGCTGCAGGGCCCTCCTCCCACTCACTCACCCTCTCCTCCCGCCCCCACCGCCCATTATCAGCCCCACACTCTCAGCAAGCCTCCTGGCTTCTGCCTGCATCCACCCCTCCTCCTTCTCATTCCTGGGGCTCTGGACTGGCTCTGGAGCCCTGGAAAGCAGGGTTTGGGTGGATCTCCACATTACCTTGGGCTGGGCTTGGGAGCTCCGGATCTCACCAAGGGACTCCTGGGGGCCTTGATTACTGCAGAGGTCAGCAGGCCCAGAGACCCCAGCCTCCCTGCAGGTCCTGGGGAGGGGTGGGGGCAATGCCTCTCCCGCCTGTTGGTGCCTGTCTGTCACTGCACCACTGCTTCAGGCCTCCCTTATATAAGCCCAGTTCTCTCTCTGGCCTGCAAGGGGTGGGCAGCCCAGAGGCCAGCGCCACTCGTCCCCAATCTCCCTTCTTAGGATCAAGAACCGGCCCAAGGTTGACATTTGGTGCACCAGGCCCCTGAGGGGCTTCAGGGCAAGGCCAGGGACCTCGGGGAAAATCCTCATCCTCTCCCCTCCATTCCAAGAGTAGCCTGGGCCCCTTGCCCTGGAGGAGCCCTGGCCCTGTGAGGGAGGCTGGCAGGCGCTGCCCGCTGTCACTCCATGCCGGTGCCCTTTGCTCCACTTCAGTGGCCACGTGACCAGGCCCCATTCCTGCCCTCTAGGGTTGTTGAGCAGCCACAAAAGGGGTGGTGCCAGCAGCTGGGGCACTCTCCCTAAGTGAGACTGGGACTTTGACCATGCCCACCCCCACCCACTGCCCAGCACAGTCAGGAAGTGGCTTAGCCTCCCAGCTCCCACCCGCTTCATCCCCACCTGCCTCCTGGGAAGGGGCCTCAGGCCCCACTCTGCAGTGGGTCTCCTCCCCCTCCTCTCCCCACCTGCCCCTAGCACTGCCTGTGTGCGGGCCCTCTCTCCCCTAAGAATCATATGAGCATGAAGGTCTATTTTGGGTGCGTTTAGGGAGCAAGGGATTCGGAGCCACATAGGCCTGGATGAGAGAATCTCAGCTCTGTGTGTTAACTTCCTCATCTGTAAAATGGGTCCAGCAGTAGCGCCCACCTCTGGGGTTCTTGTGGAGGTGAAAGTGGGGCAGGAGGGAAGCACAGGGTGGACCTGGCTATTGGTACCCAGTAAATGCCACCATCACCATCAGCAGCGGCATCACCGTCAGGGCCCGTGTTGGCCGTTGGCCACGTGGTGTAGACTTGGAGTCTGCAAGAGCTAGGTTTGAATCCCAACCTGCTGCTTACTATGTGGCCTGGGGCATATCACTAACCTCTCAGTGCTGGTCTCGTTGTCTGCAAAAACAGGGAAATACCTTGTGCTCATCAAGGCTGTTGGCAGATGAGAGACCCTGTGTGGGACTCGGCACAAGTGGGTGTTAGTGGTCGCTATGTTCTTCTCCAGGGAGACAGGTGAGGTCTTAGGAGTGCCAGCCTGATTGTCTGCTGGGGTGGCAGGGATGGTGATGGGGGCTGAGAGAAAGGCTGATCTTTTCTGCTGTTGGGGCCCCCAGCCCCATCAGCAGCCACAGCTCCTCCTATCGGGCTCTGTGCAGAGCTCTGGGTAGGGAGGGGTGGGCGGTGAGCTCTGGGCCTGAGACAGCCCCCTTCGTGTGGCAGTGGGGCAGGTCTCCAGGGCACAGGGGCTCCAACATGCTGTGATTCAGAGCCTACAAGCAGTGGGAGAGTATCAGATGCTGCCTGGGGGCTCAGAGGATGCATGCAGCTGTTGACAGTGTTTGAGCCACCAGCCATAATAAGAGCAAGCATTAGAGAGTGCTCACTATGTGCTAGGCACTGTGCTAATCATCACATGGAATTCTCACCACAAAGCAGTCATAAATAGATATAACAATCCCCATTTTCCTAATGAGCAAACTCAGGCCCAGAGAGGTTCCATGACTTACCCAGAGCCACACAGCTCCAAGTGCTTAAAGAGCCAGGTCTGGGTCCAGAGCTGGTTCTTTCACTCTCTTCTCTGTCAGGCAAGAGCGAGAAGAGCAGCAATACTAGGTTTAAGGGGAAGGGCATTCCTAGCAGAGGGCACTGTGTGAACAGAAGCGTGGAGGTGAGAGTCGAGCAGAATCAGCACTCTGGAGTGGCAAGAGCGCTGGAGACTCGGGGGCTTCATCATCCCACTTACTAGCTATGGGGCTGCTTACGCCTCCCTGGGGGAGGCTGTGCGTGGGGCTGATTCCTGCCTGTCTGCCTGTTACAGGTTACAGTGAAGGCCAGAGCACTGTGGACATGGGAATGAGTCCTCGTGTGGAGGGGCCTTTTCTAGAAATACTGTTGGGCCCCTGGGGCCCTTGGCACTGCAGGGCTCTAGGTAGCGCCCCCCCTTCCTCCTGGTTATAAGTGTTTCTGCCAGAGAGAGGCTCTTCCTGCCTTCCCCAAAGGAACAAGCCACAGACTGGACATGTTAGCAGGGAAACAGGTCATGGCTCCCCAGGGCACGGGGCACAGTGGCTCCAGCTTGGTACCATCTGCCACCACAGGTGGACCTGACTCCCTTGCAGAAGGAGGCCTGCTGCTGTCCCTGAGTTCAGGGCTTATTTTTTGGGGGGACAGAGTCTTGCTCTGTCACCCAGGCTGGAGTGCAATAGAGCGATCTCGGCTCACTGCAACCATTGCCTCCCAGGTTCAAGCGATTCTCCTACCTCAGCCTCCCGAGTAGCTGGGATTACAGGCGTGCACCACCATGCCCAGCTAATTTTTGCATGTTTAGTAGAGACAGGTTTTTGCCATGTTGGCCAGGCTGGTCTTGAACTCCTGACCTCAGGTGATTCGCCCACCTCAGCCTCCCAGAGTGCTGGGATTACAGGTGTGAGCCACCACACCTGGCTAAGTTCAGGGATTCTTGATGCTCCTTTTAGAGCATCAAGCTCTTCTCTTAGCCCAGGGAAAACTGGCCTCCCCATCAGGCCTGTAGATGGGAGGAGGTGGCAGGGCATCACCCACTGCTACCTGGCCTTTTGCAGTAGAGTGAGCTTCTCTGGACTCTCCATGGGCCCCAGCCCCACCTGGGGACAGAGCCAGGCACGCCCACCCCACCTTTGGGTCCTTCCCACCTGCCATTTTAGAATCCACTTGCCGAGGCAGGTGCCTGGCCCAGATCACCCCAGCTCAGGGGTCACTCTGGGAGGCCCCGTGCTGTCTCCTCTGCCGGGGGTCACTCCAGGAGGCCCTGTGCTGGCCCTTCTGCCATTGTGCCCACTGGATGCAACAACACCCCGGCGGGGAGAAACATTAGGAGCTGTTTCCACACTGGGGCTCAGAGAAGTTGATGCACCTCCCTGCCTTCCCCCACTGCAGGCGCTAGGTCCAGTCTCCCTGCCCCATCTCAGCCTCAGTCTCCTGATCTGTGAGTCCTCTTAGATGGGATCATCTCCAAGCCCCTTCTGAGAGGACTATTCTAGGATTCCAAAGCAAAGGTGCTAAACGGGGGACCAGCAAATTTGAAGTTTTCTTGCATAACTGACTGGGTTGTCAGGGAGACTCACATACAAATGAAATGGATGGAGAAAAATAGTGAGGCGGCTTGTCGGCAGCTCTGTGTGGGGCCCGCGTAGGAGCAGGACAAGAGCAAGGCCCAGTTGAATGAAGTGGGTGAGGAGGGGCTAGCCACCTGAAGCTGAGGCTGTGTCCCCTCCCGCCCCCACACAGGTATGTCCAGAGCCTCCTGGACATCATGGAGTTCCTGGACAAGGATCCCGAGGACCATCGCACCCTGAGCCAGTGAGTGGGGGCCCTGGGTGGGGCAGGAAGGCAGGTGTTGGCCAGGGGCATCTGGGGTTGCAGCCCCTGGGGCAGAAGTACAGCAGGATGGAAGAAAAGACCCCTGCCTTCAGAAACATCCAGTCTGAGTGGGGAGACAGACTCTGCTTCAGGGAGCCCCAAGTTTGATGGGAGAGACATGGACTCCATTCTCACTGTTCCCTGAGCCCGGTGGGCAAGACCCAGGCCCTGCCATGGGGAGGATGAGAACTCTGGGCTTTCGAGTGGGAAGCCTGCCGGCAGGCAGCTAAAAGATCAGAGTGGGCTTTGGGAGGAGCAGGGAGGGCACTGGGAGTCCATCGGATTGGGAAGGGTAGAGCGGGTGAAGACACCGTGGAGAGGGGAGTCAGAAGCGGAGAAGAGTCTGGGGGTGTCCCATGTGAACATCTGCCCTGCCCCACAGGTTCACTGACGCCCTGGTCACCATCCGGAACCGGCACAACGACGTGGTGCCCACCATGGCACAAGGCGTGCTTGAGTACAAGGACACCTACGGCGATGACCCCGTCTCCAACCAGAACATCCAGTACTTCCTGGACCGCTTCTACCTCAGCCGCATCTCCATCCGCATGCTCATCAACCAGCACAGTGGGTGCCGGCCACAGCGGCGGGGAGCGGGCGGTGGGGGGGGCGGTGCTGGGGCCCAGGGCCGGGCTGCTGAGGGGACCTAGACCACTCTTCAGAACCCCACAAAGGGAGTCTTTGAATAGTTACTCCAGTAACTATGGAGTTAATGGCTCCAACATGGAAAAATAAAATTTTTCTTTCTCATTGATTTTCCATTTCAAAACGTTTTGTTTTCAGTGTTTGCAAAATGTAAAATTATGTCACATCTTTAAAAGAATGTTTAATTTAGTATTTATAAAAACTCTCATTATGTTCAAAAACAATTTGTTGTTTAGAGTTTCTTATTCCAGGAGGATTCACTATGATTTTTGAGAAGTTGTAGCCAGTCATAAATTAAACAAGTTCCTCATGCTCAAATAATTTCCAAAGCAAGGTGGTAAGAGTTCTCTTAGAATGTTATAGTCAAAGAAAAGAATAAATGCAATGTGGAGATGTGATGTGGGGAGAGACCTCTGAAAAGACGTCTGTTTCAGGTTTGCAAAGGTTTAAAAACGGCCTAAGCCAGGGCTGGAGGGGTCAGGGGTCAGGGAAGGGAGGACAGAAGCGGGGGAGTGGGGCAGCTTTAGGACTGGAGCCTACAGAGGCATTGGAGGTGAAAGTAGAAAGAGGAGGAAAGCCCGGGGGAAGAGGGAGCGCTGGGACAGACTGCAGCCCAGCCAACAGCATCCTCCCTTCCTGCCTGCAGCCCTCATCTTTGATGGCAGCACCAACCCAGCCCATCCCAAACACATCGGCAGCATCGACCCCAACTGCAACGTCTCTGAGGTGGTCAAAGGTGAGCCATTCCCACGGTGCCTGGCCCGCAGAGAAGCCCCGGGGACCCCTCCAAGCTTACCTGGCCAGAGGGTGACTCGTTCCTCAGTAAGGGGTGCCATGGATTTAATGCTGGTGGTCCCCAGTATCAATGTCAGGAGGACTGCCTGCTGGGTGGGCCACCCATGCCCTGAATGACCCCATCTTCTCTCAGATGCCTACGACATGGCTAAGCTCCTGTGTGACAAGTATTACATGGCCTCACCTGACCTGGAGATCCAGGAGATCAATGGTGAGTGAGCGGGGCTGTGTATGTGTCTGTCTTGGGGCTGGGGACGTGGCAGGGCAAGGTGAGACGGGGAGTCAGGAGATGGACTGTTTTCTAGACAGGGGAGAAGCAGAGTTATTATATTATTAATTCATTTGATAAATATTTGGGCTGGGCACAGTGGCTCACACCTGTAATCTCAGCACTTTGGGAAGCTAAGGCAGGCCAATCACTTGAGGTCAGGAGTTTGAGACCGGCCTCGGCAACATGGTGAAACCCTGTCTCTACTAAAAATACAAAAATTAGCCGGGCATGATGGCACATGCTTATAATCCCAGCTACTTGGAAGGCTGAGACAGGAGAATCACTTGAACCCGGGAGGCTGAGACTGCCGTGAGCTGAGATGCTACCACTGCACTCCAGCCTGGGTGACAGAGCGAGACTTCATCTCAAACAAATAAGAAATTGAGTGAATGAATGAATGAAAGAGTAAGCAAGACAGAAATGGTCCCCATTCTCGTGGACCTTACATTTTTGGTGCTAGGGAGATTGCGGAATGGAGCCTTCAGCCAATTAACAAGTAAATAAACAAGACCATCTCAGATCATGACAAGTGATGGGAAGGAAATAAAATGGGGTAACTCAACAGGGGTAGGGAGGAGGGGCATGTTAGATGGTGTATCAGCTTGGCTGCTTTCCTAGAACCCCAATACCAGTGGCTTACTTAAGAGGGAGGTTTCCCTCTCGCCAGCCCCTTGCTGGACAGGTCAGGGCTGGCTCCCCACCCCTGATTCAGTTCTAGCCTGGAGGAAGGGAACAAGGGTGTGGAAAGCAGGGCCCAAGAATTGAATGCATCACTTCCATGAGTCACCAGCTACCCCAGCTCAAGGGAGGCTGGGGATTTAGTCTCTCGCTGGGCAGCCATGTACTCAGAACTTTGTGGGAGGGGGTGCCTCCTTTGGGTAAGGTGGTTGAGCAGTGACCTCCTGACGGTTTCCTGACCCTTGGTCTTGACTTGCCCTGTAGCAGCCAACTCCAAACAGCCGATTCACATGGTCTACGTCCCCTCCCACCTCTACCACATGCTCTTTGAGCTCTTCAAGGTGAGGAGGCTGGGAGCCGGTGCTTTGCGGGGAGCGTGAGTAGGGCTGGCTTCTCCCATGCATCTCTTACCTCTGCCCCTCCGCAGAATGCCATGAGGGCGACTGTGGAAAGCCATGAGTCCAGCCTCATTCTCCCACCCATCAAGGTCATGGTGGCCTTGGGTGAGGAAGATCTGTCCATCAAGGTATGTGACCCTTTGACCTTGGGGACCAGGGAGCAGTAGTGGGGGCTTCCCTCCTGCCAGGAGACGGGCTTTCCTTTTCTCCTACATGGTGGGCAGATCCTGGGGGTGGGGAAGACCATGAGAAGGTCAGGGGTATTGGGCGGGGTGGGGAAAATGAGCTGTAAAGAATCCCTGACACATCCCATCTCTCCCAGATGAGTGACCGAGGTGGGGGTGTTCCCTTGAGGAAGATTGAGCGACTCTTCAGCTACATGTACTCCACAGCACCCACCCCCCAGCCTGGCACCGGGGGAACGCCGCTGGTGAGATGGCTTCACCCCAGCCCCTCCCACCTCCTGAGGGAGGCTTCTCTCCTCACTCACTTCCTTATCTCCCTGCTCACTCAGCTTCTGTGTGGCCGTCTGTGACAGTCACCTGTCTTGAATCTGGGCCCCCGCACCTCCCACATCTCCCCAGTCTGCACAGATCTCACCTGTCGGATGTCTCTCTGTCACCTTTCCTCCATCTTCCCTCTCTTCTGTAGCTCCCAAACCCCCAATTTCTACCTTTCTCCTGGTGTTGTCCAACTTGTCAGCACCTCCCTGTTAGAAAACTTGAGACTCAAAGGAGCCGTGGGGCCTGCTCTGACTTCCTGGCCCCTGAGCGGAACTCCTCTCTCTGCCCAAGCCTCCCTCCCGCATTCATGATTGCCCCATTCACCCCACACACACTTCTTACCTCAGTGTCCCCTCCCACATGTCCCCTCCCAGCTCTGGGACCCCTGCCATGTGACCCCAGCTCCACACCCTTCCCTCCCTGCATCAGTCCCTGCAGCTCCAGGAGGCCCCTGCCAGCCTCCTCATCCTCACTGCCTTCCTGCCCCGCTGCAGGCTGGCTTTGGTTATGGGCTCCCCATTTCCCGCCTCTACGCCAAGTACTTCCAGGGAGACCTGCAGCTCTTCTCCATGGAAGGCTTTGGGACCGATGCTGTCATCTATCTCAAGGTGAGGGCCCTTCCCGCAGAGCCCAGCTGGAGAAGAGCTTTGCTGATAGGACCTGGGCAGCCTTGGCCAGCTGCGAGCTTTCCTTTCCATCCCCCCAGTCCTTCCCTGGCCCCAGACTCTGAGAATCCAAGCAAAGCTACAGTTCCTCAACCTGAAGAACCCTCAACCCCCAGACACGCACTGCTTGTCAGGGAATTTAGGGGAGTCTGTGGTCTATGATTAAGACCCCTGTGCTGGGAACCCTTGACTTGTTAGACCCAGAAGGAAGGGGACACCCTAGGTCTTGCCATTCAGTTCAGAGGAGAAGACTGAGGCCCGGAGTCCGTGACTTGCTCAGGGTCACACAGCCCAGCCTCCTCCCCCTCCCTCTCCCTCCCTTAGAGGGAGCTGCTTGCTTGAATGGGCAGGAGCGGGACACAGGAGGGACCACCCTTTTGTGGTCTTTCCAGGCCCCCGTGTCTGGCAGCTGGGCTGCCGCTGAGCTGGGGTGGGGTGGTCTGCTGAGGAGTGGACAAGGCACAGGGAGGTGGGAGGGGCTGACCCTGACACTCCCCAGGCCCTGTCCACGGACTCGGTGGAGCGCCTGCCTGTCTACAACAAGTCAGCCTGGCGCCACTACCAGACCATCCAGGAGGCCGGCGACTGGTGTGTGCCCAGCACGGAGCCCAAGAACACGTCCACGTACCGCGTCAGCTAAGGGCCGCCGTGCATCTGCACCTGAGAGGACGGACTGCCGCCTCTGGGTCCCCCCACCGTGGTGCCCCTCACCATCCTCCTGGGGGAGCAGGGGGTGGGTTCTCCCTGATGACCAGGTTCTGTCTCTATGGAAGTCACTGCGGTGATAGGTCTGTGATGGTCCCTAAGTGCCAGTCCATCTCTGTGGAGACCCCTCGGTGGCCTCCCTATCTCTGTGGGCGATGCCTGAGGGTTAGGGATGTCTCCACCCTGATGGGGTGTCCCAGAGACATTTTCCCATGGCAGTCCTCCTCTCTGAGACCAGGGCTGTCACTTTTCTGCCAGGGGTACTGGGTCCCCCTCAGCACCCTCCACAGCACAGGCCTTCCAAGTGGATGTCCCGTTGCCTTATTCCCCCAGCCCACAAAGGCACCCTGGCCTTGGCCTGCTGAAGTGTTAGGAAGAGGGTGGGTGCCCTCCAGACCTGGGGACTGAGTGGGGAAAGGAGTTACACCCGTGAGTGGGGAATGAGGCTGGTCCTGCAGCCTCTCCCTCCGCTCAGGGCTTGAAGGTCGGTGGCGGAGGGGGTGGCTCTCACAGGGCCCAACTCTAAAGTGGAAGAACCTTGTTAGACCGAGAGCTTGCCATCCAGCCAAGCTGCTCGAGGCCCTGCAGTGGCCTTGGCAATGTCTGTGCCACCTCCTGAGCCCTCCCAGCATGTCCTCACATGCTCATGCCCACCCGCTCCTCCACAAGCCTAGTCCATCCTGCCTGAGCTCCAGCCCCCAGCCCCCACTGTGCCCAGACATGTGTGCTCAGGGTGGCTTTCTCCCTAGGACCTTCTGTGTATATAGTTAGTTTTATAACCCTGAATGCCCCCACCCTTCCCCTAAGCACACAGGGGTTAAAGCTGTGTGTCCCTCCCAGTGGCTGTGGCAGTGACAGTGACACCCACACCCACAGTAAAGAGGAGACTGAATGAGACTGGCCTGGCTGCATCCCTGGGGGAGGGGACCCACACGTGCGCACGTACACACGCACACTGCGGTGCCCTGTGACCACCACATGACGCACCGGGGACGTCCGGCCCAGCTCAGGACTGTGAGTAAAACACTGGGCAAAGCCATCTGTTCAGAACGCCGGATGGCCCAGCACCTGGTGACAGACCTGTTGTCCCACCATACTCAGGGCCCAGCAGAGTCCGGCCAACCCAACAACTGGAGCAGACAGAAATTCTGGTCACTGGCACATCATAAGGATTTATTGAAATAAATTGAGAACTGCCTCCCCTTCACATGCAGGTGGGCACCCACTATAGCTACTGATGGCTTTAAGGATGTGGGTGCCTTCCAACCTCCCATGGCCCTGCCACCAGGCCCAGATGGTGCCAGTGTCCTCATATCTGTTTCCCTCCGAAGCCCCTCTCCCAGCACAGATAGCAGAGGGGGGATAAGGGCTGAGTCCCAGGTACAGGGTGCTGGCCGTAAGCCACAGCCCCTGGGCAGGAATGAGGGAGCCAGCATGCATTGGTGCCATCTGCCGCTCTGTCTGGGCAGATGGGAGGAGCTGGAGGGGTTTCCAAGCGGGAGCCCCCAGGCCTCATCGGTAACTCTGACCAGTGTCCTGGAAGCGGGACTAGCTGCTGACCAGCGCCACACATGAACACTTCCTCCAAGGACATTTCCTAAAAAGGACACATGCTGTCCCCAGGCTGCTGGTAAACTCCACCCCCATCCAGGGAGCTGGCCCCAGCCCTCAGTGTGGCCCAGGGAAGCAGAGCTTGCACCGCCTGCCAGTTCTGAGCCCACTGATTCCCTGACAATGCCTGGGGCAGATGGGGGAGGGCTGATGAACCTTTCCAATCTCGTAGCTGCCGGGGACCCCCAGGTTTTGCCTCTCTGCCTGGCTGGGGTGAGGGCTGACCAGGTCAGCAGCTCCTAGGCCTTGGCTGGTGGAAGTGGTGTCCTCTGTCCCTATCAGTTCCTGTTTGCTCAGCTCCCAAAGAGGACTTAGGTGCCCTCTGAGGAAGCAGCAGGAAGTGAAGGGAGTCCTGGCTTGGAGAATGGGTCAAAGACCAGGTCTTGAATGGGCCCTGAGAGGCAGACCTGTGTGGTGTCATCTCGCCCCCTGGGACCCACAGGACAGAGGAGGGGAGAGGGAGAAGGGGATGTTCATCCTCCCCTCTTGAGTCCTGGCAAAGACTGCACTCGCCCCAGGCTGCTTTCTCTGCGCTCCTGTTGAGGAGTTTGGCTGGGAGTCTACCCTGAGTGCGACTTGCTGCAGCGCCCACTGGCCTCTTGGGGGAGCAGGACAGAGCTCTCCCACCACACAGCCCCCTGGAAGAGTGGAGAGGAGCCGCTCCCACATGGGCTCCTGCTGAAATGCCCAGCCCAGCTCTGAGCCCTGGGGCCCGGCCTCAGGGCCTCTGGCAGGCAAGCAGGCAGGCAGGCCTCCTAGCTCCCCTCCACCCCAGCCCCACGATGGCCTGAGGGCAATGGGACAGCCTGACCCAGCCTCCCAGACTTGCCTCAGCCCTGGCCTCTCTGCCCTCTCCCCTTCATCTGCTCCTCCCCCAGGAACTCTGTGCCAAACAAGTCCTCAAAATAGGATTTATTACTAGGCCCTCTCCCTGGGGTCTCCCTTTCTGGGGTCTCTGGGTCTAGACCAAGTGACAGGGTAAGAGAGAGCATGTCCCCCCTGAGAGCGTGGGACCAGGCTAGCCCAAGTGCAGCGCCCAGGTCCAGCCTCCCTGGTGAGGCCTGTGCCCGCGGAGCCAGTGGCTGCCCCTGCCGGGTGCCAGCGCCTGTGCACCCTCCCCTAGCTCTTCTTGGCCTCCTGCTCTCGGCGCCGGAGCTTCTCCCGCTGCCGCGCAGCCTTCTCCTGGGCCTTGCGCTCCTTCTCGGCAGCTGCTGCCATCTCCTTCAACTTGCGCTTCACCAGTGCCCGGTCATGAGAGTTGCTGAGCCCCAGGCTCTGGGGAGGAGTCCGGGGTGAGGGAGAGAGTCCCAGAACCTTCCCAGTCCTGGCCTCCCACGCCCAGGCTCCTTTTGCCCCAGGTGTACTCTGTGGAGCTCCAAATCCTCCCTGGAGTGGAGCCTCCGCCTCCCACACCGTGACCTGCCCATGGATCAGAACCCCCAGAGCAAGAATTTGGAATGAGTGTGGTTGGGAAAGATGAGGGTTGGGGGTATTAGGCGCTTCCTCCTCCTCCCCCACCATTCCTCCACTCAGTATTTCAGCCTTGGCCCGGACCTGCCCAACCTCCTGAGGCCCAGAGATGGGGAGTCACTTGCCCAAGGTCACACAGTTAGTGCCCAAGGACCCTCCTCACTTCCAGAGACTTCCTGGGGGCTCTTTTCACCATCCCTGCCCCAAGCAACTCAGCAGAGAGCAGGAGACAGGCCAGGAACCTCCCAGCTTATAGGTCAGAGGCCACCACCCCCTTCCTACAGCCTCCCCCTGCCCACTATTACCACTAGCCTCTGAGACAGAATCAGACCAAGCTGACCAGGGGGAGATGTGGCTTCCCATGATACCAGGACACTCATATGCATCAAGGGTCATCCTAGAGGGCAAGGTCAGCCTGGAGACCAGGGCTGGAGCTTGAAGGTCACACTGAAGTCATGGACTAGAGTTTCAAGTCAAACTAGGGATTCATGCTACAACTCAAAAGATTAGACCAAGGACCTTGCCTAGAGGTCAGAGGTCAGGGTGGTGGCCACAGATGGAGTGAAAAGGTCAGCCCAGGAGGCTGGGCTGAGGGTCAAAGGTCAGGATGAGGGACTTCAAATCCTTGAAAGTCACCTCAAGTAACTGGGCTGGGTCATGGCCCTTCCACTCTGACCCACCTTTAGTTTGCTTCCGTCCAGCTGCAGCAGCTGCGGCCCGTCTACCTGCCGTGCAGCAAACTCAGCAGCATACTGTTCCAGGTTGAGGCTCTGCAGCCACTGGCCCACCTGCTGGCTGGTCCAGTGGTGGACAGGGGGGAGGGGTTCATCCAGGAACTGGGCAGAGACCAAGGAGAGTGAGGGGGAGGCTTGGCCTGTGACCTGAGCACCTTGCAGAGTCAGAGGTCAGGACTCCGTGGGCACCCTGGGCCAGCCTTGCTCACCTCATCTGAAGACTGAGACAGCGTGTGGTAGGGGTAAGAACATTTGGCCTCCTGCCAGGGCCCACTGGGGATCTTGGGGCTGCTGCTGGGGGGCGTGGAGTCATCACTCAGAGTGGATTCCTAGACAGAAAAAGGTGCATGCCACTGAGGAGAGTTCACCCCCAACCCACCATCCCTATCTGGGTGGAGCCGAAGTCCTGGACTAGGCACCAGGAGTTGCTCAGTGCCTCCTGTGCATGAGCCAGGAGCTGGGCCTGCACACAGGACATGATAACTCATGTCAGGCATCAGGACCTGAAGCCTTTGGGAGAGCAGGCAGCCATCTGGAGGACATGGGGCTAGAACCAAGCCAGGTTAGTAGGAATGGAGGCGGTCTCAGGCAAGGTGTCACTTCCTACAGGCAGACCACCGAGATTCCCCCAGGCTGGGTCAGGTGTCTCTGCTATGCGCCTCCCGCCTGGCCTTAGTACCCCAGCTAATAAGTGCCTGATTAGAGGTCTTTATCCTCACTGGACTGTGAGCTCTAGGAGGGCCTGGGTTGTATCTTGTTCATCATGGTGTCCCAGTGACCAGCATAAGGGAAGGAAGAAAGAGAAGGAGGAAAGAAGGAAGTTCCAGGTCCGAAGGGATTCTTTCTTCCCAGAATTCCCAGCTTCTGATTTTCTCCTCTGCCCAGCTGCACGTAAGAAACAGAACCGTAGAACAAGTACTGGGCTGGGGGTTGTAGAGCTTGGCACCTATATCTGTGCCAGTCTGTGGGCAAGCCCCTTCTCTCTGGGCCTTCCTTTGCTCATCTGTACAATGGAGATGAGCATGCCTTCCCTCCCTACTTCACCGAGCCTTTGTGAGAGTAAAGCAGAAACGCATTTGGGGCTTTGTAAACTGTAGAGGGCGCTCTGAACATAAGCAGTTGCTCATCATTGCTTCTCTTACTCGTCTCACATCACATAGGGTTGTAAGCTTTCAGACCACTAGGTTGGGGTCCTGTTTGTCTCTATATCCCCCAGGCCTCACCCTACCAAGCAGGTGGCCCAGCTCCTCACACAGGAGTGGGGTTAGAACTTAACCAGGCAGAAGAGTTAGCAGGAATGAAGGAAGTCTCCAGCTGGGTGAACAGTAGGGAATCAGTGTTTAGTGATTTGTTGAATGCATGAAGCATTGACTGAATCAAGGAATGAACTACTCAGAATATGAAGGAGTGGAAGAGTGAACGAATGAATTCAGAGAATGCATGAAGTAACGGATCACTGCATGGCTCCATGGATGGACAAATTGATTCCAGGAATGTCTGAATCCCAGCCTGAGCCAAGGTGAAGTACGCCCTCATGTCACCTGAGACTGGGGGCCAGTTTGGGGACAAGAAAGGCATGGACTTACCTGGGAAGCTGACTTCTTAGGGCTGAAGCCCTCGTGTTTAGGGGAGCAGGTGGGGGAGGTGGTGCTACCCGAGGATGCTGAGCCCTTGCCGCTGTCCGTGAACCAGGAAAAAGGCAGGAACGGGGAGCCCCCTGACCTGCCGGACCCCTCCACTGACTCCCTGCAGAGAGAGTGTCCAGCATGGGTGTGGGTACAGAGGGGAGGACCAGAGCACATGGGGAGCCAGGGGCGGGAGCTGTGGGTGGGCCGCCATGGGCACCTCTCACCTGCTGCCCATGGACAGTCGGTTGCTGCCTTTCTCCTTCCGGCTCTTGCCCGTGGATGCTCGGCGCAGGGTGACCCTGTGGGGAGGCAGCAGGAAGTGGGGCAGGGCTGCCCACTGTGCTACCCCTTACCCCAGCAGCTCCAAGCCCTGCGATCTAGCCCCGCCTCCACTCACCCCAGGTCCAGGAACTTTCGGCGAGTCTTCTTATCGAGGCCGATGGTGGGGCTGGCGGGCTCAGGAGGACTGGCGTCACGGCTGTCATCTTTCCAGGGAGAGAAGGAAGGAAACTGCCTGTTTGCTGCCCTGCCTGCCTCCTTCGGCTGCCAGTGTGGGGTGGTAGAAATTCTCTTGACTTAGAATCAGGCATCCTGGCTCTGGTGGCCTTCACTAGCTGGGTGTCCTAGGATAAGCCACTTTACCTCTCTGGCCTTCCTCCATTTTAAATATGGGGATAATAACATCTACCTGCTTCATGGGACCTAATGGGATGCTTATGACAGCCTTTTACAAACTATAAAACGTTCCAAAAAGGTAGGAATCACTACCATTTACTCAATTTTATCCTGGCCAACTTTTTTTTTTTTTTTTTTTTTTGAGACAGAGTTTTGCTCTTGTTGCCCAGGCTGGAGTGCAATGGCGTGATCTTGGCTCACTGCAACTTCCACCTCCCGGGTTCAAGCAATTCTCCTGCCTCAGCCTCCTGAGTAGCTGGGATTACAGGCGCCCGCCACCACACCCGGCTAATTTTTTGTGTTTTTAGTTCAGACAGGGTTTCATCATGTTGTCCAGGCTGGTCTCGAACTCCTGACCTCAGGTGATCCACCCGCCTCGGCCTCCCAAAGTGCTGGGATTACAAGCGTGAGCCACTGCACTCGGCCTATCCTGGCCAACATCTAACCAACCTTCCAAACTTGGCTCAAATGTCATTTCCAGGATGTTCCTAGCCAGGCCAAGCATCCTGGTGTATGCTCTCCCGCCATGCTGCCGCACACATTTCCCAAATAGCACTTGTTATAGTTTATAACTAGACATTTAGTTAAGGGATGATTTGATTGGGTTTTTGTTTTGTTTTGTTTTTGAGGCAAGGAGTGATCATAGCTCACTGCAGCTCAAAACTCCCGGGTTCAAGCTATCCTCCCGCCTCAGCCTTCCAAGTAGCTGGTTCTACAGGTGCATACCACGCGGGGCTAATTTTTTAATTTTTTCTGGAGACGGTCTCGCTATGTTGCCCAGGCTGGTCTCGAACTCCTGGGCTCAAGCGATCCTCCATCTCGGCCTCCCAAGGTGTTGGGATTACAGGCGTGAGCCGCCAGCCAGGCCTGATTTGATTGTTTCTCCACTAAACCACTATGATGATAAAGACTGCATGTGTTTGCTCACCTGGGTGTCCCAGAGCCCACAGGATCTGGCACTTAGTAGGCGCTCGGTAAAGAATGAGTGAGCGGCGGCGTTTACTCTTCACCTCCCCCAGCCACCCTGCTCAGCTGCCCCTTCCGCGGCTGCGGTGCGCGCCGGGACCGGGAGGGCTGCTGCGCCCGGGAGCGACCAGCAGGAGGTGCGGCGCTGGCCGCCTCTCACCTTCGCTGTGCGGCTCTGCGCGCGGGTGGCGGCGCACGAAGCTGGGGGAGCTGTCGGAGGAGGGCGCGGAGCGCGGCGGAGAGCAGGAGGCGGCGGCCAGGCCCTCGTGCGACGCAGCGTTGTGCAGGGGCCGGTAGCGTGTGAGCGGCGAGGGCGGCGGCTCGTCCTCGTCCAGGCTGCGCCGCAACCCCGGAGGATCCAGGCAGAAAGAGCCCCCGGCCGGGGACCCCGGGCCTGAGTGCAAAGGCGAGCGCAGCCGGTGCAGGGGGCTCCCGCAGCCATCGGTCACCTGGACGAGGGGGCAGCCGCTCACCGAGAACCCTCCTCCTCCCTTCCCGGAGGAGCTGGGAGACTTTCACCCTGTAAACTGCGGGCCCTGAGGGTCCTTCCGGGGCCTAGAGGGAGGGTTTCCTCATGCCTTAGGCAGCGGGGTGGCTGGAGAGTGAGAGGTGGGAAACAGGAACTTTGAGTCACACAGGCTGGGGCTGAATTCCCCCTCCTTCACTTACTGTGACTTTGCTCCTGGACCTCTCAGGGCCTCAGTTTCCTCAGCTGTAAAATGGGGCTAATAATATCTTCTTTACACAGGATTAAATGAGCCAGAAGTGAACTGCAGCTAACACTTGGCAGCATTACTAGGTCAGGAGTCTGGGGATGTGGTTTCCCTGGAAGAGCACTCTGGAGAGATTATCCAGGGGTGGGAGGAGAGGGAGGGGTGGGAGGGTGTATATGTGTTTTCCTAACTTGCCCCAACCTTGCCTCCGGGCCCATCCGAGCCTTCACCATCCTCCGCGGAGCTGGCACTGTCCCGAAGCCTGGAGCGGGATGGCCGGTGTCTCCGGCCCTTGGCCAACAGTTGGGCCCGGGCCTTGTGTAAACTGCTGTCCAGTCTGGCCGTCTCTGGCACAGCCAAGTCCAGGTCTGCGAACCGGGGGAGGGGAGCAGAGACCAGACACATGAGAGGTGACGGCAAGCCCAGAGGCCCACCTCAGGGGCCACCTGCACCCACACCCCAGGCATTCAACCCGTGTTCTTGAGTGCTGGGAGCACAGACAGATGAAAAACAGGGTGTCTCCCCGTCTCAGGTGGGAGTGGGCGGGTGTGCAGGGGAAGCAGAAATGCCGGCGCTAAAATACAGCGCCGTGTGATGAACCCTCCTGTAGACACGGAGGAACGGCAGCCCTGTTTGGATGCATCAGAGGAGGAAACACCAAAGCTGGGTTTTAACGTCTGGGTAGGAGTCTGTAAGAGATGAGGTGGGCAAAACAGGTATATGCAATGCTAGGAAGTAGGGAAACAAGGGTGGTACCTCCAGGGACAGTTGGAGGGTAGCTTTGTGGAGAGAAGGGTTGAGGGATGAGGCTGGAGAGATGATGGAAATAATGGCCACCATTTAAGAAACACTTACTACACACCAGACAGTGTACATACATCATCTCTCACTCAAAACAACCCGGTGGGGTTAGGACAGTTACTATGCATACTTTACAGCTGAGCAAACTAAAACTCAGAGAGGTTAAGTCACTTGACTAAAGCCACCAGCTAGCAATGGTCCAGGATTTGAGCCTGGCTAGGCTGGCTCTAGAGACTGGCCCTACTGGGGACACTGGCTTGCTGTGCCACGCGCAGGGTCTCACTCAGAGATAGCACTGCTGAGCATCTAGAGGGCTTGCAGTTGGAGTGGAGCAAAGGGACACCCCCAGAATCCACTGGCAGTGGCAGGAAGGAAAGCCCCATAGTCCCCGAAACCTCTCTTCTGTCCTGGGTCTGTGGCCCTGTGCTAGATCTTGCATGAGGACATGGAGGAAGAGTGGGCAGACCCAGTGGGTCCAGCGTTAAAGTCCTTATTGCTCATAGCTCCACTTGTCACGTGCTGCACCTCGGAATGAAGCCCTCATGCTGTACCAGTGCTGAGCTTGGCACTGGGGTCTCCAAACAGAAAGAGTCTTCCCAGGCTTCAAGATGGGTCAAGACTTTTCCTCCCCACTCCACCCAGCATGATCTCAGGGGCCCTATTCTGTCACTCATGCCCACCCTGCCTTGTCTGCTCCTGTTTCGTTCTGTAGACAACCCCTAAGCCACCCCAGTTGCTCTCCTGGCTTAACTACCACCTATTTCTATTTCCAGCCTTGACACCCTCCCCTGAATTCTGAGTGTGGGCACTCAGGCACCTGCCAAGGAAGTTACCACGTCAAAGACCCCAAGGTGTCTCAAGCTCAACTCATCAAAATGAACCGATCATGTAACCTCAAACCAGCTTCTACTCTCTTCCTTGACTCAGTGAAAAGCCCCCTTGTCCACCCAAGTCGCCCGAGTCAGACAGCCCTAAGCTACCCTTCTTCTCTCTCAGCCCCAGACCCAGTTGGTAATTCATGTCCAACTGTCTAGTTGACACCTCCACTTTGATGTCCACCAGGGGTCTTCAGCCTACAGGTGCTGCAATCTCCTGATCTCTCCCACCCCAGAGCTGCTCCTCCCAGTCTTGGTGAACAGTAGCTCCATTCTTCTAGTTGCTCAGCTGAACCCCTGGAGTCATTCTTCACTGCTTTCCCTACCATCCTACAAACGGATTCATCCACAATTCCTGTTAGCTCTACTTTCAAAAAATAGCTAGACATACTGAAATATTTACGGTGAAGGGATATGATGTTTTGGACTAGGTTCCACATAATCCAGGGCAATAGGGGGAGGGCGTGGATGGGATAGATATGAAACTAGACTGGCTATGACTAGGTCATTGTTGAGGCTGGGTAATGAGTTCTTGAGTGCATGATAGACTACACTTTGCTGTAATCTCTAATTTTGAATCTGTTTGAGATTTTCCTTAATAAATTATTGTTTGTGTATGCGAATGTATACACATACTCCTATACATGCGTACATATGGAGAGAAAGGGAGGAGAGCAGAGGAAGGGAGAGGAGAGGAGAGGAAAGAAAAAGAGGGGAGAGGATGGGAGGAAAGGGAGGGAAGTGAGAGGGAGAATTCACAGTCTCTTAGACCAGAAGGTCTAAACTGCCATCATCTTTTAGCCTGGATTATTACAAACAGCCTCCTAGCTGGTCTTCCTTCCGTCTCCCTTTCCCATCTAGTCTATTTTCAACACAGCAGCCAGAGTGATCCTGATCAAACGTGTCAGTTTATATCACTCCCCTGTTCAGAACCCTCCAGTGACTTCCATCTTATGCAGATTAAGAGTCAAAGTTCTCCCAGTGGCCTTCCAGAGTCAGCCTATGCTCCCTTGCCTGTCTGAGCACTACTCCTGTCCCTCCACTCCAACCATCCTGGCCGCCTGGCTCATCCTCACACAAGCCAGCCTGCATTGCAGGGCCTTTGCACCTCCTCTGCCCTTTTTCTGCAAGGCTCTTTCCACAGATTTCTGCGTGGTTCTCTCCCTCACTTCCTTCAAGTCTTCGCTTAAATGCTTTCTCTCACTGAGGCCTTCCCTGACCACCCAATTTATAATAGCCCCCCCACTCCAAAACTCCACTCCTGTTTTTTTCCTATATCATTTCTCATTCTCTGGCATGCTATATATTTTGCTTATATCATTTATGGTCTTTCTCCACCCATTAGAATGTCAGCTCCATGAGGACAGGTTTCTGCTTTGTTCACTGCTCTACCACAGGCAGAGAACAGTGCCTGGCACACAGTAGGTGCTTAGCACACCCTTTTAATGAAAGAAAAATGTTCTGTTGATTGGCCTCCTCACACCCATGGAACCTGGGCTCTCCTCTCCTCTGGACCGAACTGCCTTAGCTCAGGCCTTCACCTGAGTGGAGGGGAGCTGCCCCCACCTCCCACCCCCTGCCACCCCAAAACATGCAACTATCCCTCCTTCGCTCCCTGCCTCCTGTCTGGCTCCTCCTCGTACCTTCCATGTGACTAGAAGAAACTTTCTGAAGCACCTTTCTTTTTTTTTTTTCTTGTGGAGACAGAATCTTGCTCTGCCACCCAGGCTAGAGTGCAGTGGCATGATCTTAGCTCACTGCAACCTCCACCTCCCAGGCTCAATCGATTCTCCTGGCTCAGCCTCCCAAGTAGCTGGGACTACAGGTGTGTGCCACCACACCTGGCTAACTTTTGTATTTTTAGTAGAGATGGGGTTTCGCCATGTTGGTCAGGCTGGTCTTGAACTCCTGGCCTCAAGTGATCTGCCCGCCTTGGCCTCCCAGAGTGCTGGGATTACTGGTGTGGGCCATCGCGCCCGGCCTGAAGCACATTTCTGACCATGTCCCATACTCTCCTGCTTTTGAAACTCTCGCAGAAGGGGTCCCAAAGCTAACAATATAAAGTCCATGCTATTCAGCTCTCTATTCAAGGCCTGAGGGGCCCAGCCCACCCTTTCTGTGTTCCCAACAGATTCCTCCTCTTACATGACTATGGCTAAGAGCACTGGCCCTGGCCCAGATGGCCAGGCTGAAGCCAGTTCTATCATTTGCCGGCTGGGTGACTCTGGGCAAGTTACTTCCTTTTAGGTGTCAGCTTTCTCATGTGTAAAATGGGATTATACTAGCACTATCTTCCTTATAGGGTGGTTGTGAGCATCAAATAAAATAATCCATATACAGTACTTTGCCATAATGCTATGACTTAGTACGAGCTCAACAGGCGCTCGCTGGTGATGGCGTCTGTGGGATCAACTGAATTGCTTATACTGATACCTATATGTGTACCTGCCTCTACCTCACTTCCCACCTCCATCCCTATGCTCCATCTCTCTCCAGCCCTTCTTTGTCCGGCTGATCAATTCTGACACAGCACCGTCTGACAGCCGCACCACACTACCATATGGTCACGATACGGTCGGGATATGGTCGCCAATGACTGTCTCCTCATGCTGGCCTGCAACCTGCAGAGGGTGAAACCCTTCCCTGTCCACTGTGTATCATGAGAGCCTGGTGTGGCACCTGACAAGGAGCAGGTGTTCAGGAAGTGTTGAAGCAAAGTCACACTTCCATGGACTAGTGCATGCTTTGGCGGAGATGGACTCCAGACACACACGGGTGCTGATGAAGGTCACCTCCATGCCCATGCCCACATCCCATCACGTCCACATTTCAATCCTCTGCCCAGCACTCCCCACCGTCTAGTATGTTCCTTGTTTATTTGTGTGTGCTTTGATCATCTGTCCCCCTACTTGCCCCTGCACGAAAATTTGAGCTCCATGAGGACAGTGATTTTGTCTGGCTTGTTCTTTGCTGTCTCCCCAGAGCCAAGGACAGAGCCTGATGCATATTAGGAGCTCTATAAATATTTGTCGAATGGATGAAAAGACGGGGAGACTGGGAGGCTACTTCTTTAAATATGGCAGCCAGGCTGAGGTCTGGGTAACCATAAAGAGCCGAGGTTGCAGAAGGAACAAAAAGAGCATTCTAAGGAGAGAGAATGGTGCAGCCTTGGGCTTGGAGCATCTGGGGAGCAGCGAGGGGGCCAGCACAGCCTGCGAGGGGAAGGAAGGGTCTGGTTGAAATGGGAGGGTGGACACCGAGAGGAGATTGCAGTTGTCCAGGGGGCAACCTGCTGGTGTTTCCAGCCCCTGGGGCTGAGCTGGGGGAGGGAGCCCTCTGTTCCCAGCCCCCTGACACAGAATCTCCAGGCACTGCCTGGAAGCAGCAGCAAGGATTGAAGGCTGAACCACAGAAAAATAAGAGCTAATCCTTATTGAGCTCTTACTGTGCTAGGCACTGTTCTAAGTGCTTTACAATTACTATCTCATTTGAGCCTCCCCACAGCCCTACAAAGAAGGGACTCCAGGAATCCCCAGGGCAGCCTTAATTTGCCCGAGGGCATAAAGCTGGTGAGGAGCCGGTCAGGGTTACAGACAGACGGTCTAGCTCTGTTGGTAAGCATTAAGCATGCTACACCCTCTCTGAAGCAGAGATGGGAAGGAATTTTGAGTCCAACCTCTCATTGTATGGATGGGAAAACTGAGGCTCAAGGAGGACAGGAGGACACCTTTGGCCAAGGGGACAGAGGGAGTTAAGGAGAGTGGCTCCCAGGCCAGGGATCTGGCATCCTCTACCCTTCTGGCACCTAGCTGGTGCCCAGCCAACTCAAAACAGGGAGAGGGGTCCCTTGCTCCTGACTCTGGGCCATATCAGCACCATGGCCATCTTACCTTGGAGGGGCTGGGGAGCAAGGGGACTCCTAAGGGGCTTGGTGGTTTTGAGGCAAGGTGGGCCAGCCTGTCCTGGGTCCTCTGCTCTATGAGGCTCTCCCTCCAGCTTCTATCTCTTCCCTCTTCTCTGTTCCTGCCCTCCTTCCCTATCCTCCTCCCCCTCTTCCTGCTCCTCCCAGCCCTGGGCAGTGGGAATTCATAAATATTTAATGGCCTTTCACATCAGGAAGCAGTGAGGACGCAGCTACCTCAGCAGTGAGGAAAACAGGCAGGGGTTGGTGTGGGGAGTAGAGGGTAGGGAGGTTGGGGAGTAGGGGCAGAAAAGCCCAGGGAAGGGAGAGCTCGTTTCCGTCAGGCCTGGGCTTAAGTCAGGCCTGAGTAGGGACAGACACTGAGATTGAGGCCCTGAGGCAGTTCAAGGCTAGGGGAGCTGGAGGAGACTGGGATGGGAAGCAGCAGTTCCTGGCATGACCAGGGGAGAGAGGGAAGAAGGGAGAGATGAGGAGAAGCTGGGGACCCTCTGGCATAGGAGCCCCTCGAGGAGCAGGCCGCTCTCACCCTCTCCCTCATTCCTCCAAGTTCCTTTGCTCAGGACTCCTCCTGACTCCTCCACCGGAATCCCGCTGGGAAACCGGCTTTCCGCCCCAGTGCATGCTGGGAACTCTGCCCAGCTGGGGTGGTTTCTTTCTCCAGTCCACACAAGAGAAGATTGCAGGGGGTAAATGATGGTACCGTGGTGTGTGCATGCACCCCAGTGTGTACTGAGGACGTGGGCGTGCAGGCCAGCATGAGGGGGCCAGCCTGGGGGTATTGAGGCTGTGTATGTTATGCATTTGATTTCAGCACACATCCAAGCAGGGTGAGGTCCCTTGCACTTATTTATGTGACTTGGAGGTAACGTGTGTCATCTGGGCTGGAGTTTACAGATGTATAGGATAGTCACTAAGAGCAGGAAGTCTGGCAGTTTGGGGTTCTAGTCCCAGCCCTGCCACTAACTTGCAATGTGATCTTGAAAGCAAGTCACTTCAGCCCTCTGTACCCTACACTCCTGGTCTGTAAACTGGGCTTACATTATTGTAAGGGTTAACTAATACAGTGCATGTGAGATGGGGGTGCTTAACCTAGTATCTGGCATAAGAGAAGCACTTAATAAATGGAGACCCTTATTGTTATAACTGGTGTGTCCACTAAGATAGTGGTGACAAAGGGTCAGGCCACAATACCTGCACGCGTGCACGCGCGCGCGCACACACACACACACACACACACACACACACACACACTCTGAAGCTGCCAAGAAGCACCCTATCCCCTTCAATGCCTGGTGGCCCAGGAAGGAAGTACTCTATGGCTGTGTCTATTGGCTAGAGATAGAGCCACACAGAACTTACCAAAAACTTCATCCACGGGTTCTCGGAGCTTTGAAGAAGCCATGACTCAAGAGAGCTGGGAAGGACAAGAGGGGAGAGAAAGAAAAAGAGAGCCTGGGTTAGAGATTCAGGCTGACCGAGGCAGAAGAGATGTGGAAGGCTACCTGCTCCAGGCCTGTTGGCCCCTCCCCTTACCTTAGAACCCTTCTTCTGTCCCCTGGAAGAGAAGCCACTGGAATCATAACCCAGATGGTGGGCGCCGGGGCAGGCAGTATAGTAGGAGGGTGGGGGCAGACGCAAAACCAAGGCACAGACACAGGCTGAGCCCTGTGGTCCTGGTATCCTGGTCCACTGATTTGCTGTGTGCCTTCACGTGGGTCACTGAACTTCTCCCCTTCACTGTCTTGGGCCTTCGCATCATTAGCATCCCCTAAAAGCTTTCAATCATCAACTGTCCAATCAAATCTGGGAGAAGTCATGGAGATTATTAAATCCAATCCTCTCATGTTACAAATGAAGAAACAGAAGGGGGAGTGATTGGCCCAAGATCACATAGCAAGTTAATGGCAAAATCAGGACCAGGACCCAGGTTCTACCATCCGTCTACCCACCTATGCACTCATCCACCTATCTACTTGCCTACTCATCATCCATTCACTCACCCATCTATCCACCCATCCGTCCATCCCACATCTGCTCCCATGCACCCAACACCTGCCGCCATCTGTCCATCCACCTATCTTTGCATCCATCAATTCTCCATCTCTTTTCCAATCCTGCCTCCCCCTTCCCTACACCCCCATCACTGGTGCCCTCACCACCTGCCTTTCTGAACAAGAGCTGTTCAGGAAGCTGGCACCATCAGCAGGGCCACTGTTCCAGACACAGTTCTCACAGTTCTTGACAGACTCATAGATGTAGGAGGGTACGAGGAATACACACAGCACACAATGGACAGCCAAACCTCTATGATGCAACTATGTTCTGGGAAGAAGTGTGAATGGGTAGGGTTTTTTTTGTTTTGGTTCAAGGTTTTTTGGTGGGAAGCAAGAAGGGAGGGCAGATAGGGAAGGATATATATAGCTGAAACCATTTGAATAGGCTTTCAAGCAGATGTAGGATTCCAGTAGCCCTAGGGAGCCCACTGGCCAGGGGATACTGGCTGGGGGGAGAGTGAGGAAGCCCAGGGGCCATTGATGGTTTAAGGCAAGGGGACGCTGCATGGCTGAGACATGACCTCCAATTACTTCTAACACTCAGGTCCCCAGGAGAATGGCAAGGCACTGAGCTAGATCATACATGTGTCAGATGTAGGAAGGCTAGGCCACATGCCTGCTGGGGTCTTTTCCAACTCTTCTTTTCTGTTATTACATAGACATCATCTACCTTTACTGTGGCCAGCCTTGGGAATTTTTTTTTTTTTTTTTGAGACGGAGTCTCACTCTGTCACCCAGGCTGGAGTGCAGTGGCGCTATCTTGGCTCACTGCAAGCTCTGCCTCCCGGGTCCACGCCATTCTCCTGCCTCAGCCTCCCGAGTAGCTGGGACTACAGTCGCCCACCACCACGCCTGGCTAATTTTTTTGTATTTTTAGTAGAGACAGGGTTTCACCATGTTAGCCAGGATGGTCTTGATCTCCTGACCTCGTGATCCACCCGCCTCGGCCTCCCAAAGTGTTGGGATTACAGGCGTGAGCCACCGCGCCTGGCCTGGGAATTTTCATATCCCCACTTTACAGATACATATCGCCACTTTACAGATGTGAAAACTGAGAAACAGGAGATGAGAGGAAGCCAGGCAAAGTTGGTGCATGCTTATAATCCTAGCTACTCAGGAGACTGAGGTGGGAGGATCACTTGAGCCCAGGAATTCTAGACCAGCCTGGGCAACATAGTGAGACCCTCATCTCAAAAATAAGTAAGTAGCTGGGCGTGATAGCTCACGCCTGTAATCCCAGCACTTTGGGAGGCCGAGGCGGGCAGATCACCTGAGGTCAGGAGTTTGAGACCAACCTGGCCAACATGGTGAAACCCCGTCTCTACTAAAAACACAAAAATTAGTTGGGTGTGGTGGTGCACACCTGTAATCCCAGCTACTCAGGAGGCTGAGGCAGGAGAATCACTTGAACCTGAGAGGTGGAGGTTGCAGTGAGCCGACATCATGCCATTGCACTCCAGCCTGGGTGACAAGAGGGAGACTCCATCTCAAAAAAAAAAAAATTAAGTAAATAAGTAAATAAATAAATAAAAGCAATAATAATAATAATAATAAAAGAGGCAGAACTCAGCCTTGAGCCAGGGCTCCTGCCCCTCTGCGCTATCCTAGGTGATGATCTTCAGTTTAGGGGTGGAGGAAGAGATAAGCATAGAGGGAGGGAAGCTGCTCCACACTGACCAGGACTGGGAGAAGCATCAAAACCACCTCTAGGCTGGGCGCAGTGCCTCACGCCTGTAATCCCAGCACTTTGGGAGGCCGAGGCGGGCAGATCACCTGAGGTCGGGAGTTTGAGACCAGCCTGACCAACATGGAAAAAACTGTCTCTACTAAAAATACAAAATTAGCCGGGTGTGGTGGCACATTCCTGTAATCCCAGCTACTCGGGAGACAGAGGCAGGAGAATCGCTTGAAGCTGGGAGCCGGAGGTTGCAGTGAGCCGAGATCGTGCCATTGCACTCCAGCCTGGGCAACAAGCGCAAAACTCTGTCTCAAAAAAAAAAACAAAAAACAAAACCACCTCCAGATTCCATAAATGCCTGGGGCTGAAAGCAGAAAATGAGGTGTGGGAAGGGGTCATCAGGGAAGCAGACTCTCCGAGAACCCTCCTGCCATTCTTGAACTCCAGGGGCTACTAGCAAAGATCTAGAACATTTCTTCCTGTCCTGACAGGCCAGATGGGAAGGAAGGCTGACCCTAAGAATTAACCACATTTCCTGATTCAACCACAAAGCCTTATCTGGCTAGGACCCAGCTGCCACCTCCTTCAGGAAGCTGTCCTAGGTAGCCCTCCCTCCTCTCATTTGTCTTCGTAATTTCTAAATCCACCCTTCTCCAACTACTGGGAAATGGGGAATTCTTCATACTTCACTGATTCCTTAAATAGGTCTCATCTCCCCCCCACCAATCAGATGGGAGCCCAGAGAAGAAAGGGTCCACGTATTCTTCCGTCAGACTAGGGACTGTGAAGACAGGAACTGCCTCTCCCATCAGAATGGAGGCTCTCTGAGGGCAGTAGTGTTGTCTCCTTTCTGCCTCTGAGAATGAAGATCCTGTGTTCTTTATTCAAGAGCCCATTCCAGGGTCGAGATCCTCTGCTGGCTGGAGTCCTCCTCTTCCAGGCACCCTCTGGGCTGGATTGGGGTTTCCTGCTCAAAGCCATTCTCGGTCCATCCTGATTCAGCACAAACTGCTCTCTTTTCTTCCCTTCAACAACTAACTTTCTGGGGTGTGTAGGGGGACCCTCCCTACATTGTGTCCAGGGGGTCACCAGACCCCTCCCACCCAACCCTCTCCTTCCAAAACTGAGCCTAGAAAAATTAGACACCAAACCCGCCCCCACTCTCACTCCCACACACACCCCGCACACTCTCTCACACACACACACACACACACACACACACACCCCCATTCAGCCAGGTAACTGCACAAGGGTGGGATTGAACCGGTTCCTCTGGATACCCTTCCCCCCAAGGCTTCCAATCCTGGAGAAGGAGCACCAATGACCTTTGACCCTTCTCTGGGAGAAAGGGAGGCAGGTGAGCTCACAGCCTCTTGGGACCCAGGAGAAGGAGAAAGGAAGAAAGGGCGCACAATTCCTGGGGAGGGAGCGGGAGCGGGAGCGGAAGGAAGTGAGGAGTAGGAAGAAGCAGAGACAGACACACAAACTGGCGGAGAGTCCACAGGGCTGCTGAGAAGAAAGAGATCACACCGAGAGTGGGGCCACGGGAACTGGCACTGGGAACAAGGGCTTCCGCCGCTCTAAGTGACGCCCGAGGGTGGGAGAGAAGGGAGAAGCCCTTCGGGCAGGCGATAGGAAAGGGCCCCTGAAGAGGAGAAAGCGACAGAGAGAAGTGCAACTGGGAGAGGCCGGGAAGAGGTGGATGGGAAAGGAGACTAGCGGTCGGGGAGGCAGTTGTGGAGCCAGAGAGGTGGTCCCCCCTTCCCATATCGCCGGCCGTCCACTGGCCCCAGGCTTGGGGTAGTCCTCAGGAGTCGGGCACCCCCTCAAAGCACTGTTGGAGATGGGGTGAGGTTGGGGACAGGGCACCTACTCCACTCTCAGAGCCCTTCTCCCCAGTCAGAGCCCGGTGGCTAGTTTCTCTCCAAACCATCAGCACAACTCCCCGCCGGGCAAGAAAGAGTTAAGCCCTCTCCCCCTCCCCCCACACCAGCTTTTTATTAATTTCTCCGGGCGTCGGGCGGGAGGGAGGGGATTAGGGCCATAAATCCTATCTCCGCCCCCTCCCCTGACAGCCCGGCACCCCAGCCCCGTGCGGTCCCCCTAGGGATAGGGGAAGAAAGGCCCTTGTCGCTTAGCCCTGCCCAACCCCACTCAGGGTCCCACCGCGGGCCCGAGTGGCCCTAGCCCCAGTTCCCGGTCCACCCCAGGGCGCCCGGCCCCTCACCTCCGGCATCGGTCATCTTCAGCGTCTGGCGCCCCGGGAACCCCTCAGGCCCATGGTGCTCGAGGCGGGGGCCGGGCAGGAGAGGGGTGGGGGGACCGTCACCCCGGCCGCGGGGGGCTCCGGGCGGGCTCGAGCCGCTCCATCCCGGGGGTGGGGGTGAGGTCGGCGGGAAGGGTCCCAGAGCCGGGGGAGATGGAGGGCGGGGGATGTGGGGAGAGGGAACAGGTTCGCTGGAAGCAGGAGGCGCGGGCGGGGCTGGACCAGGAGACCTGACGGGAGGATGCTCCGTGTGTGTGTGCGTGTGCGTGTGCGTGTGTGTGTGTGTGACAGAGAGAGAGAGAGAGAGAAGAGCGAAGAGCGAGCGCCACCTCCCTCCCCGCCCCTGCCGCCCGCCAGGCCTGGCCGGACGCGGGGCCCCCGCCTGGCAGGGCCGATTCGCGCGGCGTCGCGTCGGCAGGGGTCCGCGGGGGTCTCCGGGGAAGGGGCGTCGGGGTGGGGGGCGCGTGGCGGAGAAGCCGGGCGCCCAGGAGACAAAGAGCGGGAGGGAGCGAGGGGGCGGGGGCGGGGGAGGGCGGCGGGGAGGAGGCGGCTGGGGCCGGGGAGCGGAGTTGCAGCTACTTCTCTGCCCGCGGGAGACGCGGCGCACCGGAGTCTGCGCGGGTGGGAGCGGCTCCGGGGCGGTCCCGCCACGGGACCCACGGGGCTTCCGCCTCCTCTGCCGGGTCCATCAGGGCTCCCGATTAGTTCATTCATTCAACAAACGTCCGCCGAGCAGCCGGGGCGCCGAGGCTGGAGGGGACAGCGGTGAACAGAACCCCCGCCCCCTAACTGCGCTCAAGGCCAGTGGGCCAGTCGGGGGCTCAGACGAGTGGGGAGGCCCTCACGAGCCTGGGCGCCATGGGCCCAGCTAACAGAGGGCACTTCTTGCCGGAAGGGAGAGCGCACCCCTGGCCCGGCCTGGGTCCAGGCGGCCGCGGCGGGAGCTGGGCTGGGGGATTCCCAGAGGATGTGATGTGTTGGCTACAACTGCGGGCCAGGGTAGGGAAGTGCCAGGGGGTGTTGGGGGTGGGAGGGCAAGAGGGGAAGATAAATTGAAGCTGGGGAGGTGCAGGGGGCTTGCACTTTATTCTACCAGCCGCCCACCCCGCCGCCCACACACACACACACACACACACACACACGCGCGCGCGCGCACACACACAAAATTAAGAGGAGGGAGGGGCTCAGGTGTGCATTTAGGAAGCACCCTTGGCTCCCCTGGAGACAGGGTTACAGAGGGCACTCTGAAGGCAGGGAGACCCGCTGGAGGCTATTGAGGGCCGGTGGCAGTGGGCATAAAGATTACAGATTAAGCTGAGAGCCCTTCAGGATGCAGGCCTGAAGAAGCTGACACCGAAGAAGCTGACAGGATTTGGGGACCTGCTGGACTAGGAGGTGAGGGAGGAGGGGTCTAGGATGGCTGTGGACCTTGGCTTGAGGCAGGAAGCCCTGGAGCAGGTGGGGGTGGGGACGGATGAGATCAGACTTGGACCCAGTGCGCTGATGGTAGTGGCAGGCCAGCCAGGGAGGCAATGTAGGGATCCACAACCAGCTACCGCACGTCACAGCTTGGCAGGTGCCAGGCGCTCTCAGATCATCTATTGTCACCCTCACAATAAACCCACAAGGTGGGTGTTTCCATTACCCACTGCCTCAGAGAAAACAGAGACTTAGAAGAAGGAAAGTGCTTTGCTCAAGAGCAAGTGGTGAAAGGCCAGGCGCAGTGGCTCACGACTGTAATCCCAGCACTTTGGGAGGCCAAGGTGGGTGGATTACATGAGGTCAGGAGTTCGAGACCAGCCTGGCCAACATGGTGAAACCCTTGTCTCTACTAAAAATACAAAAATTAGTCAGGCATGGTGGCGCTACTCTGGAGGCTGAGGCATGAGAATTGCTTGAACCTGGGAGGTGGAGGTTGGAGTGAGCTGAGATTGTGCCACTGCCTTTCAGCCTGGCCAACAGAGTGAAACTCAAATCTCAAAAAAAAAAAAAAAAAAAAAAAAAAAAAAAAAAAAAAAAGGCAAGTGGTGAAGCTGGATCAGGGGTCTAGAGTCAGAGGAGAGGTGTGGAGTCTATAGGACAGAGTTCCCTGATGGCCCACAGGACTCTGCAGTCCGAGGCCTCCGGGAAGTGGCCTGTTGAACCAGGACAATCTTGTGACTATGAGTGAGGACAGAATTAACAGCCTTTAGGGTCTGAGGGTATCCTAGGGGATTTATAGGAGTTTGGGGGTCTCTGGGTGTCTTCAGAATCTTCTGGCAGCCATGAGGCTAGATTGTGGAAATCTGGGGAAGGGGTGGGGTTTCTGTTGACAGCTGTGGGGGCTGCATCTGGCTGTCTTAAAGGGGTTGTGCTTTGTAGGCATCTGGTGAGATCTGAGTGGTGGGCTGTAGTGGGGGGCTTGATTATATAGACCCTGTACATCCCAAGGGGGTGGGGAGATGATGGGTATGTTTGCCAGGCCATAGGACCCAGGAGGAGCCCCTGTTCCCCTATTCCTAGTGAGGCCTAAGCTTCTGAGGGTTGGCAATAAGTTGCCTTATTGGCAAGTGTTGGCAAACCTACTCAAGCTTCCAAAATTGGGCAAGTGAGTGGGGGGATAAGGAGGGTTTAAGGTGACAGGCCCACTTACAGCTACTTGACAAAGTCCCAAACATGGACATACTGTGTATCATGGGCAAGTCACAGCTCAGGCTTGAGAAACTCACAGCAAAGCCACACACACCTCCAGGCACACAACACACTTGGGCTTAAATGTGAGGGGTTACTTGGCCCACTGTTTGAAACATACTATGTATAGGCCCCTCACCTAACACACAGGACAGACGGGGAGTGGGGGAGGGACAGAGGGACCCCGCCCTGGATGCTTAGCCCCCATCGGCCCAGCAGAAACCCTCGAAACCTTCATGCCTGCCTCCCCACCCAGATTAAGACTACAGATTACAGGAAGGTCATGCCACTTCACTTCTTGGCTAGGTTTCCTGAGCAGGGCCTTGGTGGCCCTGGGGTTCAGTGACTTCTAACTCTGGAGCCATGACCTCTGACCCTGTGGTTTGGTGGTCTCTGATCTTGGGGATCAGACACCTTGATCCGTCTTCAGCATCCTTAGGGCTCCCAGAGTGTTCCAACAATCGTCCACATAGCAAAGATGCCTTGGGAAGAGTATTCACTATCCCCAGGTTTCCAGGCAACCCTCAGGTGGGAGGCAGGATTGGACTGGCCTGAGGTGTAGACCTAGGGTTTTTGAGGGATAGCTATGGGAAGCCAGAATTTGGCTTAGCATGAATGTGACCTGTGTGACACAGCCATCTACAAGGGAAGCTTCTGGAGCAGACTGTCCCTGGGGGTGCTGCCACTCATCTGGATGTTGTTAAGGACCCACCAAGGTGACCTTGAAGGGCTCTGAAGTTGGGACTTCATTCCTTATGGCAAAGGTGAGAATTCCCTAGTGCCACACCACTGAGTGCAAGTGCCTCCATGCTTCAGGTCTCTGACATCTGCACACCAGCACCCCGGCAAGGAAAGGCTGGCCCTGGGGCCTGCCATAAGCTCCTGCCCCATTCCCTGCTGGCTCTCACCCCTCTGGGACTTCACCAAAGCTTGTCCCTGGAACTCTGGCACCTAGACTCCCAGACCCATTAGCATTTGAGCTGGTGAGTCAGCACACAGGCCTGCTGGCCCAGCACAGGGGCTGGGGCTATTTCAGGCCACTTGGCCCGCCCCAAAGGGCAAACAGATCCTCTAGGACCCTGGGTACTAAACTGCCAGGCAGTCACCTCCCACCCCCAGCAATCCTTTGATCCTTTACCTGCCTCACACCGGGTGCCTCTTGAGAGTGTCCCCACAGTTTAAAGGCCTTCTGGGGGAGGGACTTGGGGTTCACCTTGCTGTATTTAGCCCATCCTTTGAACTTCTTAGAGGCCCTGAAAAACGAATGCAGACTAAACAAACTCTCTAGAAACCCTCAGCCCTGCCCAGGAGGACTGGACAAAAAGCATGGGTGCTGATGGCTGGAATGGGGGCAGAAAAGCAGTTTGCTGGAACCGGAAACGGGGGGACACTGTAGGAAGTTCCTCAGGGTTAGAGGCAGCACTGGTGGGAGGGGACCACTGGGGCAGCCTGGCATCCTTGATCCCTGCCCACTCCCCACCTCAGTGAATCAAGAAACCAGGCAGCAAGGCTCTGGGGGCTGCTTTTATGGGGACGACCTGACAGAGGGCATGGTCCGTACAAAACCGGGAACAATACATACATATATATATTATATACAGAGATGCGGCCCTCCCGACGGCTGGGCAGGGGTGGCCGCTGGCCCAAGCAGCCCGAAGCGGCCCCGCCCACCCGGTTCCGCCCCCTCCATCTGCCGGGGTGAAGTGCGCGAGCCCAGGACTGAGACAGCCAGCTCCTTCAGGGGATGGGGGCACATCTGGGGATAGGAAGGGGTGGGGACAAGAAATACTGATCGAAGTCATGGTCTATTTACAGGGGACAAGAAGCCAAAACGGATGGGATGGGTGGTCTGTTTTTAAAAAATGAACAAAAACCCAGTTAGGGCAGGGGCATGAAGTGGCAAAATGAGATGGATTTTGAAAGGGGAGGGGACCTGGGGGAGGTGGTCTCACCTCCCTTGGTCCAAGCCCCAATTTGGGGTTAAAGTGGGGAAACAGAGTCGATTTCACTTAGAAGGCAGGCTGCCAGCAGGGCAGCCCTGGTCTCCAAAAAGATGAGTAGTAGTAAAATTTTGCCCTCCAGTCAAAACATTGGAAAACCAGTAGGGGGTGGGGGCGAGGCTGACTCCCTGCAATGTCAGTAGGCTTCCAGGCATCGCCCTGGGCTGGGCAGACAGGGCAGCACAGGATAGGACCTGACTCTCCAGGGAGAAATGTTCCCCTTGCCTAAGACCAGGGTCGCTGTAGCCAGACCCCCTTTCCTCCCTGGCATTCCCAGGCTTGACCAGGAAACCTGGACCCCAGAGAGGCCACATAACAGTTCCAAGACGAGGTTATGGCTATTTGGCACCTGGAAGAGGGGAGGCACAAGGAGAAATTGAGGGCTGCTGCCCCAGGCAATGGGGAGCTGGGGACCAGGTGTCCTGAACTCTCCCTTTTTCCCACTCTCACTCCCCCTTTTCCCGAAGGACACATGAGAAATCAGTGCAGGGCCAGGGCCAGGCCCAGCCTCCGGGCTCTGGGGTGGACTCTATCCCTCCCAGGACAGGGAACAGGGATGGGGGAGGTGTTGAGGCAACGCCCCCACCCCCCAGGCGGGAGGGTCAGAATGCAACAGAGACGGCACAATGATGGGGGGAGAGGGAAGGGCCGAGAAGGTAGAATCTCAAGTCAAGAGGCCCAGGGGCCACCCAGGTGCCCCATGGGCAGGGAGCAGCCCCCAGTTGGCAGATGCTGGGAGAGCCCCAGCCCCGTTCCAGTCCAGAGACAAAAGCTGGAGTGTGTAAAGTCTGGCAGTTTGATCTGCAGGTGCTTGTGTCCGTCGACCACCAGGCCAGCCCTCGGCAGCCCTCGGCCTCTGTGCCTCAGCCCCATGGGGCAAGAAAGAGGCTGCCCTTCTAGCCACCTCTGTCTGCCCAGGCCATCTTAAGGGGGCCTGTGATATGAGCCCTCTGGTCCCTGAAGCTGGGGGAGGTGGGGTGGAGGGGTGGGGGGAGTCGGGGCACCTGTCCCCAGGCTGGAAGGGGGAGGGGTGGGGTGTTGAGGACAGGGGAGGGAGGACAATGGGAGGGGGGTTAATTATTGTCCAGTCATGGAATGATTCCTGTTAAGTAGAATTGGAATTCCTCAGTGTTTGCAAGTTTCCTTCCAGTTCTGAGATCTGGAAAACAAAGGAGGGTAGGGGGTCAGGTCTGGACACCAGGCATGATCCCAGCCCCTTCCGCCCCCCGGTGAGGACATGGCATCCCCTCCCTCCAGGACCCACAGGGTAGGGGCTTCAATGCTGCTCCCTCCACTGGGCCCTGCCCACAGGGCGCCCCAGGCCCACCTTGTCCAGGAGCTTGTCCATCTCCTCCTTTCTGGCCAGCTCCGACTCCTCCAGAACCCGACGCTGTGCAGTCTCCTTTTTCAGGAACTCGATCTCCCTGGGCACAGGCAAGGGACAGATGGCAGGTAAGGGTGTGTGGTCTGGCTTTCATCCAGGGTGACCCAGGTCCTCAGCTTTACCTGGGCAACTCTGTCCTTCCCTGTTCTCAGGTCAGGAGGCCCCAGGTTTTCCCAAAGCCTCTGGGGGTCTGGCTCTGTGCTGGCTCTGATGCCTGGTCATTCCGGACCGGGTGTCCCCACCATGGGGCCCTCCAACTTCTGTGCCTCCCTACTCAGCTGGAGGGATGGGGAGGGACTGTCCCCAAAAGCCTCTCAATGCTCCCTGGGCCCAGCCCGCCCAGCCCCCAGCCACGTACTTCTGCTGGTAGTCCTTGATGAGGCGCTTGGCCTTGCTGTACTTGCGCTCCAGGGCCTGGTACTGCGCCTGAGTCTCCCGCAGGTGCTCGTCCACAGCCTGGCACAGGCTCTGGGCCTCACCCCAGTAGCCTTCCAGTTTCTCCATGCGCTCCTTGTTCTCCTCCACACTCTGCTCCAACTGCGCCTTCTCCACCCGCCAGCGCCCCTTCTCCTGCTCCAGGCTCTGCAGCTGAGAGAGAAAGGCACGGCCCTGGGTTGGTGGGGGCCAGCAGGAGCCAAAGGGTACCCCCATCCTAGCACTGGGGCCAGAGTCGCCAGGGGATTCCTACCGTTGTGGAGTCCATTGCACCCCAACTACTAACCCTCTTTGGCTGAGCCTGAGAACTGAAACCCAGAGAGGAAAGAAGTAGAGCTCAGCCTCAGAGCTCCCACCAGACTCCCTGTCACTGCACCCCACTCGCAGGGAGGCTGGAGGCTTCGGTTAGTCACTGATACTCTGACTTGGCGCAATGCAACTAATGTCCCAAGCCTCAGTTATCCCATCTGTAAAATGGCAGTGATATGTGCCTCCCAATCTCACAAAAGCTCCAGTGAGACAGTACATGTGAAGTAAAAGGGCAGATGAGGGTCACCATTACTCTCTGTCCCCTCTCTGCAGCCCCAGCCCTGCTCGCCAGTCTCTGCACTTGTGGCTTCCTGAACAATCCTGGTTCTCTCCCAGCTTCCAGGTGACCCCAGCGCAGACCTCCAGTCCCCCACAGCTCAGTTCCGGATCCTCTGTTCTCTCTATACTCACTGCCCTGGGGCACCGGCCCATCTCCCACACTACCTCTGTGCACTCTGAGCTGCAAATCTCAAGTCCCAGCCCACCCTTGCTCCCAACTCCCAGCTTTAGCTCCCAGCTCCTCCCAGGTACCATGCCCCAGACCAGGCCCCCGCAGCTGCACAAACCTATGCCTCCTTTCCTGACTTGCTCTGTTAAAAGGCGCCACAACCTCATAGCCATGTTGGCACTCAGTCTCAGGCCAGTATTTGCTGCAAACATCCCTTGCTCTCTGTCCCCCAGCCACACAGGCCTTCCTGCAGATCCTCAGACTTGCCACAGGGCCTTTACGTGTGCTGTCCCCTCTGCCTGGAATGTCCCCCATCTACCCTCCTGCTTGCCTAGTTATTTCCCTCTAGCTCACCCTTCAGCTCTCTGCTGTGTGTCACTTCTCCAAAAAAGCCCCCACAGCTCCCTCCAACAGCACAGCCCTACTCCCACCTCCACCCGAATCAGGTTCCTCCTGCTTTAGCAGCTCAGTAAGCCTGTTCTCTCCTACAGAGCCCCATGCCAGCGTGTGATGATGACACAGTCACTGGTTTGCAGATGCACAAGAACAACGATCAACTATGGCTTTGCCCATCATGGTGATGAGAACAATACTGGACATCTAGAAGGTACCCAGAGGATGTCTGTAAGTAGAATGCACTAACAGACCTTTGGCGTGCCCCTCCCTTTCATACTCTGCATACACCTCAGGAACATGGCCTGTCACTCTGACCCCGGAAATGCAGCGCTCACCTACCCTTCCTTTCCAGACCCTCTGCCTATACTCTGAGCAGTCCTGGCCTACCCCTGCCAGGACACTGTCTGGGCCCCTAACCAGTTTGCCTGCCTCCCAGCACTGCCCACTTTCATGCCCTCCCACTTTGTAGGCAGTGGCTTTCCGAAAAATCCCAATGGCCACATACCCCATGCTATCTGTAGGACCAAGGCCAGAGTCTTTAGAGGGGAGGCAGGATACTGCAAGCCAGAGCCCATCCTGGCAGTCCAGCCCTGCCTCCACCTCTCCCCGACAGGCATGCTGCCACCTCCTGACTGGCCTCCCCTCAAAGCCAGACTCCAAGCTCCATGGAGCTCCTCTCCCTGCCAGGAATGCCCCTGCTTCTGCCCCAGCCATCCAAACCCTGGCCTCCTCTCCTGCATACCCCCATGTGGGAGGGTACACACACTCCCATGTCTGCAAGACCCCTATAGATCTGTCTCTCCCCACCACGGCAGAAGCCCCATAGGTACTGGGACTCCTATAGTCTAGGTCCCAGCAGAGGCCCCATACAGACTTTTAATATGAAGTCTGTATATCTGCATGCCTGTGAGGGTGCTGGCACCTGACATGCTTGTGTAAGCATCTGTGTATACTACGTGTGTGTGTGTGTGTGTGTGTGTGTGTGTGTGTGTGTGTGTGCCACGTGTCTCCATCTGGGGTCGGCATCAGCACCTCTGTGTTACTTGCCCAGATGAGAATATGCATGCCCTGTGACACTCTTCCTAGACCAGGTGGTCTGATCGATGGCCATGCCTGTGTGTTTCAGAGCAGATGGGTGCAGAGTGGGTCTGCATATCCAGGCTGATAGCCTCGAGTGTAATGTGAAGCACAGGTCCATTGTCTCTGTGACTGTGTCTGTGTAGAGTGGGTGTCTCTATGTGTCTGGGTGAGGGGGTCTGTGGGTACTATGTGCCTGGGGCCAGGCTGCTGTGTCAGTGTGTGTACTTCTGGGTGGTCTGTACTTATCAATGGGCCTATATATAGCAGACATATGTGGGACAGCACAAACATAGAGACACCTAGAGCAGAACTTAGCATGCTTCGGTATCACAGCTAATATACTGACTTTTTTTTCTTTTGACACATGGTCTCATTCTGTTACTCAGGCTGGAGTGGAGTGCAGTGGCACAATCACGGCTCACTGCAGCCTCGACCTACCCTGGCCCAAATGATCGTCCCACCTCAGCCACCCAAGTAGCTGGGATCACTGGTGTGCGCTACCACACCTGGCTAATTTTTGTATTGTTTGTAGAGATAGGTTTTCGCCATGTTGCCCAGGCTGGTCTCTAACTCCTGGCTGAAGCAGTCTGCCTTGGCCTCCCAAAGTGCTGAGATTACAGGCATGAGCCACTGCGCTCAGCCTACTTTGACTTTTTATTGAGCTCCTATTATGTCACACATTGTGCTAAAGACTTGACGTGTGTTATCTCATTTAATCCCACAACGATCCTGTGGTGTTGGTGCTATTACGACCTCATTTTATAGATGAGGAGGCTGAGGCACAGAGAAGCAAGTGATGCTGGAGCAGATGGATCCAGAGCTTAAGCTCTTAATATCGTATCTATCATATCATCTTGCTTTAGAGCAGCTTGTTCTGTGGGTACCTGTGCCTAAGTGTCAGCATGTGCAGGTGTGAGGGTAGGGGGACCCTGCTCCTCAACACACACATGCACGCACGCAAAAGCACACACATACGCACCCTTACCTTTCTTTTCAGCTGCTGGATCTCTGCCTCAGTGACCGCATGCTTGATCTGGAGCTGTTGGGCAGAGGGGCAGGCACTCAGCTCCAGCAGGGTGGGGCAGGCAGTGCCAAGGGCAGGAGACCTGCCTGCCTTTCCCTCCACCACTCCAGGGAGCCCCTCCTCCCACCTCCTTGAACTTGTGCACCAGCTTCTCGGGCTCCATGTCCACAGGGGACAGTGCATCCTCGTTCTCCGCTAGCTCAAACACCTCGATGGCCATCTCACCACCCGGGAACGTGGGGCTCAGCTCCTCATCCTCGTCAGTGGCATACTCTCCCGTCTGCGAAGGGAGACCGGAGACTGTGGGCCCACCCCACCCAGCTGCCCTCAGCCCTGATGACCAGGGCTGGGACCAGTTGCCCATGCCAGACAGAGAGCTACCCAGGAATGTGGTTCATGCCTCCCACTTCAGCCTGAGGCTGGACCAGAGACACGGTTTATGTCTTCCCCCAACAGCCTGGTAGTCCCCTGATGACAGAGGGGGTCAGTTCCTCATCAGCCTGGGTCTCTGAAGAAACAGCCTGTACTATCTTTCCCCTTCTGGATCTATCTCCCTTTCAGATTAGGTCCCCCAAGATTAGGGGCTATGCTCTCCCCGCAGACTGGGGGCTCTTTGAGAGGACTGTGTATTCCTTGTCCGGCCTCTGAAGACAAAGAGTGTGACTGGAGGACAGGGAATGGCACTGTGGGCTTTTTACTAGGGCAGGGGAAGCAGTAGAGGCAGATGACTGTAATGCTTCATCTAGCCACCAGGGGGCGACCACGCGGCCAGCCAGGCAGGGACTCCCTACCTCCTCGTCATCCTCCCCATACTGGGCGTATCTCTGCTCCATCATCTCCCGCTGCCATCGCTCCTGTTCCAAAGTCTGCTGAATTAGCTGGGCCACTTCGCTCTGCTCTCCCGGCCGCTCCCGGCCAATCATAAACCTGCAGGGGCACCGGCATCATCCGCTGCCTCTGTCCTCAGCCAGGTAATGCATCATCCTCCCTGCTGATGCTCCCCTCTCCAAACTCAGGCCCTCCCAGGGGAGGAGAGATGAGAGGGCTGAGTCCGAAGGCTGCAGTGTTAATAATGAATGGGGGAATGAGGGCCCTTATCAGGTTTCCTTCCCAAGGGAGGCAGGAAGGCCCATTCACCCCTCTGGCCAGTATTGCGGGAGGGAGAATGTCAGCCCACCTCTAGGCTGTGCTGCAGGGGACATGCACTGAGGAGGCTCTTCCCCTGCCACAGGGGAGAAAATGAGGCAGGGAAAGGTGAAGATGACCCTCCCAGCAGGGATGGGCTGCGGAGGTGTTTCTTGGGTATGCTCCAAGCCCCTGAGCTTCAGGAAGGGGCGGGATGATGGCAACTGGAGATTAGGATGGAGAGGAAATAGTGGAACTTCCAGGCACCAGCCCCTCCTCCCGGTGGCCACCCACATCCTGTTTCTCTCCACCACCCTTTCCTGGGGGTAGTACCCCTCTTGCAGGGGGGCAGGGAGTGATCCCTGAATGTTAAGCCAAAGGTAGAGTGGACACAGGGAGCTTCTGATCCAGTCCCCTTGGTTACAGGCCTGGGGCGGAGTCTTCCCAGGATGACATAGGGCTGGTCGGGGTGGGGGGCATGAGGTCCCAATGAGGGGACCCCAATATGGTTAGCATTCACCCTGGACGTCCTGGTTCTTCAGTCAGTGAGTCAGGGACAGGTAGGGGGAAGGAGAAGAAGCCCTAGAGGACAGTTTGGAGGGCTGGTGGACAGTGGGCCAGGAAGGCTGAGTACTGGTGGCCAGCTGTTGCCAGGGAGCTGGGATGAGAAGGCAGGTGTGAGGCGAGGGACTCCAGGCACAGCAACTCCTGCAGCCAAGGAGTCAGCAGAACCTCTGTGAGCTGGGCCACCAGAACCTTAACTGGCTGTTAAGGCAGGTGAACGGAGTGCCTGGACGAGGACCTCCTGCCCGCTCCCACGCCCCACCCCTCTGGGCTCTCACCGCACTCGGCCCTTGGTGTTCCGGAGCACAGACGCCGCGAAGCTCTGGGTCACTCCCACCAGACTTGTTCCATCCACCTCCACCAGGAGATCATTCACCTGGATCCTAGCGGAGTGACATTGGTTAAGGGGTCACAGGGGAACCGAGGAGCGAGGGTAGAGGTAGCCTCCTCCCATCAGAAACTCCAGGCTCCCCAGCCTGAGTACATAGTGAGAACTCATCTCTACAAACAATAAAAAGAAAAATTAGCTGGGCATGGTGGCACGTGCCTGTAGTCCCAGTTACTTGGGAGGATGAAGTGGGAGGATCACTTGAGCCAGGGAGGTCAAGGCTGCAGTGAGCTGTGTTTGCGCCACTGCACTCCAGCCTGGGCAACAGAGTAAGACCCTGCCTCAAAAAAAAAAAAAAACAAAAAAAAACAAGAAAAGAAAACAACAACAAAAAACCTCACAGATACTTTGTCCTCACAGGGACCTGGTACTTTGTCTACCTGCGTAACATTCACAAGGCCAGAGGATTAAGTGTCAGCCAGGCCCACCTGTGTGGGCAGTGAGAGCCAGGCAAGCAAAGCAGACACAGGCGTCCAGGACCAGGAGACGCGGCAGGCACACTTCCTGTGACAATCACACTCTTGTCCCCTCCTTCATCATACTTGACTGAGCGGTGTGACATTCTCAGAGTTCATCTCTGCCATGCACACTGGCCAGGAGCCCCACAGCACACAAGTGACATGCCACCCTCTTACGTGTACATTTCTGCACAGAACTGAGTGCACAGATGTCCTCCCAAGTCCCCAAGACCGAATGGCACTCTCTCGAGTTCACACACTGTCCCACACACACCTGATACAGGTGCACCTGCCGACACACTCCAGTTGTGTCCCCTGAAGCCCGTGTTCTCCATACAAGGGGAGGTTCAGTCTGGCCTGCTGAGGGAGATGGAGGGTGGGGGGCCTCTCAGACACCTCCCTCCTCCACTCCACCTCCCTGGGAGCTCCAGGCCTTCTCTCAGGACTCCCACACGGAAATGGAGGAAATGGCCTATTGTCAACAGCTCACCCCAACACATGCCACTCCCAGGTGGGCATGAGTGAGTGGCCACGGCCACCATGCACACTCACTCCTTAGACAACCCACAGGCAACAATGGGAAAGGCTCTGGAAGTTCACATTGGGAGGGGAAGGGGTAAATGAAAGGGTATCCTGTTCCCGGCCCCTCTCCATGCCACCTGGGCCACAACAGGTAGAAGCCCCTTGACAGGGCAGCCCCATCTCTAGAAACAAGATCCCAAAGTCACCCAGATCCCAAAGGACACCTGCTCACCTCTGTCACATGGAGGGGGTCTGGGTTTGGAGGTACCACCACAAGAGATCCCCAATGTCACCTCTAACTTACAGCCACCCTGGGGGATGCCCTACAGCCCTTCCTACTGCCACTCCCCACACCCCTGGAATACACAGCTAACACAGGGGTCCCTGGCTGGCACACAGCTCCAGGATGCCCTCCCTGAACCTTCTGTCCCACAGAACTCACCCCTTGCAACCACAGATGCTCAATACAGGCACACACACTCACATGCGCAAAGACAGCCTGTCTCCAGAGCCACTGCCATCAATGGGTCTAGTCACAGCCTCCTGGCCCCTGCTCTCTATGCCCCAGCCACACCTGCCTGCTCATGGCGCCACTGCCTGGAACCTCTGCACTCACTCCCTCAGCACAGCTAACTCCTGCTCCAGCCTTAGCTCTCAGCTCCAGCACTGCTTCCTCCAGGAAGCCTTCCCTAATGCCCAGAGAGATTAAACCCTCCTGTTGTATGCCTTCACAGCAGTCTGCATTTCCCTCCATTTCACTACCTTTTGTGTGTCCATTTATTCAATGTCTACCTCACACCACACTGCACACTTCTCAAGTGCGCCAGGCCCTCACCATTGACTTCCCAGGGCCCAGCACCGGCCCAACACTGTCAGAGACTCAATGTCCAGCGAAAAAAAAGCTCAAATATACTCCATGCCTGTCTTCTCCCTACCAGGGCCCAAACTGTACTCCAGACCGGGATGCACAACACACGCCTATAGCCCCCATGGTCACCAGCCCCTCCTGGAGAACACACGCTCCTTCAGGGCATAGGGGCTGACAGTGCTCACTGTTGTATTTCTGGGGCCTGGAACAGCACCTGGCATGGCAGTGCTCCCCGAACATCTCAGCTGCACACACAGCACGGAAATCTCCCAGGGAAGGCCCGCCCCACCCCCTGCTCAGTGGCCCACCCCACCAAGGATGGCCGGTCGGAGAGGGAAAAAGGGTCAGGCGAGACTGGGGAGGATTGGTACCTGCCATCCCGATGGGCCGCACCACCCTCCGTCACGGTCTTGACGAAGATACCCAGCTTCTCCAGGCCCATGTCTGCCCCGGCGCCCATGCCGATGATGCTGATGCCCAGGCCCTCGGAGTCTGTGGAACAGAGAGTGGTGAGATGGCAGGGCTTGTAGGGGACAGACGAGAGACTCTCCACCCCGAATTCCAGGGCACAGCCCCCCCATCAGGAAGCAGTCCCCATTAGGGGATGTCCCACAACTGAAGAAGGGATATAGTTCTGTCCACCGTCTTTGCCAAGTCTACTAGGATGGCTCCTGAGCCGCTCCCTGCCCTTTGTCCCTTCCAAAGAACCAATGGGCAGAAGAGCGTGCCAAGGGTGGCACAGGCAGGTAAGACTGTTGCATATGCAGACCAGGGCGTGTGGCCAGGATGGGGGTAGCCAGGATGGGGGTAGCCAGGATGGGACTCAGCCCTAAGCCTTTGGTCTTCTCCCTCTCAGCCAGTCTCATCTGTACTCATAGCTTCAAGGACCAAAGACCTCCAGATTTTCTCTCCCCTGAGGTCCATTCCCCTATCCACACCTGCCCCTGCCTGACTCATGGCCCTCTGATGTCCCAACTAATGACCTTCCCCCACAAACACTCCCTCATGGGGGATGGTACCACCACCTGCCACCTGCCAGACCTGGGAGGCACCTGGATTCCTCCCTCCCACTCACAGCCTCCACCTGAGCCAAATGACCCCCAGATGCTATGGATTCTACCCCTGGAGATCTTTCCAGTCCACCCACACCCGCTCTGCCATCTTCCTGTCCACGCCACAGTGGCCTTTCTCCATCCACTTGTGACCCCCTCCCTACATCACAGCCTGGTGTGGTCTTTCTAGACCTTTCCTGTGCTTCGAAATGGCTCCCAATCCATCTTAGCAACAAGACCACGTGGTCTGCAAGGCCTCATTTGCATGCTCTTCTTGCCCTCCCTATGCAAATGCAGCCAAGCCCCTTTCCTGACTACTCCCCTAATTCCTCCTCACCAGAGTGCAACTCAAGCTTCACTTCCCTGGAGAATGCCCCCAAGCACAGTCTGGTTAGGTCACCTGTTAAACGCTTTTACAGTGGCCCCTCCTTACCTTCCCCAGCCCCTATTCCAGCGCCTAAGGGTGAGATTAGATGTGACTGTGCCTTCCATGTCTGCCTCCCCCATCCATCTCCCCAGGAGCCCACCACTGTGTCCCCAACACAGAGCCCAGGACCTAGCACACAGTACCCTACAGAGACCTGTTAACTGAATGTGCAAATGTGGTTCCATGACCGGGGTGGTGGGGGTGTGGCTTGGCCTGGGTTGGAGGCCCTGTTTGCTCTGGGTGCTGACAAGGGAGGAGCGGGGAAGGTCACCAAGGGCCTGAGTCAGAGGGAGAGGCCCAGCAAGTCTGTGGGAGCCCCTGAGGGCACAGGGCAGGAGCTGGTGCCAGAGATGAGACCCGGGTCAACCCCAGCTGTGCGCAAGTGACGTGGCCTCCTGGCCTCTCACCCTTCTCCAGCTCCACAGGGAACAGCTCCAACCTCTCCACACGCTTCTCCAGCTCGTACTCAGCAGAGGCTGCCATGGGATCCACATCCTCGTTGCGACGATCGTAATCCTCGTTGGAGTAAGTGCTGAACACCTGGGGAGGGAGGCAGCTGGTCAGAGAGGCCGGCAGGAGGACAAGTGCAGAACTGGCATGAGGAGGCCGAGGAGGCAGGCTGAGTTACCCACCCCATGCCTCCCCATGATAGCCCTGAGATGAGGCCTCACCCAGTCCCCTGAGACCCCAGCTCTGAGCAAAACAAAGGCCCTTATAGTTCTGGAGCCCAGGGTCAAGACAGAAAGGGACCCAGCCTTGGCAGACCCGCACTGCTATTCTCTCTGTAGCTCCAACCAGCGTGAGCATGGTCTGCCATAGGCACAGAAGGGGAATCCTGGAGAAACGTCCAACTCAGGAACCCAGACACCCAGATAGAGGGAAAGTGAGAGATAGGACCCAGAGAGCCAGACAGGCGAGAGGGGACACAAAGACAGACACAGAGAGGAAGGAACAGGCTGAGCAGAAGAGGGGAAGAGGAGGAGGGGAGAGAGGATGGAGAAGATGCTGGAGAATGCCAGATGGGGAGAGAGGGGGGAGCGGGTGTGAGACAGAAGAGGAGGAGGGGAGCAGGAGGGGTGGAAGGGGAGAGGTACCCAGGACTGGCTCTGACTTGCCGCTCAAGTGGATGTTGGAGCAGGGGAGGGAAGCAGGAAAGACCATCTCTATCCCCGTGGAGAAGAGGCAGGCCCTCCATCCCCAGGAGCCCCTCGGGTGGCAGAAGCAGGGGAAAAAGCTGGGCCTGGCCTTCCCTGCACACCCAGGCCGCTCTCCCTCCACAACTGCAGCTCTCTAAGTTACGCCCCCTGTCCATGTGCTAGGGGGCCCAGGAGACTGAGGAGGGGACAGCCTCTGACACTGCCCACAGCGAACCCAGGCGCCATGGGGCTCCGAGGCCACCCCTGCCTTGGCATCTCCTGTACCCCTCTGTTGTCTCTCTCCAATGTCTCTCAGCAAAAAGAGGAATTCCTCAGCTCTGACTCCCTCAGAAGGACAGAGAAGGTGGGGCTGGGCTCTGTGGGAATGTCTAATTCTGGGCCCAGGCAGGGGTGCCCCCAGTGGGAGGTTAATGAGCACCATTTGGGGTACCATGACATGCTCAAGCTTCATCGCCTGCAGTGACAGGTTGGCACCACTTGGAGCCAGGCGGGGGCGGGGAGGGATGGGGAACAGCTCTATCAGTTGGCTGAGTCTGAGCCCCGAGGAGTCAGACTAGGACCCCATCTCCCCCAAGGGCCCTTGTCAGGGCCCGTCTCCTCCAGGAGCAGACCTTGTGGGCACCCTGGTGGGCAGCAGCACTCTCGTGTCCCAGCCTTTGTCTGGGTTTGCTCCGTGTCGTCCCCACCCCCTACCAGAGAGGCTCACTGCCACAGTGGGAGAGGGAGGGGGTGCTCATAGGACTAGAAGGCTTAGGTGGGAGGGACCCCTCTGGTCACTTAGCTCAATGCCCTCAATTTCACAGCATCAGAGAAACTCTGGCTCCAGCCCTTAAAGCTCATCTGTCCATTGCACCCCTCGAACAAACAGGCTGCCTACCTTGCACATAGTCCAGGGCACCAGGCCCACTGCCCAAGGTCACATGGGTTAAACTGTGGCCAGGCAGAATGAGACTGCACCCAGCTGGGACAGGTGGGTGGGTCACCGGTGACTTGGTTTCCACTGCACACATGCCCCAGGCTCTGGGACAGGGCTGATGTGAGCCTGGACTCAGCAGTGGGATTTGGCCCACTTTGCACTGGAGTCCCCTGACTCTCACCCTCTGCTCTAGGAGACACGGTCCCTTCATCATTGAGTCTCTACAGTCTCCTGAGTCAACGAAACCCCTCCCTGACACACATGGACACACACGCCCGCTGTGACCTCCAAAACACACCTCACAGCCTGTCCTGGGCTGCACCCTGCCCTCTTCTCTCAGCCTATCAAATCCTGTTCCCTTTCTGGTCCTGCCGCCTGCAGGAATCCCAGGCCTGGGCTCAGAGGCCCCAGACCACCTCCTACCCCTCCTCGGGCTGCCCACCATGATATGCCGGTCTAGCAGAGGGCCCTAGGGGAGGTCCCACCTCCCTGAGGCCAAGCTGGAATTGGGTTCTCTGCCCTCAGCAGAGGCCTCCACCTCCAGAAGGGCAACAATTGGGTCATCCATGGGGACCGGGACCCTGGACTTGGCATCAAGGCAGGGGCAGGAAGAAGAAAAAGTGGGGCCCCTGTGCCAGGGTGGGGAGGAGGAAATCCCCAGTGAGGCTGAAAGCCAGCCACACTGGGCCCGCCACACACGCTGGCTCTCACACAGGGCGGGCCAGCTCCAAAGTCACCAGGGAGCCGGGAAGCACTGCTCCAAATCATGTGCTATTTTTTACTGAAAAATCAGGGTAAGGCGTCAAATATAGACAGTCAGAGGCCCAGACCAAACTCCAACTCTGAGGGAATCGGACTTCTCGCAAAATTAGTGGGGGTGGGGTGGGGGGATCCAAACTCTGCTTCAGAGTCCCAAGAAACACTACAGTCCCCCATTCCCTTCAGAACCCCACTGCCTTCAGGAGGGGAAAGGGGTTGGGAGAGGACCCCGCAGGTCCCAGCCCAGGGGAGAGGCTGGCCTGAGAGCCACTCACTTTTAACCTTTCAGGCCTCTTGCTGGGGTGGGAGGTGGGAGAGGGGCAGAGGCTGACATTCTGGGCGAGTGAGAGGAAAGTTGGGAAGCTTCAGAGTCCAGGAGTAGTTATGGAAACGACAAGCAAACAGATGGTGCTTTGGCTAGGGAAGGGTAAAGGCAGGGCAGGGTCCAGGCCAAGGAGAGTCCAGGGACCTGGACACTTCCATGGGGCGGACCTGGGGCCGGGTGCAGCTGAGCCTGGGGCGGTGAGGAAGAACCCTGCAGGCTGAATGTGCTAGCCAAGAGTGGAGGGTGGTGGGAAGTGGGGGGAGGGGTGGCCTGGGGTTTTTGATTCCCCCCAGGGGATGTTCCCTCCCCATCAGGGCTGTTCTGAGGATCTCAAAGCTCTGGCACAACCCACAAACCAACCACCAATAGTGGCCGTGGGGATGAGACCCCCAAAAGGGGCAGCTCCCATCCCTCTTTCAGGGCTCCCAGAGAATGTGGCAAGAACACTTGGGGCCTGCCAAGGCCATGGGAGTCTGTCCTATTGAGCAGCCAAGAGTAAAGGCATGCCCACTACTGCCAGGCACCCAGGGGGATCCCAGCCCCACCTCCTCCTCCTCCATGCCTGCAGAAGGCCTCTCCCCATCAAGGACCACACAAAGTGCCCCTCCCTGTGCAAGGAGGACCGGGCAGCTGGCCTGCAGGGACCCCCAGGGAACACGGCGCCAGCCAGTCACATGGCCACAGACCAGCTCACCCTCACGATCTGCTTCCCTCTTTCACTTCTGCAAAGTTGGGGTGGGGGTACAAACAGAATAGAGGAAGGGCTGCCTGCGGTCCCCTGCAGCTTCGTTTTGAGAAGTTCCTGGCTTTCCCCTTTCTCACCTCATCCAGCTCCCATACAGGGGGAAAGCACCCCGGCCCCCTCTCTACCCAGTGAAGGGCAAATGTCTCTCCTGAAGACACACACACCCCTTCACACTACCCAACCCCAGCCTCTGGCAGCCTCTGGAGGAAGGAATGTCCGGGTGAGGAAGGGAAAGCAGGTGTCCCAGGACCCGCGTGGGGCAGGGCGGGTTCCGCGGAGCGGCGGGGCGGGGCAGCAGGCGGAGGAACCTGAGGGCAGGTCGGGGCAGGCCACCCCCCTCGCACACCTGAAAATCCCTCTCTGACAAACAGCTGGAACTCCCCCACGCCCCCCTGAGGGTGGGAACTTCTGGGAAGGGGGCTGGGTGGCAGGGGCTGACTCAGCCTGCCAAACCCGGCTGGCTGGCTGGCGAGCGGGGGCGGCCGCGTGCACGTGGCAGGGGCGGCGCGGGGGCAGGGCGGGGGGGCTCACTTACTTGGATGGGCGCCGTGCTGAAATGGATCTTCCGGCTCGGGGCTGGGTCCTCCTCCTCCGACAGCCCCGGGATCTCCACGCACCCCGACTCGGGCTCGTAGGGGGGCTCCCCATCCTCCTCGTCGTCTTCGTCGTCCTCCTCCAGGGCACTGCCCGCAGAGTCCTCCCCGAGCCCACTGTAGGCGCTCACGTCCACCAAGTCCGCCTCCGAGAAGTCCTCCTTCTTGGATTCATCTACCTCCTCAGGGGCCACGTCCGGGGCCCGGCCATTGCCCACCCCCCTCTCTGGCGGCGCTACCGCCGCCGCCTCCTTCTCCGGGGCCGCTTGGGCCTTTGGCTCCTCGGGCGCGGGGCTGGCTGCAGTTGCCACGGTGCTGCCATTCTCCAGGGCCGCGTGGACCGTAACCTCGGCCTGGATCACCTCCCCGGGCGCCGACTCGGCCTCCGACTCCCCGCTCTCCTCCACCTCCACCGGCTTAATCTTGCGCACCTCCCGGGGCTTGGGGGGCGGCCGGGCAGGGGCCACTCGGTGCTGCGGGGGCTGCTGCCCTGCGGGGCATCGCTCTTTCTCGGCCGGGGCATCCCCCGACGGGGCGGGCGGCGGCGGCGGCGGGGGCTGGAACACCCGGGACCGCTTGCTGACCAGCTTCGAGTTGACCTGGGGAACCCCTGCGGCCCTGGGGAGCCCGGGCCCGCGGTGGAGGCCGGTCCTCGAGTCGGCCTTCTCGAAGACGGCGCTGAGCTGGCTGACCGTGGGGGACACGGCGTCAGCGTCCAGCTTGTCCAGCGCCTCGGTGCTGCCGTTGAAGCGCACCACGACGTCCAGCTTCCGGTCCTGCAGGCCGGCGCGCTCCTGCCTCAGCAGCCGCCGCGCCGCGGCCTCCTTGTCGCCGCCTGCGGCCGCTGGGGCGCTCCGTTCGAACAGCTTCCGCGTCTCCTGCAGCCGGGACGGCGGGTGCGGCGGCGGCGCAGGCTGCGCGGAGGGCGCGGGCTTGGAGTCGAAGCGGCTCACGCGCTCCGACACGCTGGTGCCCAGCTTCAGCAGGGCGCTGTGGTCCACGTTCTCGTTCAGGCTGCTGGCCCGCGGCAGCGACAGGCGCACGCCGCGCTCGGACGCCCGTGGGGCCTCGGCCAGGCCCGCGCCGCCGCCCGCCTCGCCCGAGGGCCCCGCCGTCGTGCCCATCTGCAGGAACATACTTTTGATGCGGTGGACGTTGGAGCCATATTTCTTGTGGTGGGCCCCCTTGGGTGCCTCGTCGGGCCCGGGCGCGTCGGGCGGCTTCAGCGCCTGGATGCCCGCCTCGTAGGCGCTGCGGTGCGGGGAGGCGCTCCGGAGGGGACCCCCGGGCCCCCGTGGCTCCGTCTTCATCATGGTGGGGGGAGCCGGGTTCGCATGCCCCTGCTCCCCGCTCCCCCGCTTCAACAGGCGGCTGGCCAAGTCGGGACCACCGCCCCCTCCCCCCGATAAAAGAAACCCCGAAGGCCTTTTTTAGGGTCCCCCCAAAACCAAGCTGCCAAAAACAGTTAATCCCGCTTTAAAAAAAAAAATGAAAAAAAAAAAATCTCCAAGCGCCCTGTGTGTGGGTCGCCTCCCCCAATCAAGCTGCCGAAGACAGCCAGCCCCGCTTCAAAAGCCCGAGCGGCCTGGTACGGTCGCCCCCACCCAAATTAGCAAAGCGGCGTCTGGGGCCGGTGGGAGCGCGCGCCCTGCCCGCGAAGCAGCCGCGGTGTCGCCGGCTCACATCGTCCGAGACGGTGTCAGCGGGGCTGGCAGCCCGGGCGTCCCCCAGTCCGGCCGGAGGCCTCGGCTCTCGGGGGGCCCGGCACCCCAACGCCCATGGCTGCTCCGCCGGCCCGGGCCGCTCCGCCGCCGCGCCTCCCTCCCTCCCTCCCTCCCCCCCGTGCCCCGAGCCTCGGTCTTTCTCTGGCTTTGCCCGAGCGGCGGCTGCCGGAGACCGAGCGGCTGCCCTTCTCGCAGCCGCCGCTGGGGGACTGGCACCTCTGGGTCCTAAAGGGATCGGATTTCCGGGGCCGGAGCCTGTGAGCCCTCCCCTTCCCCTCCACCCGAACGGATCCCCTCCCCTCCCCAGCCCTCGCGGAGAGCCTTCCGCTGCCCCCGGACGTTGGCCAGCACTCTTCAACCTGCTTCCATCACAACTTCTGACTGCGGTCACAACCCACAGAACCGCACCTCCATGAAATATTGGGGGGAGGCAGTACATCCACGATGGTCTCAGTGTGAGGGGAGGGGGTTTGTAGGGAGGGGCAGAGGTTCATTCTTCAGTGTCCTCGGAGCTAGCTCTTCGGTGTGCTTCAAGCCTTTAGCATCAGAATCGCTGGGCACTTGGTAAAAATGCAGATTTCTGGGATCTCTCTCGAACCTTGTGAAGGAGAATCTCCGAGGCTGAACCCAGGAATCTGCATTTTAACACTTCACTACAGGCAATCTTTGGCCCCCTTGGAGGTGTGAAACCTTGGTCCAGCGCTGGTGACCTTTCGATGGTGGGGGAGGGGTGGTGAAGAAAGGAGGTGAACCCCGTCATCCAAGTAGCAGGGGATCACCAAAACTGCCGAAGTCTGGAAAGGATGTCCTGTCGCCTGTCTGCTGTGCACCCGTCTTCAGGCCCCTACCCTGGCACTCCTGCCTCTCAAACCGGAAGGAAGGGTTTGGGAGCAGGAATTCGAGAGGCCTGGGGCCAAAGTTTCGCCAGTGAGAGCTCTAACTTGGGTCTCTGATTTAAAGGATCCTGGCCACTGTGTTCCGGTTGGGGTGGGGGGGTGGGGAGGGTGACAGTGACTTACACATCCCCTGTCCTGGCAACCCAGAAAGCTGTTTGATGCCCTCTGCACCCCCCGCATACACAGCTAGGGTGCTGGCGCTGCCTGGGCCCTGGGTGTGAGAGTCCGCCCTCTGGACAGGTCCAGGTGAGCTGGTTCATTCCACACATCCCAGAAACTGGTGAACACAATGGGCCCTAGGACCCAGAGAACAACTCAGGCACAAAGCCTCCCCCCACTCCCAGCTGCTTCCTGCATCTCAGGCCTTTCTGCGGCCTCTGCCTCCTCCCCCGCCCTCTTCCCCTCCATCCTCTTCCTCCTTTTCCTAATCTCCCACTCTCTCCCCCCTGGCCTGGAAGGGCTGGCAAAGGGAGCCCTCCTACCACTCCACTGCAGGGGTGTGTGTGGGTTTTGTGGGATATTAACGCGTTACCATGTGCAAAAGAGCTTAGAGTACAGCGTGGGGGATGGGGTGTGGGGAAGCCGCCTGGGAACCCTGGATATTGGGATCGGGAGGGGCCAGGAACCGCAGGACTGATCCTGAGGCTGGTGCTAAGGAAGAGGGAAGATCTAGGTTGTGAGCTAGAGCCGGAAGTGAACCCAGACCTCACACTTTCCAAATGCCACCTGCATCTTTGCCCAGTTGCCCAGGAAACTTACCCCTCCCCAGTTTTGCACTTTGGGATGGTGCAGGGTGAAGAAGTCTGTCTCCTAACCCTTCTTAGAAGGCCTCTGTCAGGAGCAAGCTTTGGGACTTAGATTTCCAAACTCAAGATTGGGTCTTGAAAACCCCTCCCCACAGGCCCCCCAACCCCAATATAGAAGTCCGGAGAAGACAGAAACCTCACCCAGTTGGGGTTTGGAAGTTTGTACAATGTACTCAGAAGCTCTTGTGTGGATTGGAGGAGGGCGCAGGCCCCTGTGTTCTGCCCAGAATCTCCCACACCCTTGGTGGTAGATCATCTTAACTGGTCCCAGCCCAAGGGGTCTGTGCCCACGCGTCTGGCCAGGTGGGGAAGCCCCCAGTTTCTGAGGGTGGGAGAAGGAGCTGAGAACCAGCTACCAGGCCCAGAGACCCTCGGACTCCCAGCATTTCCGGTAGCAGCTTAGAGCAAACTGGAATTACAGGGGTGCTCTTGGGTCTCCCTTGTCCAAAGGATTATGAATCTCCGGACAAACCCCTTTAACAGACCCTTCTAGGGGGTTTGGGCTTCAAGAGGGTGGAGCTAGCCAGAGCTTGGGGGACTGAGGCTAATCAGTGGGATTATTATTTCATGGGCTCCTGGTTAGCAGAGCAACACCCTGGCCAGAATTCCCAAAGACGCTTTTATGGAGCGGTAAGTGCTTCACCATCACTTGTTCTCTGGTGTCAGGCACCAAGCCGGCTGGCCTGTGAGATGGGTGAAGAATGGGGTCTCATTCCCTCCATCCCTTCTCTGCCTGTCTGGAGCAGTAATCGCACCTGATAGGAACAAGGAGGGTTTGGGAGGGTTACCATCCAAACTGAAGGCTTTAAATAGAATTTTCATTCATTGGGCTGTCATCTTCACCTACATCCTCCAGTGAGGAAGCACTCCAGGATAATTTAACCACCCTTTCTCTTTCCTTTGTCTTCATGGAAGAGACTTTGATGGCCAAGTTGCCCAGTGGTCTTTGGATGGAAGTTCCTTCCTTACCTTTGCCTTGGCATAGAGTGGTTGACCTAGGAGCCAGGCTGCTAGGGTTCAAATCTTGGCTTCACTGCTTACTGGCTGTGTGACCTTGGACAAGTCACTTATCCTCCTCTGTGCCCTGGGAGGATGAAAGAAGGCCCAGAAAGGACGAGAGTGGCTCGGACACAGAAGATAGGGTGTGGGGGAGGAGACGCCTTTCCCAGCCTGTGCTAAAAAGGCCAGAGGCTGCGATAGGCAGAGATAATTCACCCCCAACTCTCCTCCTGGTAACCGCCCCCCTGCCACAGCTTTCCCACACCCCCCCAAATCTGCTTAGGGCCCTTGGGAAGATGCTCTGTTAGGACTCTTCCCCAAGGCTTGCTAGTTTTAAACACCAGGTGTAACTGCAAAGATAGTGATGAAGGCAGGGAGAGGCCTGACGAGCGATAAGTCCCGAGCCCTCAGCGCCCTGGGCGCAGGCCCGGGCTGGGTGCCAAGGCTGGCTTCTCTTTCCAGCCCTGGGGCCTTGAGACTCAGCTTCTAAAAGCGGTTTTTCCTTGGCCACGGTCATCTAAGCAGAGGCTGGCCCAGACCCTGCACTTGGATCCTTTTGTGGTGAGCCAGTGGTCCCCACCCAGTTGCTCTCCTTCAAGAGTTGACCTCTGCCAGGGATTTGGGCTGGTTATAGGATGCTGGAAAGGTATGCTGGAAAGGTGTGTGTACACCTCAAATCCAGGATGTCAGTGTTGGAGGGGCCTTTAGTGGCCCTTGGCTGACCTCTTCACAGGGAGAATGACGAAAGCTGAGAAGTGACATACCTAGTTTTAAAGGAAACAGACCAGGCTAGGGTTCATGAGGCCTGAATTGAGTCCTAGCTGCACTCATTTGCTGGATGACCGTGGGCTAGTCGTGTCCCCTCCCAAAGCCTGTTTCCTCAAAAAGCTTAGCTTGAGTGTCTGAGTGTTTCCTGAGCATAGATAACCCTAGGTGTCCCTCACTTTTGTGCATGCAGCACAGGCCTTGAAGCCAGGCCATCTCTGTTAGAATCTCCAACCTCCCACTCCCCAGCTAAGGGGCTTCAACAAATTCCTTCATCTATAAGATGAAGATAATATACCAACTTCATAGAGTTTTTGTGAGGAATAAATGGGTCCTCAATGCATAAGGCACTAAAAGGGGGCTCAGAGTGTTGGCTGTTACTGATTGCAGGGTATCCAAGCACATGTGGGGGTGTGTGCCTGCATGCACATGTGGGCAGGTGTGGCTGAGAATGAAACTCGGTGTTTGCATCTCTCTGTGTGTCTTCACAGGACTTTGGGGCTCTCATTTTCTTTAAGGTTCAATATGTGAAATTCTGAAATATAAACACCCCTTGCTTACAGCTTCTCCAAATCTTTGGGGGTCATTCTTGGGATGACCTCTCTTCTCTACTTCCCAAAGGGTTTTTCACTCCTGCCTGTGGGTGCCTCAAGCCCCTCATTGTCCCTGCAGGGAGAGGGGTCCCTTAGGGTCCTCTCACAGCTAGGAGACTGCCTTGCTGCTGGTTCCCTCTGCTGTACCCAGTTTCTTTCTATCACTCTCCACACTTGCTCCAGTGGCTCTTGGAAAGTTCAGATACATCTTGGAGACTAGGGAGGGAGACTTGGTAGGAGGAGTCAGGGTGTGTGTGTGTGTTGGGGGGCGGGGGAAGGGGTTGGACAGAGGAAAGATTTCTCCAAATCATCAGTTGCTTTAAAAGAAAGCCTATATTTAGCTGGGCTTAGAGGGCCTGTAAATATGTATTTTGCAAGGCAGACAGCCCGTAGCTGTGGGAGCTCCAGAGATATGCAGGGAGGTCAAAGAAAAAAAAAATAATCAGAAAGATTAGGCAATATATTTTGTCATCAGCAGATTCAAAAAACTCTACTGCCTGCTCTCACTGCTAATAATACACATTTCTGTGTTTCGATGGTTCCTATGTTTCATCTGCCCTCCAGATCTTGTGCAGTGGGTGCCTGAGAAGGAGACTGGCTCTCGGAGACACCTTTTCCTGCCAGCCTTTGCCTCATCTGCCCTGGGTCAGAGGAAACAGCATCCCACCATCTCCATCCCCACTAGCCCGCCAGGCTCTGCCTGGCGCAGGTACAGCCTCCAGAACACCAGCTCTCAGGTCTCCCACGCTCAGTGCCCAGCACGCAGGTGGCTTTGGGGTGAGGTGTGGGGTGAGAAATCCTGCACTTCAGGGCAGTTCTACTTCAGAGACCTCTTTTTTCCTACAAAAATGTTCATTAATTGTTTTTTTACTTTTACTTTGAAAAGTTTCTTTAACAGTAAGAGGCCTTCAAAGAATCATGTGACAGAATTTACAAATGCTAGCAATGTGTCATTTTTGCTTTGGGTTTTTACATATAAAAGAGAATATTTGGCCGGCCCGGTGACTCACACCACCCAGTGCCATAATCCCAGCACTTTGGAAGGCCGAGGAGGGCGGATCACGAGGTCAGGAGATCGAGACCATCCTGGCTAACAGTGAAACCCTGTCTCTACTAAAAATACACAAAAAAATTAGCTGGGCATGGTGGCAGGTGCCTGTAGTCCCAGCTACTCGGGAGGCTGAGGCAGGAGAATGGCGAGAACCCGGCAGGCGGAGCTTGCAGTGAGCCGAGATCGTGCCATTGCACTACAGCCTGGGCAACAAGAGCAAAACTCCGTCTCAAAAAAAAGTATATATATATATTTGAGCCCCCTTTTCTTTCTCCCCAGTTCCATTGTCCACCTCCCCCAACACTCACACATTTGGAATACAGCTTTTCTAGACCATAATTTTTGCATTACTATATTTTAATTGTAGCAGACTAGAGATATAAAATTCACCATTTTGGCCAGGCGCAGTGGCTCACGTCTGTAATCCCAGCACTTTGGGAGGCCGAGGCGGGCAGATCACGAGGTCAGGAGATCAAGACCATCCTGGCTGACACGGTGAAACCCCATCTCTACTAAAAATACAAGAAAAATTAGCCGGGCATGGTGGCGGGCGCCTGTAGTCCCAGCTACTCGGGAGGCTGAGGCAGGAGAATGGCTTGAACCTGGGAGGTGGAGCTTGCAGTGAGCTGAGATCGCGCCACTGCACTCCAGTCTGGGCGACAGAGCGAGACTCTGTCTCAAAAATAAACAAATAAATAAATAAAATAAAATTCACCATTCAGTGTGTACAGGTCACTGGCATTAAGTACAATCACCTTGTTGTGGAGCCATCACCACCATCTATCTCTAGAACTTACTTTCATCTTCCAGAGCTAAAACTCCATACCCATATAAGTCCCCATTCCCCTCTTCTGCCTCCCAGGTTCAAGCAATTCTTCTGCCTCAGCCTCCTGAGTAGCTAGTATTACAGGCCCGCACCACCATGCCAGGCTAATTTTTGTATTTTTAGTAGAGGCGGGGGTTTTACCATGTTGGCCAGGCTGGTCTCGAACTCCTGACCTCAGGTAATCTGCCCGCCTCAGCCTCCCAGAGTGCTGGGATTACAGGCATGAGCCACTGTGCCTGGTCTAGAATTATGTATTTTAAAAATGTATGTAACAAAGGCAGGTACAGTGGCTCATGCCTATAATCCCAGCACTTTGGGAGGCTGAGGCAGGAGGATCACTTGAGGCCAGGATTTCAAGCCCAGCCTGGGCAACACGGCAAGACCCTGTCTCTACAAAAAAATAAAAAATTAGCCAGATGTGGTGGTGCACCTATAGTCCTGACTACTCAGGAGACTGAAGTGGGAGAATCACTTGAGCCCAGGAGTTCCAGGCTGCAGTGAGCTATGACTGTGCTTCTGCACTCCAGCCTGGGTGACAGAGCAAGACCCTGAAAAAAAAAAAAAATTATGCAATGGCCATCATACTATGTGGATCATTTTTCCAGTCAACATGTTTTTTTCACAATGTAGCCACATTTGTTCATTTGATTTGTTCATTTTAACTTCTGTTTATTATTTTATCAGAAGAATAAGCCACAATATATTTATCAATTGGGTGTTTAGGTTGTCTCTATGTTTTGTTATTATTGCTATTTATTTATTTTTGAGATGGAGTCTCGCTCTGTCGCTCAGGCTGGAGTACAATGGCACAATCTTGGCTCACTGCAACCTCCGCCTCCCAGGTTCAAGCGATTCTCCTACCTCAGCCTCCCGAGTAGCAGGGATTACAGGCACATGCCACTGCGCCTGGCTAATTTTTGTATTTTTAGCAGAGACAGGGTTTCACCATGTTGGCCAGACTGGTCTCAAACTCCTGAGCTCAAGTGATCTGCCTGCCTCAGCTTCCCAAAGTGCTGGGATTACAGGCATGAGCCATTGCACCGGGCCTGTTTTGCTGTTATATAAACAGGGCTTCAATGAACATGCTTGGACTTTTCTCTGAACCCATTATTAGGGCATATACTTAGAAAGCTAGGATTGTCGGGCAGGCACACTTTGAAGTTGACTAGTACTGCCAAACTGCTCTCTACAGCGTCTGAACCAATTGATCCTCTCACCACCAGCGTTTGTACAAGACATCCTGTTTTACCACATCCTTGCCAACTTTTGCTCTTGTTAGACTTATGTTTGCCAATCTGATAGGCATGAAGTGGCATCTCATTTGAAGCTGCATTCCCTGCCTATGAGGCTGAGCATCTTATTCTCATTGACCATGTGGGTTTCCTCTAGGCAAATCACTTATGTTCATATCCTTTGCTATCCTATTGTAGTTTTCGGTGCAAGTTACAACAGAAAGCCCAACTAGAAGGGGTTTAAGCAAAAAGGAACGTTTATTAGCTCACGTAACAAGAAGTCCTGGGGGTGGTTAATTCAGAGGCCTGGCTGTGACATCAAGGACCAGGTTCTTTTTGTCTTTTTCCAACACCCTCTCATTGTGTTGATTTGCCTCTTAGACTGGCTCCCTCATGGTCCCAAGATGGCTGCCTTAACTCTCTTGTGCAGACAACAACGTCAGAGACCGAAGAAACTGGATGCTTTCTTATTAGTCTCTTTCCCAGGGGTCCCCACCAGGAGACCTTCCAGAATTGCATAAACGTCCACACCTAAACCAATCATTGACCAGAGGAACTAAATTAGCATGCTATATTTAGACCAATCATCATTCACCTGATGGGGTTGAGGAAGGCCGAGCCTCCCACAAAGCCCAAACACCTGAATCAGAATGGGGTTCTGATTATCAAGGAAGAAGGAAGGGATGCTATTTGGAGTGGCACAAAAAATGTCTGTCCTTACTACTTGATGAGTACCTTGAAAGAAAAAAATAGGCCAGGTTTGGTGGCTCACACCTGTAATCTTGGCATTTTGGGAGGCCAAGGTGGGAAGACTGCTTGAGCCCAGGAGTTTCAGACAAGGCTGAGCAACATGGTGAGACCCCATCTCTACCAAATATATATATATGTTATATATATGTGATATATATAGATATATATGTTATATATATGTTATGTATATATGTCATATATATATGTTTTATATATATATTAGCCGGGCATAGTGGCATGTGCCTGTAGTCACAGCTACTTGGGAGGCTGATGTGGAAAGATCACTTGAGCCTGGAGGGGCAGAGGTTGCAGTGAGCCGAGGTTGTGTCACTGCATTCCAGCCTGAGCGACAGAGCGAGACCCTGTTTCAAAAAAAAAAAAAAAAGAAGAAATAAAAATAAAATAAAAGTTCTGTCTTTTCCATATTGATTCCTAATTCCTAGGAGGTTTTTTTTTTTTTTTTTCAGATGGAGTTTCGCTCTTGTTGCCCAGGCTAGAGTGGGATGGCGCAATCTTGGCTCACCGCAACATCTGCCTCCCAGGTTCAAGCAATTCTCCTGCCTCAGCCTCCCAAGTAGCTGGGATTACAGGTGCGCACCACCACACCCAGCTAATTTTGTAGATTCCTAGGAGGTCTGTATATTCTGAATGCTAACCCTTTATCTGTTGTGTATGCTGTCACCATTGCCACCTAGGCTGCTCCTTGTCTCTTAACTTTCTTTGTAATATCATTTTCATAGCAGAGGGCTTTTGGGGGGTAATGTAATAAAAATCGGCTGATCTTTTTTGAGTGTGTCTCTTGTCTAAGAAATGCTTTCCTACCCTTAGGTCTCCTACATTTTCTCCTAATTATTTTAAAGTTTTGTTTTTCACTTTTAGGTCTTTAATCCATCTGGAATTCATATTTATGGATGGTGTGAAGATTTTTCATAGGAAAAGCCAATTGTCACAACACATTTTACTGAAGTCTATTCTTTCTCACTGAGTTGCAGTGCCGCCACTATCATAAATCACATTCCCACATATACTTGGATCTGTTTCTGGGCACTCTATTCTATTGATTCCTTTGTCTAGCCCGGCACCGATACCACATTGTTTTAATTACTATCGCTTTCAAAAAAGTCTTGGTATTTGTTAGGGCCAGGTCTCTTTCCTTATTCTTTTTCAGAACTGTCTACTTTTTTCTTGGGTCTTTGCTCTTCTCTATGAATTTTAGAATCAGTTTGCCTAGCCCTGTGAAAAATCCTGTTGGAATATTTATTGGACCTGCAATGAATCAACAGATTAACGTGGAGAGAATCGTCTTCATAACATGGAGGCATCTCATACTTAACCTAATACTTCTCTATGGCTCTCCATTTATTACTATTGTAGCCTATGTTTTACTTCCTAAATATCTTGCAATGTGTTTTGTAATTTTTTTCTGGGTTTTGTACAATTTTAATTTTATTGTGAATGATTTCTTTTTGAAAGATACTACAATTTCTAATAAACTATTGCTAGTGCGTAGAAACACTGCTGAATTTTATATGGTTTTTTGTATTTGGATGTTGACATTTGTCCAGCATGACTTCACTTAATCACTCTAATAATATGCCCGTAGAATCTCTTGATTTTCCATATAAATAATCATGCTGTCTACAGATGTCAGAGACTTTTGCCTCTTATTTTCCTAACCCTTCTTTTTTAAATTTTTTTTTTTGAGACGGAGTCTCGCTCTGTCACCCAGGCTGGAGTGCAATGGCGTGATCTCAACTCACTGCAACCTCTGCCTCCCGGGTTCAAGAGATTCTCCTGCCTCAGCCTCCTGATTAGCTGGGATTACAGGTGCCCACCACGACGCCCAGCTAATTATTTTTAGTAGAGATGGGGTTTCACCATGTTGGCCAGGCTGGTCTGGAACTCCTGATCTCGTGATCTACCCACCTCGGCCTCCCAAAGTGCTGGGATTACAGGTGTGAGCCCCCGTGCCTGGTCTTATTTTCCTAATCCTTCTATCAGTGAATGGTGGCTTCTAAATCTGACCTTTTCCAGCTCTTGGGCTGTGCCTGTGGGCTGGCCCTGGGCAGCTATTACCTTGCACTGTCAGTTATAAATAAATAAAACACCCTTACTTTCTCCAGAGCTTTACAGTTTGCAAAGCGCTTTCGCTTCCATTATCTCATTGATCCTTCTTACCCCCACTTGATGGAATGGGAGTGTCTGGGTGGAAACGGTCCAGGGCTCCGTGTCCAGAGATCCAGCTGTGCAGCCATAGTGCCGAGGCACCTCGGACAGTCCCTCCTCTTCTCTCTTACTCCTGTAATCTAACGTTTGGCCGGGAATGGTCCCTGGCATTCCAACTCATGTGTGATGGATTTGGGCGGTCAGAGGCTCACGGAACGCTTTGAGGGCTGAAATCCACCGATAAAAAGGCGGGGGATTCTGGGTACATTTAGGTCTCCAGGCTGGTATCCCAAAATGTCTGGGGGGATATGGAAATGTCCTTGGAAGTCGGAGGCTTGATACAGATGGTGGGATGGGTGGAGGTGGGATGGGGAAGAGATCATTATGTCCAGCCCCCTGCCTCCGTGCGGCTTCTCCTCCCCCTGTAGATTAGAGCGTTTTCTGGGTCGGGAAGGGGAGGACGAGATGGAGCTCGTGGCCTTGGGTTCCCTCCTGCGTCGCCCCCTGTAACTGCGTCCCCCAGCACGCACTGCTGACGCGCATCCCCAGCCCGGGGCGGCGCGCTCCGCAGGCATCCCGCCCCCGACTCCCGCTCCGTCCCAACATCGCGCAGGCGCAAGACCGGGCTGGCGCCAGCGAACGCGCCCTCTCGTGGCGGACTGGCCAGGTCGCAGTCTTTGTTGTTGCGCTGGAGGCGGCGTACGGGACAGGGGAGAAAGATGTGGGTGGAGTCTGGGAGGCAGATGCGAGAATCAGATCACAATGACGAGAAGCCCTTTCCTTTGTCCCTCACGGCAACGTATAGATGCAGATAAAGAAAACACGGCCTCAGACCTCAAGAGACTTAGAGACAGGTGCACAGAAACTGAAGCTGAATGAGACACACTGGACAGCAGTCATTCGTTCATTCAGCAAACATTCACTGGGATGGGGAGATACAGGGACAAAGGACCAGAGGGCTTACATTTAGGCACTGGTGGGCAGAGACGGGGCAGAAAGCTGGAGAGACGGATGCGGATGTCAAAAAGGCCAGGACAGAGAAGCGACTAGCTCAGGACAGGGCTGGGCCGCAGGAGTGAGGCGGAGGCCGGGGAAGTACCGGCGGAGCCTAGGGCACGGCAAGGGCACCAGCTGTGCGAGGTGGGGTACGAGCCCCGACCCCTCCAGCTCTCCTGACCGACGCCCCAACTGGGGATGACAAAACGGAGAGCTAAAGATAGGCAATGTGAGCACCAGAAGGGACCCTAGTTGCAATGGACTGAAGCAGTCAGATAGGTGTAAACCATGTATCATCATTCTACTACTACCAAAGAAGCTCGGACTGGCCAGAGTTTGGAGGATGCTAGGGAAACAGCTCTTTATTCAGAAACTGTTTAATACAGGAAGAGTCCAGCGTTTCTCCCGTCTTCCTTTTACGAACTTTCCCACTCAGTAACCAAATCGCAAGGGGCAGTTTCTGTCTATAATTATTCCAGCTAATAAAGGAAGGGGTGATCAGAGTGATCAAATCTGAATATCACTATTCTGCACACACACAAAAAATAAAACGCTAATGGCGGAGGCAAGACACTACTAAGACCACAGAAACGCATGATGTGCCTTCAAATGGAAGAACACTGTCACCACCTATGAAGTGGTCTCAACGAAGGAAATTGAACATAAACCTTATAAGGCCTCTAGATCCAACTACAAATTACAGTAACAATGTACAGGAAATACAACGTACAGGAAGTATGGAGGTGGGAGGAACATGTTAAAGATCACCATAGAGATGCAATCAGCAAAATCCAGAGGGCAAAAAACTACAGAAGAAATTTTCTGGCTCCTTCAAGGAACGAGAAAGAGAAGGGAGGGAGGGAAGGAAGGAAGGAAGGAAGGAAGGAGAGGGAGGGAGGGAAGGAAGGAAGAAAGGAGGGAGGGAGGGAGGGAAGGAAGGAAGAAAGGAGGGAGGGAGGGAGAGAAGGAAGAAGAAGGAGGGAGGGAGGGAGAGAAGGAAGAAGAAGGAGGGAGGGAGGGAAGGAAGGAAGGAGGGAGGAAAGGAAGGAAAGTATGAAGGAAGGAAGGAAGGAAGGGAGGAAGGAAAAAAGAGAGAGAAAGGATGTATGGGAACCTATAGATTTGAAGAAATTTAAAAGAGCCTTGGCCAGGCACAGTGGCTCACGCCCGTAATCTCAGCACTTTGTGAGGCCAAGGTGGGTGGATCACTTGAGGTCAGGAGTTTGAGACCAGCCTGGCCAACATGGTGAAACCCCTGGGCATGGTGGCACGTGCCTGTAGGCTGAGGCAGGAGAATTGCTTGAATCTGGGAGGTGGAGGTGGCAGTGAGCCGAGATCATGGCACTGCACTCCAACCCGGGTGACAGAGCGAGACTCTGTCTCAAAAAAAAAAAAAAAAAAAGCCCTATAAATCATCAATCAGTTGCAATGTGTGTATCTTCTTTGTATCTTGAGTCAAACAAATACACTGTAAAAATATGTATGTTTATGAGAAATTGGTAATTTGAACACTAGAAGTTTGATATTAAGGAATTTTATTGATGATGTTAATAGCTGAACGTGTTATGTGATTATGTTAAAAAGAGTCATTATCATTTAAAGATACACACTGAAATATTGATGGATGAAATTAATCAGGAGGGGTACAGATGAAACTAGACTGGCCATGAGTTGATAATTGTTGAAGCCAGGTGACAGATACACGGGGGCTTATTATAGTATGCTGCAAATTTTTCAAACTAAGAAGTTTAAAGACCCTGTGACCTCCCTTCCCACCCCTAGGCCCAATAGACAGAAGGTGCTGTGTGTTACAAGCAGCAGGTTGCAATCCAGACAGCTCTGAGTGGGAAGGTCCTCTGATGGCTGAGGGGCCTGAGAAGGGTTTCTGGGGACTTTCTGGCTTGTGGGACAGTCCCTGGCTCCCTTGAATTGGGCAGGGAGGATCTGATGGGGAAGTAGCTGCAGCTTTTCATTAAGGAAGGCTGGCCTCTGTGGGCCTGGTGACACTGGGGCCAGGCACTGCTACCTTAAGACAGCTGAGTGGGTGGCTCCAAAAATAGCCAGGGGGACGGCAGGGGGCGGGGAGTCACATGGAGAAGCTCAGGGGTGAGGCTGGGCAGGTGCCCAGGGGGTTGGCACTTCTGCCTGCTCCCCCAGAACCCTTGGGCTCTTCCTCTGCCTCCAGAACCTTTCTTCCTCCCTCCCTCTGTCTCTGAGAAGACAGAGAGATGGCCAGGTGATGCTGGGACAAATACTGCCTTGCCTGAGGGGACGCTGACTCTGGAATTTGGTGGCTCTCCAGGGATGAGCGGGTCAGTCAGGTGGAGAGAGAGAGAGGAAGGGACAAGGACTGCGTAACCTGCCTACCAGTCACCCCATCTGCAGGCCAACACCTGTGCCCTTAGGCTGGACCCAAGTGATCCTTGCCTGGGGTATTTTGTTGTCCTTTTGAGGCCCTGGAGGAGAGGTCACACAGGCACCAAGGATTTGGGAACCCTGGCAGCCATAGGTCCCCGCCCCCTTCTCAGGGCACCTGGGGAGAGTGCCCCTGTGCCTGCCCTAAGTGAGAGACCTGGGGAGAGGACACCGCGCCCCATCGCCCCTGGACTGAGATCCTTTGGCAGAGGCAAGAAGGAAGGGGAAGCAGGGCCGGGCAAGTACATCAGCAGCACAGTCATCGACTGAGCCAGGCACTGGGCTAAGCCGTCCACATGCATTCTACTCATCAGCAATGTGGCCTTGGGGAAGGTATACACCCCTGTGCCTCAGTTTTATCATCTGTTAAATGGGCACAGTAATAATACCTGCCTCATGGAACTGCTGAGGAGATGGAATGAGGTAATATAGGTAGATATATGTAAGATTCTCAGCACAGTAGCTGGCAGCGCTAGCTGGTATTACCCACTGGCAGGTGACCTCCATGTGGGCAGAGGTTTGCTTATCTTTGCAATTTCAATGTCTGATACATAGCAGGTGTTTCATAAATATGCGCTGCATTCATTACTTTGTGGAGTCCTCACAATGATGCCAAGAGGCAAGCACTATTCTTGCCAGTTTATAGTTGTGGAAATGGGCTAGAGGGCAAATGGTGCACTCAAGGCCTCATCCCCAGCAAGTGGCCAAGGTGGCCCACCTCCAGGCCTCCAAGTCTATGCGCCGAATGAACCCTGACTCCATGGGCCAGAGAGGGTGCCTCCTCCGCTCACCTGTCTCTAGCTGGCTGGTCCTGTCCAGGGCTTGCTAGACCTCCACGCTGAAGTGCTTGGACTGGGGATAAAGGCTGGGTGGATGGCACCTACGTTTGCTGTTAAGGAAGCTGCCGCCAGCCAGCTACACCTACTAGTTACCAGGCCCTGTGCCAGGCCCAAGGATACAAACGTGACAAGATCCTAGTCTTCGAGGAGCTTGGAGCAGTCTGTGTGATTGTGTTGTGCCCAGGAAAGCACGCAGGGGCTAAGGGGACACCCAGCTTGGCCTAGCAGAAGAAGGGAGGTCAGAAAGGCTTCAGAGAGGAGAGGACATCTGTGCAGAGTCTGGAAAGGTGACTGGAAGGTTGCTGCTTGAATGAAGGTGGGAAGGGAACTGCAGGCAGAGGCAATAGCCTGGACGACGGCTTGGAGACTTGAGAGAGTCTGCCAAGCTAGGCAGGAGCGGAGTGAGGCTGAGCAGGGGCCTGGGGTTGGAAGGGTAGGGGCAGAGGATGGGATTCTAGACCAGCTGACCAGGTTCAGGACAGGCCAGAAAGCCACCAACTGGGGATGAGCTGGGAACTCAGGGGCCATGAGAACCATTAGAGTTTTAAGGGAGGATGGAGGTGGCCTGGTTGGTGGTTTAAAAAACACTGTGGCCACTGGAGGGGACGGTTGGAGGGACAATGAGTGCGAGGAGGGTGTCTATCCCAGATTTGGTGCATGCTCCAGGCGGGGAGGGGAGGCTGACGCTGGGACCCAGCTGCCCCGAGCCACCTCCCTCCTTCCCTCCTCTCCTCCCTGCCCCCTGTCTCTGTCACTCACCGGGCGGGCCAGGCCGGGCAGCCATGGCTGAGACACTCTTCTGGACTCCTCTCCTCGTGGGCAAGTTGGGGCCTTGTTCAGCGGGGAGGCCCAGGATGAGGGGGCAGGATTTAGGGGTGGTAAGACGGAGGTGTGGAGGGCCCACAGAAGAGGGATCTGGGTTGGGTGAGGCAGGCGCCAGAAGGGCTTTGGGGTGTTAATGCCATGGCCAGCTGGGGATCCAGGGAATGGGGCTGGGAGCTGGGCTCTGGGATGAAGGGGCTGGGAGCTCTGAGGGCTGGAGGTGTCCTAGGGCCCGGGTGGGTCTGACAGCACAGGCCCAAAGGGTCGTGGGCCCTTTAATGAGCTGGCTGGGCCGCAGCTTCTAAGCCCAGGCTAAATTTGGCCCTGGGAGGGAGGGTGGAGCTGGCGGCCAGGTCCTCTGCTCCTCTCTTGGACTTAGGATTCCTTTTGCTCAGCTCCTACTGGCCTCTAGGGCAGGCCTTCTTCTTCCCTGTATTTTAGGGGAGGAAGGTGGGGGTCTCCAGGCCCAGAATGGCTACCCTTCCTCCTCTGTAGGCTCCTGGCCCCGTCTTCCTCTCCTCTGGGCTCTTGGGCATTTAGCATGGGATTCTTTTCCCAGTGCCTTTCACACATACACACCCTCACACACACACACACCCACACACACCCTCACACACACCCTCACGGCACCCTCACACACACACCCTCACACACACCCTCACACACCCTCACACACCCTCACACACACACCCTCACACACCCTCACACACCCTCACACACACACCCTCACACACACCGTCACACACACACCCCACACACCGTCACACACACCCCCCACACACACCCCCACATACCCCCACATACCCCCACACACCCCCCGCAAACACACACCCCCCACACACACCTTCACACACACACACCCTCACACACACCCTCTCACACACACTCACTTGCACACACACCCTCACACACATCCTCACAGACCCTCACACATACCTTCACACACACACCCCCCCACATCCCCTCACACACACACACACCCTCACACACACACTTCCCAGTCAAACATCAGTCCCTGCCCACTGCACCATTAATAGGGGCCTAAAACAAGGAATGGAAAGGTTGTGGGAGAGGTTCTCCCTCGAATCCCGAAACCCAGACGATTAAAATGTCTAGCCCAGCAGGGCTTGCTCCCCCATCCCCACCCCAATCCCTTCCTGGGAGGCAGCAAAGGAAGCGCTTCTCTCGGTCCCTTAGGGGCTCCAAGGACTTGGTGGGGAAGGGAGCTTATCCCCTGCCCAGGACTGAGGCTGGCCTGTGTGTTTGGGACTTGTGGGGTCCCCACAGTTCTCCTGGCAGGGCTGGGGGACACCGAGGCCCAGCAGACCACGCTACACCCACTTGTGGGCCGTGTCTTTGTGCACACCTTGGACCATGAGACGTTTCTGAGCCTTCCTGAGCATGTCGGTGAGCGGCCTGACAGGCACCCAGGCGGGCGGGCTGGGGTGTACCCCGCAGGGCTCCTGCTGTGACTCGAATCCCCTCTCCTCGCTTCCACCAGCTGTCCCACCCGCTGTCCACATCACCTACCACGCCCACCTCCAGGGACACCCAGACCTGCCCCGGTGGCTCCGCTACACCCAGCGCAGCCCCCACCACCCTGGCTTCCTCTACGGCTCTGCCACCCCAGAAGATCGTGGGCTCCAGGTCATTGAGGTGCCGTCAGGGACCCTGAGAAAATCACAGGGGTGGGCCAGAGTGGCCTCCTAGGAGCAGCCCTATGAATTGGGATTGGGTGCTCATTCACAGTCATTTACATATAATTTACATACCTCTAATTTGGTATCTGAGTCCTCTCCTGCCAGGCCCCCGCTGTGCCACGTTTCTCCCCTAACCCACTTCTCAGATGTCTTTCCCATCCCCCAGGTCACAGCCTACAATCGGGACAGCTTTGATACCACTCGGCAGAGGCTGGTGCTGGAGATTGGGGACCCAGAAGGTACCTCTAGCTGTGCCCCATCCCTTCCCCACCAATGCCAGTCTTGGGGAATCTCTCCCGGAGGGGGAGGGGGCTGTGGACAGGAGAGGCTTGGAGAGGAGTGGAGCAGGGCATCCTGGAAAGTGGGGACAAGGCTCTCAGGGAATGGGTGCTGGGCTGGGATTCCAGGCTCTGGAGTTCTGTTACTCGCTGCGTTGCAGAGACTATTGGGACTTGGCTTGTTGGGGTCTGTGATGGATGGGGCATTGAGGGGCCTGAAGGGGTGTGCAGGGATGTGGGGAGGAGCTTCAAGGAGGCTTTGCGGGGCAGAGCTGGGGCTGGGTGCAGCCTGAGGTGTCCACCTGGCCTTCCCAGGCCCCCTGCTGCCATACCAAGCCGAGTTCCTGGTGCGCAGCCACGATGCGGAGGAGGTGCTGCCCTCAACACCTGCCAGCCGCTTCCTCTCAGCCTTGGGGGGACTCTGGGAGCCCGGAGAGCTTCAGCTGCTCAACGTCACCTCTGCCTTGGACCGTGGGGGCCGTGTCCCCCTTCCCATTGAGGGCCGAAAAGAAGGGTAGGTGTGCAACCCTAGAGGACTTCCTGAAAGAGGAGGATGCAGCTTGTGGCGGGCATAGAACAAGGGTCTCCCTAATTTCCAGGTGGGGCTTTACCACGCACATCTCCACCTCCCAGCTTCACACCCCTCACCACTCTCCTCTGGCTATACCCGCATCTCCTTGTCCTTCCAGAGCCTAGACCCTAGTTACCCTGAACTCTGTACTTCCTGGTGCCTCATGAGGACGTACCAGATACATCCATTAAAAGACATTCCTTAGTAGGGAGGGTAAGACCCCCTAGAAGAATGGGGTGCCCTGTGTACTCTCACCATGATCTCAGATCTCTGGGAGGACTGTGACTCCTGCCAGACCCCAGCTGTGCCATGTTCCTCCCTTAATCCTCCCTCTTAGGCGTCTCCCTCATCCCATCCCCAGGTCATAGCCTACAATTAGGAAAGTTTCAACAACCCCTGGCAGAGTGGTGCCTCGTGCCCCCTGCCCCCACTCTGCTGACAGTGACTTCTATCTGGTCCCAGGGTATACATTAAGGTGGGTTCTGCCTCACCTTTTTCTACTTGCCTGAAGATGGTGGCATCCCCCGATAGCCACGCCCGCTGTGCCCAGGGCCAGCCTCCACTTCTGTCTTGCTACGACACCTTGGCACCCCACTTCCGCGTTGACTGGTGCAATGTGACCCTGGTGAGGAGGGACCCTGGGTCCGGGGGTGGGGTGGGGCATGGCCCCCATCCCAGTCCCCCTTCCCTCCCATGCTGCTTCCTATCTCCGTCTCTCTGATTGCTCCAGTCACCATTTCTTTCCCTGATGCTCTCAGTATTGCCCACAGGCTTAGTCTGAGGATACACACACACACACACACACACACACACACACCCCTGAAGTTCTACCTTTCCCCCACAAGAGGGCAACAGAGTCCGCAATCCGCATGTGGGGTCTCCAACTCCCGCGCCCCAGATCTGCCCAGGTCAACAGCTATATCACAGTCCAGTTCCCAAACCCTTTCCCTACCAAGGGCCTCTGCGTGACAGCTCTGTCTGCTTTTCTGTAAGGTGCCACCTAGCAAACCCACTTACAACAAGGATCTGATAGCTCTTCACACTATAAACCAAAGATGCTCACAACAGCTCTTTGGATACTGAGCTGAGGTTCACAGGATCCCACGGCTGGTGTACACTGTTCCTGTGAATTGACCAACAGAGCAGGGACTCATTCAGGGTCCACAGCCAGCGACTGGTAATTGACAACATTCTTGAGCACTTGCTATGTGCTTGGCACTGTCCCATCAACATATTTTATGCTCACCACCACTCCAGGAGACAGGTGCTACTATTATCCTTCTGACATTACAGGTGATGAAACAGAGGCACATAATCATCCTAGCTAAGCACTTGTCTGAGTCTGGATTCAAACCAGGAGGTCAGACCCTAGAGCTGTGCGCTAACCAGTGCACTGTCCCGCCTCTGCTGGACTTTGTGTCTCCTGCCTCCTAGTCCTGGCCCCTGCCATGTTCCTGGGGACCTCTGTGTCCAGCCAGCCACTTCCTGCGTCAGCCCTGAGCTCTCTGTGCAGGTGGATAAGTCAGTGCCGGAGCCTGCAGATGAGGTGCCCACCCCAGGTGATGGGATCCTGGAGCATGACCCGTTCTTCTGCCCACCCACTGAGGCCCCAGACCGTGACTTCTTGGTGGATGCTCTGGTCACCCTCCTGGTGCCCCTGCTGGTGGCCCTGCTTCTCACCTTGCTGCTGGCCTATGTCATGTGCTGCCGGCGGGAGGGAAGGTGAATGTGGGCATGAAGGGCGGGGGAGCACCTGCTGGAGCTCACACCCATGGGACTCACAGTGGCACTTGTGCTGTATGGGACCCAGACACCATGGGAATGGGGTTCTCAGGCACAAAAGGAGTGTGGGGCCCCTTTCTAGGCAACTTGGGGCTTGAGACCTGCCTGGCCTGGCACCAGGAGGGCATTGTGGATAATTGCACACAGACCTCCACTCACATTGGAGCCCTGGGGCACCTTGGGGCGAAACCCAGAGCTGGGCTAACCCTCTCCTTCACTTTTCCACAGGCTGAAGAGAGACCTGGCTACCTCCGAGTGAGTAAAGGAAAGCTGGGGGTGGGGTGGGAGCCCACCTAGACAGTTGTTGGACCCCGCCACCAAACTATGCCATGAACAGCAGAGACAAAATAAATAACTCCAGGGTGATGCTCACCCCTTCCCTTGACCTCTGTAATCCCAGCACTTTGGGAGGCTGAGGTGGGAGGATTGGTTGAGCCTGGAAGTTTGAGGCCAGCCTGGGCAACACAGTGAGACCCCATCTCAACAAAAAAAAAATTTTTTAACTAGCCAGGCGTGGTGGAGCATGCCTGTGGTCCCAGCTACTTGGGAGGCTGAGATAGGAGAATCGCTTGAGCCTGGGAGATTGAGGCTGCAGTGAGCCGTAATCGTGCCACGGCACTCCAGCCTGGGCGACAGAGTGAAACTCTTTCCCCCAAAAAAGAAAAGCCTGTTGTGACACAGGGGAATGGGACCTGCTGCCACTCTGGGGGAAAGGGCTTGAGAAGCAACTTAAGAGACTCCCAGTATCAGTATGAGTCAGACACCTGCGGTCCAGGCCAGGCTCTGCCACACAATTACTCTGTCACCCTTCTTTCTGGCTTCAGATGCTCCACCTGCAAGATCACGAGGTTGGACTAGCTGGTGTCTATGAGTGCTTCCAATTCTGCCAGCCCTTTCCAAATCCTTCCTCTCTTATTTTGGCCTGGTTTCCCCTACTCATGGCCTTACCCCTCCTATGTGCCCCCAGCCCTCTTCCTCTCCCAATACCCTGAACCCTAGATTCCAGGAGGCAGATGTGAAATAAGTTATGTTCCTTTTATTCCCACTGCACTGAGCCAATGGCGGTCTTGGCACCCCTGACTGCTTGCCTGGCCTGCCTCATTAATTGCAGTGGCACTTGGCCACCCTTCGAACCCCCTTGATAAGCCGCTTGTGCCCCTGTTTGGAGCCCAGTAGTGACCTGTGCTGTCCAAAGGGGCGCTGCCCAGAGCGCCACCTCTGCTGTCGTTGCCTCTTGACCTTGAGCTTGGACTTGGAGGCCTGCTTCTTGCCCAGGGTGAAGGAGCCTGAGGCCCCCCTGCCGGTCACCTGCTGAGCCCTTGTCCACCAGCCCCTTGAGCACACGCTTGAAGTGATAGGCATTTCGGGCCATGTCGTAGCCCGTGGTGGAAACAGCCTTCTTCAGGGTGGCCAGGGACACATACTTGCAGGTCCCCTTGTCCGCCACAGCCCTCAGGATCACCTTGGACGTGCTGGGCTTCTGGCAGGGTTTGGCACAGGTGCGTTGCCCAGTCGCTGTCTTGCTAGGGACACGCTGCCCTGCTGGCCTCCACCCATGGCAGTATTTGAGTTCAACAGCACTGATGGAGACAGTGGCGAAGTGCCTTTCTGCTTCTCTCCCTGGGGTAGGTGAAGTGTCTTGGGTGCAAGGACCTCCAGGGCGGCTGGAAGTCTCCACTGGGCTGCCCCTCACAGGATGGCTGAGGTGTGTCCCGGTTCCTGGTCCTCGCTGAGGCTTCCTCTTGAGCTCCGGCCCTCACCTTTACCTGTGTGGCCAGAAAGAGGATCAAGGACGGTCACCCACGGCTGGCCTCCACAGACTTGTGCTCTTGGTGCAGGGGTTGGTGAGGTTATCTCTGTGGTGACCTCAGAGGCTACCAGAATTCTGTGTGGGTCACAGTGGCCCCATTGTTTCCTCCGGGGAGGGGTGGACCGGAGATGCCAGATGGTGGAGGCATGTAACATGCCAGGTGTCCTGGGGAGGAGGGCTGCGCTTGTGGGCCAGACAGCGGGCCTGCACGGTGCGTGCACATATGCATGTGTGTGTGCACATGCCTGGGCGGATTTTATTTTTTAAAAAATTTTTAGAGAGAGGGTCTCACTTTGTCACCCAAGCTGGAGCACAGTGGCATAATCATAGCTCACTGCAACCTCAGACTCCCTGGGCTCAAGCGATCCTCCCATCTCAGCTTCCTGAGTAGCTGGGACTAAAGCTACTGCACCTGGCCTGGCCCCCAGTTTTAAACTCACCATTTTGATCCCACCATCTTGACCCACTGGGTTTTTGAGCCACTGGGTTGAAGAATACAAGCTTTGCAGGCATCAGGGTTATACCAACATTTATGAATTTTTATGGGGAATATAGTTTCCAAAGTGAACAGAGATGTACGCTAAGTTGACTTACGCTAAGTTGACTTAATTCCTCAAGCAACTTTCTATACAAAGCAGTTAAAAGGCTTTGCTTTTATTTTCTGTTTTCAATTTTATAGAATTTTTCCCCATGGGGATCAGTGATTTTTCATGTACATTTCACTAGGAAGATTTTATTCCTCAATTTTTTTGGACTGAACCAAATTTAAACACTAACATCTACTGGCACTGGGGATATTCTCTTGTGACCAGTATTTCCTCCACATCCAGCCTTCCCCGGGTCAACTCTGTAGCTCTGATGTTGTCAGAAAAATCTGCTGCCTCAGTCAATGTGAAATCAATAACCGTTTTACCATGTGCAACGTTAGCCTTGGCTGGTTTGGATTTCACGTTGATGTATTTCTACAAAATCCAATTTTTCACTTGTTCAATGTCTGCCACTTTTCAGATTATCCACAAGTTATGATTCTGCTGCCTGCTTTTCACCTAGATCAGATTTCAGCGGTCACAGAGTCCTCCAGGCCCCACGACCCTCTCCTGGGGATTTCTGTGCCAGAGGCAGTGCTTTCGGGACTGTGTGTTGGTGGTGGAGTGGGTGTGGGTGAGACCTAGGCCACGTGTGTGTGTGTCTGTGCGTGTGCCTGAGTGTGTAGGAATGCCTGCCGTTTGTCTGTCTGCCCAAGTGCTGATGTGGAAGGACCGTGGGGAAGCCACTGCGGGGTCTGGCCTCTGCTCTTGCTCTAGAAAAACATCCCCAGCACATTTTTCCACCTGTGTGTTGCCAGAGTAATGAGGTCCAGATGTGGGGCTGGGAATAAGGAGGGGGCCCACTGACTGAGGCCTTCCTCTGCCAGGGCCTCACCTGCCCAGCTGTCTCTATCTCAGCATCCACACACTGGTTGCTTTCTTTCCCCTCAGTCTCCCCTTGCCTGGGAATAGAAAATTGGGTTTCGGACAACTCAGCTCACTGAATTCCAGACTCAAGAGCTCATCTTGACCCTCCCCTGGCCTTAGATGGTGACTCCACCTCTTCCTGCTGGCCTCCCCGCAGGAGGAGCATGGCCCATTCAGCGTGAAGCTAGGTCTTTTCTGCAGTCTAAACTGTCAGGCTCTAACCGGAGTCTGTGTCCACTAATTGGGACCTGAACATGGGTGGGGATCACTTCTCCTCCCTCATCTCATCAGTAACCAAGTGGCAAGTGGGGTCGCTTCAGCCCTGCCTGGGGCCCCAGCTCCTCTAAGAAAACCAATTCTTGGCTGGGTGCAGTGGCTCATGCCTGTAATCCCAGCACTTTGGGAGGCAGAGGCAGGAGGGTCCCTTGAGGCCAGGAGTTCAAGACCAGCCTGAACAACATAGTAAGACACCTGTCTCTACAAAAAAAATTTTAAATTAGCCGAGCATGGTGGCTTGCACTTATAGTCCCAGTTACTCAGGAGGCTGAGGCAGGAGTATCGCTTGAGCCCAGGAGGTAGAGGCTGCAGTGAGCTACGATTGTGCCACTGCACTGAAGTTGGCGACAAAGTGAGACCCCATCTCTTAAAAATAAATAAATAATATAAAAACATAATATAAAGCTCAGCAAACACTGGCTTCTGGAAGAATATGGCCCCTGTGGATGTCTATTCATGTCTCCATATCTTGTGAGCGCTTATCACGTGGTGGGCACTGTTGTAAACACTCAGCCACATTTTCTCTTTCAATCTTCACAGCAGTCCTAGGAGGTAGGTTTTGGTTTTTTTTTTTAAATAGAGATGGGGTTTCACCATGTTGGTCAGGCTGGCCTTGAACTCTTGGCCTCAAGTGATCCACCCGCTTCGGCCTCCCGAAGTGCTGGGATTACAGGTGTGAGCCACTGCGCCCGGCCTGGTGGTAGGTGTTATTATCTCCATTTGGCCGTTGAGCAAACTAAGGCATGGAGTGGTTAAGCAACTTGCCCAAGACACACAGCCTTGAACCCAGGCTGTCTACACCCACAGCCTATGTCTTGACCACTGGGCACTGAGCAGGCACCATAGAGCTTTCTTTTTTTTGTTTTTTTTCTTCTTTTTTTTACTTTGAGATGGAGTCTCTTGCGATCTCAGCTCACTGCAACCTCCGCCTCCCAGGTTCAAGTGAATCTCCTGCCTCAGCCTCCTGAGTAGCTGGGATTACAGGTGCCCACCACCACACCTGGCTAATTTTTATTTTTATTTTTTGTAGAAACAGGGTTTCACCGTGTTGGCCAGGCTGGTCTCGAACTCCTGACCTCAAGTGATCTGCCTGCCTTGGCCTCCCAAAGTGCTGGGATTATAGGCATGAGCCACCACGCCCGGCCCCATAGAGCTTTCTGTTTGTTTTCTGCCCCTGCATCATGTGTCTGAGTCTCTCCCCACATAAGTGGTGGGGAGGACCGCAGGGTGGCTCAGAGGCAGTTCCAGGCTGTACTCCAGGGCAGCTGACTCCCAGAGCTGATGACTCCCCACCTGTGCCTCCAGCATCCAGATGGTCCACCACTGCACCATCCACGGGAACACAGAGGAGCTGCGGCAGATGGCGGCCAGCCGCGAGGTGCCCCGGCCACTCTCCACCCTGCCCATGTTCAATGTGCACACAGGTGAGCGGCTGCCTCCCCGCGTGGACAGCGCCCAGGTGCCCCTCATTCTGGACCAGCACTGACAGCCTAGCCAGGTAGGTCTGGTGGGTGATGCCAGCCTTATTTCTGGGAACAAGATGGCCTTTATCACAAGGCTGGGGCAAATGGTGGGGTCTGGGAGAGGTCAGGGGAAGAGGCACATAGACTTGTCTGCCCCTCTGAGGCCGCTGCTGGGGGTCCTCACCAGTGCCAGGGCTATGACCCCAATGCCAAGCACTCGCAGTTGGAGTGTCAGGGTGGGGAAGTCAGGAGAACCAGCATCTGGCCCTCTCAGCCCTCCACTCTCTCTTCCCACAGTGGTTCCAGGTCCAGCCCTGACTTCATCCTCCCTTCTCTGTCCACACCACGAGTGGCACATCCCACCTGCTGATTCCAGCTCCTGGCCCTCCTGGAACCCAGGCTCTAAACAAGCAGGGAGAGGGGGTGGGGTGGGGTGAGAGTGTGTGGAGTAAGGACATTCAGAATAAATATCTGCTGCTCTGCTCACCAATTGCTGCTGGCAGCCTCTCCCGTCCTCACTGGCTCTGTTTCCCTTTGTGCTTTCTGGGAGGCCCCATAGGCAGCCAGTGCCTGCCGGCCTGCCCTTTGGACTCTTGGCATTTTGCTGTTTTCTCAAATTCTCTGGAAGAAAGAGGGAAGGACCTGCTATCTGTAGCCCTCCCACGAACCTGGTAGTGAGGTATGCCTGGATCACTATCCCCATTTCACAGACAAGGAAACAGAGACCAAGGGAGAGTCAGTGACTTACCCAAGGCTACAGAACAAGCAAGTGGCAAAGCTTGAATTTGACCCTGGCACTTCTGCCTCCACCCTGCCTTCTACAGGGTTGAGGGGTTCTGGAAGCAGGAAATCCAGACCCTTACCTGTAGATTTCTTTGGCACCTCAAGATTCCCTGGAAGGAGAGTCCCTCTGTCTGTTGTGTTTGGAGAGAAGCCAATCTAGATATGGAGAGCGAGGCCGGGCGTGGTGGCTTACACCTGTAATCCCAGCACTTTGGGAGGCCAAAACAGGCAGATCACTTGAGGTCAGTAGTTCGAGACCAGCCTGGCCAACATAGTGAAACCCCATCTCTACTAAAAATACAAAAATTAGCCAGGCATGGTGGCACGTACCTGTAATCCCTGCTACTCGGGAGGCTGAGGCAGGAGAATCACTTGAACCCAGGAGGTGGAGTTGCAGTGAGCCGAGATCACACCACTGCATTCCAGCCTGGGTGACAGAGCAAAACTCTGTCTCAAAAAAAAAAAAAAAAAAAAAAAGATATGGAAAGAGGGAGGTTGGAATGCGGGTCCCGGAATGCCCTAGGCTCAAGGACTACCCCCCGCCTTGCTGAGCTCCTCCAGAGATGGGCAGGGGTGCAGAGGACACAGCACAGCCTGGGACCCTTGTTGGACTGAGTGGTGCTAGCACAGCTTGACCCCACACGAGCTCAGAAGAGCTCAGCTGGCCATGAGAAGGCCTGAGCTTGTTTTTCCCAGGTGGACACAACCAAATGGGGCCGATTCTGCCCCGATCACTGCCATCTGGCCATGTCCAGGCTCATATACTCCCACTCCCACGTGAGGACAGGCCAGGGACTCAGCCCGAGAGGGGCCCGGCTAAAAGAGGGATAGCTGGCAAGGCCCTCCCCTAGTGGCAACTCCGAGAGAACACAGACAAGGGCTGGCATCACCACTCCAGCCTCCTTCTCCTTTTCCTCTGCTGGGAGGCCCTGGCTCCCACATCCACACAACTAGCCCCTCACTGCAGGTTCTGTCTTTGCCCAAAGGGCACCTCCTCAGAGAGGCCTTCCCTGTCCCCGCTGTGGTCCCACTGCGGTCCCACTGCCTGCCCTGCGAGGCCTTCCTGCTCTCTGAGAGGATTCGCGCTGTCTCGGCTCACATATTCCGAGTCCTCTTCCGCACTAGAACATACGATTCTTTCAGCCTGCAGCAGGTGCAGTGCCTGCACACAGTGAGTGCTCAGGAAGGATGTTCTGAAGGAAGGCATGAAGGGATACCATGTGTCTGGGTTTGCTCAGCGTTCTTTCTTTTAGAGCCAGGGTCTCACTACATTGCCCACGCTGGTCCCGAACTCCTGGCCTCAAGTGGTCCTCTTGCCTCAGCCTCCTGAGTAGCTGGGATGACCGCTGTGAGCTACCGTTCCTGTGCTCAGTGTTCTTAAGGAGGTTGCTCCCCTTCTCAGGGCACAGGGGTTGAGCAAGGCCATGGCTAAAGCTTCTTCCATTATCTCCTGAGCCTCCCTGTACCCATTAGTTAGTCAATCAACTCATCAAACACTGGTTTCGTGAGCATCTGCTGAGGCAGGCTGAGGTGTAGTGTACGTGCTTAATAATTGCCTGTTGAATGACTAGCTCTTTAGGTGCCCACGCCATAACCAAACGGGTTCTTTGACTAGCGGGTGCCTCTGGCTTCTCCTTGGCTATTTCTTTCTTTCTCCTGAAGGAAACCAGGAGTTGCGCAGACCGGAGGCTCCAGCAGCCAGCCTGCTGCCTGGGGTGGCTCCTTGATCCCTGCTCCCTTGAGGAGGAGGCTGCCCACCCCTCATCTCTGGGCTCGCCCCCTGCAGCCAGGCAGCTCTTGGGCCTCCTGTGCTCTTCCTGTGCTGGCCAGGGCTGGGAGAGTGCAAGGCCAGCTCCTCACTTCCCGGCTTTGCCTTGGGGTCTTGGCAGCGCCTTTCTCTCTGCTCAGCTCCAAAGAGCACACGGGAGCCTGGCTGCCGGCCTGAGAGGAAGCGGCCCAGACAAGTAGCTGGGAGGATGGCGTGCCTGCAGAAGACGCTGAGCCCTGCCTGGGCACACACGTCCAGAGGCCCCCGGCAGCATGCCGGGAGGGCACAGACATACTTAGCGCCTCCCCACTGGGCAACAGCCCCTCCCTGGCGTGCAAGATTCCAGCCAGCAGTCAAGCTCCACCCCCCACAGCCCAGGACAAAGAAGGGCAGCCGCCCCCACCGCCACCTCCACCGGGAGACTTGGCCCAGCTGCACACTCTGCTCCACCCCTGTCTCCTCCAGTCCCATGATGGCATTGCCCCTGTTACCCAGTGGGTGGCCTCCACCTTCCTTCTAAACACAGCACCCACACGTGGCCTGACGCTCAGACATTCCCTCACCACCTCTCTATCAGCCAGACCTGGTGACTCAAGTCGCCACCTAGGGCCGGCCTCAGCCCCCTGCTGCACGCTGCCCCGGAGCAGGACTGGAATCATGATCCTGCCACACAACAGCTGGCTCAGCCAGCTGAGGGTTAGTTTACTCATAAGATGATCATCATAACCGCCTTGGGGCTGTTGTGAGAATTTGTGGGAACTGGACACTCTGGCAGCTCCCAAGGATGGACACATTATTGCATGCAAGCACACACAATCCCACAAGGCCAGAGGTCCCTGGGGTCTCCCTGGCCCCTAAGATTCAGGCTAAATGAACTCCATTTCCACCTGCACCTTGTAAAAAGTTCAATCTCTCCCTGTGAATTGGGAGTGGAAGCCTAAATTTGTATGATCTTTGGTACGGAACTGCTGCCTAGAGCTGCACCATCCAGTACAGCAGCCTCAGGCCATGTGGCTACTGAGCACTTAAGATGTGGCTAGTCCAAACTGAGATGTACCTCAGTGTAATGGTGAAACGATCGGATTTGGGGATACATTAGGTTAAATAAAAGACATTGCTAAAATTAGTTTTACCTGTAGATACTTATTTATTCTTTTGAGATGAGGTCTCATTATGTTGCCCAGGCTGGAGTGCAGTGGCATGACCATAGCTTACTGTTACCTCAAACTCAAGTGATCTTCCTGCCTCAGCCACCAAGTAGCTAGGATTACAGGCACTCACCACCACATCTGGCTAATTTTTGCAATTTTTTTTGTAGAGATAGGGTCTCACTGTGTTGCCCAGGCTGGTCTCAAACTCCTGGCCTCAAGGGATCCTCCTGCATCAGCCTCCCGAGTAGCTAGGACATGCACTACAGCACCAGCCTTTTTATCTTTTTTTTTTTTTTTTTTCAGATGGAGTCTTGCTCCATTGCCCAGGCTGGAGTGCAGTGGCGCTATCCTGGCTCACTGCAACCTCCACCTCCCTGGTTCAAGCAATTTCCCTGCCTCAGCCTCCCGAGTAGCTGGGACTACAGGCGCACACCACCAGGCCCAGCTAATTTTTTTTTTGTATTTTTAGTAGAGACAGGATTTCACCATGTTGGCCAGACTGGTCACAAACTCCTGACCTCAGGCAATACGCCCGCCTCGGCCTCCCAAAGTGCTGGGATTAGAGGCGTGAGCCACCGCCCCCAGCCCTTTTTATCTTTTTTTAAATGGCTGCTAGATCATAAAAAATTACATCCGCACCTTGGGTTGTATCTTTATTGGGCTGTGCTGGTTTCATGGCTCTTCCTGTATCTCCATCCCAGATTAACTCACACCCAGAACTCAGCCCCTTTCCCTGCTTTCTACAGAACACCTGCTCTCCTAGGCCTCCGTGAACTCAGCAGCGAAGCCCTGGCCTGCGGGCAGAGTTTGCCCCACAGCAGTGAATTCATCCAGAACTTGCACGTGTATGTGGCCTCCCTCTCTAAAATGTTTTAGTCCCCATCATGGTTCTCTGTCCCTTCTCATTCAGTACCCCCTTCCCAGTTCCTCCCACTGTCTTTTGCAGAGAAAATCCCACTTTCTCCAGCATTAGCATGTGCCAAACTCACCTCCCTCCTGGCCTTGCCTTGCACATCCTCTGCAAAGGGTTGAAATCTCTGCATGGGGAGGGCCTGCCACCCTCCTGGACAAGACCCCTCCTGCTTCCAGGATCTTGCCTCCCTGACTGTGGACATGCCCTCGGCCTGACTTGATACCCTCTGGAGCGCACACAGGGGAAGGGGACAGGGAGACTCAGCCTTCCCAGCACCAGGGCTCCCACTGGCTGGGGGACTTCAGGAGAGTGGTCTCCTCCCACACCGAGCCCCCACTAATTTTTCCCACACTCCTCTCTGCTCCCCCGCCCCATTCATCCATATCACACAGACAGACCCTCCTATGCCCTCTGTCATGCCCATGTACACATATGTCCCAAATGCCACAGTCCATGTGTTCTCACAGTTCACACAGGGTTGCTTTCACTGCCATACGTGTGGGGAAGCTGCCCTCATCATGCACAGATGCCCGCCCACCCCAACCCACACACATACATGTGTATAGGCCCCTGTGAACACAGATACATTTATTTGTGCACAGGTAGGTGGGCACAGACAGTGAGACACATTCTCATCACCAGGCACCCCCAGGAGACAGAGACCCCTTGGTGGCACTCACCTTGCTCCCTCAGACGCCATCGCAGGCCTCCTCGTGTGGACGCTGGGCTTGACGGCAGCCTCGCATTCTTTCCCACGCGGCCCACGCTCACGCCTGCTCCACACACAGTCTCCTCACCCCAGCCGGCAAGCTTTCTTGCAACCCCTCTCCTCCTCCACCCACCCAGCTCTGTCATTGGAGAAAGTCTGGGAAGCTGAGAGTTAAGGTGCTGGGGAAAAAAAAAAAAAAGGAGGGAAAATCTACTGTATTCCGGTGATAGAAAATCCTGCCAGGAGATGGGGCTTAGGTCCCAAAAGGGACCCAGGATTCTGAGATTGCAGCAGAAATTAAAAATCCAAATGAAGCCTCCTCCCTTTCTAGAATTTTCCATCTGGGCTTGACTGAAAAATCAGCCAAAAATCAGGAGCCTGGTCCTTCTCACAGAGAAGACAAAGGTGAGTCTGACAGAGCGGCAGGCTCTGTGACACCCTGCAGGAGATAGTGAGGGTCTCGGGGAGCGGGTCTGGGTGGCTGTATTTAGGGCGGCTGTGATGTCAGCGGAAAGGAGGGTTTGAGTTGGGAATGTGGCACAATGGCCCCTTTGTCCCCCTCCCCTCCTGTCCTGTACACACTGAAACCACACACCGGCCCCACACCACGTGATGCAGGCTCAGAGCTGCCCATGGGGCACTGCCACACAAGGCTGCCCCCGCTGCAGCCCTGACCCACAGTGCGTGTGTCCACATACATGCCCACGCGTGTGCACACACACCCACGTACCCACATGTAGATTTGTACAGAGGTGACAAGAGGCATATTCACTCCTTTGCCTACAGCTCTGCTGCCCCGTATGGTAACCCTTATCCCACATATAGTTAGTAAAACTAATTGCAATTCAGTAAAAGTGGAAACTGCATTCCTCAGTCACACTAACTGCATCTCACATGCTCAACAGCTGCATGTGGTTAGCGGCTACCGCACTGGGCGGTGCAGCTCTAGGACATGTCTGTTGCTGCAGAAAGCCCTGCCCTGCGCCCTCCGTTGCTGTCTGCTCCCCCATGGGCCTTCCACTTGCTCTTCCTCTCACACTCGCTCACTCCTGTGCACCAAGCACACACAGCGCCATGCTCTCACCTAATGGGTGGCCTCTCTAGCTCAGTCTCTCTCTCTTTAGTCTCCCCAGTACCTAAGCACAGACTCTGCCTAGCCCTGCATTGCAACACCTGGCCTCTAGTCTGGAGAGAATAACAGGATGGAAACATGACCACATCCACAATCCTAGGATGAAGGACCGAGGGGAGCTATGTGGATCTGGAGAGCTTTGGAAACTCAGAGGGGCTGAGCTCAGGCTGGGTTGGGCAAGGGAATGGGAAGAGAATGAGACATTTGAGCATGGCCCGGACAGTAGGGTGTTGAGCATGCAGAGAGAAAGGACATCTAGAAGGCCTGGAAGTGGGGAAATGCAGTGCATTTGTGAGAACTGTTGGCCACCCTTTTTGGTTGGTGTGACAGATGTGGGCAGGGGAGGGGACAGTGAGCCTGGGCAGGTGGGTAGTGGCCAGGTAGAGCCTTGGATGCCAGGCTCAGGATGTCCCTGGGTCCCCCACGAGGGCAGATGGGGATGTGGCCTGGACAGCCAGGGTCCTAAAGTCCCAGAGGTCCAAGTGGACAGGGTTTCCTGGGCAGCATGGCAGGCATCACCAAGCAATCAACACATTGATCAAGAGATGGAGCCTGGTGCTGTGGCTCATGTCCGCAATCCCAGCACTTTGAGAGGCTGAGGCAGGTGGATCACTTGAGGCCAGGAGTTCGAGACCAGGCTGGCTAACATGGTAAAACCCTGACTCTACTAAAAATATAAAAATTAGCTGGGCGTGGTAGTGCATGGCTGTCATCCCAGTTACTTGGGAGGCTGAGGCATGAGAATTGCTTGAACCTGGGAGGCGGAGGTTGCAGTGAGCTGAGACTGCGCCACCGCACTCCAGCCTGGGTGACAGAGTGAGACTCTGTCTCAAAAAAAAGAGAGAAAGAGAGATGGATAGGCATCACACAACTTTGGGTAATTTGCATATGAATAAGCCTTCATTTATATGCCATCATTCTTATCCTCTCTACACTGATTCCCTTTCTACACTGTCCTAAGTGTGGTAGAAGTGCTAATGATGAATTATTGAAGGCCATAATGAACGGCCATGAATACTTAATGACATCACGATATTAGTATTGCTGATGGATGGTATCTACAGACTTGTCCATCTCTCTGGAGACCTTAGGGAGGAGTGCGGGCTTTTTGTTCTTTTTGGGTTTAGACCTGAGATGAGGTGAGAGAGGTGACCAGCTGTCGTCTCGCTGTCTCCCTGGCTCCGGGTGCCTGGTTCTCTCTGGACTTCTGACGCCCTGGATTCTCTGTCCCCCGCTGACCACACTCGCTGTCCCCCTTACCTGAGATGGGGGAGCCGAACAGTCACCTTCCCTCCGGGCCTCGCCTTCTCAGGGCCTCTGGGAAGGAGCAGGCAGAAGGTGAAGGGAAAGAGAAGGGACGGAGAAGAGGGGGGAAGAGGAAGCAAGAATTTAAGAAAAAAAAGAAAGAAAGAAAGAAAAAGCTTAAAAAGGAGTAGGCGGGAGGCGGGGGCACGATGGTTCCCCAGACCACCCCAGCCCAGGGGGGTTGTGTTCTGGGGATTCAGGAGGTCGAGGCACCCAGTCCGTGGTGAGCAGGGCCAGGTCTCCTTCCTTCCCAAGAGCACGGTGCGAGTGCCTTCCCCACAGCTCTCCCAGGTGTCTGTCTCCCTCACTCCCCCAGGGCCAGGACAGCGAGCAGGGAGCACGCCTTCCTCCTGGTCCCTCCCAGACCCTCGCCAGGCTCAGCAGACCCCTCTCCTGTTGCGTTGCTCCTTCGGCAGGAGGTCAGCGTGGGTGAGAAGGGAGCAGAGGCCAGATGACCCTTCATGTCAGTTCAAGGAGAGGCCCCCAGGTCCTCCTCACGGGTTCCACTCCCCTCACCCTCCCAGTATCCATGAGCATCCCACCGCCACCAAGTGCAGGGCATCCAGGGGGTGGAGAGTGGATGGGCTTGAAGGGGAGTGGGTATGAGGTTTGGACAACCCCAGATGTGAAGAGTGTGTGTGTGTGTTGTGCACGTGGATTGCCTGTATGGTATTGCAGGGGAGAAGAGGATTTGGAAAAGGTGCAAGGAAATTGCAAGAATAGAAAATGAAAGAGGAAGTAGAAAGGTTTGCGGTATAAGAAGGGTGAGAGAAAGGGGAGTGGGGTTATGGAGGGATCTAGAAGAGAATAGTGGGGAGGGAAAGGGCAGGAATGGAAGGCAAGCCCATCACCCCAAAGCCCCTTCCCCATGTCTACCCCTCCCCCAACTCCAAAGAAGGAAATTAGGAGGCCACTGCGGATTATGTTTGGGTCATTTCCACATGCTTTATTCCAGCAATCAAAATAATTAAAAACATCTCAAATTATTATACACATACAAAATAGGTACAGAGTCTTTTGCTTCCTCCCACCCCTAGGGGGAAAAACTGCTTTGTGCTTTGGGAAGTTGTCTCTGAAACCCGGGGACAGAGGACGCAGGACAGACTAGGAGGGAGCCGGGAGGATGGGCTGCAGCTGTGGAGGAGGGTTTCAGAGGAGAGAGGTCGGAGAGCAGAGGCCTGAGAAGCCAGAGGCAGGTGGAGAGAGGGTGGAAAGTGAGCAGCGGGCTGGGCTGGAGCCGCACACGCTCTCCTCCCATGTTAAATAGCACCTTTAGAAAAATTCACAAGTCCCCATCCACAAAAAAAAAAAAAAAAAAAGAAAAATATCAAGGAATAAAAATAGACTTTGAACAAAAAGGAACATTTGCTGGCCTGGGGGGGCATCTCAATTTCTATAGCACCAGTGATTCCCTCCCCACCCCACCCATCACATAGATGTAGCACCTTTGGTATAAAATGGGGAGCCGCTTCCACCCTGCCCCCATCCCCGCCCCCAGGCAGTTGCCCCGGTGACACATCAAGACAAGAACGAGGTAGTCTTTCAGCAACACAGTTACACAAGGAACAGAACAGTCTCTCCCGCCCAGCCCTGCGGCACAAGGGATTGACACGCGTTCCCCAAATCCGATGTTTCTGCTTTGTCGTGGCCCTTCCTGACTCTCCTCCGAACCCAGTGAGGGGCTGGTGGCTCCCCCGGCATGACCCCCTCAAAAACGAAGGGGAGATGTTGCAAGAGCCATGGGAGCGCCAGATGGCAAGGCTTCTTTGGCAGTCTGAGAACCCCAGGTCCCCCAGGGCCTGGGGGTGCTGGGCGGGCAGGAGCGGGCTGAGGGTGGGGGCCACTTGGGTGTTTGAGCATTGCCTTTGATTGCTGGGCAGACAATACATTGTTTCCTGTGTCTTCTGGGGAGACAGATTTGGGAAGGAGTGGAGGGGAGGCCCCAAGGGGGGTGTGGAGAAAGGAGCAGAAAGGGCAGCATTGGGGTTTCATAAGCCCAACGGGCAGAAAGGGACTTACCCCCGCATGGGTCTTCAAGCAAGTGGACCAAGCTTCCTTTTTTAAAAAGTTATTTATTTATTCTTTTTTTTTTTTTTTTTTTGGTAAGGTTGAATGCACTTTTGGTTTTTGGTCATGTTCGGTTGGTCAAAGATAAAAACTAAGTTTGAGAGATGAATGCAAAGGAAAAAAATATTTTCCAAAGTCCATGTGAAATTGTCTCCCATTTTTTGGCTTTTGAGGGGGTTCAGTTTGGGTTGCTTGTCTGTTTCCGGGTTGGGGGGAAAGTTGGTTGGGTGGGAGGGAGCCAGGTTGGGATGGAGGGAGTTTACAGGAAGCAGACAGGGCCAACGTCGAAGCCGAATTCCTGGTCTGGGGCACCAACGTCCAAGGGGGCCACATCGATGATGGGCAGGCGGGAGGTCTTGGTGGTTTTGTATTCAATCACTGTCTTGCCCCAGGCTCCGGTGTGACTCTGGGGTGGGGCGGAGACAACGGGAGGGGGCATTACCACGTGGGAGTGATGGAGAGAGGGCACTATGGCCTGGCCAAAAAGCCCAAGGCCGGAGAGGTGGGGCCCTGCCTGGGGATTCTGGGCACTCACCGTGCAGCCATCGACAGTGACGCTGTAGGTGAAGCGGCTGTTGCCCTCGGCGCGGATCTCGATCTCGTTGGAGCCCTGGAGGAGCAGGGCCTTCTTGAGGTTGCCAGTCTGCTGGTCCATGTAGGCCACGCTGTTCTTGCAGTGGTAGGTGATGTTCTGGGAGGCCTCGGTGGACATCAGGCGCAGGAAGGTCAGCTGGATGGCCACATCGGCAGGGTCGGAGCCCTGGCCGCCATACTCGAACTGCAGGGGAGGGGAGAGAGGGAAGAGTGAGCCGCTATGCGGGAACCTCTAGTCCTGCCTGGCCTCCCTGTCCAGGGTCCTCAGAGAGCTGCCCAATGCACCGTTATATCGAGAGGAGGCACCACCTGCCCATCGGCAGCCTGTGTCTGAACCACTATCAGGGACCTGAGACCCCTGCCTCCCAGCCCAGCTCTGTCCATCACCCTTAGCAGAGACCTACTCCAGGACTTCATGTCCCTTCTGAGCACTGGGCTAGCCCATCTCCTAACACTGGCTCTGAGGTCCAGCTCACGCACCTGGAATCCATCGGTCATGCTCTCGCCGAACCAGACATGCCTCTTGTCCTTGGGGTTCTTGCTGATGTACCAGTTCTTCTGGGCCACACTGGGCTGAGTGGGGTACACGCAGGTCTCACCAGTCTCCATGTTGCAGAAGACTTTGATGGCATCCAGGTTGCAGCCTTGGTTGGGGTCAATCCAGTACTCTCCTGTGGTAGGGCAGGGCAAGATGGAGTCAGGGAAAGGGAGCAGCCAGCACCATATGGTAGGGGCACATATGGGCATGGGGACCCTGGCATGGCAGGAGTAGGAGGGAGGGAGAGGCTAGGGCAGGCCCTCACCACTCTTCCAGTCAGAGTGGCACATCTTGAGGTCACGGCAGGTGCGGGCGGGGTTCTTGCGGCTGCCCTCTGGGCTCCGGATGTTCTCGATCTGCTGGCTCAGGCTCTTGAGGGTGGTGTCCACCTCGAGGTCACGGTCACGAACCACATTGGCATCATCAGCCCGGTAGTAGCGGCCACCATCGTGAGCCTTCTCTTGAGGTGGCTGGGGCAGGAAGCTGAAGTCGAAACCAGCGCTGGGAGGACCAGGGGGACCAGGAGGTCCAGGAGGGCCGGGGGGACCCTGCACAGAGAGGGAAGAGAGTGGGGATTACCGGCATCCAAGTGCTTTGGGGGCTGGAGGGCCATGAGCAGAGGGGATGAGGGGCTACATACAACAGGACCAGCATCACCAGTGCGACCGCGAGGACCAGGGGGCCCAATGGGGCCAGGGAGACCGTTGAGTCCATCTTTGCCAGGAGCACCAGCAGAGCCAGGGGGACCCTGGAGTGGGGGAAATGGTTTGAGAAAGGCTGCCAGAAGCCCGAACAACCCCAGCTCTGGAGGAGAGGCCCACCACCCTCCCTGCTGGCTCTGGCCCCACGGCTCATAGAGCCAGCCTCAGCCTCTTTCCATAGGACATGCCATAGCTCCTCCCAGCCGCTGAGCCAGGGGAGGACGGATTGGGGAGCAGAGAGGCCAAAGCTAGATCAGATTGTTTGTTCAGGATTCTTCCTCTCTTTGCCCACTCCCTGTCCCTGAACCCTTCTCCAGAGAGGCAAAGGGTGCCTGGGTCCCTGGCAAGGGTCCCCGAGGTGAGCCTGGGCTTGGGGCTCAGGAAGAGGAGAGAGAAGGCATGACTTACTCGGGGACCAGCAGGACCAGAGGCTCCAGAGGGACCTTGTTCACCAGGAGAGCCCTGAAGGACAGATAAAAAAGGCAGTTCAGGCCCAGTGAGCGTCAAATGTAGCCTGAGGGCCTGGCTGGAGAGACAAGGGCAGTGTGGGCAACCCATGCCCCTTCATTATTCTGGAAATCTAGCCCGAGGGTGTCCATAGGCAGAGACCTCTCCCATAATCCCTCTCTGTGTACCCCTCACCCTCTCAGAAGCTACTTGGACATGCCCACAAATCTTCAGACCCCAGTCCCCACTAGGGAGGGGAAAGAATGACTATCCAGAGGGGGAAACTGAGGCGAAGCTCCCCCTCCTATCCCACAGCACAGCATGGGGACTGGGGAGGGGCTGAGCATACTTACAGGAGGGCCAGGGGGACCCTGGAGGCCAGAGAAGCCACGGTGACCCTTTATGCCTCTGTCGCCCTGTTCGCCTGTCTCACCCTTGTCACCACGGGGGCCTTGGGGTCCCTAGAAGAGAGAAAGGGACAAACTGTCAGGCGGAAGTTCCATTGGCATCGAGTGGGGCACTGTCTGCATCTGTAGAGTTCTAAAGGCATGGGGGACACAGCAGGGTACTTACGGCGGGGCCACGGGCGCCAACAGGGCCGACAGGACCGGCGGGACCAGCAGGACCCTGGGGAGAGCAAGGAAAGCATGAGCTCTTGGCCAGGGAAGGCTGAGGCTGGGGCTGCAGGATGAGGCCTCCCCTCTGCTGGATCTCTCTCTCCTCAGCTGCTTCCCACTGTGGCCATCTCTCCCAACTCCCAGGGAAACCTCCCCACTGCAATCTTCACGGGAGCTGGGGCCAACTCATGGGAGAGGCGGTCCTGTCTGGGAGAGGGGACTTGGGGCTGAGCTTTAACTCAGTTTTTTGGATTAAGGCCCTGACATCTTGCAGGATCTCCTTTCCTCCCCCTGCCTGGGTGAAGTCCGACACCCATCCCCAGGCCTCTAAGGAGGCCTGAAGAGTCCCTGGCCTGACCAGGTACAGGGAACTGGAGCCCAGCTACTTACAGTCTCACCACGATCACCACTCTTGCCAGCAGGGCCAACGGGGCCAGGGGCACCAGGAGCACCAGGAGCACCAGGGGGTCCAGCGGGGCCGGTCTCACCACGGTCACCCTGGCGGGGAGAGCAGGGGAATATGGGTCAGCCCCGGGTGAAGGGCCAGGATGGGGCAGGGAAGCAGCAGACAAGGCTGTGGTCATGGAGTGTTGCCATCTTACCTTGGCGCCAGGAGAACCGTCTCGTCCAGGGGAACCTTCGGCACCAGGAGCCCCCTGCAGAGAGAGAGAGAGAGAAGTGAGAGTCAGCCGGGGAAGAGGGCTTAGGCAAGGCCACAATGGCCATGCTGAGGGTACTGGCATGGGGGCTGGGGACTGCTCACCTCACGTCCAGATTCACCAGGGGGTCCAGCCAATCCAGGGGGGCCCATGGGACCAGGGGGACCACGTTCACCACTTGCTCCAGAGGGACCTTGTTTGCCAGGTTCACCCTAAGGGAGAAGAAAGAGTCAGGCCAGAGATAGGGTCTGGGAGGACCCTTGAGTCCGCTGGAGTCATCTCTACCAAATCTGTTCTCCTTGGCTCCGCCCCACTCCAAGTCCTGTGATGGTTTTTCTCAGGGCCCCCCAAGGTGAGGGGGGCACTTACAGAGGGGCCAGGAAGACCAGGGAAGCCTCTCTCTCCTCTCTGACCAGGCAGGCCGACCACACCACGCTGTCCAGCAATACCTTGAGGCCCGGGAGTACCAGGAGCACCCTTTGGGAGGCAAACAGGGGTGAGGTGCCAGAGAGCAGCACAGGGACCCCTCCCCAGCTCTGCACACCTCCGGAGCTGCAGAGATCTGAGCTGGCACTTACAGCAGGACCATCAGCACCAGGGGATCCTTTCTCGCCAGCAGGGCCAGGGGGACCAGGGGGACCAACTTCACCAGGACGTCCAGCAGGGCCAGTCTCACCACGGGGACCTTTGCCGCCTTCTTTGCCAGCAGGACCAGGAGGGCCAGGGGGTCCAGCATTTCCCTGGATGAGGATAGGAGGGGCTGTCAGACTCCAGGGGGCTCTGGTGCATCATTGGGTCCTCAGTCAGCCCCACCATCCTTCTGGCAGCCCCCACCCAGCACCCCCAACCTAGAGCAGTGGACTCTGCTGCAGAGACTTACAGAGGGGCCAGGAGGACCGACTCGGCCAGCAGCACCAGGGAAACCAGTAGCACCCTGGAAGGAGAGAACATAGGAACAGTCAGAGGGAGAACAGCCAACTCATCCGACCCAGCTGCCCTCACCTGCCACCGCTGCCTGGGGAGAGGGGAGAGGCTCAACAGAGAGGCGGGTGATACTCACAGGGGGACCAGCGCTGCCGCGAGCACCTTTGGCTCCAGGAGCACCAACATTACCCTGTAGGAGAGCACAGAGGCATCAAGCCTGGACCCGTCCTGGGTCCCAGCCCACCAGCCTCGTGGGCACAGAGGGCCAAGCCACTCACAATGGGGCCAGGGGGTCCAGCGGGTCCGGCAGGGCCAGGGGGACCAGCATCGCCTTTAGCACCAGCATCACCAGGTTCGCCTTTAGCACCAGGTTGGCCGTCAGCACCCTGGGGGAGGAAGCAGGGCGGTGAATGGAGGGAAGGAGGCAGGAGTTTCCACTACCTGGGGGAGGAGCAGTAATGGAGGCAGGAAGATGCTTGGGTGGGAAACAATCCCGTCTCCACCCTTCTCCCCTGAGGATGGCTGACGCCTTTGTCCTCATTCCGTCCCTCGAGGTCCCAGGTCCCAGTCGGTGATGAAAAATGATGGGGGTCTTGGTACTCACAGGGGGGCCAGCAAAGCCAGCAGGGCCGGGGGGACCAGGCTCACCACGGTCTCCCTAGAAGAAAAGGAGTCAGATTGGAGAGATGCGCTGACAGGAGGGAAGGCGGGGATGCGGTGAGGGGAGAGGCAAGGGGTGAAGGCACAGACAGGGCCAGGGGTGCTGTGTGAAGGGAGGGAAGGGCCAAGTATGGGGTCTTAACAGGTCTTCTGTACTTACGGGGGCACCACGAGCTCCAGTGGGACCAGCAGGGCCGCTGGGACCACTTTCACCCTGAGAGCAAGGGACAAGAGGCTCAGGGTCAGGGCCTCCCCTGAATACTCCTAGTAGATGACCCCAGGAGAGCCTCCCCTCCTTCTGGTCCCTCCAGGTTCCCAGGTTGACAGCTCAGTTTGGCAGGACCTGCTCTCCCAACGCAACCCCACGGAACCGTGCCCAGGCCTGCTGAGGAGGCTATGTGTTAGGGCAGAAGGTGGGGAGGCGGCCACCTCACCTTGTCACCAGGGGCACCAGCAGGGCCAGGAGGACCAATGGGGCCAGTCAGACCACGGACGCCATCTTTGCCAGGAGAGCCATCAGCACCTTTGGGACCAGCATCACCCTAAAGACATGGATAAGCTTGAGATTTCCAGTGTGGGGCAAGGAGGTGACCTATAGTGTTCTGCTTGTGTCTGGGTTTCCTGAGAGGCCCTCTGCAGCTCTGCCCTGCCTCCACCTGGGCCAAGGACTCAAAGATTCTTTCAGGAAAAAGGGTGCCTGCCTGGAGACTCAGGTGGAACTGAGGTTAAGAGGCCCCTGACTTGTGTAGCGGGATGAATAAGGGAGCCTCCACCAAGGAGATGCCCCCACCTCTCATCACCATGGTAACCCATGGGGATAGATGGGCCTGGACCACAGGGAGAGGATTCATCAGCAAAAAGGCCAGAGGGGAAAGGGGAAGAAGGGAGGATTAGCGAGAAGAGGGACAGATCCCAGAGAGAAGGAGAGATGCTGAGAGATTCAAAGCAGGCAGAGATGGGAGCCATGTAGGGCTCAGGGGAGGGGGAAGGTTGAACTTACTCTGTCACCCTTAGGCCCTGGAAGACCAGCTGCACCACGTTCACCAGGCATTCCCTGAAGGCCAGGGGCGCCCTGGCTACCGGGAGCTCCAGGGGCACCAGCATCACCCTATGTGACAACCAAGAAGACTGGAGTGAGGCCTGGGGCCCCAAGAGTGGGTCACAGCCCTAAGCCCCGCTTGGTATCTCCCAGGCTTGTTTCCAAGGCCAACGACAAGCCTTGAGAAAAGATGAAAAGACTCACAGCCCAGACTCCAGGCTGTGTGTGGGCCCCTGCCCTGGTCTTTTCCCCCCACCCCACACCCTATCTCCATGGCTTTGGTCATGGCCCGCCATCCCCTGCTGCAGGAGGGGTGAGACCTGGTCCCTGGGCCACTTGCCAGAGCCCCTTCCACGCTGCCCTCACCTTAGCACCATCGTTGCCGGGAGCACCGTTGGCCCCTCGGGGACCAGCAGGACCAGGGGGACCTTGCACACCACGCTCGCCAGGGAAACCTCTCTCGCCCTAGAAGGGAAGGACAGGGCATGTGAAGGCTGCTCTGGAGATAGGGCCAAGTACGACGCACCTTGACGGATGCAGCGAGAGAGGCCTACTTACTCTTGCTCCAGAGGGGCCAGGGGCGCCAAGGTCTCCAGGAACACCCTGAGGGGGAGGGAGAGAGGAACAGACAGTGAGCAAAACCCACCTGGGGCCACTCTGCTGGAAAGCACGGTCCTTCCTCCTGGGGTCTGGCCGTGATTAGAGAGGAACCCCTTCTCAGCACTGAATTGAGATTATCCCAAACAGCCCCTCTCTTCCTCCTAGGGATGTGTCAAAGGCTTCCCCCCTCCCCAAACTATGGACCAAGATTTATCAATAGAAGGGTTGAGGGAAAGTCACAGCATATTCCAGCAGCTCTTAAAAGAAGTCACCCAGACTAGCAATCATGCAGCCCCCACTTCCCTCTGTGCTGCTCCCTTCATGGGAGGAAGTTCTTTCCGGCGTCTAACCTCAATCCCTCTAGTTGATGGCTGTCTGATTAGCTAGGAGCGGGGGCCTGTCCCTCTGGATTCCCTGCATCTCCCACCCCTCTGGCCGGCTGCTCCCTCTTACCTGTTCACCAGGTTTGCCTGCTTCACCTGGAGGACCAGCAGGACCAGGGAGACCCTGTAGGTGGGAAATGGGGGAAGAAGGGAGGGAAGGTTTAGAATCTGGAAGAGACCAAAGAGGTGTTTCCTACCCCTACCTCCCAGCATCCTGACAGCCATGAGGCCTCACCTGGAATCCGGGGGAGCCAGCAGGGCCTTGTTCACCTCTCTCGCCAGCGGGACCCTGCACAGAGAGAACACTACAGTCACGGGGAGGCCGAGGAGACGAGGGGCTGAGGGTGTCTCCCCTTTTCTGCTCCCCAGATCTCCCCATCAGGGACACTCACAGCAGGGCCAGGGGGTCCCTGAGCTCCAGCCTCTCCATCTTTGCCAGCAGGACCCTGCAGGGAGAGAGCAAAGGGGAACTCAGGGTTAGGAGGCCCCGAGCAGCTGAGGACCGTGGCCTCTAGCACCCCTCCTGCAGGGAGGAGAAAGTGCCGGGGCAGCAATGGGAAGGAGGTAGGGATGGAAAGGAGATACTTACGACAGCGCCAGGGGGTCCGGGAACACCTCGCTCTCCAGCCTTGCCGGGCTCTCCCTGTGGAGAAAGGGAGTTAGGGTTGAGGGGGCTGAAGTGAGAAGCCAGGGCCTCCTGGGGCCTCTCATTTACTCTGAGTGGGACTTTTTAAGGGACTTTCTTTTCAAAAGACTGTTTGGCCCCCGGGGAATGCCCCTGCAGGTGCTTCTTGCTGGGCCCTTTCTGAGCCCACTCCTCCCAAGATGCCCTTCCAGGCTCCTCTGCCTTTTCCCTGTTAGATGCCCGCTGTGGCCTGCACTGCAAAGGGCTTTCATCTTCTCTGCTATCTCCTTTTGGACCTCAAAGAATCCACCAAGACTGGGGGTGCCTATCATATCAAAGGCCTGTCCTATCCCCACGTGTCGGGGTGGAGGGCCACCAACAACACTTATTTCCAGGACAGAGCAGTGGTCATGGAGCCTGGAGAAGTGTTTCATTTTTTCTTTCTTTCTTTCTTCTTTTTTTTTTTTTTTGAGATGGAATCTCGCACTGTTGCCCAGGCTGGAGTGCAATGGCGTGATCTCAGCTCACTGCAACCTCCACCTCCCGGGTTCATGCAATTCTCCTGCCTCAGCCTCCTGACTAGCTGGGGTTACAGGTGCACACCACCACACCCAGCTAATCTTTTGTATTTTTAGTAGAGACGTGGTTTCACTATGTTGGCCCGACTGGTCTCAAACTCCTGACCTCATGGTCTGCCCGCCTTGGCCTCCCAAAGTGCTGGGATTACAGGCATGAGCCACCGTGCCCCGCCGAGAAGTCTTTCATTTTACAGATAGGGAGGCTGAGGTCCAGAAAGTGAGAGTGAGTGGCCACACGGCAGGTCAGCGGCACAGCTGAGCCCAGAGCCCAGGACTCCTTCAAGTCTCAGGTGTGTTTGTCCCTGGCTCTTCATGGATCCTCACTTAATACTCACAGCAGCACCTTTAGGTCCAGGGAATCCCATCACACCAGCCTGACCACGGGCACCAGGTGGGCCTGGGGGTCCGGGGCGACCATCTTGACCGGCGGGACCCTAAGGATGGGAGGCACGAAAGCAGCAGTGAGGACAGCAGGGAGGCAGACAGGACAATGGCAGGGGGTTCAGGGGGAGTGATACTTACAGGGGGGCCAGTTTTGCCATCAGGACCAGGGCTGCCAGGGCTTCCAGTCAGACCCTAGGGAGGCAGAGAGGTATGAGTGGGACTTGGGGAGAAGCATGATGGAGGTGGGGGAGGACTCCAGAGGGCAGACCCTTGGGCCTGATCCAGAACGCCTCATCCCAGACCCTACACGGGATGGTCAGGGCCTGGCCAAGCCAGGCTGAAAGCCTGGGGCCTCACCTTGGCACCAGGCAGACCAGCTTCACCGGGACGACCAGCTTCACCAGGAGATCCTTTGGGGCCAGCAGGGCCAGGAGAACCACGTTCACCAGCGGGACCCTGGTTGGGGGAAGTCACAGGAACAGTTAGGGTCTCAAGTTTGTGGCTCTTTGCCACGGGCCAAAAGAGGAAGAAGATGCCCAGGGAGCGGCAGGGTCAGCCCCCCGGCCGCAAGGAGAGGTTACCTTGGGACCAGCAACACCATCTGCGCCAGGGAAACCACGGCTACCAGGTCCACCCTGCAGGAGGAGAGGAGGCCAGTGAACTCCGCGACACACAGGCACCAGCCAGGCAATGAGGGTGGAGCGGGAGGGGGCGGGCAGGGACACTTACACGCTCGCCAGGGGGTCCGGGCAGGCCAGTGGGTCCGGGTTCACCTCGAGCTCCTCGCTTTCCTTCCTCTCCAGCAGGGCCAGGGGGTCCTTGAACACCAACAGGGCCCTGGAGAGGGCCGAGAGGAGGAGGCGGCCTGTGGTGAGGGGCCATCCTGTGCCAGCCTCAGAGCCGGCTGAGGCTGGGCCTCCAGTGTCAGGGGTTCCTGGGGGTGTGGCAGGGACTCCCCCAGAAGACTAGGGGCTCCTCTTCCTTTCTGGATTTCCCTCAGGGGGCTCCTAGGGCAGGGTGGGCTGGGCTGCAAGAAGGATGGCGGGGAGACTTACAGGCTCTCCCTTAGCACCAGTGTCTCCTTTGCTGCCAGGAGCACCAGGTTCACCCTGCAAGGGGGGAGAAGAGGATGAGCTGAGAGTCGGGGGCGCTCAGTTGGCCTGCGTCTTCCTGCTCCCCAGATGAGAGCCGCACTGGAGCCAGTGCATGGGGTGGGCAGAAGGGAGAGTTTGGTACTCACGCTGTTACCCTTGGGACCAGGAGGGCCGCCGGGGCCCTGGGGTCCAGAGGGGCCTCGGGCACCAGGGAAGCCAGGAGCACCAGCAATACCAGGAGCACCCTGTGGGAGGCAGACAGCCAGGGCGTGAGCCTAGGAGCAGAGGGAAAGGGGCAGGCAGGCTGCAGGCGGCAGGAGTGGGACTGAAGCCTGGCAGGATACTTACATTGGCACCTTTAGCACCAGGCTGTCCATCAGCACCAGGGTTTCCCTGTGGCACAGAGAAAGGAGTGTCAGCAACAGGCAAGGACTCTGAGGTTAGAAAGTGGCAAAGGGGACACTGAGTCGGGGACACTTACAGCAGGGCCAGCAGCACCAGCAGGGCCAGGGGGGCCAGGCTCACCACGCACACCCTGGGGACCTTCAGAGCCTCGGGGCCCTTGGGGACCAGCTTCACCCTGAATCAGAAGAAAGGACATATCAGAAGCCACCCTGGGAAACCCAACCTTGCCTCTCGGGATGGCAGGAGGAAGGGGAGACAGGGACAGGAGAGCAATGATCAGGACTCTAAGATCAGAGACGGAGAACCCAGGACAAAGGTGTTAGTGAACGGGCTGCTCTCTTGCCACTCTGGGTCCCTTTGGTTTGGGGAACAGGGAGACATGAACCCCTTGGCCCATGAGGGTCATGCTTAGAGGAGAGTGGGGGGTCTCACCTTAGCACCAACAGCACCAGGGAAGCCAGGAGGACCAGCGGGGCCGGTGGGACCCTGTGAATGAAATGGAGATGTCAGCGAGAAGGAAGAGATGGCAGCTGCAAGTCACACCCTGGGACAGAGGAAGTCCTGGGGTTCAGACCAACATAACCTGCTCCCATTGTCAGCCCCAAGAGCAGATACTGAGACCCCTCCCCACTCCCAGGCCCTGAGGCCTACAGGCCACACTCACAGGGGGCCCGGCAGCACCAGTAGCACCATCATTTCCACGAGCACCCTGCAGGAGAGAGGGGAAGCCCCGTTAAGTCCACTGAGCACTGGCCAGTCCCTAGAGTTCCTGGGGAGCCCCTTCCAGAGCTCAGGGATCCCCCAAGGGGCCAGGAGTACTTACAGCAGGGCCAGGGGCTCCAGGGCGACCTCTCTCACCAGGCAGGCCACGGGGGCCCTGACAACCAAACCAAGAGAAGTCAGATGAGATGGGAGACAGCCTTGTTCCCCCAGGCCTCCATCTTGCCCCTGCCTCCTGCCCCATCCCTGCCCTCTGGAACTGGGCACACTCACCATCTGACCAGGAGCTCCATTTTCACCAGGGCTGCCAGGCTCACCCTGTAGATCAGAGAATAATGAGTGAGAAATTCATTCATGGTGGGACTCTGGGGATGTGGAGGACCATGATGTTCAGACAGCCTCTTACCTTAGGACCAGCAGGACCAGCATCTCCCTTGGCACCATCCAAACCACTGAAACCCTAAAGCAGGAAAGAGGTAGAAGGTAAGAACCTGTGGAGGGGGTGGAACAGCCTTGACATCCACCTAGATCTGAGAAAGAGCCTTGGGAGGTCATCACCGCCATCCCTTTGTTTCTGAGCTAGACTAAACCCCAACTGGCTCTAGATCTCACCCAATCGTTTAATCGGGACTGCTTTCCCATGGAGGGAGGTGCTTTTGGATGTCCACTCTCTGTCCCTTGGGACTTCTGTAGCTGCCACCCACCATGATGCAACTCAGTATCTTTTGGGGAAGAGGTTGGGACTGGATGGGGGTATGCTAGGGACTTGGGGAGCTTAAATGACTCAAAGGTGACTCACTCTGTGTCCCTTCATTCCAGGGAGGCCAGCTGTTCCGGGCAATCCTCGAGCACCCTGGAGAGAGATGAAGAAGACAAGGAAGGGCCATTAGAACACATCACTGTGGACCCAGCTCCTAAATGAAGCCCAAGTGCAGTGAAGCCCAGGTTCAGCCACAGCCCCCTGCTCACCTGAGGCCCAGGAGGCCCACGCTCACCAGGACGACCAGGTTTTCCAGCTTCCCCCTGAGAGGGAGAGAAAAGACCATCATGCCTCTGCCTCCCCACCACCGCCTAGGGGCTGGAAAAGTGGAGAAGGTCTCAGTCTTCTTTGGATTGTTGCAGGTCAGGTTTGGGGGCCCAGAATCTTATCTTTGAATCTAGAGCTCAGTTTAAATCTACAGTGAAACCTTCGTTTGGTGAAATCTGAGTGCCTCTAAAGGAATTTCTGTCTACTTCTGTCACCAGCATTTTAATTTCACCATCTGCGCACCAATTTCCCCAAAGGGATGGGGTTGGGGATTGCTCTAAGGTGGCTGGGGTGAGGAGAACAGTCACTTTGTTGGGGACATGGAATCATCTCACTAAGCGAAAAGATCATTGTTCCAGGGCAGTCCGTGCATCAGAGAGGACTTGCCCTCCTTCCTCTGAGTATCGTTCCCAAATGTGGTGGAGTGGAAATTGCAGGACCCAACCCATGGAGGCCATGGGGTCAGATGGTATCTTCTTGCTGGGGATACTTACATCATCTCCATTCTTTCCAGGGGGACCTGGGGGACCTCGGGGACCCATGGGACCCTAGAAAAGATAGAAGAGGTGGTTAGAATATGGATAAGAAAAAAAGAAGGGGAAGGCTGGGATTGAAGGGAAGAGGTAAGGAAGACCCCAGGCCTGGGAGTTCTTCTATAGGAGAGTCTGTGTGTTTGTAGAAGGAGTATGAATCTGTATAGAGAGTGCTTACTGAAGCTCCAGGCTCGCCAGGCTCACCAGGGGGACCTTGGAAGCCTTGGGGACCCTTGAGAAGAAGGAAAAAGATGGGTTAGAAGACAAGTCCCTGTCAACCTTCTCCAATCTTACCAAGAGATCTCTGAGCATCTCTCCTGCCCTCATCCCAGTCTTCCCTCCAAAAGACCAAAGCCCAAGGAGGCATATGAAGACGTCCTGGATACTCACAGGTGCACCAGGGGGGCCAGGGAGACCACGAGGACCAGAGGGACCCTATAGAGGGAGAAGAAAGGGGGGTCATGGTGATCCCTCTGTAGGAAAGCATGTGGATGTAGTCATTCATGCCTGTTGGGACCACCCAGTCGTCCTGCATCCTTTCTGGACTCTGAGGTCCCAAAGGTGATCTGGACCTCCCAAGCTGTCTATACCAGCCGCCTATGCCCACCTCCTCTGGATACCCATTCTCTCTTCTGTCATCCATGCTCCCCCTGCTGGCTCACCATGGGGCCAGGCACGGAAATTCCTCCGGTTGATTTCTCATCATAGCCATAAGACAGCTGGGGAGCAAAGTTCTAGAACAAACAAGAGAAGTCAGAGTGAGGACAGTGAATTGAAAGGCAGAAGACGGCACTGAGGATGGAAGAAACTGACATCATGCACTTCCTGGTGTGATGTGCTGAGAAGAATAACATTGCTTTTAAGACATTCCTGCAAAGATGCATCCCTGCATCTAATCTAATGAGACAATCCCAAATTGAGGGACAGTCTGCAAAACAACTGGACTCATCAAAACTCCCAGTGCCACTAAAGACAAAGAAAGTCTGAGGAACGTTCTACATTTGTGGAAACTAGAGACATGATGATTAAACGCAATACATAATCCTGGACTGGATCCCAGATTGGGGTGGTGGGGGGTGGAATCTATAAAGGACATTATCGGGACATCGGTGAACTTTGAATACGGACTGCACATTAGAGAGTGAATTTAATCATTGTGTAGGTCAGTTAAGAGAATGCTCTTGTTTTTAGGAAAAACACACCTAAGTATTTAGGCGCAAAAGAGCCTGATGTTAGCAACTTGCTCAAACAGTTCAGAAAAAAAAAGATACATATACATAAACAGAGACTAATAAAGCACATGTCACAAACTGTGAAGGGTATGTGAGAGTTTCCTGTAGGATTCTTGCAACTTTTCTGTAAGTTTGAAATTATTTCAAAGTATAAAATTATGTCATCTGCCAAAAAACAAAAACAAAACAGGGGAGAGTGGACACACAAGGCCTCTCCACTTACTCCTCCGAGGCCAGGGGGTCCGGGAGGTCCGGGGGGTCCGGGGGGTCCGGGAAGTCCAGGCTGTCCAGGGATGCCATCTCGGCCAGGGGGGCCTGCGGGTCCCTGCAGGGGGAGAGGGCGGGGCCGGGGTGAGCGTGGGGCCGAGAGCCATGCCCACCTGCAGCCCCCCACAGCCCAGAGTGCAACGCTTACCCTTGGGCCTCGGGGGCCAGTGTCTCCCTTGGGTCCCTGTGGGATTGGGGGAGAAGAAACAAGAGGCCAGGTTAGAGAAGGGAGGACTGTGAGGAGTCACGGGCCGCGCAGGGGCAAAATTCGAGGGCAGGAGATTACCTCGACGCCGGTGGTTTCTTGGTCGGTGGGTGACTCTAGGGGACGAAGAGACGCGCGTTAGAGCCAAGGTTTGCTAATGCTGCTCCCGTCGGCAGAGGCCTCCAGCACGGAGGGCCAGCGAGCGCCGACCACCCCCAGCCCCAGCCCCAGGCCCCAGGCCCCAGGCCCCAGGCCCCAGGCCCCGAGCGCAGCCGCACCTGAGCCGTCGGGGCAGACGGGACAGCACTCGCCCTCGGGGACTTCGGCGCCGGGGCAGTTCTTGGTCTCGTCACAGATCACGTCATCGCACAACACCTTGCCGTTGTCGCAGACGCAGATCCGGCAGGGCTCGGGTTTCCACACGTCTCGGTCATGGTACCTGAGGCCGTTCTGTACGCAGGTGATTGGTGGGACTGGGACAGGCGGAAGAGGGGCGTTGTCAGTAGTGACTGCAACCCCCAGCTTAACCACCTTTCCCCCGGGTCTAAGAGGCACACTTGGATTTTTCACTTCCCGCCCCTCCCCCCGTTCTTCTTTCCTCAAATCCTTAAAAGCTCGCCTGCTCCTCATCAGCGCGGGTGACAGCGCCGAGGCGCCTGGCCAGGGAGGCTGTAACTCTTTCCAGTTCTCAGGAATTTAAACAAAGCTTTAGTCCGCGGTGGCTTCCAACTCCAACCTCAGCCCATTGGCGCTGAAGCCAAGTGAAATAAAAACCACAGGGTGAGAGGGGGAGGGCGGGGGGAGAATAGGAGGGGCCCCATCGGGAGGGCAGGCTCGTGGGGAGTGGCTTGCGTGGTAGAGACAGGAGGAGGGCGAGGGAGGAGAGAAGGGAGGTCCAGCCCTCATCCCGCCCCCATTCCCTGGGCAGGTGGGGTGGCGGGGGCGGGGCTAGGAGAATGGGAGCGGCTGATTGGAAGGGAGGCCCCCCCAAGACTTGAAATGTACCTCAAAATTAGGAGACACCCTAACCTCCAGCACCTAGACATCTTAAAAGCCCGCTCTCGGGGCCATCCCCAGTCCCCCAAAGCCAGCCAATGCCTCCAGGTCACTTTTAGCCAAAGAACCAAAAAGTCCGCAAATAGTCCAGAAGTTAGCTAACCACTCCCACCGCGCTAGCGGCTCCCCAGACGGCCACTAGGTGTCGGGCAACGCTAAGCAATGGGGCCGGGGCGGGGCCGACCTCACCGGCCCGACTACCTCTTTAAGAGGCTTGGGCTGCCCCATCCCTGGCTTTACTTTCCAGATCTAGAGGTGGGGGTCCGCACCCAGCAATAACCCGGGTCTTCCCGCTCCGGCTCCTGCCCCAGTAAGCGTTGGACCGGGAGACGCAGTGCTCAGCATCGGTCAGCAGGGGGCGCAAGGACCCCGCCCCGCCGAGTCCGCGCCAAAGTTTCTCATCCTCCACCCGCCCACGCTCCGCACCCCCTCCGCGGCTGCCCAGCACCCCCACGGCCCCAGCAACACTCTAGCCCGCAGAGAGGGCAATCTTTCCTTATGAATCATCCCACGGCCTTCCTGATTGCTTCTACATCTTGGGCTTCAAATGCCCCGCTCGGCGCCCCCATCCCATCTTCGACGTGCTTTCCTCACTCTGCACCCAGATCCCCACTTCCCCGGTTGCGCGCTCGGGATTCTCTCTTGCACCAACTCACGCCGCGCTCCACCCTCACCTCCCGCTCCCGGGGCGCGTTCAACCCCAACCTCGCCCCAGGGTGAGCTCCCTCCTGTCTCAGGGCGCCGAGGAAGAGCCCTCATCATCTCCCTTCCATTCCCGAGTCTCCGGATCATCCACGTCTCGTTTTAAGCCGCGGCCCCCGGGACCAAGCGCAAGGCGCGATATAGAGTATCCTTGCACTCCCAAAAGTTTGGGACTTACTGTCTTCGTCTTGGCCCTCGACTTGGCCTTCCTCTTGGCCGTGCGTCAGGAGGGCGGTGGCCGCTAAGAGGAGCAGGAGCCGGAGGTCCACAAAGCTGAACATGTCTAGACCCTAGACATGTAGACTCTTTGTGGCTGGGGAGGGGGTTAGCGTCCGCTCATGCGTGGCCTCACACTCCGCGTGCCTCCTGCTCCGACCCCGAGGAGAAACTCCCGTCTGCTCCGACGACTGGCCCGGGCCCCTTTTATACTGTCCTGATGGAGAGCAGGGAGGAACCCTGCCCCTCGGAGAGGGGGAGCCGGCCGCCCGTGCCCCAGCCAATCAGAGCTGCCTGGCCCGGCCCCCAATTTGGGAGTTGGAATGGAGAGGGGGAGGAGGAGGGAAGGGAGTCCACCCCACATCTCCCCTCTTCGCAGCTCTGCCTCCCCAGCCCCCCAGCCCAGCCTGGGCCAGAGGTGCTGTGGTAGGGGTGCAGCTGGGTCCTCAGAATGGCGTGGGCTAACCAGTGGGTAGGGGTGCCCCTCTGCTCTCTTCCTGGGACCTCCAATCTAGAAGAAGTGGAACTGGGGAACTGGGGAGCTGGGTGGGGAGACTTCCAAAGGTGGAAGGGTTGGGGGTGTTGGGGAGGGGGTCCTCCTGGCTGTGCCCCAGTCACCCTCTGATATCCTGGCAAGAGCTAAGGGAGGGGCATAAAGAGGCATGCTGAGGACCTCTCCAAAACAGAGGAAGCTGGGAATTAAAAAGATGTGCCTGTTTGGGGGTGTCTTCTGGTGTGGCTAGGGGATGGAGCTTAGGAATATTTGGGGAACAATTTACAGATTCCTTTCTAGACATTAAGAATCAGATATCTGAGGGAGGGGTGCAGGCAAGGGAGTTTTAATTTTGAGGATGTCAATTCTTCTGCTGTGCTCCAGAACAGAATCAAATGCCTTCCTCCAAACCCTAGGCATGATTGAGAGATGGAGTGGGGAGGCTGAGGTGCAGGGTGAGAAACATGACTAGGTGGCCTCTGCAGAAGAAAGCTTTGGTGGTTGGGTGATGGAGCAGCCAAGGTAGGGGTGGGGGATTCTAGGGACACAGAGGTGGGGATTGGGGCTTGCAATCCCCTAAAAATTCATCCCCCAAACTCTTCCACCCCAGAGTTGGGAAGTATTTTTAGTGGGAGGCCTGTGATCATTGGTGACTTAGAGAAGAGTTTTGTTTGCCATGGCTGTGGCCAGGGGCTGCTTAGAGACCCTCCTTCCCAGCACAGTCAAACCAGAGAGAACCTGGGTGGAGGGAGGGCACTTAGCTAAAGGGGTGTCTTTCTGGGAGCTGCATAAAGCCCCTTCTCCAGTTGTACCTGGACTCAGTGTTGGGGATGTATGGGATATTTTGGGTGTCTGGGTGAAACTTTCCTTTGGGGGTGTGGGATGGGCTGCAGAGGATGATTGACTTTGTTTTAGGGGCTACTTCCCACTGCCTCATCTCTTTCTTGAAAATCCCGGTCATTGCTCTATGCCTTAGGAACCAGAGAGAATCATCTGTACACTCTGAAAGGGTCTGGGGACCCGAAGGACAGCAGGCTATATCTAAGGAAGATGGCTCTAGAACTCCACGTCCTTTCTTCCTCCATGTCCCATTCCCCCAACAAGGCTCTGCCTCAACCCCAATCTACCTCGTCCTGAGAAACTCTGTAGGGCTGAGAGAAGGCCTGGGGGTCTCCTTGCAGTGCCCTGTTCATTTCTCTCCCTCCTGTGCAGCTCCCCACCCCGGGTGCTCCAGAGCTGCAAACGTGGAAGCGGGGAGTCCCGCCTCCCCCAAACCATCCAAGATTCCATTGCCTCCCCCCGCCCCTCTCCACGCCCTCCCCCAGCTGGTTTTGTGCAACGAAGGCAAAGGGGAAAAAAAAGGAACAGAAGGGGAGGGAGCCACGTCGGCTGGCCGGCTGGCCGTGGGCAGCCAGGATGAGCGGTGCGGGTGGGGCAGCAGAGGGAGACTGCAGGGGCTATAATTAAAGGGAAAATATAGAGTTTCCAGAGAGGCAGGGCTGGAGACAGCAATGGAGGGATGGACCTTCATCAATTATCCCGACCATGTGGCAGCAACTTGTGGCCCAGGGTCTGCCCCCGCCTAGTGCCAGCGACTGCAGGGCAGGACTAGGGGGCTGAGGTGCTGAGATGGCAGTTCTTGAACCCACCAAAGTCCTGCCCCCTACTGTGGGTCAGTTCCAAGAGAACCCCTCCCTAATAGGCGACAGGGGTCCTGTTTTTGGAGGGAACAGACATTTAGAGTGGTGGTCTAGGGCAGGGTGCCGCAGGGCTTGGTAGTATGAGGGTTAGTGACCTGTCCACTTCCTTGCTTCTTGGGTTTTCGTAGTAAGAAGGGCTCCTGCCTGCAGCTCCCCGCCCCTCCCCATATGTTTCCCATCCAGGCTTTCCCACGCCCATCTTAAAGAAGAGTTGAAACCTCCAAGGTGTGAATTGGGGGTTGCTACATCATGGGCCTGGGGTTCTGAAGGATATTTGGGGATCCCTGGCTTTGGAGTTTTGTGTGCCTGGCGTGTGACAGCCACCACCCCAATGTCCAGTTCCAGGCCTTCCTCCCAGGGGCCGAGGCAGACAGTTTCCAAGCATCCTTTACACGTGGCATGGAGCTGAGGCTCAAGGCCTCCCCTGCCACTCTTCGACTTAAAACGCTTGGCGGGTGCCCAGGCTGAAGATGTGTCTTTAATTTCTGCAGTATGACAGTGAGAGGAAGAATGTGCTTGGGGTCTCCTCCCAGCCTGGCTGGGCCTTCCTGGCCAGGATTGAGGGCTGCAGACTGGGGGGATGGGGGGTGGGAGGAGGAGGGAGCTTGTGCCTGTGAGAGGAGGAGACGCCACCTCATCTTTAGGAAACTCTGAAGCTCTGGCTTCTTGTGGAATGTAAGACTTTGTCCGGCACTTAAAGTGGGGGGGAGCAAAAGCCAAAATCTCCTCCCCACACCCCCAAGAAATGGTAAAGTCATCAGCAGTTAGGGAAAAAAAATTCCTTAAGAAGAAAAACAGAAAGAGGAAAGTGCTGAGCTTGAGTTCTCTCCTTCTCCAAATTTCCCCAAGTGCCCCCCTCCAACACCAAAGAAGGAGGGAAAAGGCCCCCACCCTCAGAGCTCCTCAGGTGCCCCATCTGGACTCCATGGTATGGGACAAAGGAGGAGAACACACCTGGAAGAGGTAGCCCAGGTGTTGTGCACCTGGTGGGGGGCATGCACCCCTGCCCTGCACATCGGGGTCACCCTTTCCAGCTGCTGCAGCCCCCAGTTGAGGTTCTGTTGCTCTTCCCCCAACTCCAATTCTCCAGAACGCTTCTCTGCTCCCACCTCTAGCCCTAGACTGATGATAAAGAGGGGGTTCCTAGGAGAGGGTCTGAGGAGACAGAAGGGCGGGGTCTAAGAGTGGGGGTGCAGTGAAGACCCCAGGATGAAGCTCTCCATGAGTCTCTATCATGGAGCCCTGCACAGTTCCTGTTGAGGGAGCCTGGAGCAGAGTCTGGGGATAGACCCCGGGTGTGTGCAGGCCCTTCTTCTTCCCTCGCTTTAGCATTGCACAGTCGGAGCCCTTTGCTAGGTTCCTCAGCTTCCAGGTACAGCTCTGCTCTTCTATGCCTTAGCCCCAAACCCAAGTCCTCCAGCCTCCTAGGATTTCCCTCTCTCCCTTCCTCCCTCCTTCCTTCCTTTCCAGGGTTAGGGGGAAGATGATGAAGTAGGTTTTGTCCATGCTGAGTGTTTGAAGCCTGTGAGACATCCAATTAGAAATACGGAGGAAACCCTTGGGCACTTGGGTCAGGAGTTCAGAGGAGAGACAAATGTGGGTCCCAGGATGATGGTAACTGAAGCTGGGGTTGTGGATGGTGTTGTCTCAGAGAAAGCATGGAGGGAGGGAGTGTGGAGGGGCTGGCACTGAGCCTCGGGGACCCTCAGGGTGTAAGGGCTGGGTGGAGGAGGAGGAGATAGGGCAAGAGTGGCCAGAGAAGGAGGGCTGGGTGAGAGGGATTGGGGGGTCATGAGTGCAGAGGAAAGAGATGGTACTAGAAGGAAGGAGAGTTATATGCTGCAGAGAGAACTAGTATGGTAAGGAGTAAAATGTTCCCTGGACTTAGCAGAATGGTGGTGACTGATCCCCGCAGCGTGAGCTGCTGTGGTGGAGAGATGGACAAGGAAGCCGGACTGGAGTGGGCTAAGGAGTGTGTGGGAGGCCAGGAAGCAAGGTCAGAGGGCAGCGACTGGGAGGAGGAGTCTGGCTGTGGCAGGAGTCTAGAGAGGCATCTGTCCCCTGCTCTTTCTCTTTCTTCCCAGCCCGGATCCTGCGTTCCTTTCAGGCCCCTGCATCCCTCCTCTGTCTTCCAAGTTTCTTCGCTGCTTTCTCCATCCCCCTCTGTCTCCAGAGCTCCTTTTCTGGATCTCATTTGCCTCTTTTGCTCTCCTTCCCCCTTTCCTTTTCTTTCCAGGTGACCCGAGCCCTCAAATGTCCATAGCCAGGCCCAGCCTCCCCCTCATTCTCCCCTAGAACAAGCCCTCATTCCAGGCTCTTGAAGATGAACTTTGTTTTCTAGTCCTGGACGGATCCCACCCCATTCTCTGACCGCTGCCTCCACCACCCCCACCCCAGTCCTAGGAGGAGAACTTGGGAGCTGGAGAGAGAAGGGCTGGGGGTATGGCCCCAGGTGACACGAGGTCTGTCATGGCCCCAGCTCCCAAGCCCTCTCCAGCCACCCCACCAGGTCCCAGCCAGGCCCCAGCTGAGAATAATGCACTGGATGGGGGATGTTGTTGAGTTAGGGGACCCCAGTTCTCACTGCTGCTCTCTGGTAGTCAGAAGTGAGGGGTCAGCCCCATCTTTCCTGCTGGAGTGAGCTCCCAGCTGGGTAGCTGGCAGCTTTTCTGTCATATCCCTCCCTGCTCCTGATGTCTGGAGGCAGTGTAGTTCTTCTTAAAAGTTGGCTTGGCAGGGCGCGGTGGCTCACACCTGTAATCCCAACATTTTGGGAGGCTGAGGCAGTCGGATCACCTGAGGTCGAGAGTTTGAGACCCCAGCCTAGCCAACATGGTGAAACTCCATCTCTACTAAAAATACAAAAATTAGCCCGGCATGGCGGCATGGGCCTGTAGTACCAGCTACTTGGGAGGCTGAGGCAGGAGAATCACTTGAACCCAGGAGGCGGGGGTTGCAGTGAACCGAGATCACACCATTGCACTCCAGCCTGGGCAAAAAAGCGAAACTCTCTCTCTCAAAAAAAAAAAAAGAAAGAAAGAAAGAAAGAGAAAAGAAAAAAAAAAGAGAAAGTTGGCCCCATGAATTGATTGAATATTTACACCTTTCTGGGTTGGTTCAATTCCGTGCCTATTTTATCCCATTTGCTTTTCTCCATTCCTTTCTTCCTTTCTTTCTTCTATTCATTTACCTTTTCTCTCCCCCACCCCCAACCTCTCTCCCTTCAAATTTTTCTCTTCATGCGTTTTTCTTCCTTTTCTTAGTTTTTTTTTTCCTTTCCTTTTCTTTCCTCGGTCTCTGACCCGTTGTCCCACCTCTCCACCCACATACTTTTTTCCCCCTCCCTCTTTTCCTCTCTTATTCTCTTCCGGTATCTCCTCTTCCCCAGTCCCCGGTTCTCTGGTGCCCATCCTGGGGTATGGCGCTCTGCCGGGTCTCCTCATGCTGTAGGCGGGCGTGCAGCCTTCGTGAGCTGCTCCAGGGGAGAAAGGGCAGCAGCCATAGGGGGCGTGGCCGGGGGGCGGGTGGTGCAGGGCTCGCATCACAGCCAGATGTCTGGTTGCCGTGTTGTGTTTGGGAGATAAATGCCAGGGTTCCTTTGAATCCTGAATTTAAATAAAAGAAGGGGGGTGCTGAGGAGAAGCCTCTGTTGGGCAGAGGTACCTTCCAGATCTTGATCTCCTTCCTTGATACCCACCCCCCACAACCCCCACCCCAGGGAAGTTTTGGCCACCGATGTCTTCTGTCTTCTGCTTCTGCCCCAGCCACGAGTTCTTCCTCCTGGCAAACTTGAGATTCTGGAGTTTCAGGGCGGGGTGTTGGGCAGGGGTCCTGGCAGGGGCCCCTTTGGACAGTCTGGCTCGGACACAGAAAGGATCCTGTATGGATAACATGACCTTGCCTTCTTCCCAAAAGCCACCCCCACCCCATTTTGCTAAGGAGCTACATTCATTTGCTGATAAATTCATGCAACAATAGTCACGTGCCAGGCACTTTGCTGGGTACTGGGCATTCAATGGTGAGCAGCACAGACCCTGTGTCTGCCTGATGGAGTTTGTGTCTGGTAAAGACACAGACAGCAATGAAATCACATGAATAAACGTGGAGGTGCAACCATTAAGGTTACTAAGAAGAAGAATGCAGAGCTTTGAATGGGCAGACATGGCAGAGGGTCTGCTCTAGTCCTGGAGCCCTAGGAAGGCTTCCCTGGGTAGGCTGATGGGAAAAGGATAGGAGGCAGGGTGGATAGTGATGGGACCACATATGCAAAGGCAGGAGGGGGCATGGCGAGTGCTGGATGCCCAAGGAATTCAGGGAAGGCCAGTGTGGCTGGAGCACCACAGGCAAAGGCTGGGCGGGCCAGAGAAGCCCCATCACAGGTGTAGTTTGCCTCCTTTCAGCTATGGGCCCCAGCAGAGGGCCTGACGCAGGGGAGGGTCACAATCAGGTCTGCATTTGTAAAAGAAAGCCATGGGCACTCCATGGAGTAGGTACCTGCGGGAGGAGGGCTGTGGTCAAAGGTGGAGGAGCAGCTGAGAGGCTGCTATACTTGCCCAGGTGAGGGGCTTGGATCCGGTAGGTGGGAATGGAGACAGAGAGAAGAGGATGGGCTTGAGAGCCCTTTGGGAAGCAAAATTTACAGGTGCTGGGGTTGGATTGGATGTGGGGTGGGGTTGGTGAGGAACAGGGATGATCCCGGGCTTCTGGCTGGGCAAGGACCCTGCTTGGGGGACAATATGCTGAGTTTGGTGCCTGTTGCCGGCCCTGTAGTTGATCCTTTTCACTGAGTGGTTACTTCAGGCCTTCTGGGGCCAGCCGTGTGCTGGGGAGAGCTCTGGGGACAATAGCTCCTATTCTGGGAGAGTGGGGAGCCAGGAAGAGGAATAAAACACACACAAAAATGCCCCTCCCTTGAGGCAGCACTGGCTGTGTGATTTTGAGTAAATGCTCCATCTCGGAACTTCATTTCCCCAGTCTGTGAACTGGGGTAGTAGTGAGACCATCTTGCTGGTCTATGTCTTGCTCAGTAAATGGAAGCCTCTGGACACAAAGGATGATGGGAGTGCCAATGAGAGATAAGGAAGGCTGCACGGAGGAGGCAGCTTTCCAGCCAGGCTTGGGAGGGTGGGTGACAGGGTTCAAATGCAGTGTTTAAGTGGGAGGAAAGGCACCGCCCAGCCTGGGAAGCTTGACATAGATTGAGTGAGAGACAGACAGACAGAAAGAGAGATAAGGCCATAGGCAGAGGAAGATAAGGCTGGAAAAGTAGGCTGGGGCCAACTTCTGGAGGCCTGGGATTCTGGGGGAAGGAGTTATACTCAGTGGTGGCCATAGAGAGTTGGTGACTGCCTTTGAGAGGAGAATGGTTGTGATCCTTTTGCCGAGAACTCACCCAGAGGACTTATACCTTGGTGACAGCAGAAGGACTCAAGTTAGAAGGCCAGGGCCCTTAAAGGGAGGGGACGATTCGAGGAAAGTATAGGTGGGTTGGGAGGAATTCATGGATATGGAGATGAACAAACAAATGGGGCCGGGAGCAGGTAAAGAGGTAGACCAGATAACACCTCCAGAGTTGCGGTTTGACCTCTGCTGGATCTCGGAGCTTTAGAGTCTCTAGGTGGAAATATCACAGAATAAGAGACATTCTGCTAGAAGGAAATTTCGAGTTTATTCCTTTCTTCCCTCCTTTTACAGATTAGAAAACTGAGGCCCAGAGAAGGAAAGTAGCTGCCAGAGGTCACACAGCTAGGATTGAGGGATCAGAGGTAAGAACCCTATGACACTTCAAGAGCCCAGGCGGTTAGGGCTGGGGAGCTCGCAGGGCCAGGGAGGTCACTGAGGATGGCGGCGACAGCATGACACGGGGATCCCACATAATCCCAGTTGGTCCTGGGAGGACAGCCCAGGAGAGCTGCTCCCCAACTCTCAGCTGAGCCATGTGGCCAGAGGGGGAAGGGAGCCTGGTGGGCAGGGAGGAACTGCCACATGGAAAAGCCTTGATGGGAACCATCTGGCCTGGGCGGGCGGAATGTGGGCTGCAGGGAGGGGAGGAGCAGGAGACGGGAAGGAGGCCATGGTGGGCGGGTGGATGGCGGGTTTGGGCTGGGAGTGGCCTGACCCGGAGGCCCCTACCTTCCAGACTGCTGCAGCCCAGATGCCTTCGCAGCCATGGCCTGGCCCATCCAACCCGCTGACCTCATTCCCAGCTCCCCTCTCTTGCAAGCTCCCCCCTTGCCTGCCACGTAGACTGGAGGCTTAGCTGCATCTTCGCTGGAGGGAGGAAGAGCAGAACACAGAGGCCCTGAGCCCAGAGCTCTGCTGGGTCAGACTGGCCTGGGGAGAGCAGCTGTGTTCCTCCAGCGCCCCCCAAGACCAGGCTGGGCCTCAGTTTGCCCTCCTCAAACCTCCTCAAACCTGAGGCCCAGAAGGTGGAGGGGACAGAGGTCATGGGAGAAGCATGACAATGAAGTGGGTTGGAGTGGGCGAGAATCACGTGGGGGCTCTGAGGTCATTGTAGCCATCCCCCTGCCTCCTCAGGGCAGGAGGGTGCTAGGATCAGACCCAGAAAGGGACAGGGGCAGGACATTCCTCCTCTTTTCAAGCATTCACAAGAAGCAGAGTTCCATGGTGGTCTAGGAGGGGGTCCTTTGTAAGATCTAGTCTTCCTCCTTCTGCTGTGTGAGGACCACAGTATGTGGCTAGGACGAGGTGGGCGGTACGCTGTCTTCCGTCTCTCAGCTGCTCTCAGGGACCTTCGCTTCAATCCTGTCTCCAGGCTCTGCCTCTGACCCCTGCCTCCCCCTCGCTTTGCTTCCCTGCCCCCCAGGGTCCTGGGTCTCCAGCTGCCCCAGTTGAACAGGGGGCTGTCCCCTGCGGCTCTCAAGGCGTTCCGGGGCTGTGAGTCATCGGGAATGTCTGTTCTGACTGCGGCTTCCCTCTCCTGACGTGGACCCTCTTTCTCCTCCTCCCCCACACTCAGGGAGAGGGTGCCCCTCCCAGGCAGGGGGCTCTGAAGTGGGGGAGGAAGCCACAGGCAGGCCTGGGATGAGGTCTTGCTCCCCGATTGCCATCGGAAGGAGGCTTCGAAGACTTGCACGCCCCTCACCCAGATTCTACCTTCCCAAGGCAGATAGAATTCCCTGACTTTCTCCCATTTCCCAGGTGGGGACACTGAGGAGAGGCGGGGAGGGGAGGGCCTGAACTTGGGTGGGCCCAGGTTCACCCACTCCCTTTTAGGGCTCAGCTTTGTCAGACTGGGAATCTGCCCAAGTGTCCTTCTGAAGGGCCCTCCCCGCATTCGAGGCTGGATCTGGCAGAAAAGCTGGAGAGGCTCTGCTGCCCGCTCCAGGGATGACACGTCTCTGCTGGGTGGGGAGTCCACGTCCGCAGAAAAGGGGGAGGCCACGTGTCTGGACCCTTCCCGCAGAGCCCCTGTGCCCTGCAAGGCTGCCTGCCACCCCCCTCCTTCTCTCCCTCCTCTCCCCAGCAGCCCTGGCCTGCCCCCTCCCTCTGATCTCAAGAAATAGCTGGGGGGTCGGGGGAGGGGACACTGAAGGGAAGACCAAGCTAGGAAAAGCTCCTCTCCACCCCCTCCCAGCATGTCTGGGCATTTCACTCCCCACCAATGAGCCTCAGTTTCCTCAACTGGAAAATAAGGGGGATGAACAGAAAAAGTCTCTACCCATGGGTGAGTCTATGATCCTGTCTCTGCACAGTCAGATAGACTCAGGCACTCACACCCACTCAAACCCACCTGTGCTCTCAGGCACGTTCATTCATTCACACATTCACCGATGCACACTTACACACACATCTACACGCACATGTGGCCCTCTGCCTATTTTGGGTACAGCAGATCCCCACAATTTCTGTTTCCCTCTTTCTGACAGCCCACCATTTCTTCTCTCATTCCAATCATACCTCCCCCAGCCCCCACCCCACCCCCTTTAGCCACCCTCTTTACATTTCTCTACTCCTGGTTCTCCTCCTCTTGAGGTCACTGGCAGGGCAGTGAGATTTGAACTTCAGAGTATCAGACCTCTGACCTTGCCAAAGACCACTCTGACTCTGCCCTAAGGCTCTTTCTGAGTTTTGGGTGGGAGGGAGTCTGAGTGAGGAGAGAGAATAGAGCTGAGAAAGGCTGGTTCTTTCCTACCCAGCTGGGGACCTGCAAAAGGGTGCCCTTCACTTGTCTTTCCTGAACATTATGAACATTCGCTTTCCAACAAAGTCTGTCCCACTGACATCCGGAGGCCTCCTCTGAAGTGCGATCATTTTAGCAGCTTGTCCTGGCTGTTGCCCCAGGTTGCACCCTTCTAGGAACTTCCGCCTGAGGGAGACTGGTCAGAGCTCAGGAGGGACTGTTCCAGGGGATGAGATATCTGCTGGCCAGGAAAGGCATGGGAACTGGGCAGCGGAGCACACCCTCCGGACCTGGCCCAACTTCAGAATAACAACAAATGATTGTGCCAGGCTCTGCCGTAAGTACTTTACACCTTTGTACTCCTCCAAAAGCCCTCTGAGATGGGTGCTCCAATTGTCTCCAATTTCAAAGGAGGAAAGAGAGGCACAGAGAAGTCAAGTCAGTTGCCTGAAGTCACAAAGCTAGCAAGTGGCTGAGCTGGAATTCAAACCCAGGCAGCCTGGCTTATCTGTTACTCCCAGCTGGTCCAAGGGACCCGGGATGGTCCAAGGGATGCCCTCCCCCTTCATCTAAAGAAGTGGCTATTTGCATAAACAGGCTTCCATCTGTGTGCATGCATGGAAAGGATCACGGGATGACGTGGCTGGAAACAGACCACAGGCACCACCAGTAGTTGGAAAGATCAGAACAGAGCTGCCTCCCTCCCTTTTGCTGGAGAACTATTGTGAGCTGACCACCACACACACGACATCTCCTTTAATCCTCACAACAGCTCTGGGACGTCAGCCTTAATATCTCTATTTTATAGCTGTAGAGTCAGAAGGGCCGAGGCGTTGTGCAAGATCCCCTTTCTCAAGCTCAGAAAGAACCCAGGTGTCCTGACAGCCAGATCAGGCTTCTCTCATTGATCCACACGTCCCCTATTTCCAAATCTACATGGCTTCTAGACACACACAGCCACATACAACAGACCACGCAGAATGTTGGAAAGAATTACAGCTCTTGGCCGGGCGCGGTGGCTCACGCCTGTAATCCCTGCACTTTGGGAGGTCGAGGTGGGTGGATCACCTGAGGTCAGGAGTTCAAGACCAGCCTGACCAACATGATGAAACCCCGTCTCTACTAAAAATACAAAAAAATTAGCTGGGCGTGATGGCGGATACCTGTAATCCCAGCTACCCAGGAGGCTGCGGCAGAAGAATCGCTTGAAACCAGGAGGCAGAGGTTGCAGTGAGCTGAGATCGTACCACTGCACTCCAATCTGGGCAACAACAGCAAAACTCCATCTAAAAAAAAAAAAAAATTACAGCTCTCGGTAGTGTTTGAAGAAGCACTTTGCACCTCCTCATTGACAATGCCCCAGGAAGGGCTTATGCTCATTCTGTTGTGAGGGGAAGCCCCTTGCTGGGGCTTCCCCCCTGGCTGGGAAGTGGTAAAGCTGTGAATAGATCCCATGTCTGCCTGGCCTGGCCACAAAGCTAGTGCTCCTCCCACTCTCCAATACCACCTGCCACCCTCACTGTCACCAGCCCAGAAGCACCCCCTGCACACACCATATCCCCAGTGAGCACACATGCATGTCACAGACAGGAAAATCACACTCATGTAGTACCTGCACGACACAGGCTAAGGGCTTTTTGGTGTTTCCTGTGTGCCAGGCCCTGTTGTAAGTTCCGTGTAGGCATGAGCTAGATGCAAGGCCGCAACAATCCTAGGATGTAGGTTCCTTTCAATATTCTTATCCTCATTTTACAAATGAGGAAACTGAGGCTCAGAGAGGTTAAGTAATTTGCCCAAGGTCACACAGCTAGGAAGTTGCAGAGCTGAGATTTGAACGCAGGCTTTAACCACTGTGCTATGGCCCATTCTCTAATATTGATTGCATGCTACTCATTCAGTCAGTCATCAACTATTACTGACTGCTGTGTTGTGCCCAACTCTGCACAGGCCCCCGGGACGGCTCTTCCCTGCCCCCTCCTCCTGACCCAGCCTGGTGTGTACCACATGGTAGATGGGGGCTGTACCTGCTCTCACTCTCCTTCTTTTCCAGAGTTCCTCCTCCCCCACAAGCTGGCACATGTGGATATTGGCTCTGTTTTGCCTTTGACCCCTAGTGAAAGAAAATACTGAGGTAACGCCTGACTGGGGAGCATGGACACAGGGAGATGCAAATGGGGTGCCAGCTGGGGCCAGGGCAGGGGTGGGGGATAGGGTAGGGGGTGAGGGGAGGTCTGGGAGCAGGAATCTCTCTTCGCTTCTGCCTGCATTTTTATCATATACTAATATCTATTCTTTTTCCTTTTTTTTTTTTTTTAGACGGAGTCTCGCTCTGTCGCCCAGGTTGGAGTGAAGCGGCTAGATCTCAGCTCACTGCAACCTCTGCCTCCCAGGTTTAAGCAATTCTCCTGTCTCAGCCTCCAGAGTAGCTGGGACTACAGGCGCATGCCACCATGCCCTACTAATTTTTTGTATTTTTAGGAGAGACAGGCCTTCACCATGTTGGTCAAGCTGGTCTCGAACTCCTGACCTCAGGTGACCCACCGGCTTCAGCCTCCCAAAGTGCTGGGATTACAGGCATGAGCCACCGCGCCCAGCCTCATATCTATCTTTATCACTCCATTTCAGATCTTCTTCCATATATGGCTCTGTGTGTCTCCTGTCCTTCCCTGTCTCCTCACTGCTTTTCAGCTGGTAGACCCCTGTGGGGACAACAGATCAGAGCTTGGTCACCAATATGGACATCTAGGTCTGAGCAGGGCCCACTCCCCGGGGGCGCATCAGCTCCATCCCGGCACCCTTTACACTGGCCTTCTCTTCACAAAGGACCACAGGTCATCCTCAAGCCTTCCTCCCAGGCTATCCTTGTCCCTGAATACTAATGTCTAAAGGTCAGCCCAGCTACCAGCAGTGTGCATGTGATGTGTCCCATCTCCCCTTCGGATTGGAGGAAGAAGCTGTGTCCCTCCCATCAGACAGACGGTCTCCTTAAAGGTAGGCATTGCGTCCACTCGTTCAGACAGAGAGCTCTCTGAAGTCAGGGAGTGTGTCTCCCATACCAGATTGGGGTTCTTTGAGGGTATAACGTAGGTTTTCCCATCAGACTAGGAGCAGGCCTGTGTCACCTCCTTCCTCTAGATTCTCCTGGTCTCCAGCTTGGGCTCTGCTGGAAAGAAGAGGAAGTATTTAGCAAGGGTGAAGGTATGATGCCCTCCCCACCATCCGTCTCTCCCTCCAAACCTGTTCAAACTGGAACTTTAACATTCACCCCCAATCCAGTAAGCTCAACTTCCTTGAGTCCCTCTTCAGTCCTGTCCTCTCTTTCCCAGATGGGTTCTTACTTCCCTGAGGCAACCAGAGATAAGAAAAGACCAGAATATGAATATCCAGCATTCCACAAAGAATCCTACAGGCAGGGATATTGCCCAATCACCAGTGCCTCGCATCCCAGTTCTATCCAAGATCCAAGCTTGATATCCTCCTGAAAGACTTCCTGAATCAGGTCACCAACATGGACATCTGAACTTCCAGAATCAGGTCACCGTCTTTCTTCTCATCTCTGGATGTATTTGGAGCTCATTTGTCTGACGGTTTTTGAATGCTATCTTTTAAAAATAAACTTTTACAATTTGGGTTTAATAATTCTAGATTTATAGAAAAGTTGAAAAGAAAGTACAGAAAGTTCCCATATATCCCTTATCCAGTTCTCTTAATGTTAACCTCCTACATCATCATGGAACATTTGCCAAAATGAAGATGTCAACACTGGTGCTTTGCTGTGAACTAAACTCCAGACTTTATTCGGATTTCATGAATTTTTCTCCTAAGGTCCCTTTTCCGTTCCGGCATTCCACCCAGGATATCACATTGCATTTGGTGTTTGTGTCTCCTTGGTCTCCTCTGGTTCTTGAGAGTTTCTCAGTCTCTCCTTGTTTTTCGTGACTGAAGTTTCAAGGAGTACTGGTCAGGTATTCCATAGAATGTCCTACTGTTAGCTTTCAGCAGTAAAAGCCTTTCCACAAACAAAACCTTCTGCAGAGTCCTAATCTGTGAACAGACAAGAATGGAGTTGCCATGGTCACAGCAGTGATGAGAAATGATCCCCTGAATATGAATCTCCATGAAACCCCCCGAGAATTATAAGAAACCCCCAGGATACCATGGAACCAAGTTTGAAAACCATTAATTTAGGCCAAGCTCTGTTCAGTACTTGGTTTTGAGCTATAAAACCCTAGACAGGGAATTATAAACTAGATCTTAGATCTTACATACTTCTGGTGACAGGGCCACCACAGTTTTTTTGTTTTTTGTTTTGTTTTGTTTTTTGAGGCAGAGTCTAACTCTGTTGCCCAGGCTGGAGTGCAGTGGCACAATCTCAGCTCACTGCAAACTCCGCCTCCCAGGCTCAAGCGATTCTCCTGTCTCAGCCTCCTGAGTAGCTGGGATTAGAGGTGTGTGCCACCATACCCAGCTAATTTTTGTATTTTTAGTAGAGATGGGGTTTCACCATGTTGGCCAGGCTGATCTCGAACTCCTGACCTCAGGTGATCCACCCAAGTCGGCCTCCCAAAGTGCTGGGATTACAGGCGTGAGCCATGGCGCCTGGCTGCATTGGTCTACTCTTCAGATGACATCATGTTAATTGGACCAGAAAAGTGCCAAGGAGCCTTGGTAAGTGCATGCATTCCAGGGGATGGGAAGAAAAAAACTCCTACAAAGATTTAGTGTCTTACTAACATCAGTGAGATCTTTAGTGGTTTGGTAGTCAGAAGCATGACTAGACATCCCCTCCAAAGAAAAGGAGAAATTCTTGCCCAGCAGATAAGAAAGCTCATCTGGTAGGCCTCCTCAGACTCTGGAGAAAACATATTCTACCTTTGGGAATATGTTTTACAGGTGACATTAAAGGCTGTCAAATTTGAATGAGACACAGAGCAAGAAAGAGCTGTTCAACAGTTCCAGGTGTGGTGCAAATGGTCCTGCCACTTGGCCCTTAAGACCCACAGACCCTATGGCATTGGGGGTATTTGTGACATCAAGAAAAGCTGACACCACAATAGGAGAATTACAATGCAGACCTCTAGAGTTCTGGGGGGTTATTTACTAGTCAAAACCAGCTTATTGCATGCTACAGGACCCTGGTAGAAACAGAACACCTAACCAAGGGACATCAGGGGACCAGAGCCGCCCATCATGAGCTGAGTCCTGACAGATCCTACATCATCCCATGAATATCCTCCAGACTGAGCTGTCCAGGTTTCTGCTCATTACATGTCCTGGGTCTCTCTTGATGCCCCTTATGTGTCTATCAAGGTCCCTCCCACTTAACATGTCACTCAGCCAAGGATGCACTCTTCCAGCTCTAGGTGGCCAGAGACCAGGGTAACAGGACAATTCCCCCCACCCAACTACATTTCATGGTTCAGACGACAGACTTAATGGCTATAGAATTTTCCTAAAGTGTGGTTCATGGACCACTGGGGGGGTCCCTAAAGGTATACAAGTGGTCCATAGGAAACCTCTAAGGAAAAAAAGGATGGAATTGCTCTACTCATAAATCTGAAATGCAAAATTGATTAATTGATTAAGATTCTTGCAACAATCCCATCTTGTACATTTATCTATCTATCTATCTATCTATCTATTTATTTCAGAGACAAGTTCTCACTCTGTCCCTCAGGCTGGAGTGCAGTGGTGTGATCATAGCTCACTGCAGTCTTGAACTGGGCTCAAATTACCCTCCTGCCTCAACCTCCTGAGTAGCTGGGACTACAGGCGCACGCCACCATGTACAGCTAATCCTTAAATTTTTTTTAGAGATAAGCTCTCACATTGTTGCCCAGGCTGGTCTTGAACTCTTGGGCTCAAGTAATCCTCCTGCCTCAGCTTCCCAGAGCACTGAGATTCCAGGCGTGAGCCACTGCACCCAGCCCCATTTTGTTCTTAATAACTGTCACATTCTCCAACGTTGTGCATCCTCTAATTTGAATTTGGCTGATCCAGCTTGGGCAGATCATCTCCAGAGACATATTTTCATGTCACTTATGGGTTTTTGGTTATTATTTTTGTGATGTGTAATATCCTCAACCCAAATAATAAGCCAGTGATTCAAAAGTGGTTAATTAAAGCCTAAGAAGAGTGAGAAAAATAGTAACCCAAATACTACAACTGAGAATAGTGTTATAAAAGTAAATACGTAGTGTCCAAGCATATGGCTGGGCTAAAAAAAAAAAAAAGGAAGAAAGAAGAAAAGTAAATACATAGTGAACAAGCATCTAGTTCAAAAATATGTAAATCTCTGAGAACTGGGACACATCTGACAATTTCACACAAGTAGCTGAAAAAGTGTAAATAGTGAGTATGATGTTGAAGATCTGAACTTAACTTTACTGGACTGGTGATCTATTCCATTTTAATCCCCAGTGAGTTGTGTGTTATGAAACTTTGTCAAATAGTGGCATAAAGCCATCAAGATTTTCACATCATTTTCAAACACAGCACAGTGACCTTTCTGGTAAACCATCAGAGACTTTTCTTTTTTTTCCAGAACAAGAGCAAAATAAGCTTTCCAGGACAAAATTAATGGATTTTCCCCCAGTAAAGGCAGGAAGAAAAACAAAATGACAGAGGCAGCATTTAAAAGTGCACTCCTCTTAGTAAAACACAGCTACAAAGTAATACTATCTGAGAAGATTGTAACACAGCCGTGTTATTAATGATACACATTTCTCTCACAGAGAATGAAAAACCAACTTTTGGCAAATTTCCTTTATCAAATGACAGTGTTGGATATCACGTGGTGTCAATTGCAAATATTATGAGAAAATAGTTTGATTTTAATAAATCCGGCTATCTTATACTCCTCATTGAAAAATGTAAGTTTTTGCCCAGTGATAGTTTGTGTAATACCAAAATTTTAAAAAAGATAATGACATTTTATTCCTCTAAGGTGAGGTTTGAACTGTCAGTTATTACATATATTGTCATCTGAGCAAGCTGTTTAAGATCTTAGAACTGATCTTCAGTGGCCTAGTCAATGACTTAAGGAAATGGTTTCATTTCATCTTTTTCAAACATTCTTGTGGCCCCATGTGAAGCTGGCTAAAAATCAATGATGTGCTGCTGGGTCTGGTGACTCATGCCTGAAATTCCAGCATTTGGGAGGCCAAAGCGGGTAAATTGTTTGAGTCCAGGAGTTCAAGACCAGTCAGGGCAACATGGCAAAACCTTGTCTCACAAAAAGTACAAACAAAATCATCCAGACATGGTGGTGCATGCCTGTGGTTCCAGCTACTGGGGTGGGGTGGTGAGGAGCTGAGGTGGGAGGATCACTTGAGCCTGGGAGGCAGAGGCTGCAGTGAGCTGAGATCATGCCACTGCTCTCCAGTCTGGGCAACAGAGTGAGACTCTTTCTCAAACAAAACAAAACAAAACCAAAACCCCCCCCATTTCTCCACTCAAGGCCACTTCTGAGATCCTGAGTGACTTGCTCAAATGGCAATATATTCAATATCTGTATTGTCCAGACATCACCAATTACAATATTTACTGTTGAGGAGCAAGTTAGCAGAATTTCTTAAAACCAAACAGCAGTATGACTGCTCCATTTTTATTTTGATTCTTTTTCAGCACTTGGTGATTTTGTTTCTGAGCAGGAGAAAGGAATCGGTGACATATTATTAAGACTATTTAAAAACCACATCCAAACATTACTCAGAACTTAAAGAATTCTTTCCGGAGTCAAATTCAACCAAAGAAAGGATTATGACTCTGCTTGCTCCCCCCCACCGCCGCCCCCCTCTCCCTGGGTGAAATACTTAGTCTTCTGGCTTTTGAAAGCTTTGTACCTGTTGACCTAATGTCCGAGAGAGGGGAGAGCAGTCTTTAGGAAGAAAGAGGTCTGTGATTTCTGAATTCTTGTTTGGTCTGAATCCAGAACCATCTGTCAGAGCCACCAAACATTTGCTGCCATTTCTAATGACCTATAATTGTGGTTTAGGATTTTTCTAATTTGGTACGAATAAGGAATAAGAAAAGAAACTGACAGGATATGAAAACTCCTTATGGCTCCTACTGTCACACAGGGCGCAGACGTACTGGCGGAAATTTTCAGAAGGTATCATCACCCTCCCTGATATGTAACAATTATCCTTCATGTTACTTTTACACAGTTGCATTTCAAAAATGATTTTAGAAATACACTGTTGTTTTAAAACTTGTTTAAAGTGGGTGGTTGATGTATGAGCTCAATGCCCAGTAAGGGCTGCTGATGTTGAGTGTGAGAACACTCCCGTTGCTGCCGAGGCTGCATTCCATGGCAGATAAAGAAATCCCATAGGGAATCCAGGGAGGCCCCTAGGATCCTGTGAGCCCTGCTTGTCCAGCGCAGCCCTGCTGTGTTAGCTGAGCTGACCCTTGTCACAGCCTTCTGGTGGGTCACTAGCTCTTGCTCAAACAAAAGCAATGCTCTGCTCCATGTCCAACAGCTCTGTCCCAGCTGTTCTGCTCAAAGTCCAGTGAGGAAAATGCTAGTATCCCCATTTTATAGACGAGAACCCAGAAGCTCAGAGAGCTTCTCCCCAAAGCCACCCAGCTTGGAGGGGAGAGGCTAGGAGAGGACCCAGAAACTTTTTATGCTCCTTGCCCCAAAGACTCTTTCCCCCAGACTTGGATGTCTGCAAAAAGACCTAAAGGACAGTGTCCAGAATGCTCGGGTTTACTTAGGACTCAGGTCCAGACGCCTGCTTACATTGTCTCAATCTTTACAACGGTCTTCACAATGAGATACATGGGTCATTAGCTCTGCTTTACAGATGAGGAAACCGAGGTTCAGAGAGGTTAAGTCACTTGCCCTTGGTCGCATTGCAAATGAATGGCGACTTCTGCTTCAAACTGAGGTCTGGCAGCTAAGTGTGGGCTTTTAACTCTCCGCTGCAAAATGGCCATCAAATGGGGTTCTCCCTTAATATCTCTCCACCTGTGGATTCTCCCCGAGCGCCGTCTCCTTCCTCCTGCCTTGCAGTCTCTGCAAACTCCTGCCACAGCCTCCCAGCTCCTCTCCCTGCCCCTCCCTCCTAGGGCCCAAGTCTTTCTCCGAAAGGCAGCAGCCAGAGTGGTCTTGCCACCAGGTGCCTCATCCTTCCTCCCCGCTCTGCCTCCTGCGCCGTGGTCCCCTCCCACTGGGGAGGACCCGAGCTCCCCAGTCACCCCCAGGCCCTGCCGCTCAGGACTAGCTAACGTGCTCTCACTGCCTTCCGGCCTTCCAGCCACCTCCGTCCCCCAGCGCTCCCCTCCTGAGCCCCGAGGCCCCGGGCATCCTGCCCAGCGCAGACCCTGCCCTGCTCTGCTTGGAACAGGCCCCTCTCCACCTACCATCCCACCCCCCGCTCTCCCCTAGGCGTTTCTGGCTACACTTCTCTTCAAAAACTCCCTTGGGTCCCTGGCCGTCCCGCTCTGCTGCAGGGTCTCTCCCAGCGCCCCGCTCTGCCTGGCTGCCCACTCCCATCCCACCCTCCTGAGGATCCTCTCTGGGAGGACTGGGGTACAACTGTCAGGTTCATCCTGGCTCCTAGCACAGTGCCTGGCGCACAGAAGGAGCAGTGCAGTCGCGCTATGAGAGCTTGGCCTGCGGGCTCAGACTTCCAGTTCAAATCCCAGCCGCTCCTTCTCCCAGCGGTGTGACTGTGGACAAGTTACTTCCCTTTTCCGTGCCTGAGTTTCCTCATCTCTAAAATGGGGATCATAGATCTTGTTCATAAGATTGTGAGAACCTAAAGTAGGTAGAACAGTGCCTGGTGGAAGTAAGCATGTAGCATGTATTAGATCAATTATCATTCCTCAAGTAAAGTTGTTAGTTTACTTTCCTTTTCAGCCCACTTCCCTCTCCTGAGGGCCTCATGAGCCTCTGAAAGTCTGGCTCCACCCCTCCCCGCTCACTCGAGGGAGGTTTCAAAACCCAAGGGGTGGATTCTGTCTTCCACCACATCCCCCATACCAGAGAAGCTGTGCCATCTCCTAGCTCTAGCTCAGAAATTCTAAAACTCAAGAGAGTTCTGGAAAGAGCTGTGGACTTGGAGAGAAAAGCCCTATCTCCTGGTCCTGGTTCTGCCCGCCACATAGCTGTGTGACTTTGGACAGGTTGCTTTACGTCTCTGAGCCTTAATTTTTACTCTTGTGAAATGGGAATAATCCCAGCCTCACCTCCCCCATAGGGTTGTCCCAGTGCTTGATTGCATAATCTGGAGACAGGGTATTTTGTCAACCAAGGCAGGGTGAAGAAATGCAGGGCCTAGTAACCACAGGGTTGGAAGGGAAGACCAGGGCCAAGCCTGCAGGTGTCTCTGGTCAGGGATGTGCCAAGGGTGTGGCCACTGGGCTCCGGGCTGGGTAGCAAACTGTTAGGTGGCGCCGATTGGGAATAAGCCTGGGCCCAAGCTTTGTCCAAAGTCACTCAAAGACTTCTGCTTGGTCACTGTCTCCCTGCCACCCGCTCTTGCCACTTCTTCAAAAGCACCTTCAAGTGCTTCTCAGGCCCGCAGAACGCCCACTGGATCCTGATGCCCAGAGGCCCTGCCAAGTCTGACTGCCAGCCACAGCTCTCCCCACCCCTTTCCCACTCTCAACTCCAGCCCAGCTGAATTAGGAATTTCCTAATATTAGTCATGATTTTTTCAGTTGCAAGTGCCAACAGCCTAATTCAAAGTGGCTTAAACAGAAAATTAAAGCTATTTGGCTTATTTAACCAAAAAGGTAGGTACAATTGGATCTATCGGCTAAAATAAGATCAAGAAGACTCAGTTTCTCTACCTCTTCTTTTGCTTTTCTCTGAAATAGCTTTTCTTCTTGGACAGCTTGGCTCTGTGCGGTGGTCTCACCCAGCTGCCTCAGGCTTATTTTCTAAAAGCTAAGCAACCCCAGGAGAAAAACAGAAACTCTTTCACAATAGTTTCAAGAGGGAAAAAAAAAAATCCCAAGATTTGCCAGGCACGGTGGCTCATGCCTGTAATCCCAGCACTTTGGGAGGCTAAGGTGGGCAGATCACCTTACGTCAGGAGTTCGAAATCAGCCTGGCCAACATGGCGAAACCCTGTCTCTACTAAATATATAAAAATTAGCCGGGGGTGGTGGCAGGTGCCTGTAATCCCAGCTACTCGGGAGGCTAAGGCAGGAGAATTGCTTGAACCCAGGACATGGATGTTGCAGTGAGCCGAGACTGCACCACTGCATTCCAGCCTGGGTGACAGAGAGTCTGTCAAAAAAAAAAAAAAAAAAAATCTCAAGATTTGCCCGTATTGGATGGACTTAAGTCATGTGCCCGTCTCTAAACCAGTGACCATGGCTGGCGGATGAAATATGCTGGTTGACTTGGGCATGTGCCTACACCAGCAAGGCATTGACCAAGAGTGGGGGAAGGGCAGTTCCCCAAAATAAAATCTGGATGCTGTTTCTGGAAGAAGGAGAAACAAATGCTAAGGCAGGTAGAAACACTCAATGTCCAAAACATTCCCCCTTGGCTGCTAGCATATATACACACACGTACTTTTCCCATACACATAATTTTTATAAGCTTTTTGTTACCATTTTTTTCTTTTTATTTGGAAATAATTTCAAGTTTATAGAAAGGTTCCAAGAATAGTGCGAAGCAGTTTTGTTTCCTGAAGCATTTGATGGTAAATTGCCGACACGATATTCCATCACCCATGAATATTCTTATGTGTAAATCCTACAATAATGTTCACCTAAACAACCACAATGCAACCATAAAAATATAAACACTTTACTACAATTTATTTATGTTGTGCCATTTGTCCCAAATATCCTTTGTCACAAAAAGACCCAATCCAGTATCATACAGTGCATTTATCTTCAGTCTTTCCTTGCTGTTCATGACCTTGTAAATTTTGAGGATCACAGGTCATGATTTTGTAGAGTGTCTCTTGGTTTGGGTTTGTCTGATGTTTCCTAATGATTAGATTCAAGTTATGAACTTGAGGTAGGAATATCACAGAAGTGATGCCATGTTCTTCTCACTGCATCTTATCGGGTGGTGCATGATTTCAATTTGCCCCATTACTGATGATGTTAACTTCGATTGCTTGATTAAGGTGGCATCTACAAGGTCTATCCACTGTAAAGTTACTCTTTTCCCATTGTTTTCTGTGGGGAGGATCTCAAACTATATCAAGTCCCATTCCTTATCCAATCTGTACCCATTAGTTTAATTTAATTTTTTTTTTAAGACAGAGTCTCACTCTGTTGCCCAGGCTGAAGTGCAGTGGCATGATCTTGGCTCACTACAATCTCCACCTCCGGGGTCCAAGCGGTTCTCCTGCCTCAGCCTCCCAAGTAAAGTAGCTGAGATTACAGGCACATGCCACCACGCCCAGCTAATTTTTGTATTTTTAGTAGAGATGAGGTTTCACCATGTTGGCCAGGCTGGTCTCAAACTCCTGACTTCAAGTGATCTGCCCACCTTGGCCTCCTAAAGTGCTGGGATTACAGGCATGAGCCACCACACCCAGCCTGCACCCATTAATCTTAGAATCCATTGAGGGCTTTTGCCTGAAATATTTTTTTAAATTATATTTGTTGCTGTCTTAGTTTGAACTGCTGCAACAAAGTACCACAGACTGGGTGGGCTTATAAATAATAGACATTTACTTCTCATTGTTCTGGAGGTCATGGCGCCAGCACAGTCAGGTTCTGGTGAAGGCCTTTTTCCAGGTTGCAGATGGCTAACTTCTTGTTGCATCTTCACATAGCAGAAAGAGAGCTTGAGAGCTATCTGGGGTCTCTTTCATAAGGCACTAATCCCATTAATGAGAGCTCCACCCTCATGACCTAATGTATTAGTCCATTTTCTCACTGTTAATAAAGACATATGCAAGACTGGGTAATTTATAAAGAAGAAGAGTTTTAATGGACTCACAGTTTCACATGGCTGGGGAGGCCTCACAGTCACAGAGGAAGGTGAAGGAGGTGCAAGGCACGTCTTACATGGCAGCAGGCAAGTCAGCATATGCAGGGGAACTTTACCTTTATAAAACCACCAGATCTCATGAGATATGTTCACTATCATGAGAATAGCATGGGGAAAAACCTGCCCCCATGATTCAGTTACTTCCTACTGGGTCCCTCCCACAACACGTGGGGATTATGAGAACTACACTTCAAGATGAGATTTGGGTGGGGATACAGCCAAACCATATCATTCTGCCCCCGCCCCCTCCCAAATATCATGTCCTCACATTTCAAAACACAATCATGCCTTTCCAACAGTCCCCCAAAGTCTTAACTCATTTCAGCATTAACCCAAAAGTCCAAGTCCAAAGTCTCATCTGAGACAAGGCAAGTCCCTTCCGCCTATGAGCCTGTAAAATCAGAAGCAAGTTAGTTGCTTCCTAGATACAATGGAGATGCAGGCATTGGGTAAATACACCCATTCCAAAGGGGAGAAATTGGCCAAAACAAAGGGGATACAGGCCCCATCCAAGTCTGAAATATAATAGGGCAATCATTAAACCTTAAAGTTACAAAATTATCTCCTTTGACTCCATGTCTAACATCCAGCGCTTGCTGATGCAAGGGGTGGGCTCCCATGGCCTTGGGCCACTCCACCCCTGTAGCTTTGCAGGGTACAGCTACCCTTCCATCTGCCTTCATGGGCTGGCATTGAGTGCCTGCAGCTTTTCCAGGTGCATGGCGCAAGCTGTCAGTGGATCTACCATTCTGGGGTCTGGAGGTTGGTGGCCCTCTTCTCACAGCTCCACTAGGCAGTGTCCCAGTGGTGACTCTGGGTGTGGTCTCCAACCCCACATTTTCCTTCTGCACTGCCCTAGCAGAGGTTCTCCATGAGGACTTTGCCTCTGCAGCAAACTTTTGCCTGGACATCCAGGCATTTCCATACATCCTCTGAAATCTAGGCAGAGATTCCAAAACATCAATTCTCGACTTCTGTGCACCTGCAGGAAAAACACCATGTGGAAGCTGCCAAAGCTTGGGGCTTGCACCCTCTGAAGCCACAGCTATACCTTGGTCCCTTTTAGGCACAGCTGGAGCAGCTGAGACACAGGGCACCAAGTCCCTAGGCCGCACACAGCAGGACATCCTGGGCCCAACAAAACCATTTTTTCCTCCTCAGCCTCCAGGCCTGTGATGGGAGAGGCTGCCACAAAAGTCTCTGACATGCCCTGGAAACATTTTCCCCATTGTCTTGGTGATTAACATTCAGCTCCTTCTTACTTATGCAAATTTCTGGAGGAGGCTCGAATTTCCCCCAGAAAATGGGTTTTTATTTTCCATTGCTTCATCAGGCTGCAAACTTTCCAAACTTGTAAGCTCTGCTTCCTCTTCAATGGTTTGCCATTTAGTAATTTCTTCCACCAGATTCCCTAAATCATCTCTCTCAAGTTCAAAGTTCCACAGATCTCTAGGGTAGGGGCAAAATGCTGCCAGTCTCTTTGCTAAAACATAACAAGAGTTGGCCAGGTGTGGTGGCTCATGCCTGTAATCCCAGCACTTTGGGAGGCCAAGGCAGGCAGATCATGAGGTCAGGAGATTGACACCATCCTGGCTAACATGGTGAAACCCTGTCTCTACTAAAAATACAAAAAAATTAGCCAGGCATGGTGGTGGGCGCCTGTAGTCCCAGCTACTCGGGAGGCTGAGGCAGGAGAATGGCATGAACCCGGAAGGCAGAGCTTGCAGTGAGCCGAGATCATGCCACTGCACTCCAGCCTGGGTGACAGAACGAAACTCCGTCTCAAAAATAAATAAATAAATAAAATAACAAGAGTCACCTTTGCTCCAGTTCCCAACAAGTTCCTTATCTCCATCTGAGACCACCTCAGCCTGGACTTTATTGTCCATATCACTATCAGCATTTTGGTCAAAGCTATTTCACAATTCCCTAGTGCTGCCCACAAAGAAGGCTTCAAAGTAGTGACATTCCAATGGTAATGAGCACCTAACACCTACATTTTGGTTTCTAGGTATCATTTTCCACTAAAAGGAACCAGAACTCTTTGGAGAAATGGTTGGTTTCAAGGCTGGGGCAGGGAATGTACAAAATGACATCTTATATATTGCCTCGGACATCTTGTGACAGAAAGTAAGGAACTGCTCAGAGAATGATGGTGACTATTTAAATCATCTTGAGCTGCCATAATAAAACACCACAGATGGGAGGCTAACATAAGTCATTTATTTTCTCACAGTTCTGGAGGCTAGAAGTCCAAGGTCAAGGCATTGAGAGGGTTGGGTTCTCTGAGGCCTCTCTCCTTGGCTTGCAGATGGTGGCCTTCTTACTGTGTCTGCACATGGCCTGTCTCTGTGCTTACATCCTCCTGGTGTTTCTTTCTCTTCTTATAAGGACACTAGTCCTATTGGATTGAGGTCATACACTTATGGCCTCTTTTAACCTTAATTACCTCTTTAAAGGCTATATCTCCAAATATAGTCATATTGGCGATTAATCCTTCAACATAGGAATGCTAGGGGGAGGGGACATAATTCACTCTATAGCAGGGATGAATCAAAAAGACACAGAAGCCAGCTTGAAGAGGTCTCACTGGCTGCATCTGAACAACTTGAGCATTAAAATAATAACCTTAATACTGACAGAAAGAAAGAGAGAAAGAAAGAAAAGAAAAGAAAGAAGGAAGGAAGGAGAAGAAAAGGAAAGAAAGAAAGAAAAAGAAAGAAAGGAAGTAAGGAAAGAAGGAAGGAAGGAAGGAAAGAGAAAGCTTTTTCAGTAAGTAGAATGACAGAAGGAATGATGGAATTAGATAATTATCATTTGGGACCAGGCGCAGTGGCTCATGCCTGTAATCCCAGCACTTTGGGAGGCTGAGGTGGGTGTATCACCTGAGGTCAAAAGCTACCAGCCTGGCCAACATGGTGAAAACCCGTGTCTACTAAAAACACAAAAATTGGCCAGGCGTGGTGGTGGGCACCTATAGTCTCAGCCACTTGGGAGGCTGAAGCAGGAGAATCGCTTGAACCTGGGAGGCAGAGGTTGCAGTAAGCCACGATTGCACCATTGCACTCCAGCCTGGGCAACAGAGTGAGATTCTGTCAAAAAAAAAAAAAAAAAGATAATAATCATTTTGCATCTGTCATGGACTGAATATTAGTGGCCCCCTAATATCTATCTGTTGAAATACCAACTCCCAAAGTGATAGTATTAGGAGGTGGGATATTTAGGAAGTTATTAGCTGATATGGTTTGGCTGTGTCCCCACCCAAATCTCATCTTGAATTGTAGCTCCCATAATCCCCACATGTCATGGAAGGGACCCAGTGGGAGGTAATTGAATCTTGGGGCAGGTTTTTCCTGTGCTGTTCTCATGATAGTGAATAAATCTCACAAGATCTGATTTTTTTTATAAAGGGCAGTTCCCCTGCATACACCCTCTTGCCTGCCACCATGTAAGATGTGCCTTCGTTCCTCCTTCTTCTTCCACCATGATTATGATGCCTCCCCAGCCATGTGGACTCTTGGACTTACACCAGTGGTTGGCAGGGACTCTTATGCCTTCAGCCACAGACTGAAGGCTGCATTGTCGGCTTCTCTACTTTCAAGATTTTGGGACTTGGACTGGCTTCCTTGCTCCTCGGCTTGCAGACAACCTATTGTGGGACTTCACTTTATGACCGTGTGAGTCAATTTGCCTTAATAAACTCCCTTTCATATATACATCTATCCTATTAGTCCTGTCCCTCTAGAGAACCCTGACTAATACAGGAATACACAATCCTACACATATTCGCAGCTACATTTCTTTATTTACCTGTATATATTGAAAACTATGGATTCCTACAGATGCCTCCAATTCCAGTCCAACACCACAGGGTTCATTCTAGTTTTCTCTCTTTCCCTATTTGTAATGTCCTTCTCCAACAATGAGAAACCTGGCTTCTATTATCCTTAACATATACAGTTATTTGATAAATCCCCCTCTTTGTAACCACTCTTTACCACTCTCCATCTCTGCTGCCACTTCCTTTTCAGGTGGATGCCCTCCTTACTCTTCTTAGGCTCTGGTACCCCCAATGTGCCCACCCCAACCCCTACATGTAGAATCGTTTTTTTTTTTTTTTAATGAGACTGAGTCTCACTCTGTCACCCAGGCTGGAGTGCAGTGGCATGATTTCGGCTCACTGCAACCTCTGCCTCCCAGGTTCAAGTGATTCTTGTGCCTCAGCCTCCTGAGTAGCTGGGATTACAGGCGCGTGCCACCACCCCCAGCTAATTTTTGTATTTTTCGTAGAGACAAGCTTTTGCCACAATAGCCAGGCTGGTTTTGAACTCCTGGCCTCAAGAGATTCACCTGCCTTGGCCTCCCACAGTGCTGGGATTGCTGGCGTGAGCCACCGTGCCTGGCCTAGAATCCTTCTTACCTCTACTTTGGTTCTGATTTCCCATGCCAGGCCATCCCCATGTAGGGATGCTCTCCTCAACTACTAGGATCTGATAAACTGTACGGGACCATTCCAACGCATGGATGCCCTCACCCCAGTCAAGCTAACTGATCATACCAGCCATCCCCTCCCCCTCCCTCATTGCCCTACTCTGGCTCTGATATCTTGTTCTGGGACACTGTGGCTCCCACTCTCATCACCATGGGTGCCAACCTCGCTCTGGCCTACCTGATGACTTCAGGGCTGAACTGTTCCAGTAAGGAAAATAGGAAAGAGTATGCAAAGGAAGGAAAGAGAAGGGAAGGAAAGAGGGAAGGGGAAAAAGAGGGGAAGAACAATTTTTTACATGCATATATATATTTACTTACTGTGAAGTGTACGAATCTTAAGTGCATATTAAGTGCATACCTCAACAAACCTTTACAAAGTGAACAATCCATGTGACAGCCAACCAGATGAAGATATGGAACATTACCCACACCTCAGACGTCTCCCTCATACCCCATCCGGTTATTGCCCTCTTCTAGATAACCAGCTTCTATCCCTATGGAACAGTTTGGCTTATTTTTAATTTTATATACATGGAAACATATAGTATATTCTTCTGTTTGGGACTAGCTTCATGGTATTTGTGAGATCTGTCCATGCTGTTGCACGTGGCAGTAGCTTGCCCTTTGCCTTTGCCTCCTATTCCATGGAATGAATATACCACAACTTCTGTATGCCCATTCTATTGCTGATGGCCCATTTGACTCTTCAAGTTTTTGTTTTGTTTGTTTGTTTTTTGAGAGACAGGGTCTTGCTCTGTGGCCAAGACTGGAGTGCAGTGGTGCAATCATATCTCAATGCAGCCTCAACCTTCCAGCCTCAAATGATCCTCGCACCTCAGCCTCCTGAGTAGAAGAGACCACAGGTGCATGCCACCACACCTGGCTAATTTTTTTTTTTTTTTGGTAGAAACAGGAGTCTCACTGTGTGGCCCAGGCTGGTCTCAAACTCCTGGCTCAAGTGACCCTCCCACCTTAACCTCTCAAAGTGTTGGGATTACAGGCATAAGCCACCGTGCCTGGCCCTCTTCAAGTTTTTTTTGCTTGTTTGTTTTGTTTTTTTTACCATTAGAAGTAACGTGGTTACAAACTTGCACATGCCCCTTTAATGCATATATAGGTGCACTTCTATTTGGCATATACTTGAAAGTGAAATTGCTGGGTTGTAGAGAATGTATATGTTCAGCTTTAGTAGTTATTGCCAGAGTTTTTTCTAAAGTGGTTGCAGAAATTTACACTCCTCCCATCCGTATGAGAGTCCCAGTGGCCACATCCTTATTAGTAGCATTGTCTGTCTTTTAATTTGTAGCCATTCTAGTGAATATGTAGTAGTATCTCATTGTGGTATTAATTTGCATTTTCTGATAAATATGTTGAATACGTTTTCATATGTTTATTAGCCAATTAGATATCTTATTTTATGAAAAGTATATTGAATCATTTGCCCATTTTCTGAAAAAAATTGGATTGTCAAACTTTTTTTATTTTATAAGATATTTTAAATAAGTTCTGGACACAAGTCCTTTGCTAAATACATATATTGAAAATATCTGCAGGACATGGTGGCTCATGCCTGTAATCCCAGTGCTTTGGGAGGCCGAAGTGGGCAAATTGCTTGAGTCCAGGAGTTCAAGACCAGCCTGGGCAACATGGCAAAACCCTGTCTCTACTAAAAATAAAAAAAAATTATCTGGGTATGGTGGTGCGTGCCTGTGGTTCCAGCTACTCAGGAGGAGGCTGAGGTGGGAGGATCACCTGAGCCCAGAAAGTTGAGGCTGCAGTGAGCCATATACTCCAGCCTGGGCAACAGAGCGAGACCTTGTTTCAAAAAGAAGGAAGGGAGGGAGGAAGGGAGGGAGGGAGGGAGGAAGGGAGGGAGGGAGGAAGGAAGGAGGGAGGGAGGGAGGGAGGGAAGGAAGGAAGGAAGGAAGGAAGGGAGGAAGGAAGGAAATATCTTTCTGTGGCTTGCCTTTTCACTCAGTGATGTCTTTTGATGAACAGACGTCCTTAATTTTACTGAAATCCAATTTATTAATGTTTTCCTTGTGGTTAGTTGTGTGTGTATGTGGGTCTTGTTTAAGAATTTTGTGTCTAATACCAAGATCATGAACATATTCTCCTTTGTTAGTCTCTGTATTCTAAAATGTTCTTTTTTCTTTTGCAATTCACAATTACTCTTTAAAAATGTACTTCTAATTTTTACCAAAAGTATATGTGTGCATAATTTAATTTAGATGCCAGGAATCTATGGGGCAGGTTAAAAAAGGGCAGTAGTCCCGTCCTCCTTCATACTATCTCCTTCTCCCCAGCGCCAGTGATCTTCAATGCGATCAGCTATTTTTTATATAGATATTCTCTGTATCTCGAAATAACTTGCTTTCATTATGACTTCTTGATATTTCAATTTGGGAAATCATCTTTTGACTTCCCAGTATGGAAGATGAGGATTTAGTTCTCTCTCAATCTCTCTCTCTCTCTTTTTTTTAAGACAGAGTCTTGCTCTGTCGCCCAGGCTGGAGTGCAGTGGCACAATCCAGACTCACTGCAACCTCTGCCTCCTGAGTTCAAACGATTCTCATGTCTCAGCCTCCCAAGTAGCTGGGATTACAGGCAAATGCCACCATCCCCAGCTAATTTTTGTATTTTTAGTAGAGACAGAGTTTCACCATATTGGCCGGGCTGGGCTCGAACTCCCGGCCTCAAGTGATCTGCCTGCCTCAGCCTCCCGAAGTGCTGGGATTACAGGTGTGAGCCACTGTGCCTGGCTGATTTACTTCTCTTTGACTCCTAACCTTTACCACATTCAGTCACACTTCCAGTCGTACCAGCCTCCGAATGTGGTTGCATGATAATTTTGGTTAGCCAATATTCAGTGTGTACCTTACTATAACTACATAATCGTCATTCTTATCTGAGCTGTGTCGTGTGCTATGATCACTTCTGCTCTTTGTTCTCCTGGAGTTCATACTTTTCTTGTGTTGTTGGTGATGTTCATTTAGTTTTCCGTGTAATTACCACCATTTCAATCCCAGTGGTCCAAATCGCCCGTTAGGATGTTCAGACACATCAAGAATTCTGTTCGGTTCCTTTTCTTGAAGCAATCTCTTCTGAAGGCTTTCTATCCATCCTAATCCAACTGGTTGCTCTCCAGCCCAGGTGAACAGCCCTCAAGCTGTAATCTCCTGAACCATCCTTCCAAGACTGGATTCCCCCTTTTCATAAAGCCCATGTCTTCCTCTTCCGTGTTTTATTCTCTTGTTTTTTCAGGAGCTCATCCTCCAATAGATTTGTGAGAAGGTGTACATCTGAAAATGTCTTTAATCTACCCTTACATTTGAATGATAATTTTACTGGGTATACAATTTTAGGTGACAAATAACTTTTTTTTTTTTTTTCCAGAATTTGGGAAGTCTGTTTCTATTGTTCTTCACATTTTGATTAATGACCTACCTAGAACTAACTTTTCTTTGTGGTCTAAAGTAGTGGTCAAAGTTCATTTTTTCCCACATGAATATTAAATGTATGCAGTATCATTTGTTGAAAAGGTCATTCTTTCCTTATGTCATTTCACTGGATCATATAGCTGTGGGCCTGTTTCTGAACTCTTTGTTGTGTCCCATTGGTCTATTTGTCTGTAAGTTTTGCCAATACCAACTGTTTGCACTACTAGAGTTTTGTAATAAGTCTCACTAACAGGTAGTTTAAGCCCTTCATTTTTGTACTTATTTATGATGATTAGTTTTGGCCTTTTGCATTTCCCTATACATTTTAGAATCAGCTTGTCGATTTCCACCAAAATGTAATCCCAGCACTTTGGGAGGACGAGGCAGGTGGATCACTTAAGGTCAGGAGTTGGATACCAGCCTGGCCAATATGATGAAACCCCATCTCTACTAAAAATACAATAACTAGCTGGGCGTGGTGGTGGGTGCCTGTAATCCCAGCTACATGGGAGGCTGAGGTGGGAGAATCGCTTGAACCTGGCAGGCGGAGGTTGCAGTGAGCCAAGATTTTGCCACTGCACTCCAACCTGGGTGACAGAGGGAGACTCCATCTCAAAAAAAATAATAAATAAAAATAAAAATAAAAAAGAAAAGAAAAGAAAAAGAAAATAACCTTCAAGGATTAAAAATGTTTTTATAAAATAGATTTATTGAGATGTAATTCACATACCACATGATTCACCCATGTAAATAAGTGTATAATTCAATAGATTTTTAACATATTTACAGAGTTGTACAGCTGTCACCACAATCAATTTTACAATATTTTCATCACCCTCTAAGAAAACCTCCATGCCCATCAACAGTCATTCCCTTTTCTCTCCCACTCTACCCCCAACCATAGACAATCACTAATTCTATTTTTCTGTCTTTATAGATAAGCCTGTTCTGGATATTTCATATAAATGGAATCATAAACATGTGGTCTTTTGTGAGTAGCTTCTTTCATGTGGCATAATGTTTGCAAAGTTGATCTATGTTGTAGCCCCTGTCAGTACTTCAATCTTGTTCACAGTTGAGTAATATTTCATTCCACGGATATACCACATTTCTTTACCTATTCATCTGTTTTTTCCACATTTGGGCTATTACGCATAATGCCACTTTGAACATTCATGCACAAATTTTTGTATGGACATATGTTTTCATTGAATATATACCTAGGATTAGAATTGTTGGGCCACAGGTAACCTTATGTTTATCCTTTGGAGAAAATATAAAACTGTTTTCCAAAGAAGTTACACCATTTTACATTCCTACCAGCAGTAAATGAGGTTATATTAGGTTGTATTGAATCTGTAGGTCAATTGAGGTGAGAATTGACCACGTTATAACATGACACTAGCAATCTATGAATACAGCGTATCTCTATGTATTTTTTAAAAGGTCTTTGTCCCTTCATTAATATTCTATAGTTTTCTGTATCAAATCATGAGCATAGGCCAGGTGTGGTGGGTCATGCTTGTAATCCCAGCACTTTGGAAGGCCAAGGCTGAGAGGATTGCTTGAGCTCAGGAATCTGAGATCAGCTTGGGCAACATGGTGAGATCTCATCTCCAGTAAAAACAAACAAACAAAAATTATGAGAATATTTTGTCAGATTTATTCCTAGGTGTTTGGGATTTGATTTTTTTCATTGACTTTTTTTTCATTCTCTAATTGCTATTGCCCACTTTTGGAAAGTTTTCAACGTCAACCTTGTTTCCAGGAACCTTGCTAAATTTAATAACTTACAGCATATCTGTAGTTCTAGGGTTTTGTTTGTTTGTTTGTTTGTTTGTTTTTTGAGACAAAGTCTTGCTTTGTTGTCCAGGCTGGAGTGCAGTGGTGCAATCATGGCTCACTGCAGCCTCAACCTCCTGGGTCCAAGTGATCCTCCCATCTCAGCCTCCCAAGTAGCTAGGATCACAGGCATGCACCACCACACTTGGCTAATTTTTTAATTTTTTGTAGTCTCCCTATGTTGCCCAGGCTGGTCTAAAATTCCTGGCTGCAAGTGATTCTCCTGCCTTGGCCTCTCAAAGCACTGAGATTTCAGGCATGAGTCACTGGGCTTGGCACATATCTGTAGTTTTAAAAAATGTTCTACCTACATAATCATGTCATCAATGAAGAGCCACAGTTTTATTTTTTTCTTTTCAAACCTTACACTTTTTATTTCTTTTTCTTGCCTTATTGCACTGGCTAGGACTCCAATACAATATTGAACAGAAATGGTGGTGGTGGGCATCCTCAATTTGTTCCACTCTCAAAGGGATGATTTTCAATACTTCATGCCATAAAATGTAAAGTTTGCTGTGTTTTTAAAATTCACTATCAGATTAAGAAAATTTCCTTTTATGCTTAACTTGCTAAGAATTCTTATCATGAATAAATGTTGAATTGTTATCAATTGCTTTTTAAACATCTACTGAAATATGATTTTGTTCCTTTATACTTTTAATGCTGTGATTTATATAACTGGTTTTCAAATGTGAAGCCAACCTTACATTTCTGGAATGAATTAAAATTTGTCATGATGCATTATCATTTTTTATTTAGTACTAAATTTGATTTGCTATTATTTTTGTTTAGGATTTTATGTCTGTGTTTTGAAATAAATTGTTCTGTAATTATCATTTGGTGTAATGTCCTAGTTCGGTTTTAATATCAAGGTTATGCTGCCCTCATCCAAAAAGTTAGGAAGTGTTCTTTCTATTCTCTGAAGGAGTTTGTGTTAAACTGGTATTATTTCTTTATTTAATGTTCGGAAGAATTAAGCAGCTAAGCCATCTGGAAGTGTTTTTTGTAGGAAAATGTTTAATTTCTGATACAATTTTTCTAATAGATGTAGGACTATACATGGTGTTCCATAAGATTTGTTGTGTTTTTCAAAAATTTTGAGCATTTTATCCAAAATTTCTAATTTATTAGTGCAGAGTCATTATAGTATCATAATATCTCAATTGCCTGTAGGATGTGCAGTGGATGGATTCACAGCAAAACTGAGCAGAAGGGTTCTTCTGCCCCTCCTGGTGCTGCTTGTGTGCTTGTTCAGTGAGGACCTGGTACCTCTTTTGTGAAGCAGCATCTGAGGACACTCTGGCGCTCGCCATGGCCCATGAAAAGCCCGAGGAAGGAGTAAAGACTGAGAGCAATGATTATATTGATTTGAAGGTGGTGGGGCAGGATGGTTCTGTGGTGCAGTTTAAGATTAAGAGGCATACACCACTCAGTAAACTAATAAAAGCCTATTGTGAATGACAGGGATTGTCAATGAGGCAAATCAGATTCCAATTTGACGGGCAACCACTCAATGAAACAGAGACAGCTGCACAGTTGGAAATGGAGGCTGAAGATACAGTTGATGTGTTCCAACAGCAGATGGGAGGTGTCTACTGAGAAGGGAAACTGCTTTTTTTTTTTTTTTTTTTTTTTTTTCCCTGAGACAGAGTTTTGCTCTTATTGCCCAGGCTAGAGTGTGCAGTGGCACAATCTTGGCTCACTGCAACCTCTGCCTTCCGGTTTCAAGCAATTCTCCTGCCTCAGCCTCCCAAGTCACTGGGATTACGGGCGCTCGCCACCACGCCCAGCTAATTCTTTTGTATTTTTAGTAGAGATGGGGTTTCACCATGTTGGTCAGGCTGGTCTCGACCTGCTGACATCGTGATCTACTGGCCTCGGCCTCCCAAAGTGCTGGGATTGCAGGCGTGAGCCACCGTGCCCGGCCCGAACCTGCTTCTTTACCACAGAACTCAATTCTTTAAAGACCAAGATTACGAGATTACATTCTCAATTAGAAAACTGCAATTTGGTTCCACCCAATCCTGACTATTACAATATAGTTTTCTCTATTATTTGATTTCCCCCTTCCCAATTTCTTTATTGTACATAAAGTAACTGATATATGTGCACAAGCATAGTGCATTTTTTTAAACTAAACAGCCAATGGTATGTTTTGATTGGCATCAAGTGGAGACGGGATGGGGAAAAATACTGATTCTGTGAAAATACCCCCTTTCTCCATTAGCGTCATGTTCATTCAGCTCCTATCTTTATATTCCAGTAAGTTATTTTGCTCTCACTGTTTTAACAACAACAACAAAACATAAAAATCCTTGCATACCTGTTCAGTTGGAGAATTTTAATGTTTTTCATTTATCATTGTAAAACCAAGGACAATTTTATAACTTTTTTGTACATAGCTGTTACAGGTAGGGTAATCTGTCTTTAAGTAGGGAGAAATTGCTCTAAAAAAAAAAAAAAGAATCCTAGATAGTTTTCCCTTCAAGTCAAGCATCTTGTTGTTTAAATAAACTTCTTGTTTTTTAAAAAAAAACTGAGCAGAAGGCACAGAGATTTTCCATAAACCCCTTGTCCCCATATAGTCTCTGCTACTATCAAAATAGTACATTTGGGCGGGGAGCAGTGGCTCACACTTGTAATCCCAGAACTTTGGGAGGCCGAGGTGCGTGGATCACCTGAGGTCAGGAGTTCAAGACCAGCCTGGCCAATGTGGTGAAACCCTGTCTCTAATAATAATACAAAAATTAGCTGTGCGTGGTGGTGTGTGCCTATAATCCCAGCTACTTGGGAGGCTGAGGCAGGAGAATCACTTGAACCCAGGAGACAGAGGTTGCAGTGAGCCGAGATCATGCCATTGCACTCCAGCCTGGGCAACAAGAGCAAAACTCTGTCTTAAGAAAAAAAAAAAAAGTACATTTGTTGCAATAGATGAACTCATATTGATACATTATTATCACCCAAAGACCATAGTTTATATTAGGGTTCACTCTTGGTGTTAAGTATTCTGAGTTTGGACAAATGTATATGATATATATCCACCACTGTAGCATCATACAGAATAGTGTCACTGCCCTAAAAATCCTCTGTGCTCTGCCTGTTCATCCTTATCTCTCCCCACCCCTGGCAACCACTGATCTTTTACTAGGTTTTGCCTTTTCCAGAATGCCATGTAGTTGGAATCACACAGTAGGTAGCTTTTCCAGATTGGCTTCTTTCAGCTAGTAATATGCATTTAAGTTTCCTTCATGTCTTTTCACCGCCTGATAGCTCATCTCTCTTTAGCACTGAATAACATTCCATTGTATGAATGCACTGCAGCTTATTTATCCATTCACCTACAGAAAAACATCTTGATTGCTTCCACGTTTCAGCAATCACAAATAAAGCTGCTATAAACATTCATCTGCAGGTTTTTTGTGTAGCATAAGTGATCAACTCATTTGGATGAATATCAAGGGACAAAATTGCTAGATCGTATGATAAGAATGTGTTCAGTTTTGTAAGAAACTGCCAAACTGTCTTTCAAAGTAGCTGTGCCATTTTGCGTTCCCATCAGCAACAAATGAAAGTTCCTGTTCCATATCCTTGCCAACATTTGGTGTTGTGAGTGTTCTGGATTTTGGCCATCCTAATATGTATGCAGTGGTATCTCATTGTTGTTTTAATTTGTAATTCCCTAATTACATATGATGTTAAGCATCTTTTCTTATATATAATTGCCATCTGTATGTCTTCTTTGGTGAAGTGTCTGTTTAGATCTTTTGCCCATTTTTTAATTGGATTGTTTGTTTTCTTATGGTTGTGTTTTAAGAGTTCTTTGTACATTTTGGAAGAGTTGTTTATCAAATATGTCTTTTGCAAAAAAAGACAATCCCCATCTGTGGATTGTCTTCTCATTCTCTTAACAGTGTCTTTTGCAGAGCAGAAGTTTTTCATTTTATTTAAGTTCAGCTTATCAATCTTTTCTTCCATGAATCAAGCCTTTGGTGTTTTATCTAAAAAGTAATCTCAAGATCATCTAGGCTTTCTCCTGTGTTATCTTCTGTAAATTGAAGATACATAATTTTGCATTTTATTTTTTCTTCACTTTTGAAGAATAATTTCACAGGTCCCAGAATTCTAGGTAGATGGTTTTTCTCTCACAACACTTTTTAAATACAATCATGCATCACTTAGCAACAGGGATACATTTGAAGAAATGCATCATCGGGTGATTTCATTGTTGTGCAAACATCATAGAGGGAACTTACACAGAGCTAGATAACAGAGCCTACTATACACCTAGGCTGTGTGAGATAGCCTGTTGCTCCTAGGCTATGAACCCGTACAGCACGTTACTGTACTGAATGCTGTAAGTGACTGTAACACAATGGCAAGTGTCTGTGTATCTAAACATATCTCAATGTAGAATAGCTGCAGTGAAGGTATGGTGTAATAATCTTATGGGACCACCGTACGATTGTATGTGGTCCATCATTGATCGAAATGTCTTTATGCGGTGCATGATTCTATTTTACTCCACTCTGTTCTTGCTTACGTGGTTTTTGAGGAGATGCCAGATGTAATTGTTATCTTTGCTCCTCTATGAGGAAGTTGGTTTTTTCCTCTGGTTTCTTTCAAGATTTTGTATTTATCTTTGATTTTCTGCAGCTTGCATAGGATATGCTTAGACTTTTTTTTTTTTTTTTTTTTTTTTTGCTTTTATCCTGCCTCGTGTTCTCAAATTCTTCCTGGATCTGTAGTTTGGTGCCTGACTTTAATTTGGGAAATTCTCAGTCATTATGGCTTCAAATATTTATTCTATTCCTTTATTGCTTCTCCTTCTGGTATTCCCATTATGTGTATGTTACACCCTTTGCAATTGTCCCACAGTTCTTGGATATTCTATTCTGGGCTTTGTGTGTGCATGTGTGGTGCATGTATGTGTGTGTTTTCAGTCTTCAGAAAGAAGACTGTTTTCTCTTCTGTTTTGGGAGGTTTCTATTGACATATTCTCAAGCTCAGAGATTCTCTCCTCAGCTGTGTTCAGCCTACTGATGAGCCCATCAAAGGCATTCACCTTTTCTGTTATGGTGTTTTTGATCCCTAATATTTCCTTCTGGTTCTTTCTTAGAATTCCCATCTCTCTGTCTACATTGTCCATCTGGCCTTGCATGCTGTACGCTTTATCCATTAGCACCCTTAGCATATATATATTTTTGAGACCAGAGTCTAGCTCTGTCACCCAGGCTGGAGTGCAGTGGCACAATCTCGGCTCATTGCAACCTCCGCCTCCCAGGTTCAAGTGATTCTCCTGGCTCAGCCTCCCAAGTAGCTGGGATTACAGGTACCCGCCACCACGCCCAGCTAATTTTTGTATTTTTAGTAGAGACAGGGGTTTCACTGTGTTGGGCAGGCTGGTCTCAAACTCCTGACCTCAGGTGATCTGCCTGCCTCTGCCTCCCAAAGTGCTGGGATTACAAGCGTGAGCTACTGTGCCCGCCCCCCCCTTAGCATATTAATCATAGTTATTTTTAAATTCCTGGCCTGATGATTCTAACATCCCTGCCATATTTGAGTCTGGCTCTCATGCTTGCTCTGTCCCTTCAAACTATGTTCTATTATCCTTCAGTATGCATGTCTCGTAATTTTTTTTTTTTTGGATAGCAAGACATGATTGATGTGCTGAGCAAAATAAACTGCAGTTTCTTTAGTAATGTAGTGGTAAAGTGTGGGAGAGGGGAAGTGCTCTCTAACCGATGATTATCTCAATCTTTTAAAGAGCCTGTGAAATTGTAGGCTCTGAAAAAAAAACAAACCCCAATAGTTTAGGCTCTGGTAAAATAGTTCCTCTTGAGGGCAGGCCTTGTGAAGCTGAACAGAATGCTCTGGCATATTTCACATGAGAACCTGGTTAACCTCCTGGAGGTAAGTAAAACTTACAAAAGTGTGTGTGTGTTGGGGGGTCCCTCCTGTAACTAGGTTCTCTCTGGAATTTTTTTTTCCTTTGAGATGGAGTCTCGCTCTGTCGCCCAGGCTGGAGTGCAGTGGTGCAATCTTGGTTCACTGCAACCTCTGCCTCCTGGGTTCAAGTGATTCTCCTGCCTCAGCCTCCTGAGTAGCTAGGATTACAGACATGTCCCACTATGCCCGGCTAATTTTTGTATTTTTTTTTAGTAGAAATGGGGTTTCACCATGTTGGCCAGGCTGGTCTCGAACTCCTGGCCTCAGGTGATCCGCCCAGCTCAGCCTCCCAATCTGCTGGGATTACAGGCTTGAGCCACCGCACCTGGCCTCCCCCTGGAATTTTTAACTCTCAGACTTGTTCACATTGAGCCTCCAACAATTCATCAATTACAGTTCAGGTCTGGTTCCCGGGGGGATTTTTGCTGATGTGTTTCTTCTCCTCTGGTAAATTGTGATTCTCCATCTCCACCTGTCTATTTCTCCAGTTTTGAGTACAGCAGCTTTCCCTGTGATGAATCCAAGAGGAAGTTGTTGATTTTTCAGTTGGTTCAGCTTTTTACTTGTTGGCAGAGTGACAACTTACTTCCAAGCTTCTTACATGTCAGAATGGAATCTTCTTCTCCTCCTTCTCCTTCTTGGCAGAGTCTCACTATGTTGTCCAAGCTGGCCTCAAACTCTTGGGCTCAAGCAGTTCTACTGCCTCAGCCTCCTAAGTAGCTAGAACTACAGGTGCATGGCACCATGCCCAGCCTCTTCATCTTTTAGAGAATATTTTCACTTGTCTAGTTTGCCAGTTATTTTATAGCATTTCAAATATATAATTTTTTTTTTGATTCCGAATCTCACTCTATCACCCAGGCTGGAGTGCGGTGGTGTGATCTTGGCTCACTGCAACCTCCACCTCCTGGGTTCAAGCAATTCTCGTGCCTCAGCCTCTCAAGTAGGTGAGATTACAGGCGCCTGCCACTATGCCTGGCTAATTTTTGTATTTTTAGCAGAGACGAAATTTCACCATGTTGGCCAGGCTGGTCTCAAACTCCTGGCCTTATGTGATCATCCCACCTTGGCCTCCCAAAGTCTGGGATTACAGGCATAAGCCATCGTGCCTGGCCTTCAAATACATCATATAATTGTCTCCTGGTTTCCATCATTTCTCTGAAATTATTAGGTGCCAATCTTACGTATTAAAGATAGCATAAAGTTGAGTCTTGTTCTTTGTTTTATTTTATCCAGTTTGATAATTCGGTCTTAGAATATTTAGATAATTTACTTTTGATGTAATTGTCAACATCATTGGGCTTAAATCTACCATCTTGCTATTTTCTATTAGCCCCATATATACTTTACTTCTTTTTCCTATTTTTCTGCCTTCTTTTGAATTAATTGAATATTTTAAAATATTTATTTTATCTCTACTAATGTCTAATTACCTATACTGCTTTAAAATTTGTTAGTATTTGTTCTAAGGCAGTGGTAAGCATATGCCCCATGGCCTGTTTTTTATGGTCCATGAGCTATGAATGTTGGGTTTTTTTTAGTTATAAACTTTATTTTTAGAACAGTTTTAGACATGCAGAAAATCATGAACATAGTACAGCATTTTTATACATCTTGTATCCAGTTTTCTTTATTATTAGCATAGTATATTAGTTACAATTAATGGATCAATAATGATACATTATTATTAACTAAAGTTCATACTCTAATCATATTTTCTTAGTATTTTGTTTGTTTGTTTTTTGAGATGGGATCTCACTCTGTCACCCAGGCTGAAGTGCAGTGGCATGATCTCAGCTTATTTGCAAACTCTGCCTTCCGGGTTCAAATGATTCTCCTGCCTCAGTCTCCCAAGTAGCTGAGATTACAGGTGCCTGCCACAGTGCCTGGCTAATTTTTGTATTTTTAGTAGAGATGGTGTTTCACCATGTTGGTCAGGATGGTCTCAAACTCCTGACCTCAAGTGATCTACCCGCCTCAGCCTCCCGAAGTGCTGGGATTACAGGTGTGAGCCACAGCACCTGGCCTGATTTCCTTAGTATTTTTTAAACTGTGGTATAATACATTTAACATAAAATTTACCATCTTCACTATTTTTAAGTATAGAGCTCAATAGTGTTAAGCATATACACACCATTGTGCGACCAATCTCAACTTTTTCATCTTAAAAAATTAAAACTCTATGCTATTAAACAATTTTCCATTTCCTCCTGCCTTCAGCCCCTGGCAACCATGATTCTACTTTCTGTTTCTCTAGATATCCTAGGTGTCTCATGTAAGTGGAATCATAACAGTCTTTGTCTTTTTGTAACTGGCTTATTATTTCACTTTGCATAATGTCTATGTTGTAGCATGTGTCAGAATTTCTTTCCTTTTAATTTTTATTATTTATTTTTTATTTATTCATTTTTTGAGACAGAGTCTCACTCTGTCCCCCAGGCTGGAGTGCAGTGGCGCGATCTCGACTCACTGCAACCTCCGCCTCCTGGGTTCAGGTTATTCTCCTGCCTCAGCCTCCCGAGTAGCTGGGATTACAGGCATGCACCACTACCCCCAGCTAACTTTTTCTATTTTTAGTAGAGACAGGGTTTCAGTGTGTTGGCCAGGCTAGTCTCAAGCTCCTGGCCTCAAGTGATCCACCCGCTTCAGCCTCCCAAAGTGCTGGGATTACAGGCCTGAACCCCCGTGCCCAGCTGCCTTTTTAACACTGAATAATGTTCCATTGTATGGATATCGCACACTTTGTTTACCCCTTCATCTGTCAATGAATGGACACTTGGGAGATTGCCTTAGTTTTAACCTAATGTCTATTTTCTGACCCAGGATCCCATCCAAGATATCACATTTATTTAGTCATCATATCTCCTCAGGCTCCTCAAGTCTGTGACAGTTTCTCAGACTATCCTTTTTTTAATGACCTTGATGGTTTTGAGGAGTATTGGTCAGGCATTTTATAGAACATCCCTCCTTTGGGATTTACCTAATGTTTTTCTCATGGTTAAACTAGGGTTATCGGTTTTACGAAGGAAGACTACAAAGGTAAAAGTGCCATTTTCATCACATCAGGTCAAGAATACATACCATCAGGCCGGGCGCAGTGGCTCACACCTGTACTCCCAGCACTTTGGGAGGCCAAGGCGCGTAGATCACTTGAGGTCAGGAGTTCAGGACCAGCCTGGCCAACATGATGAAACTCTGTCTTTACTAAAAATATAAAAAATTAGCTGGGCATGATGGAGTAGGACTGTAGTCCCAGCTACTTGGGAGGCTGAGGCAGAAGAATCGTTTGAACCTGGGAGGCGGAGGTTACAGTGAGCCGAGATCGCACCACTGCAGTCCAGCCTAGATAACAGAGGGAGACCCTGTCTCAAAAAATAAAATAAAAAAAAGTACATACTGACAACCTGACTTATCATCATCATTATTATTATTATTATTATTATTGTTGTTGTTGTTGTTGTTGTTGTTGTTTTGAGACAGAGTCTCGCTCTGTGGCCGGGCTGGAGTGCAGTGGTGCGATCTTGGCTCACTGCAACTTCCACGCCCGGCCTGACTTCTCATATTGATATTGACTTTGATCACCCAGCTGAGGTTAGCATTTGCCAGGTTTCTCTAAATTTACTCATTTCTCTCCCTTTCCACACTGTAATCTTTGGAAGGAAGTCTTTATGCCAGCTCACATTTAAGGAGTGGGGAGTTATGCTCCACTGGTTGAGGGCAGACTATCTACGTAAGTTATTTGAAATTCTTCTGGCTGAGAGATTTGTTAAGAATAAGTTTTACGGCTGGGCGAGGTGGCTCACGCCTGTAATCCCAGCACTTTGGGAGGCCAAGGCAGGCGGATCATGAGGTCAAAAGATCGAGACCAGCCTGGCCAACATGGTGAAACCCTGTCTCTACTAAAAATACAAAAATTAGCCGGGCATGGTGGCTCGTGCCTGTAGTCCCAGCTACTTGGGAGGCTGAGGCAGGAGAATCAGTTGAACCCAGGAGGTGGAGGTGGCAGTAAGCCAAGATTGTGCCATTGCACTCCAGCCTGGAGTCAGAGCAAGACTCCATCTCAAAAAAAAAAGAATAATTTTTATTTTTATTTTTTTTGAGACGGAGTTTCGCTCTTGTTGCCCAGGCTGGAGTGAAGTGGCGCGATCTTGGCTCACTGCAACCTCCACCCGCCAGGGTTTAAGCAATTCTCCTGCCTCAGCCCCCCGAGTAGCTAGGATGACAGGCACCCGCCACCATGCCTAGCTAATTTTTTTGTATTTTTAGTAGAGACGGGGTTTCTCCATGTTGGCCAGGCTGGTCTGGAACTCCTGACCTCAGGTGATCCACAAGCCTCAGCCTCCCAAAGGGCTGGGATTACAGGCTTGAGCCACCGCTCCCAGCCTACTTTTTACTTTTTTTCCCCTCATGTCAGATCATCAAATGGGTATGTGCTGACGTCCACATCGTAACAAGGTTGGAGGGAGGCACGTCTTACACATGACCATGAATACCTGATCCTTATGCTTACGAACAGCAAAAGAATCTCTCTCTCTGTTTTTGAGAGAAAGTCTTAACTCTCTCACCCTGAGTGAAGTGCTGTAGAGCCATCATAACTCACCGCAGCCTCAAACTCCTGTCCTCAAGCAATCCTTTCACCTTGGCTTCCCAAAATGCTTTACATTTTTTAAAAGTTGAAATGGGTGGGGGCACAGTGGCTCACGCCTGTAATCCCAGCACTCTGCGAGGCCAAAGACAGGCGGATCCCTTGCGGCCAGGAGTTTGAGACCATCTTGGACAACATGGTGAAACCTTGTCTCTACTAAAAGTACAAAAATTAGCCAGGTGTGGGGGTGCACACCTTTGTCCCAGCTACTCGGGAGGCTAAAGCATGAGAATCACTTGAACCTGGGAGGCGGAGGTTGCAGTGAGCTGAGATTGTGGCACTGCACTCCAGCCTGGGCAACAGAGCAAGGCTCTGTCTCAAAAAAAATTTTTTTAAGTTGAAATGATTCAAAAGAATAATATTTTGGGGATATATGAAAATGGCATAAATTCAAATTTCAGAGTCCACAAATAAAGTTTTATTGGAACACAGCCATGCTCACTCATTTAAATATTTTCTACAGCTACTTTCTTGATAAAACAGTAGAGTTAATCGTTGCAAAAGAGACTGTATGGCCTTCAACACCTGACATATTTACTATCTGGCCCTTTACAGGAAAAGTTTGCCAACCCGTGCTCTAAGGTTTACAATACGCATCTTTAGTTTATCACAGTTTTCCTCCAAACAACATTATATCACATCATGTAAAAGTTAGAAACATAAACTAGCATATTTTCTTCTTCTTTTTTTTTTTTTTTTTTTGAGACAGAGTCTCGCTCTGTCACCCAGGCTGCTGGAGTGCAGTGGCATGATCTCAGCTCACTGCAAGCACTGCCACCTGGGTTCACGCCATTCTCCTGCCTCAGCCTCCCGAGTAGCTGGGGCTACTGGCGCCCGCCACCACGCCCGGCTAATTTTTTGTATTTTTAGTAGAGACGGGGTTTCACCGTGTCAGCCAGGATGGTCTTGATCTCCTGACCTTCTGATCCGCCTGCCTCGGCTTCCCAAAGTGCTGGGATTACAGGCGTGAGCCACCGCGCCCGGTTAAACTGGCATATTTTCTTTTCGCCCCTTTATGCTTCATGGTATTGTTATCATACATTTTATTTCTACATATGTTATAAACCCCATAGTACATTGTTATGCTTTTTTCTTTAGGTAGCTGATGATCTTTTAAACTAAATTTTAAATGAGAAAAATATATTTTACATTTACTCACATATTTTCCATTTCTTGTTTTATTTATTCCTTTGTGTAGCTCCAAGTTTCCATCTGGTATCACGTTCCTTCTGCCTGAAAAACTTTCTTTAACATTTTTTTTTCTTTTTTTTTTTTTTTTTGAGACAGAGTCTTACTCTGTCCCCCAGGATGGAATGCAGTGACATGATCTTGGCTCACTGCAACATCTGCCTCCTGGGTTCAAGCAATTCTCCTGCCTCAGCCTCCCTAGTAGTTAGGATTACAGGTGCCTGCCACCACGCTCAGCTAATTTTTGTATTTTAGTAGAGACAGGGTTTCACCATGTTGGGCAGGCTGGTCTTGAACTCCTTACCTCAAGTGATCCACCCGCCTTGGCCTCCCAAAGTGCTGGGATTACAGGAGTGAGCCACCATGCCTAGTCTCTTTAACATTCTTATAGTGTAGGTCGACTGATGCCAAAGTCTCTTACTCTTTGTGTGTGTGAAAAAGTCTTTATTTTGCCATCATTTTAAAGATATTTTCACTTGGGTTAGAGATCTACGTTGAGAGTACTTTTTTTCTCCACAACTTAAAAAATTGTGTTCTATTATCTTCTGGCTTACGTTGTCTCTGACAATAAGTCCATGATAATTGTTATCTTTGTCCTTCCATATACAATGTCTTTTTCCCTCTGGCTTCTTTTAAGATTTTCTCATCATCTCAGATTTTCAGCAGTTTGATTATAATGAATCTTGCTGCCGTTTACTATCTTTATAGTTGGTATTGAGATTCTTGGATCTTTGAGTTTCTAGTTTTCATCAAAGTTGGAAAACTTTTGGTCATTATTTCTTCAAATATTTTTCTGTTTTCCTGTTTCTCCTCTCTTTCTGGACTTCAACTACAAGTATGTGAGAGCACTTGATATATCCTGGGAATAACCATGGCTCTGTTATGTTTTTGGTTATTTCTTTCCACGTTCTTCCTTTCAGAAACTTTTTGCTGATAATGTCTTCATATATCTTCACGTTTACTGACCTTTTCTTCTGTGATATTTCATCTGCTGTTAATCCCATCCATTCAAAATACATTCAAATTATATTTAGGGCCGGGCACAGTGGCTCATGCATGTAATCCCAGCATTTTGGGAGGCCAAGGCAGGTAGATCACCTGAGGTCAGGAGTTTGAGACCAGCTGGGCCAACATGGTGAAACCCTGTCTCTACTAAAAATACAAAAATTACAAATACAAAAATTAGCCAGGCTTGATGGCAGCACCCGGATAGTTTCACCAGATAATTGGAATTAATAAAAAATGAAGAATCAAGTGGAGTCTTAGAGTGGTGAAAAAATATAATAACTGAAATTGAGAATTTATTTCACAGGACAAAAGGCAGATTAGATAGAGCAGAAGAGGGAATTAGTGAATTGGAAGCAGGTCAGTAGAAAATACTTTGCTTGTAGCATAGAGAGAAAAAGGAAAATTGGTGAAATAGGAATCCATTCCCTCTTCTGCTCTATCTAATCTGCCTTTAGTCCTGTTAAATAAATTCTCAATTTCAGTTACTATATTTTTTTCCACTCTAGGACTCCACTTGATTCTTCATTTTTTATTAATTCTAATTGTCTGGTGAAACTATCCAGCTGCCCACCACCAAGCCTGGCTAATTTTTGTATTTGTAATTTTTGTATTTTTAATAGAGACAGGGTTTCACCATGTTGGCTGGTCTCAAACTCCTGACCTCAGGAATTTCACTAGCTACTCAGGAGGCTGAGGCACGAGACTCACTTGAACCCGGGAGGCAGAGGTTGCAGTGAGCCAAGATCACACCACTGCACTTCAACCTGGGCTAGGTTTAAAAAAAAATCTATATTTAGATTTTGTGATTTTCATCTCAAATATAATTTCAATTTGTCAGTCTATGGTTGTTTCTTTGGAGAAATATGCTTTTGTTTTCTTGGTGCTTTCCAGATTTTTCCCTTTGAATTTAATATTTTGCAGTTTAAGTACAATGTGCCTAAGTATGATTTCTTTGTATTAAACCTGTTTAGCTTGATGTCTTGTGTTAGTTATAGAAAAATTTTGGCCAGTAATATTGTCTCTACCCCATTCTCTCTCTCTTCTCCTTTTTGGACTCCAGAAATACCTATGACAGAAGTTTTTATTGTGCTGCATATAATATTAATGACATTTTTGTGTTCTCTACCCTTTTTCTGTCTATGCTACAATCGAAGTATTTTCTACTGACCTGTCTTCCGATTCACTAATTCCCTCTTCTGCTCTATCTAATCTGCCTGTAGTCCTGTGAAATGAATTCTCAATTTCAGTTATTATATTTTTTTCCACTCTAGGACTCCACTTGATTTTTCATTTTCTATTAATTCCAATCATCTGGTGAAACTATCCAGCTTTTCATCTATTTTCTTATACAAAGTAATGATAGTTAGTTCAAAACTCCAACTGATAACTCCAGTATCTGGATCTCCTGTGAGATTGTATTTTCTATGGTTTGCTTTTCTCTTGGTTTTCAGGTATTAGTCCAGTTTCTTCTTCACATGCATGGATGTTTTTCAATCCCTTCTAAGTCATAGTAGAATTTTTTTTAACTTTGAAGCAGTCTCAAATGTACAGAAAGATCACAACTATAGTACAAAGAACATTTTTCCTGAAATCATTTGAGATTAAGTTGCCATCACCACTCAAACACTTCCATTTGTAATTCCTATGAACAAGGACATCCTCCTAGGTAACCATAAAACTACCATCAAAATCAGGAAATTAACACTGGTAGATTACTGCCAGCTAATCCACAGCACAGACTCTATTCAAATTTCACCAGTGTGCCCAATAATGTTTTTATGGCAAAAGGATCCAGTACAGTATCACATATTCCATGTAGTTCTCAGTTATCTCTGGTCTTTTTAAATCTGGAACAGTTTTTTAATCTGTTCTTAACTTCGATGACACTTTCATAGATTATGAGCCAGTTATTTTCTAGAATGCCCCTTAATTTGGGCTCATTCAGTGTTTCTCCATGATTAGATTCAGGTTATGTATTGTGTGCAGGAATATCACAGAAGTGATGCTGTCTTTCTCACTGCATCCTATAGATGGTACATGATTCTAATTTATCCCATTGCTGTTCATGTCCACTTTGGTCATTTGATTAAGGTGGTGTCTGATAGGTTTCTCCCCTGCAAAGTTACTGATTTTCTCTTTGTAATTAATAAGTATTTTGTGGAAAGGTGCTTTGAGAATAAGTAAATAGCCCATTCCTCAACAAACATCCCACGTATTCATGTATTTACAACAGTATAGAGTCATGGATTCCTATTTTATTCTGTAAGTTATAATCCATTGATATTATTATTTATTGTGACGCTCAAACTTTCCAGCTGCAGCCAGTGGAAGCCCCTTCTAGCTGGCTTCCGTATTGTTTTGACACGTCTCCATTGCTCATTCTTTGAGCACTTTTCTTTTCTTTTTTTTTTTTTTTGAACAGCTTTATTGAGGTATAATTCATGTATGTTACAATTCACCCATTTAAAGTGTACAATTCAATGGTTTTAAGTGTATTCACAGATACGTGCCACCATCACCACAGCCAATTTTAGAACACTTTCATTACCTCTAAAACAAGTCTTGTAACATTTAGCTATCATCCCCCTATCCTCCCACCCACTCCAGCCCCTGGCAGCTACTAATCTACTTTCTGTCTCTGTATATTTCCTTATTCTACATAGTTAATACAAATGGAATCATACAATATGTAGTCTTTGGTAACTGGCTTCTTTCACTTAGCATAACGTTTTTGAGGTTTATCCAGGTTATAGCATGTACAATTACTTCATCCTTTTTTATGGCTGAATAATATTCCATTGTAAGACTGTACTATATTTTGTTTATCCATCCATTGCTGGGCATGGGGGTTGTTTCTAACTTGTGGCTATTATGAAAAATGTTATAAAAATTCACATACAGGCATACCTCAGAGATATTGCCAATTCAGTTCCAGACTGCCACAATAAAGCGAACATTGCAATAATGTGAGTCACGTGAGTACTTTGGTTTCCCAGTGCATATAAAAGTTATGTTTGGCCAGGCACAGTGGTTCACTCCTATAATCCCAGGACTTTGGGAAGCCAAGGCTGGCAGATCACTTGAGGCCAGGAGTTCGAGACCAGCCTGGCCAACATGGTGAAACCCCGTCTCTACTAAAAATAGAAAAATTAGCCAGGTATGTTGATGTACACCTATAATCCCAGCTACTCAGGAGGCTGAGGCAGGAGAATCGCTTGAACCCAGGAGGCAAATGTTGCAGTGAGCCAAGATCGCACCACTGCACTCCAGCCTGGGCGACAGAGTGAGACTCTGTCTCAAAAAAAAAAAAAAGTAATGTGGGAGGATCACTTGAACTCAGGAAATCAAGACCACCCTGGGCAACATAGTGAGAACTCATCTCTATTTAAAAAAAATAAAGAAAGGAAGGAAGGAAAGAATGAAGGAAGGAAAGAGAGAAAGAAAGAAAGAAAGAGAAAGAAAGAAAGAAAGAAAGAAAGAAAGAAAGAAAGAAAGAAAGTAAGAAAGAAAGAGAAAGAAAGAAAATACATTATTGCTTAAAAAAAAGAAAAGTTAACAATGTTAACAATCACCTGAGCCTTCAGCAAGTCATAATCTTTTTGCTGATGAATGGTCTTACCTCCATGGTGATAGCTGCTGACTGGTCAGGGTGGTGGCTGCTGAAGGTTGGGGTGGCTGTGGCAATTGGCAATTTCTTAAAATAAAGCAACAGTGAAGTTTGCTACATCGATTGACTCTTTCGAGAAAGATTTTTCTGTAACATGTGACACTATTTGAAAGCATTTTACACCAGTAGAACTTCTTTCAAAATTGTAGTCAATTCTCTCAAACCCTACTGCTGCTTTATCAGCTAAGTTTATGAAATATTCTAAATCCTTTGTTGTTGTTTCCACAATGTTCACAGCATCTTCCCCAGGAATAGATTCCATCTCAAAAACCCACTTTCTTGGCTCATCCATAAGAAGCATTTCCTCATCTGTGCAAGTTTTACCATGAGATCGCAGCAATTCAGTCACATCATCAGGCTCCACTACCAATTCTAGTTCCTTGCTATTTCAACCACATCTGCAGTTACTTCCTCCACTGAACTGTTGAATCCCTCAAAGTCATTCATTAGGATTGGAATCAACTTCTTCCAAACTCCTATTAATGTTAGTGTTTTGACCTCCTCCCATGAATCATAAATGTTCTCCATGGTATCTAGAATGGTGAATCCCTTCCAGAAGCTTTACCTTGCCCAGATCCAGCAGAGGAATCACTATCTCTGGCATTTCCTATAGCTTTAGGAAATAAATTCCTTCAATGATAAGACTTAAAAGTAAAAATTACTCCTTGTTTTGTGGGCTGCAAGATGGATGCTGTGTTCGCAGGCAGGAAAACAACATTAATCTCCATGTACATCTCCATCAGAGCTCTTGGGTGATCAGGTACATTGTCAATGAGCAGTAGTATCTTGAAAGAAATCTTATTCTAAACAGTAGGCCTCAACAATGGGCTTAAAATATTCAGTAAACGTTTCTGTAAACAGATGTGCTGTCATCCAGGTTTTGTTGTTCAATTCCTAGACCGCAGGCAGAGTAGATATAGCATCATTCTTAACAAGACTAGGGCTTGGGTTTTTTTGTTTTTTGTTTCAAGACAGGGTCTTACTCTATTGCCCAGGCTGGTGTACAATGGTGTGATGTCGGCTCACTGCAACTCTGCCTCCCAGTTTCAAAAGATCCTACCACCTCAACCTCCCCAGTAGCTGGGACTACAGGTGCAGGCCACCACCCCCAGCTAATTTTTGTATTTTTTGGTAGAGATGGGGTTTCACCATGTTGGCCAGGCTGGTCTCGAACTCCTGACCTCAGGCAATCCACCTGCCTTGGCCTTTCAAAGTGCTGGGTTTACAGGCATGAGCCACTGCACCCAGACAACAACCCTAGGGTTTTTGCGATGGTAATTGAGCATTGGCTTCAACTTAAAGTCATCAGCTGCATTGGTCCCTAACAAGAGAGTCAGCCTGTCTTTTGAAGCTTTGAAACCAAGCATTGCCTTCTCCTCTCTAGCTGTGAAAGTCCTAGGTAGCATCTTCTTCCAATAGAAGGCTGTTTTATCTACATCGAAAGTCTGGGAACCAGGCACAGTGGCTCATGCCTGTAATCCCAGCACTTTGGGAGGCCTAGGTGGGCAGATCACGAGGTCAAAAGATCAAGACCATCCTGGCCAACATGGTGAAACCCCACCTCTACTAAAAATACAAAAATTAGCTGGGTGTAGTGGCGTGCACCTGTAGTCCCAGCTACTCGGGAGGCTGAGGCAGGAGAATCGCTTGAACCCAGGAGGCGGAGGTTGCAGTGAGCCGAGATCATGCCACTGCACCACTGCACTTCCGCCTGGCGACAGAGCGAGACTTCATCTCAAAAAAAAAAAAAGAAAGAAAAAGAAAGTCTGTTGTTTAGTGTAGCCACCTTCATCAGTGATCTTAGCTAGATCTGAATAACTTGCTGCAGCTTCTCCATTAGCAGTTGCTGCTTCACCTTGTACTTTTATGTTTTGGAGACAGCTTATTTCCTTAAACTTCATGAACCAACCGCTGGTAACTTGTAACTTTTCTTCTGCAGCTTCCTCGTTTCTCTCAGCCTTCATAGAATTGAAGAGGCCTTGCCCTGGATTAGGCTTTGGCTTAAGGGAATGTTGTGGCTGTTTGATCTTCTATCACTAAACCTTTCTCTATATCAGCAGCATAAGGCTATTTCAGTTTTTTATCATTCGTGTGTTCACTGGAGTAGTACTTTTAATTTTCTTCAAGAACTCTTATTTGCATTCACAACTTAGCTAACCATTTGGCAGAAGAGGCCTAGCTTTTGGCCTATCTCAGCTTTCAACATGCCTTTCTTAATGAGTTTAATAATTTTTAGCTTTGATTTAAAGTGAGAGATGTGTGATTGTTCCTTTCACTTGAACATTTAGAGGTTATTGTAAGGTTATTAACTGGCCTGATTTCAATAGTGTTTTGTCTCAGGACACAGGGAGGTCAAAGAGAGGGAGAGAGATGGAGAAATGGCTGGTTGACGGAGCAATCAGAACACACACAACATTGATTGATTAAGCTTGTCATCTTCTATGGGCATGGTTCATGGAATTCCAAAACAATTGCAATAGTAACATCAAAGACCACTGATCACAGATCATCATAACAGATAGATACAGTACTAATGAAAAAGTTTGAAATATTCTGAGAATTACCGGAAGTGACAGAGACACAAAGTGAGCACATGCTGTTGGAAAAATGAAGCCAATAGGCTTGCTCAGTGCAGTGTTGGCGCTAACCTTTGATTTGTGAAAACTGCATTATCTGTGAAGCACACTAAAATGAAGTGCAATAAAACAAGGTAAGCCTGCACAAGTTTTGTACAAACATAGGTTTTCATTTCTCTTGGGTATCCTTAGGAATGGAATTGCTGGTTCCTATGATCACTCTGTTTAATCATTTCTGAGCACTTTATTTTCTGGCACAAGAGGATTCAGGCTTATCTTGTACTTTCCCTGCCTTATCCCTGTAATTAGCCATTTTGCTAAGGAGCCCTGGTTTCTTCCAGTGGACAATGGCACTTAGACATTAAGACTTGGGTGCTGTCGGAGGGTGCGGTGGCTCACGCCTATAATCCCAGCACTTTGGGAGGCTGAGGCAGGCAGATCACCTGAGGTTGGGAGTTCGAGACCAGCCCGACCAACATGCTGAAACCCCGTCTCTACTAAACATACAAAATTAGCCGGGCGTTGTGGCACATGCCTGTAATCCCAGCTACTCAGGATGCTGAGGCAGGAGAATCGCTTGAACCCGGGAGGCAGAGGTTGAAGTGAGCCAAGGTCATGCCATTGCACTCCAACCTGGGCAGCAAGAATGAAACTCCTTCTCAAAAAAAAAAAAAAAAAAAAAAGACTTGGGTGCTATCAAAGCATGATGTAAGCTGATTTAAAAAAAAAAAGGCGCTGGGCGTGGTGGTTCATGCCTGTAATCCCAGCACTTTGGGAGGCTGAAGCGTGTGGATCACGGGTGGATCAAGAGATAGAGACCATCCTGGCCAACAGGGTGAAACCCCGTATCTACTAAAAATATAAAAATTAGCCGGGCTTGGTGGCAGATTCCTGTAATCCCAGCTACTCGGGAGGCTGAGGCAGGAGAATCACTTAAACCAGGGAGGTGGAGGTTGCAGTGAGCCGAGATTGTGCCACCACACTCCAGCTGGTGACAAAGTGAGACTCCATCTCAAAAAAAAAAAAAAAAGGCTTGGGTGCTAACTACACTCATTATTATTAATATGTCATGGCTCCCAGGCCCTCTCAATGGATAAAGCCAGAAAATATCTGTATGTATACACATAAGTATACACACATTGACACATGCACACACAACATAAACACATACATACATGCATTTGCATCAATATTTATTTCTACACCTGGCTATTTTGTTTATTCTTGTTTCGTAGAGATGGGATCTCACTATGTTACCCAAGATGGTCTCAAATGCCTGGTCTCAAGTGATCCTCCCACCTCGGTCTCCCAAAGTGTTGGGATTATAGGCATGAGCCACTGCACCCAGCCTCTACATCTCTCCATGTATTTTGGAAATAATGAGTTCTTCCCATTACCTCCAATTCCAATCCAGGTGTATAGGATTACAGGTGAGAACATCAGAGAGTTCATTCTTGTTTCCTCCTCCTCTTCTCTTCTCTTCTCTTCTCTTCTCTTTTCTTTCGAGATAGGGTCTCACTCTGTCACTCAGGCTGGAATGCAGTGGCCTGATCATGCCTCACCTCAGCTTTGACCTCTTGGGCTCAAGCGATCCTCCCACCTCAGCCTTCTGAGTAGCTGAGACTACAGGAACGTACCCCTGCGTCCAGCAAATTTTTTGTATTGTTTGTAGAGACAAGGTCTCACCACATTGCCCAGGCTGGTCTTGAACTCTTAGGCTCAAATGATCTGCCCATCTTGGCCTCCCAGAGTGTTGGGATTACAGGCATAGGCCCCTGCACCCAGGCTTCTTTTCCATATTATAATTCTCTTTGCCAACAGTGAGAAACCTAGCTCACTTTTTCTCACTGGGTCAGTTCTACTGAATATAACTGTTCTGCAGTGGGCAGGTCCAGGCAAACCTATCCCCAAAGGTAATGAAGCTATTCCCAAAAGTGAGGAAGCTGAGAGGCTAAAGAAAGAGGCTGACAAACCCAGTTTCTCAGAAAGAAACATTTAACAAGGAATTAAAACGAGAAGTCACGTCTGACATCAGCAAGCAAAATGGCGGATCCCCACACTGTTGCCCCCCAACCCCAGGGCTTGTATACCACAGGGCGGCAATGTTAGGACAGTTGAAATCGGCCCCCTGGGGAAAGGCAAGAATGCTATGTGCAGATGCCTAAGGGCAAGATTTAGCTAACAGTAGTTAAAGTAGATATCTTAGACGCATCCCTGGAACTGGGGTTACTCAGAAGTCAACATGGCAGATTAGTATCCAAGATGGATTTGCTTTAGCCTCCACGGCAACCGATATCCCATGCCCTCCACCCCACCCAGACCCTCCTCAGCGATCCTGGGCTCTGACACCCTGCCCTGGGCCAGCCTACAACATGGATGCCTCTTTGTCCCTCAGACTCCAGCATGCCACGTCTTTACCCACACGGAAGCAACCCTCAGCCTTCGTGGGCTCTGACACTCTGCCTGGGGCCACCCTACCCTCACCTCCCCACATGGACGTGCTCCTCCACTCAGGCTCTGAGGTTGCACATCGAGCTCCCCCTGGATGCCCTGCCCACTCCTGCAGGAATGCCCTTCTCATCCCCCTTGAACTCCCCTTCTTGGGGCTTGGCCACTACCCTGGCCAGATGCCCTCTTCACCTTTCTCATGACTCACTCTCCCTTGCTGAGCTGGGACCCAAGTGGACATCCTCCCTACCTTGCTTGGGTTTTAACATCCCACACTGGGCTGCCCTCCCACTTGGATGTCCTCCTCTGTCCCTCTTTCTCCTGCTCTGGCCACCCCCAACATCGGCAACACCCTCCTCACTTAACTTGAGCTCCAGAACCATTTGCTGAGCCACTGCATCTCCCATCCACCCTACCCCTGGGGACCCCTGCTTACTCCACCCTCCCCAATATCTTCTGGACTGAATTGTTTTTGTTTTGTTGTGTTTAATGTCAACCAGAAGACTGAATTGTTTTTGAAGGGAAGGAAAGGAAAAGAAACGGAAGAAGAAAAAGGAGGAGGAGGGGAAGAAGAGGAGGAGAAAGAAGAAGGAAAAGGAAGAAGAAATAGAGAAGAAAACGGAGGAGAGGAGGAAGAAGGTGGGGAAGAAAGAGGAGGAGGAAGAGGAAGAGAGCTGCCTGGCCAAATTTTGTGGAATGTTGGATGTTGCGGGTGACAGACTGTAGAGGCTGTGGCTGATGTCATCTTCTTTCAGGGAGAATTTGATTGCCTCCTGGTAGCCAGATAGCATACAGGGAAGTCATCTTGATGCAGTGAAGCTGGTCTAGGTCCAGTTTGCCCTTATTCCTGGGTGTGGCTCTTTCCAGGGTCTCACCTGTAAGCCACATTGATGGAAGTAGAGACCGTGCTTGCAAAAAAAATTGAGGCTGGGGTGGGGAGGAGAGAGCCCAGAGGTGATCTGGGGGCTCAGGAGCGCAGGATGGTGGGGGGACACTAGTGTGTATTTGTCGGTGGATGGGAAGGAAGTTCATCAAGTGGGAGGTGGAGGCAGCCCAGGGAGAACAGGGACTGTGGGTGGCAGAGCAGGAGGGTAGGGCCCTCTGAGCCTGGGGGACAGCAGGGGTTGCAGGTGGGGGTGGGGGGAAGCCAGCAAGCTTGCTTGTTGGGGGTATAGGATTGTGGTAGGGTCCTGCCTACCTCCCTGTGGAGAAGCTGGAGAGGGGCAGGGCAGCCCCGGTGGTGTGGGCAGATGGAGAAGGGATGGGATGCAGTGAGGGACTGGGGCTCAGGTGGAGGAGGGGGCCAAATGTGGGGAAGAGGCTCAGTGAAGGGAGGGACCCTCCGCGGGGAAAGAGTTCAGTGAGAAGAGCGGGAGGCGTCATGGAGGCCCCATCTCTTTATCTAGCTGGGGCCATCTGAGAGCAGTGACTGTACCCCCATCCAACTCTGTCCCTCCCCCGCAACATGGAGGCCCCAGCCCAAGACTTGCAGTGGGGAGTGGGGGGGCAGCCTCCAGTGTTTGTTCTTGTCCAAGGCTGGGGTGGGGAGCAATAAGCCAAGGCCCCAGACTTTCCGCCTCATGGTGGGTGTGGGCCAGGGAGGTCCTGCACCCACTGCCCGCCCTCTAACCAGGGGGCTGAGACTTTCGCCCCTGGGTGCTGGTGCCTAGGAATGGAGGCAGGGAAAGGGCTGGGGGCTCACTCTCCCCTCCCTCCATGCACTGCAGGGGCAGGCAGTGGGACAGGCAGTCGAGCTGGATTTGTTTCTCATTCGCTCTTGGCTCCTCTGGTGGAAAAATCGAAGCGCTCCCCCTGGTACTGCTGAGGCGGAGAGGGTGAGCGTGGCTGGGAGGCTGTCCTGGCAGGGAAGTCCAGGGGCAGGCGGGGCCTGGCCGGGGAGAGGCTGCCCCCTGCTCACAACCCCCTTCCCAGCCCTCTTACTTCGACGTGGCTCTCTAGGCCCAGTGGGAAGTCCTGCCTCAGCTGAAGTGGAGGGGCCGGGCCAGGGAGGAGGTCGGACTGGGCTTGGGTTCAGCCTCAGGCTCGTAGCACCCTCCTTCCCTGGGCCTGTCTCTAGAGCAGTCTCCCAAGGGTGATTTAAAATCCCCCGAGGGTCTTCCAAGGAAGTGCTGTCAAGCTGCAGCAGGAGGGGGCCGAGTCAGACCTGGGACAGGCTTTCTCAGCATTCAGACTTTGCCTAAGTGGGAGGTGAGCTGTGTACTAGGAGGGGAGGGTTCCACAGGCAACTGCTGGATATTTCCTGAACATCCAGGGACATGAGAAGCCTTTTCTGTACATCATCCCATGTGGCCCTCACAGACACCCCAAGGTCAGTATTAGCCATCCCATTTACAAAAATTTTTTTAACACACACGGTTTTGCTCTGTTGCCCAGGCTCCAGTGCAGCGGCGCAGTCATAACTGAAGGCACCCTCTAACTCCTAGGCTCAAGCAATCCTCCTGCCTCAGCCTCCCAAGTACCTAAGACTACAGGCACAAGCCACCACACCTAACTCATTTATTTTTTTTGAGGAAGGGCCTCATTATGTTGTCCAGGCTAGTTTCAAATTCCTGGCCTCAAGTGATCCACCCACCTCGGCCTCCCAAAGTGCTGGGATTACAGGGGTGAGCCACCATGCCTGGCCCCATCCCATTTTACAGGTGAGGGACTTGAGGCTCCATGAAGTCAGGTGCCCCACTCAAGGGGCTACACAGCCTCTACGTGGCAGGGCTGGGATTTGAACCCAGTTGTGTCTGGCTCTTTCCCAAACACTGGAAAAGGCAGGCCTTTTTCCCCTCCACCCCAGGGCCCGGGAGCCCCTGAGCAGCTCCTGGGTGGGGCTGCCCCACAGGGAGACAGCCTTGGGGGAACCCAGGAGGTCTTTGGGCTGTGGCCTGTCTCTGTGGCACAGTGGGGTGCCTCGGGAGATCTCCCCTCCACCTACCCTCCTCTTGTGGAGTTGGACCCACCCCCACCCCATTTTTTCAGAGGGCCCTCACCCCAGCCCTCTCCATCCCGGTGGAAAGAGGAGCCCAACCTCTTTCCCTCTGGAATCCGCTGCCTCGGCTCTCCGATGGAGAGACCATCTGGAGTGCATTATGGGCAGAGGAGAAAGCCGAGAGCAGGAAAATGTGAGTTGGCCCCAGCAGCTCCCGTCTGCAGGGGGGCGGCGGGGGCTCAGGGGATGGGCCAACCGCTGCCTCCACCTCCCCAGTCCCTAGAAGGGGCAGATAAGAGATGTGCTCAGGAAAGGGTGGCCAGGAGAGGGCAGGGCCCAGGCCTCCAACACCCTTGCAGAGCCCAGTTTGAACCTGCTAATCTTGCCAACCTGCCCATTTCACAGAGAGAAGACTGAGGTCCAGAGAGGGGTAGTAACTTCCCCAGGGCCACACAGCAACCCTTTCACAAATATGCACATGCCAGTGGGCACTGAAAGTCTCCAGTGTTGGGGGCAGGCGGAGTTAGCGCTGGGAGTGGGAAAGAGGCCGGGGTCAGCCTCCAGAGTAAAGTGAAGGCGCAAAGCCTCATGCAAACATCGAGGAATGCCTTCATTGTTTCGAGGTCTCTCTTCCTGGCCTCCCAAGCCCACTCCCTGCCCCAAGTGCCACCCTTCCCTGGCACCTGATCCCTGAGGACGTTGGGTCCTGGGGTGGGGGCCTCTGGGCTCTTCCTCTGGGTCCCAGGAGCCCCCTCCCCACTCTGTGGCCCCAGCTCCAGACTTGGCAAGGCAAGCCGGAGTGAGGTTTCTCCACTCCCTCCCAAGTGCTGTGCTGGCGGCTCCCGAAATAAAAATCAAATGTGGGCTTGGCAAAGGGAGCGGGGTGGGAGAAGCAGCGGCAGCAGGGCTGGGGCTTCATTCTTTCCATTGTAACTTCACCTCCTAACCTCTGGCATTTTAATTATGTCTCCTACCCCCCTCACTCTGCCTGGGCCAGGGGGTGAGCTCACCCTTTCCTCTAGCCTGGGAGGGGGCAGCTGCTGCCTGGACCCCCAGTCCCCGGCCTGCTCGGGGGAATCTGGGTGGCGGCCATGCTGGGGGTGTCGGCCTCAGGCTCCCTCCAGCTTCTCCAGTCTCAGAGGGGCCTGGAGAGGGGCCCAGCCCCCAGACAGCCAGCCGACACCTCAAGTTCCATGTGTGAATCATTAGTCTTCACACCCACTGCTCCATTTAGTGGTGGCCACTGTCCTAAGGCAAGGCACGGCAGGCTCACCAGCCCATTCTATGGATGACTTAGCCATCATCGTCTGCAGGGCCAAGCCTGGGCCCAGGCCTATCGCTCCTGGTTCTGCACTCTTTCCAAACCCAGGAAGAGGGGCAAGAACAGCTCAGGCCTGATAATTTGCCTTATCTCTTCGAGTGTCCGTTTTTTTCCAATGGTAAGTGATGGAAAGCATTATTTTGATACTAAAACATACAAGGACATAGCATGGGGTAGGAAGTAAAATGCCTGTGAAAGTTCAAGGTAGAAAACAAATCCTCAAGGAAGATCTCGTGGGGCTCTCTGCAGGCGGGCCCCAGGGAGTAGCATCCTCCTCCTTGGCATGGCTGTGGACTGGAGTGAGATGCAGTCATATGTGTTTGTAGCCAGTTTGTGCAGACCCAAGGCTGCTGTGGAAGATGCCAGTGGGTGCTGGGTGCTGGGTGCTGGCAGGCAGCCTTGGCCCACCCCAGGATGCAGAGGCCTTCTTCCCTCCAAGGCCCACAGTGGGAGTCCTGCCGACTCTCTCCGTCTCCTGGGGAGGGAAACCTCCACAGGACAAGCAGCCTGTGTGGGGGTGGGGGCTGCCTCCACGGACAGTGCAGGCACAGGGCAACCTTGACTGTGAGCCCAGGGCCAGCACCCAACCACCCCAACTGAGGCTTCCTCTCCATCCTCTGGGAGGTCCCCCGCCACACTGCCTTAGAGGCCCAGCCCCTCGAGGAAGCCCTCAGTTTTCTTCTCTCTTGCCCTCCCAGTCTCCCCAAATGCATGTTCCATCAGCAAACTCTGCCCCAGGCCTTGCTACGGCCTCTGCTCTGGTGGAACTTCCGGATGAAGAGGGTGAGGCGCTATTTACCATACTGGGTGCTGTGATGGGGGAGATTAAGGTGACAGCAGCTCCGGGAAGGGGACTCCTGACCCAACCTCTGGTGTGAAGAGCATAGAGAAGGCTTCCCAGAGTGAGGGGTGACCAGGAGGAGCCCGGGAGGAAGAGCATGGAGGGCAGAGGGAGCAGCATTTGCAAGGCCCAGAGGTAAGACAGTGCCTAGGGCAGGGCCCACGGGAGCATCCGGCCTGGAGGGAGCGGCCAGGGTCCTGGGAGCTGCGCGAGCTGTTAGGGTGCATCTTAGGAAGATTTCTGGGCAGGCTGTGGAGGATGGGTTGGAAGGTAATCAGAACGGAGGTGGAGTGACCTCTTAGAAGGCTGCCACAGAGGCCCAGGTGAGAGGTGATGGTAGCCAGGCCCAGGCCAGTGGCAGCCAGGTGGAAAGAGGTGGCCAGACTGATAAGAGATTTAAAAGGCAGAAGCCAGAGGACTTGGTGACTGATGGGCAGAAGGATGGGGGCCAGTGATCTGCTCAGGCTGGCTCCTGGGCTTCTGAAGAATGAATGAACGAATGAATGAATGAATGAACAAACGAACTGGGAAACAGCACCAGATCTGAAAGCCCCAGGTTTCAGCTTGATCGTCGGGCTGGGGAGTTTGCTGCTGCACTTGCATTTGGTACACCTGCAGGGCATCCAAGTGGAGGTGCCCATGAGATGGCTGGACGCATGGAGGTGCCCTGGAGAAGGTGGAGAGAGAGGAAGCCGGCACAGCCTGCAAAGAGGCCAGAGAATGAGTAGCCAGAGCCCCTGAAGCCTCACAGGAGGAGGTCTTAGACAAGGCACAGCCAACAGTGCCAATGGCAAGAGATGAAGCAGGTGAGGCCCAAGAAGGGACATGTGTTCTAGGGACCCAGAGGCTTCTCCCTGTCCCCCAGCCTTTCCTTCTGTCTGTCCCCCAGCCCTTGCCCACCCCTCTACGCTCCCTCCCCCGGTCTTTCCCCTATAGTACTCTTTCTCTCGATCTCCTCCTCGTCTCTCAGACCAGAAGGCTCAACATCTTTCTAAGGGAAACTTCGTGCTACTCCCACCCCACTGGGGTCCTGGTTGCCCTCCCTAGCTTCTGAAATCACCCCCCACACCCCCAACAACCACCACATACACCTTTCACCAGAGACTCACCCAGCGCTTCCAGAAGCTGGGGCAAAGAGGAGCACACACGACCACCTGCCTACTGAGCAGCTCACACTTCCTCCAATGGAGCCACCACAAGGTACCGGCCTCCAGGGCAACTGCAGGCAATCCTGGCCCTCAGGGCCTTATGGCATAAAAGGGAGAGAAGCCATGACCCCAGCAGGCCTATGCAGACACAGTGAGAGAAGAGGCCCAGAGAAAAAGCTATGGACGTTTAGATCCAGTGGAGGGATCTGAGTGGGCTTCCTGGAGGTGACTCTGCGTAGGGCCTTGAAGGACTGGCAGGATTTAGTCATGTGGCAATGGGAGCAAAGGCAGTTGCAGGAAGAGGGAGTGCGGTGAGGAAAGGGGTGGAGGTGGGAACTGGGGCTGACACCAGGGCAGCCAGTGCTCATAGTGGCTGGTGGCTGAAGAGTGTGGCCAGAGGGGTGGGAGGCGGCAAGGTGGAGGGCCACATCACACAGGCTGGAATGCGGAAGGACTTTAGAGTTTATCCACTGCTGCCTCTTGACGTGGGGCTTTCAGATCTGGTGCTGTTTCCCAGTTCATTCATTCATTCATTCATTCAGGAAATATTGCTTGCTTGGTGCTAGACAAGTGCCGAAGATGCTGTGAGAGGCAGATAGAAGTCCCTGCTGTCACGGATCTTAAGTTCCAGGAAGAGACACAGATATAGAGTCGTGAACAAGTAAAGACTAAAAATTAAAATCATGATGGGGGATGCCATCATGACTGGCCACTCTGAAGGCCGGGCTTGTGTCCTGTCTCCCCTCAGACTGAGGGCTCCCTGAGGGCAGAGCCTGTGCCTGCTCCATCAGACAAAGGTAGAACCAGCTTCTCCATCAGGCTAGAAGCACCCTGAGACTCAGGGAGAGGCATGGAGCATCTGGGAACAAGAGCTGAGGTGTCCTAGAAACCTCCCAGGAACAGACCCAGGGATAGAAGTTGGCAGGCAACTGGCAAAGGACCCTCTTCCCAGCCAGGCCAAATGTGGGAGGGCTTCCCTCTCCTCCTCCCCATCCAGCCCCCGACCCCATTAAACCTTTAAATTAACTTCAGCTCCACCCCGAGCTATAGAGAGTGCCCCAAAATAAATCCTAAATTACATGCTGCTTGGGGGCAACCACAGTTCTCCTTCCTCCCTCTCCAGCAAGCAGACCCGCCCGACACCGTGCTGAGGGGGCTCCCCCAAAATGGGCTATTTATACAGCTCCTGCTCCCCTGTTTGCTCTCTGGCCCTGTTGTCCTTGAGTGAGGCCCAAGCAGGCTATACAGCTGTCTTGGGAGGGTGAAGGGAGTGGGAGAGGCTGTGAGCCTTGCCAGGGTCTGACTGGCCATGGGGGATGTAATTTTTAGTCCAAACTAGGATACTTTGGAGTGCTCGTAGCAGTTACACCCAGGCAATGACATAGGTCTGAACTGTCCTGGGCACACGGGGTATCTGGTCACCCAGCGATGGGGCTCAGACTCCAGCCTCTCAGCCACCCAGAGCATTGCCTTCTTGGGGATGAGAGAGACAGAGAGAGAGAGAGAGAAGAGAGAGAGAGATTGCCTTCATCCCCGTTGCTGAGACAAGCAGTTCTGAATATGGGGGCACTGGGGCTCCCATACCACCTGGCAAAGCAGAATGGGCTCTGGCTTCAAGGACTCCCAGGCACAGAGAGGTCCTGCAGGAGGGTCTGGGCAAAGAAGTGGGGAGCCGGATGTGGCTGTTTTGAGACCACAGGCTTGGGTCAGGGGCCTCCCTCTCCCTGGACAAAGCCACCTTCCATTCTGGGAAGCTGGCCCCAGATACTGGAGCTGCTCCCCTTAGGGAAAAGAGAGAGGGGGAGGGAGAGGAGAAAAGGGAGAAGAGAGTGGAAGATAGAGAAAGACAGGCACACACAAAGAAGCGGCAGAGTGAAGGACAGAGACAGAAACAGAGGTGGGCAATGACAGAGGGAGGGAGAGTGGGGAAGGGGTGCTTCCAGAGCCCCAGGATGGCAGCACCCCCTTCCTACCCACAGGGCCCGCTGTGGTAGCCCTGTGGGCTCCGCACCGCACCGCTCTCTCTGTTCTCCACCCCACCGCAGTGAAGTGGGGGCAGGGCCTCTGCTGGCTGCCCAGGAGGACACCCGCCGCTCCTCCACTGCCTCCCTCCTCAAGACTAGCAGTGGGTGGCTGGGCCCAGATGCCTGCTCCCCGGCTGCTGGCGGGCTCAGGTGTCTGCAGAGCGTCCTCCTGCTCCCTGCCATCCTTGCACGCCCCTCTATTTCAGGCAGCCTGGCCCCTGCTCAGTGCCCTCTCTGGAAGCCTGCTCCTTGGCCAGCAGACCTGGCTCCCCCAGGTCCAGCCTCTACCTGCCCGCTCCTCCCGTCCCCTTGAGGGGGCTTTGCTTCAAAGGGGTGGAGCTAGGGCTCCTCCTCCCTGTGAGGTTGCGCTGGGGGTAGGAGCCTGGAGGGGAGTCAGAGGCAGGGCTGAGGAACCAGAGGCTCCTCTCACTCTGAGTCAGTCACAGGGAGGGGAGGGTGGAGGGGGCGGCAAGGAGGTGGACCGAGAAAGAGCCGGCCACAGAGATGTCCAGGGAATGGGGCAGGGCTGGGTGGCAGCATCACAGTGTCTGGAGGGCCAGGTACACATCCAAGTGCACACCGTCATGCAGCGATTTAGAGACGGGCCCCAACCTCTGCAGGCTTCAGCCTTGGATTGTGAACAGAGGGGACACACAGCACAGGACCAGCTGACCAGATCCCAGCCACCGCTTGTTTGCACTCACAAGTAAATTGATGCCGACAACCTGGAGCGGAGGGCTGGTGGTGTGTGAGTGTGAGTATGTGTGTGTGTGTTGGGAGAATAACAGAGGATTCAACCAGTGTCACCCAAAAGGGGCAAGGACCCCGCAGCACTGGGAAAGGGTCACAAAAGCCTTCCTCGCCTTAGAGGAGTCAACATGCTGTCTTCCCAATCCAACTTGATTATCTGTCTGCTCAGCAGCCCCCATGATCCCCACCTCCCAAGAAAACACTGTTTATGGGGCCTGGGGCATCAGGCCTGTCATTTAGCTGGAGGAGGCAACCCAAGCCACAACTGGGAGCTGAGCCCTGTGTGGAGAGGCAATGCCCAGCCTGAGGCAGGCACCAGCCCAGACACTTAGTGCCCTGTTTACCCTGGCAAGGGTGGCTGGCACAGGTGGGCCTCTCCAGGGAGCAGCTGGTGGCCCTGCCAGCAGACTCCCCTGCAGGCCAGAGAGGAGGCCAGGACAGCAGCTCTCCAGGATGGGGAGGGAGGCACCTTGCCCGCCGCACACCCTGCACTGCAGTTTGCAGGGTGCCAGCCTCTGAAGCTCAGGGGTCTCCCAGCTGCCCTGCAAGGGAGACCATATGGCCCAGGGCCCAGCAGGAGAAACCACAGCTCCAGGATGCTGGACACTGGTCCCCAAGGCCCCCCAGGGGAGGCTGAAGGAAGCCCCAGGTCTTTGGGGTCCTGGTCTGATAGGCCCAGATGCCACTCAACTCCCCAGGTTTGTGGGACCCACCTTCTGCATCCAAAGGCACATGTAACTTGGCATAAACAAACACCCTTTCCCCATCACAGCCCATCACTACACAGTCGCTGTACCCACAGTCCTTCTCTATCACACAGATGGTATAGAACATGCTCCTGCACTCTGCCACACCCAACATACACATCATCCAGCACCCAGCTCACAAACGCAGCATACACACACCAGACACACAATGCTCACCCAACACAGCTCCTTCTCCACCCGCATAACCTCCACTCCAGCAGCAAGGTCACATTTGCTTGCATGCGTGCACACACGCACACGTGCGCACACACACACACAGTCCTCTGAACCAATACACTCTCCTCCCAGTGCCACACTTGAAAGTGGGCCCAAGTAGGGGCCACCATTTTAGTCCTGGGCTTCTCCCTGCCCCTCCCACTCTCCGTCCTCCCTGCCACTCTCGGTCCTCCTCCCACTTCCTCTGCCCGCCTTCCACTTTCTCCCTTTCTCTCTCTCCTAGCTGAGCCCCTGGCCCTGAGGTCTCTTTCCCAGCACATGGTGGGACACTTGAGGGCCACACATATGGGCAGCTCCCAGCAGCTATTAAATACCACTTCGCCCACCTCTGGGGTTTTGAGGGGCTGCAAATTCCGGAGGACAGGAGGCAGCAGCTGGCAGCTGCTCAGGGCCTCAGATCCCCCTGCTCACCATTCCCCCATGCACCGCCCACCCCTCCTCATTCCGGGCTGAGTCATCCCCACATCTGGAACCTCTGCACATCTGGAAGAGCTGAAGCCTGTGCAAGCAGCTCCACGTAGACACCCCCTCCCCCCTGCTCCATCTCATCCCCATCCCTGCTGGCAGTTGGGGTCCAGCATCCCCCACCTGGAGCAGGACCTCGGTTACCTAGCAGCAGGCACTGCTGGGCCAGCCTTGGGGACCAGGATTGCCCACAGGTCTCTCCCCAGTAGCAGTAACAGTGGCGTCTTGGTGCCCACCGCAGTAAGCAGGCAGGGCAGTGCTAGCCTTGGAGGAGGCCAGGCCCAAGGCTGGGGGAGGCAGGAGAGCCAGGCAGGGAGGAGGTAGTGGTTTGGCCCAGCAGGCAGAGGGAGTTTATCCTGGCACTGGGCCCTGAAGCCAAACATCCTCCACGAACCTCGCAGACACATCAAAGCCCGCAGGGAAGGGGCCCTTCCGTAGAGGAAACCTACAGTCCTGGAGGCCTGACAACCTGACTCCGGGCACAGGACCACCCTGTCCCACTCAGCAACCCAGGCTCAGGTCGGGCACAGCTGCCTGGAGTGGACAGGCAGAAAAGGACATTTCTACCCAGGGGCCCTGCCGCCTCACCCCACTCGTTCAGTGCTGCCACAGAATGAGGTTTTGCCCCCATGAGGGGGCAGAGTTGGCACCAGATTTAGCTTTAGCCCCTAGTACAGGGGTCCCTCCCAAACTGCCCCCCTCCCACCCTCCAGGCAGGGAAGGCTGATGGGGAGGGGCTCACTTTGTCTGTGCGCCACCCTTTCAGCCCCAGCCTGGAAGAGAAGTCGTGCTCAGTTGTGGGGGGATCCAGCTTCCTCCCCCAGGCTCTGATGTTCTGCAGAAGACCCCTCCACATGGACAAGAGGGAAATGGAGAGGGCAGGGGGGTTAGGGGTTGGGAGAAAAACCAAGCTTCAAAAAGTAGAAGCTGAAGTGGAATCAGAAGGCGAGAACTGGGCTGCAAGCCACAGGGCCTCTCTCTGGGGGGACAGCTGGGGCCGGAGGAGGAAGAGGGGTTGTGAGGCGCTAACAAGGGAGAGAGGAGGTGCTAACAGGGCCACTGGGGTGCGGGGATCCTGAAGCCAGCCCCCTAAAGGTTGGCCCGGAGATAAGGAAGCCAGGCACTGGCGGTGGGGTAAGGGGTGTGAGTGGGAGCTGCCAATCAACACAGGAGGCTGGGATGCTCTGCATACACACATGTGCACGTAATGTACATACATGTGCACATGCAGCTCCCACACAACCAAAGCCAAGTCTGTCCTCAGCTGGGAACCAGATGATGTGGCTGCTTAGAGGCACTATGATTTGAGGAAGAATGTGATCTCTGCCAGCCTGAATCCCTCACCCACTGCTCACACTCATTCTCTGCCTTTACAGCTTCAGGCTGGGCCTGCGCCCCACTCTAGTCTAAGCCCCAGACCATGGAAGGGCTCCCCTTCCCATGGTTGTCCTGAATCCGCAGTTCCTTTGGATCTGAAAAGTTCTTTTAGGTCTAACTACAACCCCAGTAACATTTGGGTCAGAAACAAAGGAATCCACAAGCAGGGTGCAGCAGAACCCTCTTTTCAGGAGCCAACAAGAACAGAGCTAGAAATCGAGGATACCAAATTCCTTTCTTCCGTCTGGCTACAGGATCCGGTCTCAGACAGTAGACTGAAGGAGGGGGCCCCAGAGGAAGGAGGCCAGGCATGGGGGCTCTCAAGACCCTCACGCTAGTCTTAGCTCAGTCTCTCCTGCCCAAGCCTTCATGGCTCTGCTCCATCTGCCACTCCAGAAACCAAAGCTCATCAGCTCAACCTTCCCCTAACCCTCCCCACCTGACACCCATCCAGGCTCTTTGAGGTGTTTTCCTTTCCACCCTGGCCTGTGCCCCAGAAACCTACACTTTAGAAGGATAATGGCTCCCAAATGGCGTTTTTGTCTCTGCTAAGCCTCCAGGAAAGTGAGCATCAGTGAGTCCCTCCAACCTGCTCATTGGGATAATAAGTGCCCTGCACTGTTAATTCTCAGGTGGTTTGCCCTCCCTCCACCCTCCCGGCCCACAGATTCATGGTTCAAACTTGGAGCTGACTCTAGAAGTGATCTCCTCCACCCCCATGCCCATCACCCCAAGAATGAGAAAGGGGCTGGTGGGCTTCAATTTCCAAAAAAAGTTGGAAAGGGGACTGAGGTCCCCATCCCATGGCCAAGAAGTCCTATTCTTGGACTCTGCCTCCTCCAGGAAGGCGGACCGTAAGCCAAGCATTCCTTGCTACACCCCCTTAGGAGTCGCTCAATCCCTACGGAGCCATCTTCCTCACTTGCTGAGGGGGAGTCACAAATTTGAGCATACCCTTTGGAGGGGGTGCAGGAAGCAGAAGACGTGGATTCCCCAAACCACACAGCCAGTGTGGTGGGGAGCCCAGTCAGTCTGAACTCCTCCCACCCCAACCACGAGTCCTTCACCAAGGACTTTGGAAATGAATTCCCTACCCCCTTAGAGAAATCTGGCCCCTGACCCAGGAAGGCCCCTAACCAGCTTGGATTCAACGACAACAGAGCCAGTGTTTACTTGGAACAAAGCACCAGGGGGAAATGCATGCTGAATCAGAGCTGGCCAGCCCCTGCAGCAGGGTGGGAGCATTAGGACATGTCCACACGTCTTCAAGGGAAAATGGCTAAGGGCTGTCAGAGAGGCCCAGGGAAGAGGCCTGGGTAGGGGCGAGCAGGGAGCAGACAATCACTTGTTGAAGGAAGATCCAAGTCCAGGTAGGCTTTCTGGAGGAGGTGGCATTTGGGCTGAGCTTTAAAGGATGGGGAAGAATGTGTTCGGTTTCTGGGAGGGATTTGGGGAAGAAACTAGGTGGAAAAAACTGCCTGGACAGAGGCAAGGAGAGAAGCAGAAAGAGTAAGAGGAGGGGCTGGAGAACATGGTGGGGGGTGGGGGTCAGGTGGGGACTGGTTATGGGGGACCCTGAAGGTCTCTCTGAGATGGGACTTTATTCAGGTGGCAGCAGGGAGCCTCCGATTAGGGAACAAGAGAGCGACATGCCCAACATGGCCTGTCCCTCCTTGGCAATGAGGTGACCAAGCTAGAGGCCTTGTTGAATATGGCTACGAGAGTCCTGAGGAGCCAGGCTGCACGGGGTGCCGATGGCAGTGGGGATAAAGGGAGAGGACACCTGTGACAGGCACAGCCTCCAGTCTCCATGAGCTCTCAGCCCATGTGGAGAGGCGGGCCTCCTCTGTGAAGTAGACCCAGGCAGCGCTCAGTGGGCTGTGCGGGAGTAGAAAGGGGGAACAAACTGGGAGTGGAGGGAATCACATCTCCAGTCCCAGACCACGTTCAGGAGTGGTCGGCACCTGGACGGACATCCTCTGGGATCTGTCACCAGCCCCACCTTCTCAGGCCTGACTGGCCTTAAGTGGGGCCCAGTGGACAGCAGAGGGGTTTAGTGAGCAAAGCTTCCTGGGGAAACTGGGGTTGGATGCTGCAGCCCATCCAGGGAGGTGAGCAGTCCAAAAGCAGCGAGACCCTGCACTCCTTGGCACCCCACTCTGCCTCCATGTGAAATGCAGAGAAGGAAGTATGGGCCCCTTGTCTCTGCCAGGAATGACAGCTAGCATTTATTTGCCATTACTGTATGCCAGACTCTGAGCGGCCTGTTTCATCCTCATCATGGCCTATATGATGAGGGAGGTACTGTTATCCAACTCCTCCCTCTCCTTCCTGTTGAGAGAGGCCCAGAGAAGTTCCATTTCTCGTCTAAGGTCACACAGCACAACATATTCAGTGGCACACTGACTAACACGACACAATACTGCCCCTACAGGCAGAGCCGGGCTAGAGCAGAGCATTCTGCTGGCTTTGAAAAGAGATCCCAGCCTAGTGCCATCAGCCATTACAGATATTAGTGTCCACCAAAGTATGGGGGTGGGGGGGACTGCCAAGTAAAACAGAATTCACCCTGGCTCTTCCCCTTCACCCAAGCCTGGCCCCCTGGGCTGGGCTGAGCCAGGCTAGGCGAGGCCACCCACCCTGAGTGATCCTCCATCCAGAGCAGTGGAGCAGGGCTCCCCAGGCCCGAGGTGAGTGCCACCTGTGCTGGGTGTGGCGTCTTGAGCGCTGCATGGTTCTGATCCTGACTCAGCCCCTCATGTCCTGTGCGACCTGGCCTTCCCGCTCTCCAGGCCCTGGTTGCCTCCTCTGAGAAGGGCGTAAGTGGGCCGGCTGGCCTCGGAGGCCCCTCCTTCCAGCTGGGCCCCGGCAGGATGCACAATCAGCTCATTCTTTAGTGAATGCACTGGGGGCCCAGCGAGCGTTTATGAAGACATTTCGAAGTGGCTGCTCTTGGGAAACCCCAGATGGAATTTGGTGTTGAATCTAGGGGGCCGCTGACTACATGAGGCCTCTGGGTTTCTGTGCTCGTGTATGCCTGAGCACCTGCACACGCTGCCCTCCTGGTGCTAGGTGACGTGCCAAACAGAAGATGCTGGCCTTGTCCAGGACCCTCCTTCCTCTAGAACAGCCCTTCTCTGCTCAGTCTAGGGGGGTCCATGGTGCTCCCACCCCCTTCTGACCTCACCCACCAAAAATCCGAGGGCCCTGGGGCCATGATGAATGCTAACAGGCCCTGGTGTTCTTGGCCTGGCCTGGGACCACCCACTTCCAGGCTCCTCATCTTGTCCCCATCTGCAGGAAGGAACGTAGGGCAGTTTGGTGTCATGGAACTGGGGGCCCAGCCGAGGGGCTCAAGAGCCCTTCAGACTCTGCCTGGTGAGTCAAGTGCTAAGGACCTCACTTCTTCATTGGAAGATGTGGGGTGGGGGTGGAGTTTGTTCCTAGGACATTGTAGCGATGTGGATAGCATTGCCAGATTTTGTTTTGTTTTGTTTTTCTTTTTAGAGCGAGGGTGGTGCTCTGTCACCCAGGCTGGAGTGTAGTGGTGTGATCTCAGCTCACTGCAGCCTTGAACTCCTAGGCTCAAGTGATCCTCCTACCTCAACCTCCAGAGTAACTGGGACTACAGGTACATGCCACCACACCGGCTTAATTGCTTTTGTTTTCTTTGTTTGCAGAGACAGGGTCTTGCTATGTTGCCCAGGCTGGTCTCAAACTCCTGGGCTCAAGTGATCTTCCTACCTCGGCCTCTCCAAGTGCTGGGGTTATAAGCGTGAGCCACTGTGCCTGGCCTGGTTGCCAGTTTTAACAAAGAAAAACACAGAACATCCCATTAAATGTGAATTTCAGATAGAAAAGTAAATTTTAGCATAAGTATGTCTCAAATATTGCATGGGCCCAGGTGTAGTAGCTCACGCCTGTAATCCCAACACTTTGGGAGGCCAAGGTGGGCATATCACTTGAGGCCAGGAGTTGGAGACCAGCCTGGCCAACAAGGTAAAACCCTGTCTCTACTAAAAATACAAAAAATTAGCTGGACATAGTGGCACATGCCTGTAATCCCAGCTACTTGGGAGGCTGAAGCATGAGAATTGCTTGAATCTGGGAGGTGGAGGTTGCAGTGAGCTCACACCACTCCATTCCAGTCTTGGTTCTCAAAAAATATATATATATTGCATGGGACATAATTATACTAAAATGAAATTATTCATCGTTTATCTGAAATTTGGATTTACCTGGGCCTCCTGTCTTTTGTCCGGCAACCCTAGATCTGGGTCAGGTTGATGCCAGAGACCCAGAGAGCAGCTATGCCAGCCTCCTCCCCCTCCTCCTGCCCCTCTTCAGGGCACTGGTGCCCGCCTAGTTCCCTCACCCCCACTCCTGCTGACCCCCCACATCTGTCCCTTGAGTTCCCACATGCCCTTCTCAGCACCCTCATTTCACCCCGCAGGGTATCTTCCTCCTCTAAGCTCAACCATTTTCCCATTTTCCTCTCCCGTAAGGGCCACACCTCTGTAGGGCTCCCAGCCTGGGCAGGATAGCAGGGAGTGTGGGGTAGAGACCCCAGGCCTTGCTGTTGCAGTGGGGCCTGGGTGGGGACAAGAAGAACCCTGGCAGCCCAAGTTGGCAACGACTCAAGAGGTGGAGGCTCCAGCACTCTCAGGACGAGGTCCCCCTGCCAAGGTCCACCTGCAGGGGAGGAGGGGAGACGGCGGCCCCTTCCCTTCTCCAAGCTCACAGTCACTTCAAATACAGAGGGGCCAGATCCCAATACCCCTCGGATCAGGAGACTAGAAGATTATCTTCTTAAGGGGCAAAAAGGGCTAGGAGGTAATGGGAAATAGAGACAGGGAAAGGGAGAGAGAGAGCAGGGAGACAGCATAAGAAACAGACCGAGAGACTGGGGGTGCAGGACCAAACCAGGGACAAGGAGAAGGGACCAGAGAAACCGAGAAAAACAGACGCCTCCGCCGAGGCAGACAGAGGTGAACAGAGAGAGGAGAAACAGACGGGAGAACAGAGGGAAAGGCTGGGAACTCGAGAGAAACTGGGTGCGGACAGATGGGAAGAAACCGAAACAGAAAAACAGAGGCTGGGAGAAACGGGGAGAGACACAGAGGGGTTAAATATAAGACAGAGAACATGACTGGGAGAGATGAGGGAGAAGGGTGAGAGGCAGAGAGCAAGGAAAGAGAAGAAACGCCCACGACGTCGGGGGTGTTTTTCAGGGGTCAAGACAGATTGGCGACACAGCAGGAGGCGCCCAAGGACATGACGTTGAGCCTCTCAGGGTCCCCCTTGGCCGGGCCAGGGAGCAGCGCCCCACGCTCCATCACCCCCTCTCCCCCTCCCGCGGTCCTGGCTGCACTGCTCCTGCCTCGCCCTCGCCCAGCGCCCCCAGCCCACAAGCCCCGGCCGCGCCCCTCCCGGCTCCCGGGGGCACCCGCGCTGGGCGACGCTGCCACCTGCCGGCCGCTCCCGGAAGCTCCGCGCCTGGAGTGCTGGAGGCGGCGGCCGCAGGGGGCTCAGAATCAGGCCCCTCCGCACTGGGGCGGCCTCCGCGGGGTCTTTCCAGGAATCTGGATGGGCCTGCTCGCCCGCGCCCCGGCGGGCCTGGCAGAGGACCAGCCCCAGCTGCGGACCCCGGGGCAGTCTAAACCCTGGGGCCTTGAGTTCCCGTTTTGTCAATGGGAGAAAATGCACCAACACCTCCTGTAGGATTTCAAGAGGGGAGGGGACACGAAGGTACCCACGTTGTGCTCCTGGTCTTCCTTCCTCGACCTGGAAATCTCAGGGCACTCTGAAATCAGCCAGGCTGCTCTGTCCCTCCCTTTTTGGTCAAAACACAATGGGGTGATATCCCCCAACCATAACCCCTCAAAATCTACCCTAGAACCTTCGCCTTCCCCTCCCTCAACCTCTGCCCCCATTTGACTTCTCACCAGACCCAGAGGTCCAGATAAGAAGGGGCTTCCACGTCCCCTTCCCACTCCCGCCGGTCCCGGCACCCCTCCCTGGAGTCTGGGGCACTTAGGAGTGGAGGAGTTGGGAGTTAGGAAGGCCCAGCTCAGCGGTGTGGAGTTGATCCCACCTCTTTTTAAATTTAGGTTATTTATTTATTTATTTATTTATTTAGAGATGGAGTCTCACTCCGTCGCCCAGGCTGGAGTGCACTGGCACGATCTCGGCTCACTGCAACCTCTGCTTCCCGGGTTCAAGCGATTCTCCTGCCTCAGGCTCCTGAGTAGTTGGGATTACAGGCACCCGCCACCACGCCCGGCTAAATTTTGTATTTCTAGTGGAGACGGGGGGTCTCACCATGTAGGCCAAGCTGGTCTCGAACTCCTGACCTGAAGTGATCCTCCCAAAGTGCTGGTATTACAGGCGTGAGCCACCGCGCCCGGGACCGCTTTTTTAAAAATCCGTTAATCTCTTCTACCTCCCAAATCCCAAAACCCAACCCAGACCTCTGCGCCTCCCTTCCTCCCTTCCTCCTCCCAGCCCCTCCCTGCCCCGAGTCCGCCTCTCCCGGTGCAGCTCCGCCCCCATCCCGAGGCGGGGCCCCATAGGTGGAGAGAAGTGGGAGAGGTCGCAGCCCCGCCTTCTCTACACAGGAAAGCTCAGTGGCCCCCAAGCCAGGATGTCCCAAGCTTGGGTCCCCGGCCTCGCGCCCACCTTGCTGTTCAGCCTGCTGGCTGGCCCCCAAAAGGTGAGACTGGGAGGTAAGGTTGTTGAACTTTTGGGCCCTACCCTTGTAGGTCAGGAGCCTGCTTCTGGAGCCTGGTCGCCACCTTCCAGAATCAGGATTTCCTCCTGACCACACACAGTTAGCTACTTCCTTTCTCTCTTTGCTGTGGAGGTGGAGGTGGGGGCAGCGGAGGAGGCTCTGGGAGAGGCTGGGTTCTCCCACCTCTGAGGGGGATCCTGTGGTGGGAAGTGGCCACCACCCACCACCTTATCTGACACCTAGCACGTCTCTGTGAATAGGGACTTTGGACCCCTTATTAGCCTCAGCTTATCCTTCCAGCTCCTTCCCGCCTGAGCTTTGGACACCTGGGCCAGCACTTAGCCCCAGCTCAGTTCCTCCAGTGCTGGGGGACCCTGGGATGTCCCCACCCTCTTTGGGACTGTGTCTCTGCTTGTTCCCTAGGGGAGAGAAGGCTCTTTTGTCCCCTTCTAGGGGTAAGTAATCCCAGCCTGTGGTGGGATTTGACCTGGCTGCCTGACCAAGGCTGGGGTGACCTCTGAAATCTGTGATTTTGAGAGGGAGGTGTAGGGTTCGAGTGTTCCCTCCGCCCTTCTGTTCCTCCCAAGTAAACTCTACAGGTGATGGGGGAAAGCTGTCCGGTCCTGGGATGGGTGTTTATCCTGGGAACAGAGACGGGTCTAGAACATGCATTTGTGTCTTATTTCCATTTAAGAACCGGAGGGAAGTCAGGGTCTTCCATAGTTAGGATTTTAGAACAGGGCACCTTCACACATCTGGGCTGAGCTTTCAGAGAGGCTCTGCCAAAACCCTTCCGTGGACCCGGGTTAGTGAGCAAGGTGTTCCTTCTAAATCACTGGGCGGTCAGTTTGTGTCAATGCTGGGCTGGGCATCCTCTGGTTTACCCCTCCCACCAACCCCAGGGGCGAGGTGCTGTTAATACCTTCAATTCTGGAGTTAAGTAAGCTGAGATTTACTTACTCCCAGCCCAAGACCACCCTGACGCTCCATAAAACTCAGCCTCTGAACCACCCCAGACAAGACTACCCCCTGGTTAAAATGTGGGGAGACAATCTGGGAGAAGAGCTCCTCCCCCTCCCAAACCGGAACTTGAGATTAATTTACTAAACCTGTTAATTATCCATTACTTATTAGCTGGGGTCCAGGAAAAGGACAAGGGCCAGAGTGGGGTCTGAGGGGGAAGGGGTGCTGTTGAGTGCCTGGATGGACCCCTCGATTTGTCTCCAAGTTCCCTCTCTGTATATATATATTTTTAATTTAAAGAATAGAGGCCAGGCGCAGTGGCTCACGCCTGTAATCCCAGCACTTTGAGAGGCCGAGGCAGGCAGATCGTGAGGTCAGGAGTTTCAGACCAGCCTGACCAACAACCCCATCTCTACTAACAATACAAAAATTAGCCAGGCATGGTGGCACGTGCCTGTAATCCCAGCTACTTGGGAGGCTGAGGCAGGAGTATCACTTGAACCTGGGAGGCGGAGGTTGCAGTGAGCCGAGATCGCACCACTGCACTCCAGCCTGGGCAACAGAGCTAGACTCCATCTCCAAAAAGAAAAAAAAAGAAAAAAGAAAAAAGAATAGAGACAGGGTCTCGCTATGTTGGCCAGGTTGGTCTTAAACTCCCGGCCTCAAGCAATCCACCCACCTCAGCCTCCCAAGGTATTTAGGATTACAGGGATGAGGCACCGCACCCAGCCTGTCTCCAATTCTATAGTCATTCCTGTGTGCTGTGTGATTTGGATTCACAGACTCACCCTTTCTGGGCCAACCTGCAGGGGTTCCTTCCTGTTCCTGTCCCCACAAGGGGACAAAGCCTGTGAGATGGTACTCAGCCTGGGACTGAGCGTGGAAAAGGGGAATTACCCCAACTCTTATTGGCTATCACTGGTATTCTTATCTTTACTGTTGTGATTTGCAATTGAAATATTTTATAAAGGTATAAAGATAAAGATAACGGTGGTTTTGCCAAAGCTGGCTTCCTATTTTTTAGCCTTGGTTGTTTGTCCCAGGAGGCTAGGGTGGGGTGAGAGATGCCCTTCCCCACCACCCATTTCCTATGTTCTGGCACCTACATCCCTCCCCCACAGTCTGGGAGCAGCCAGGATGAAATGAAACTAGGTAATTGATGAATGCACGTTCATTCATTCTGCAAATATTTTGACTACTGGGTTTTCAACAATGATGCAGCAAAAATCCCTGCCCTCGCGGAGTTTGCCTTTTACACAACTGAAGGACAATTAACAAGATAAAGTAAATATATAGTATGTTAGATGTTGACAAGAGGTGTGGAGAAAAGTTAAGCACACTAAGGGAAAAGGGTGGTTGTAATTTTGAATAAGGTAACTGGAGAGGGAGGAGCTGGAGCCAGCCTTGCAGCCACCTAGAAGAGTGTTCCAAGTCAGTGTGGCTTTGACACACAATTGCTATCAATGGAGGGAAATTCTGTAAGATGCCCTGGGTGCCCTGCAGACCTGGTACAGAAGAGGGGGAAGCTGATTTGGGAGGCGGGGTCCTGGCAGCTTTGCAGAGCATGGAATCCCTTAGGCAGGGATCTGAAGGATGAATGGAGGCTTGGACAGGTGTAAAACAGCCAGGTATGTTCAGGGAACTCCCAGCGGGTGTGTGTGAGAGGAAGAGAAAGAACTAGGGGAAGCGAAAGGGGAGGGAGTGCAGCTGCTCACTCGGGAGGTCTCTACCCCAGGGAGCCACCGAAGGGGGCTTCCAGCAAGATTCTTTGGTGATGAGATTTGCATTATAGGAAGAGTCCTCCTGCCCACAGTGTCTGCAGTGACTGAAGGTGGGATAAGGAAAGTCGCTAGTGCCCTGAGCCATGGGTGTCACGGTGGAAGCCAGGTTGGAAGGGTGGTCAGAAGGGATGAGCTTACAAACCCGGGGGTGATGGAATGTGCTGAGAGAGGAAGGGGAGCTGGGGCCAGCCAGGGGTCAGTTGGGCTCCAAGCACTGACCTGGGAACACGGTGGAGTGAGGTGGGGGGTGGCTTGCAGGAAGAGGCTGAGTCTACTGGGGACCTGCTGCCTGTGAGGTACCTGGGCAGCATCTGAGTGGAGACCCTACCCCCACTATCCCCAGTTTATGACCCTGACCCCCGACCTCTCTTTTCTTCCACAGATTGCAGCCAAATGTGGTCTCATCCTGTAAGTCTAGAGGCCATAACTTCCAATCTGGGGAGCGGGGAGGAGCAACCTAAATCATGCCCTGCATGCCTTGGGGGGTGTGGGAGGCCAGAAACTCCATCCGTCCTCAGTCCCAATCCAGCCAGAAACTGTCCCCCCACTTTCCCAGCCAAAGAGGGAGACCCCACCCTCTACCTCCACCAACAAACTCGGGGACTTCCACACTTGCAGGCAGGTCTGTAGCTGGATCCCGGTCCTTCCTACTGCAGTGCCAGGCTGTCTCCCCTCTGAGGGTCCCCTGGGTCGGAGGCAGGGGGCTAACCCTAAGAGAGAAATCCCAGAAGCCTGAGCACAAGGTGGAATTTGGGTAAGGGTCACTGGGCAGAAAAGTGTTTCCATTAGGTCAGCCCTGGGTGTTCTGAAAGCACCGTTCTCTGACCCCTCATACTCCATGGGCGCCAGCGAGAACTGGCTCTTCCTGGACATGCCACGTGGCCTCTTTCCCCGCACCTCCTTAGAGTTGGATGAGGAGTGTCATGGCCGCTGCAATGCCCCTTCCCCACACCTGCCTGCTGAGGTCAACAGGATACTTCTTCTACCCGTGTTACAGATGAGGGGCGTGGGGCCCAACAGGGAGCCGTACTGGGCACAAGTGCACACGCCCTTCCCCAGAGTCCTCCTACTGAGCTCAGAGCGGGGGCCATACCCCCCACCCCACTAAGGGGTGGCTTGTGCCATGAGCATCTTGGGTGTATTTTGGGGAGGCTGGGATCCTTCTGCCTCTCCATTCTGGTGCCAGCAACTTCTCCTTGCCCTTTTCTGTGCCCTCTGACCAGTGCCTGCCCCAAAGGATTCAAATGCTGTGGTGACAGCTGCTGCCAGGAGAACGAGCTCTTCCCTGGCCCCGTGAGGTGAGCCCAGGGCCAGCTCCTTTGGGTGCAGTCCTTGGAGGGGCCTGGTCCTGTGTGGACAAGGCCAGGCACCTGCCGAGGGGGCAGTGTGGGCGGCGGGAGCGGGGAGATGTAGGGAGTCCCCAGGGTGGCCTGGGGACTCAGGGTACTCTTGGTGGTCCCCACCCCAGGATCTTCGTCATCATCTTCCTGGTCATCCTGTCCGTCTTTTGCATCTGTGGCCTGGCTAAGTGCTTCTGTCGCAACTGCAGAGAGCCGGAGCCAGACAGCCCAGTGGATTGCCGGGGGCCCCTGGAACTGCCCTCCATCATCCCCCCAGAGAGGGTCAGAGTATCCCTTTCTGCGCCCCCACCCCCCTACAGTGAGGTGGGTGTCTCATCCCCATCCCCACCTTGCCTCTGGCCGGCTGTGCAGCAGAGACAGTGGAGGGCCCTTCGATCCTGGAGGGCACTCTGCACCCAGCATTGGGTCACCCCTCTCCCTGGTAACCATGCCTCAGCTGGGATGGGGGAGTGGTGGCCAGGGCCAGGGCCCAGAAGACTGAATTCTCTCTTTTCCCTGCAGGTGATTCTGAAGCCCAGCCTGGGCCCAACTCCCACAGAGCCACCCCCTCCCTACAGCTTCAGGCCTGAAGAATATACCGGGGATCAGAGGGGCATTGACAACCCGGCCTTCTGAGTCACCTCCTGCCTGGAATCTTGCCATCAGCAACCTCCTCCCCAGTGCCTCCTGGATCAAGCTAGAGACTGCTGGCACCCCAGGAATGTCCCTGCCCATCCTGCCGTGTCTCTGTTCATTCTTGGATTTAACTTATTACTTTTTCTGCTTCTGTTTCCACCCCAGCTGCCTCTCTTGTCCTGAGGGTTAGGCTGGAGTGACAGTTTCCGCCCACCCCCCAGCCCAAGAAAGAGGCTGCCGGAAAGAAAATGCTGACCATTGGAGGTGCCCAACAGTAGAATGGGCTACTGTGAGGGGTAGTAAGAGCCCCATTTCTGGAGGTATGCAAATCTTGACTGGACAGCCAGCTCTGAGATTTTATCAGGGCACTTCTATACCTGTGGGACATTGGACTGGATGAGCCCTGAGCCAGCTTCCACTCCTACCTGAATAGAGAACTCACTGCACCCACCCACAACACATGATAAACACATGTCCTCACTGAATGTTACTGATTGCGGCTGAGGGCCTGCCTCTGGCTGTGTGGGGAGGTGGGTGGAGAGGTGAGCCCAGGCACTGCTGAGGGGTGCGGTGATGGGGTCGCTGCGCCGCAATCCCACCACTGATGAGCCACCTGGGAGGTCTGGGAGGACAGTCCATCCATGGGCCGCCCTCGGAGAGAGGCTTGTTCTAGATGTATTGGCTGTCTGTTTTTTGATGTCTCTGTGTGCCAAACAGCCTGGAAATGGGGTACGCGTGTCCCTTGTGTGGGTTTCCCAATCCCTTCCGCCCAAGGCTTTCCTGGGACACATGGAGCCCAGCTCTCTGGCTGTCTTACCATGAGAAGTTGGTAAGTTGGCTGTGAGGGGGTTGGATCCAGGAAGCAGCCCTGGGACAGCCCATTCTGCTGTTGATAGCAGGAAACCACCTGCTGGGAGACAATGGGGGTGGGGAAAAGCCCAGGAGAGCAGTGGGTGGGGCTGGGCATCCGTGGAGTGGGGCTTTAGGAGACCTTGAACGGCCCCACCCTGGAATCTCCTACAGGAAGGTGAGGAGGTGGCAGGTTCCACCCTTCTCTACCAGCCCCGCTCGCTCGTGGGAGTTAACCCCCTAGGGGAGAAGAGTCTTCACTGGGGTTCGACCCATGGGGGCCTGGCATAGTCATGCAGAATGGGGCGGGACAATGCCAATGCCTTGGGACTCAGACAGGGCTGAGTGCCTCCACCCTGATTTTTGCCTCTGCACTGCGCCCCCACAGCCCACTCAATGCCAGCCTCCTTCTCCAGGCAGAGAGCCCCATGTCAATGCTGGCCAAAGCTCTCAGGAGGATTGGAGGTAGAACTGGCCCTGGTATGCCAACAGGGGTGCCTCTTTTAGTGCTCTCCCAATAATGCTCATCCTGGGGGCATCAGGACGCAGGCAGGTGGCAGAGCTGGGGGCAGCTTGATGGCACAGGCAGCCCCAAAGATGCCAGGAACAGGGACTGTCCGGGTGTGGGTTCCCAGTGAGATAGGGCCCTGGAAGGAGTGCAGCAGTTACTGACAATATAGTGCCAGGGTTGGCCATAGGAGAATGAGCCCAAGCGTAAGTGGAAGTTTCCCTTTACTTTCAGGGATTGGTCAGGGGTGGCAGAAAACATGTGGGTTCTTTGTGTAGATGTGGCTAGTTCCAATTAGAGAAGTCCTGCAGCTGATGTTGCCCTCACCGTGATAGCAGGAGGATGTTGAGAAATGGGCTTGGGAGACCTGGAGGAGAAGTTACCCTCGGCCCAGACGTTGCCTTCCTTTCATCACAGGGCCTTTAACTCCTCCTAGGGAGTAGCAGAGTGGCCCTAGGGAAAGTGGCCATCCTGAAACCTAGTGTTGCTGTGACCTGGTGACAGAAATGGAAACCTCTGTGGCTCTTCTGGTCATCCTTGGTGGGAGTGGGAATGGTGTCACCTTTCTAGAGGGCCATCTGGCACCATGTAATCACGCCACAGATCTTTACGAAGCTCCTGCTATGTAGGAAACACTATGCCTGGCACTGGGTATCCATTAAAATGTAAAATGCACGTGACCTGGCAATTCCACTTCTAGAAATGAGCCTTCAGAAGTGCTCATACAAAAGAGCTCAATAAGTATCATGCACTAATTCATTGTGCCACCAGAGCTCCCTATGCAGCCTTTTAAAAGAATAAATAGGATCTGTAGCACCAACCCTGCAAAGCATCCATCACTTATTGTTACAGAGAAAAGGCAAGTTGCGGAACTGCCTATGATCTCAGTTTGTAAGGATATAACCCACACATATTTTATTTTATATATGTATATTTTTTCTTTGCAAATATGTAGATAAGATCTAGAAGGATGTAAGTCAATCACTCACCACACTTCCAATAGTTGTTGGCCCCAAGAGTGGGATGTAGGTAGCAAATTGCAAGCGGGTCTTCTTCCTTTGTATGCTTTGGCACTGTGTGTTTTTTACAATCAGCAAGCATTGCTTTTGTAAATTTAGAGATTTGTTTACGGGAAACTGTAGGCAGCTTTAGAAGTTTATGAAGATTTGCCTTGTGAACTTTGATCAATGGCAACTGATAAATTATCAGCCCTGGTATGTGGAAGAGAATACAAGGACTTTAGACTGTGGTACCCACCTGACATGGATGTGACCCAGGGGACAGACACATGATGGGAAAGCCTGGATGCCTGCCAGACATACATGAAGCCCACATCTCAGACCTATGCAGGACTTATGAGGTGTATAATGAATGACAGAAACAGTGAGCTGGCTAGTTGGGTGAATGAGCAGTTTCACAGTGACGGAGAATTTCATCCCTCGTGGCTGGTTTAGTTGCTCAAACCCAATGAGTGAATAATGAAAGATGGAATGAATGAATGAAGATTAAATGGGTGCATGAATGAATGAATGAATGAATGAATGAAGAGATCTGCCACCAGATATTTGTAAAGAAACACAGTCTAGTTAACATCAAGGAGATGTTCCTCGTGGCTGTGCAGTTGAATTTCTATCTGCAGGGACTCCCCAGAGGACAGGGAAATGCAGGAAAGGCTGTAGGGTGGGGGGCATGTTGAAGCAGGAAGGCCTTAAGGCACTTGCTCCAGGGATGCAGGAGGGGAGGAGAAAGGGGCTGCTGCTGAGGGAAGTGAGGAGAGGGATAAACACCAGCAGGAATCTTACCTCACCTTCCAGCTGAGATGCAGGACTCCAGCTTCTGACATTTCGCCTTCTGCATCCAACATCTCCAGGCGTTGGTGTGCCCATCTGTACAGTGAAGAGCGTGGCCCCTTCTGGCTCTGGTAGGACGTAGCTCTGAATCCAAAGTTGGGAAGGGGCCCAACACGGTAGCTCATGCCTGTAATCCCAGCACTTTGAGAGGCTGAGGTGGGTAAATCACTTGAGGTCAGGAATTCGAGACCAGCCTGGCCAACATGGTGAAATCCTGTCTACTAAAAGCACAAAAATTAGCTGGGCGTGGTGGTGGGCACCTGTAATCCCAGCTACTTGGGAGGGTAAGGCACGAGAATCGCTTGAACCTGGGTGGCGGAGGTTGCAGTGAGCTGAGATCACGCCACTGTACTCCAGCCTGGGTGACAGAGCGAGACTCCGTCTCAAAACAAATAAACAAACAAACAAAAAACAAAGTTGGGAAGGGCCAAGTAAGAATATTCAGAGAAGCTCCTTAACACCAACAGGCTTTCCTCCACTCTACCTTGGCCACAGTCTCAAGTGGACATACCTTATCTTGTCAGCTCTGATCACCTCAAGCCTCCCACTCTGAACATCACCTCCTGTACTTCCAGCTCAGGTAGGTCCTATGTCACCACCACACCATGCCAGCAATTCTCTGAGCCCACCCAGCCCTCTGAACCAGCAGTCTTTGCCTGTTGGCAGCGCCATCACCATGTCCTTAAACCATCCTTACAGTCACTACCCTGCATCCTTTACCCCTTTTCCCCATTCACTGTGCTCACCCAGAGAAACTCCAAACTCCAAACTCCAGTTGGATCCAACTATGGCTCAAGAACCAGCACCCCTGTGTGACTAGACTCATTTCCAAATCAAAACCACACGTTTCGCGCAGGCCCTCGGTTCCTCCAATGTGCTTTCACAGCTTCACTTCCCCGCTCTTGAAATGACTCATTTCAAATCTCCCACACCCCCAACCTCAATTTCAGCTGGCAATGCCACCACACGCTTCAGAGAAAGAAAGGATGCACCCACACCAGCACACCTCACCTCCATGCCCCACACTTGCCACCCAGTATCCACGCGTGCCCCCTTCCCCCGCCAGAGCACAGTGGAAGCTGCATCGTGCTCCTCCAGCCTGCACTGGGCCCCAGCCCTCCTGCTCCTTAGGGCCTGGCCCTGCAGTTGTCTCTGCAGAGCCTTTCTCCCCTTCCCGGATCATTATCATCCGCTTATAACATGCCCACCCTTCCTCCTTTAGAAACTCTCCCTGGAGGCCCCCAGCCCTTCTGGCATCTGCTGTTCCACCTCCCCCCTCCCCACTTTCATTCTGTGCTGCTCCAAGCAGCCGTTTGTCCCCACCGTTACAGGAGATGACTCTAGTCCAGATCATCAGTGACCTACATGTCACCAAGGCCAAAGGTCCCTTCCCCTGCCTATCTCTCAGTGGCATTTGACACGCTTGGCCATGGCCTCCTTACCTGTTCTTCCAATGTCTCCGACTCCACCTTCCCCTGGTTTCCCTCCTCCACATGGCCTTCTCCTCAGGAGCCTTCACTTCCCCCTCCTCCTCCGCCCTCTCTCAGTGATGGCTGCCCCGGAGGTCTGTCTTGGGGTCTCCGGTCTTCATCTTTGTTCATTCCCATAGTGGCTGTCATCCTGATCTGCGGCTTCACAGACCATCTCTGGTCTGATGAATCTCAAGACTTAATCTCCCGCCGAGACTTCTCCCTGGGACTCAGATTCACATATTTAACTACCTCACGCCTCCTCTTGGATGCCTAATGAGCATCTCCCAGCCAAAAGCAGGCTCGAATTTCCCTCCACCACCCCCTCAAATCCAGTCCTTCCCAAGGTCTCCTATCATAAATAGATGTCGCTCCCCATTCGCCCAGCTGTGTAGGCTAAAACACTAAGAAATTATTGTGATTTCTTTTTCCCTCACTCCATCATCCTGACAGCGCTGCCTGCAAAATAGACCTAGGCCCACTTATTCCCATTTCACGGTTACAGCCCTCGACCAAGCCACCTTCATCCCTAGCCCAGCCTATCCTAATGAACTACCTGATTTCTGCCTCCAGGCTTGTCTCCATCTCACCCCCTGCAGTTTATCCCACACACTGCACTTAGGGAGATCTTTCTAAAGCGCAAACAAGACTTGTTATTCCCGTGCTTAAAATCCTCCAATGAGGCAGAGGTTGCAGTGAGCTGAGATCGTGCCACTGCACTCCAGCCTGGGTGACACAGCGAGACTCCGTCTCAAAAAAAAAATCCTCCAATGGGCTGGGCGCCATGTCTCACTCCTGTAATACCAGCACTTTGGGAGGCCAAGGTGGGAGGGAAGATCGATTGAGCCCAGGAGTTCGAGACCAGCCTGGGCAACATAGAGAGACCTCTGTCTCTACAAAAAAATACAAAAAGTATGTTTGTATTTTTTGGCTTCACTCATGGTGGTGTGAGTCTGTGGTCCCAGCTATCCGATGGCAGGGCGGGGTAGTGCGGAGGTGGGGCAGGGGGAGACTGAGGTGGGACGATTGCTTAAGAGATCAAGAGGTTGAAGCTGCAGTGAGCTGTGATCGCACCACTGTACTCCAGCCTGGGTGACAGAGCGAGACCCTATTCAAAAAAAAATTTTTTTTAAAGTTGCCCATTGGAATAAACTTCAAACCCCTGACCGTAGCTGGCAGGACTTAGGCAGTGTGTGGCCCCTCCCTTGCCCTCAAGCGTCTTCTCCTACTTCTCCTCCCTTCTCACTGCGTGGCAGCCACAGTTGCCTTCTCTCTGGGACTTGACTATCCCAAATCTTGGCCTGGCCCAGGGCCTTTGGTGGCTTTTCTGCTTGGAACTTCCCTCCCTCCCAATGCCCTCCTCCCAGTCTTCACAGGGCTGCTGTATTTTCACCATTCAGGTTCCCAGAGGGGTCAGCATATGCAAAGGCCTGAGGAGGGAAGGAGCTTGGGGGCTGGAGAAACTTAAACGAGACCCTTCCTTCCTTCAAAACCCCCTAAGATTCTGCAGGGTTCGGTGGCATGTACCTGTAGTCCCAGCTGCTCCGCAGGATGAAGCGGGAGGATCAAGTGAGCCCAGGAGTTCAAGGTTGCAGTACACCATGACTGCACTTGTGAACAGCCACTGCTCTTTTAAAAAATAAAAACCCCTTGTCGGGGCACGGTGGCTCAGGCCTGTAATCCCAGCACTTTGGGAGGTCTAGGCGGGAGGGTAGCTTGAGCCCAGAAGTTCGAGACTAGCCTGGGCAACAAAGTGAAACCCCATCTCTACAAAAAATAAATAAAAATGAAATACCCCAAGAGTCTGAAAAGAGGGTTATGTGTTTCCTCAGGCTGCTGTAGCAAAGAACCACAGAGTGGGTGGCTTAAAAGAGCAGAAATTTATTATCTCTCAGTTCTGGAGGCCAGAAGTCTGAAATCCAAGCATGGCTAAGGTTGCCCTTGCCTATCTTCTGGCGGCTGTGGCCCTTAGCTTATGGCTGCCCTCCAGACTCTGCCTCTACAGCACAGAGCATTCCCTCCCTCCCTCCCTTCCTTCCTTCATTCCTTACTTCCTTCCTTCCTTCCCCTCCCTCCCTTCCCTTTCTTCCTCTCTCCCTTTCTCTCTCTCTTTTCTTTTTTCTTCCTTTCTTTCTTTTTTTCTTTCTTTGTCTTTCTTTCTCTTTGTTTCTTTTTCTTTCCTTCCTTCCTTCTTTCTTTTTTCAGAGACAGGGTCTCGCTCTGTCACCCAGGCTGGAGTACAGTGGGGTGATTATAGCTCACTGCAGCCTGGAACTCCTGGGCTTGAGCAATCCTCCTGCCTCAGCCTCCCGAAGCACTGGGATTACAGGTGCAAGCCATCATGCCTAGCCTATCATTTTCTTCTGTGTCTATGCGTGTCCCCCTTTTCTGTCTCTGATAAGAACACTCTTCGTTGGATTTGGACTTCACCCTAAACTAGAATGATCTCATCTCAAGATCCTTATCTTAATTACACTTGAAAAGACCCTTATTTCAAATAAGGTCACACTCGTAGGTTTTGGCTGAAGATACATAATTTAACCCACGAGGGAGGATATATTTCTAGGCATTTAATCTGGGTGGGATCCCTGAGGCAGGAGGACCTCAGAGGTCACCTGAAAAAGCATATCTCTAAGCATATTCCCTGAAAAACTAGTTCCAAGTGATTTTTTTTCTAGAGGATTTTTTTAAGGGTGGGGGGAGCATTCTGTGTTCAGATAAATTTGGAAAATGCTGCGTATACCTCCCACACTAGAAGATTCACAGTTCACCTTAGTGTATTAAAGGGCTGAGAATTCACGGTAAAGAAGCATTATGTATTTATGGAAAGCATCATTTCCCTAGTTTATTTCACCATAAAACCCCATTTTCTTTCTCATAATCTCCGTAGCATTTTCAGATCATATCAGCCTGTGGAAATTCAAGAGGAATGTTGATGTGAGCCAACCTTGTCTTACTTTAGCTGAGAAGATCAACATCCAGAAAAGGACAAATGACTTATCCAAGGTCACACTGCTGAGAGGGTCGGAAGTTGATTTAAAACTCAGCCTCCTCAAAATGATAGCGATGGAGACACATTAGTTGTTGATGGGGAGAGAGTGGGTATGGCTACACAGAGGTCTCACCAGAGAGATCTGTTTGGTGGGGGAGCAGTTCTGCATTTTACTTGAAGAGGTAGTAGTTACACAAATTTGCATGTGATAAAACAACACAGAATTAGGCACACACATTATACCCACGTCAGTTTCCTGGCTTTGATACTTTACATAAGATGTAACCCTTGGAGGGCCTGGCACGGTGGCTTACCCCTGTAATCCCAGCACTTTCGGAGGCTGAGGTGGGCAGATCACCTGAGGTCAGGAGTTTGAGACCAGCCTGGCCAACATAGTGAGACCCCGTCTCTACTAAACATACAAAAATTAGCCAGGAGTGGTGGCACGCACCTGTGCCAGCTACTCCAGAGGGTGAAGCAAGAGAATTGCTGAAACCCAGGAGGCGGAGTTTGCAGTGAGCTGAGATCACACCACTGCATTCTAGCCTCGGGGACAAGAATGAAACTCCATCTCAAAAAAAAAAAAAAAAAAAAGAGATGTAACCCTGTAACCCTTGGAGGTCAGGTGCCTCCTGCCTGTAATCCCAGTGCTTTCGGAGGCTGAAGCAGGAGGGTTGCTTGAGCCCAGGAGTTCAAGACAAGTCTGCGCAATATAGTGAAACCCCGTCTCTATAAAAAATTAGCCAGGCATGGTGGCACATACCTGTAGTCCCAGCTCAGGGGCTGGGACTATGGGACTACTTGGGAGGCTGAGGTGGGAGGATCGCTGAAGCTCAGGAGTTTGAGGTTGCAGTGAACTATGGTCATGCCACTGCACAGCAGCCTGGGCAACAGAGCAAGGACCTGTCTGGAAAAAAAAATTGAGAGAAATTTGGCAAAGAAAATTGGGACCACTTTGTACTATCTTTGCAACTTCCTGTGAATCTATAATAATTTCAAAATAAAAAGTATGAAAAACTGGTTTCCTGTCTCCAGGTTCCAGAGCTTTTAACACTGTCAAAGGTCATTAGATCAAATTTAGGTTTATGCTCTGCTATTCATATGCTTCTAGTACCCAATAAAAAGCACTGTTTATGGGCTGGGTGCAGTGGCTCATGCCTGTAATCCCAGCGCTTTGGGAGGTTGAGGCAGGCAGATTACCTAAGGCCAGGATTTTGAGACCGGCCTGGCCAACATGGTGAAACCCCATCTGTACTAAAAATAGAAAAATTAGCTAGGCATGGTGGCACACACCTGTAGCCCCAGCTACTTGGGAGGCTGAGGCAGAAGGATCACTTGAGCCTGGGAGGTCGAGACTGCAGTGAGCTGCGATCACTTTGGAGGCTCAAGAAGACAATTTTGTGTTTTGACACAGCAATAGCAGAACTTTCATCAACAATTAGATTCAGAACAGGTTATACTGCACACATTTTTGCCACATGCCCAGCCATCTGGCTTCTCTTGGAATTGTCTCCATCTGCCCCCACCCCCACCCTCATTCACATAATGACTGTGGAACTGGGGGCAGCCATTTGATCCTACTTCTCTGGCTACGGTTGACTGGTTCAGGGGTGGGCACTGATCCAATCTGGGCCAATCAGAGCCCTTCCCTGAGAATTTTCTATTTGGAGCTCAGGGAATCTGTCCGATCCTAGATTGCTCAGGTAGTAAAAGTGTGAGATGGAGATGGGGCCACTGGTGGCCATGTTAGCCCCTTATGTGAAAAAACCTGGTTGAGTGAGAAGGAATGAAGCCAACATTCAAAGGAAAGTAAAGACAGGAGACAGAGAGAAAGTCCTGTTAACCTTGCGATGCCTGTTTCTGTTTGTTTCTGAAATCCAGCTGCCTTACTATGGCCTAGCTACTCCTCCCTTCCTTGGCAACCAAAAAGCTAACACATCTCTCATTTGGGCTGGGGGGTGTTGTTTTGTTTTGTTTTGTCTTAGTTTTCATTGTTTCAGACAAGGTCTTTCTCTGTCACCCAGGCTGGAGTGCAGTGGTGTGAACACAGCTCACTGCAGCCTCGACCTCCCAGGCTCAAGTGAACCTCCTGCCTCAGCCTCAGCCTCCCCAGTAGCTGGGATGACAGACACATGCCATCAAGCCTGGCTAATTTTTAAAATTTTTTGTAGAGATGAGGTCTCACTACGTTGCTGACTGGCCTAGAACTCCTGGGCTCAAGCAATCCTCCTTCCTCACCTTCCCAAAGTGCTGGGATTACAGGTGTGAGCCACAGCACCCAGTGACATCTCTTATTTTGCTCAAGCTAGTTTGAGTTGGTTTATCATCACTTGCAATCCAAAGAGCCTAAAGTAGCCTATAGACCAACTCCCTCATTTTACAGATGAAGAAATGGATCCTGAGAAAGTCCATGACATCCCTAAGGCTGAGGTCAGTGAGTAGCTAGGCTAGAATTAAATTGCAAACATCTTGATGGGAACACTCATTTGTTTTTGCACAGCCGCTCCTCCTGCCACGCCATGTGACATTTCCAAAGCCTGCCAAGATTTCCAAAGTCCTCAGTTGGAGGGAAATGCACCTAAACCTCCTCTTATCCACAAAACAAAGGGGAAAGGATAAAAATAGAAGACCCCTGAAATATAACTGGAGATCTGGGACCTGGGGGATTGGCGCAGGAAGCTGAGAATGGAGAGAACAAAGTCAGAGTTGTTAGAGGTGAAAACTGAAAGGACCCTACACTCTATTTGTGGCTGAGCTCTCACACAAGGAAGACAGGATCAAAGGAGGTCTTCATCTCTTTGCAAAACTCTCATGCAGGATTCAGATTAAACTGAGCCAACAAATATCCTCCTAACCGAGGCTAAAAAGAGATCAGAGACCCACTCCAGTGTTGGCCACCTGTGAATCCCCAAAACTCCCAGCCTTCCGAGGTCACCCTTACCTTTAATATAAAGTTGGGTAGCTCAAGGGAGGATCCAGATGCTTTTCCTGCGTGGTTGCACAGCTCCTTGCCAGTCCCCTTGGCTCCTACAGCTGACATTCTCCTCCTATCCCCCCACCCCAGCCTAGACACAGCATTCTTCCTGCTCCACCCACCCCTGACAAGCACTGCTAATCAAGCTGCTGTGTGGATCTGACTTTTCCTGAAGTTTCAGGCTAACAGAGAGGGGCGTGATGGGCCCTGGCAGGTTTTCAGGAGTTTTAGTTCCTCCTGGGCCACGTAATATATGAGGCTAACAGAGTGAGCCTGAATCAGACTGGTCCTTGCTAAACAGATGACTCAACATCCTGGAAATGTGTAGCAAGATGGTGTCTGGAGCCAGCCAAGAACTTGTCCCCAGAACCACAGTGTTTGTTAGTTCCCAGTGGCTTGCTAGAGGCAGGTTTTACAACCCCATGAGGCACTTACGCTGGGGTTTCAGGAAGAAGTGGGTGAGGGGCAAGTGGCTTGGTGAGCCTCGCTTTGAACTACCTAAGACTTGCCAGATCTTCATCCAGGACAGGCAGAAGCTTTTGGCCCCCACTCCCAGGAACCCTCCTGGGGGAGCCCAGAGAGCCACAATCGCTGACATCATCCAGCCCGTTGCCCTCTAGTGTCCCCTGAACCTCCACAGCCAAATGGTATTTCATTAAGGATCCTGGGGCAGAGGGCAGCTTCTAGGCAGCTTCAAACCCCATCCTCTGCAGAACCTGCCGAGAAGGTAACATCTCAAAACACATACGTGGTGTGTGCTGCTTATCCCTGACCCCGCTCGGGTATCCTCACCTGATGCTTCCCTGGCCCTGCCTGTGGCTAGGGTTCCCATCCTCTCCTTATGTCCCCAAAACAACGCCAAACAGCCTGCAGCCCACTCTGAAGAGCAGTTTAATGCTTTTTATCTAAGACTTTCCATTTTTAGGAGGTCTGGCCTTCCATGAACAAACACGTTTATCAAGATGCTTTTTCTAACCCAAAGAGTAATTGGCTCTCTAAAAGCAATTCTGTTTGATTCTGGACCAACAATTGCAAATTCACAAACCCTAGCAAAAGATATTAAATAGTGAGAAATATTCTCCAAAACATGAACCTGATTCATACATATAATTACTGTAGTTCTCATATCCTAGAAAATCCAGGATGTACTGTTGCCAAATCTATTTTCCTTATATGTACCACTTACATTGAAATGGATCCCTTCCTTGACTTTTTTACCTGGAAAGCATCAGAGTTCTTCAGAGTAGCTTCTCAGAGTCTCAGTTATAGGACAAGCCCTGGGGAGTCTTTAAAATCCTAGGAATAAGCCATGATAACTAGAGGAGTTTAATTTCACGAATTTTTTTTTCTCTCTCTTTTTTTTTTTTTTGGCAGGGTCTTGCTTTGTCGCTCAGTCTGGAGTGCAGTGGTGCAATCATGGCTTACTGCAGCCTTGACCTCCTGGGCTCAAGAAATCCTCCCGCCTCAGCCTCCCAGTTAGCTAGAACTACAGGCACACGCCACCATTCCTGGCTAGTTTTCTGTTTGTTTGGTTTTGTTTTTTGTTTTTTGTAGAGACAGTGTCTTGCTCTGTTGCCCAGGGTGCTCCTGAACTCCTGGGCTCCAGTGATCCTTCCACCTCAGCCTCCCAAAGTGCTGGAATTACAGGCATGAGCCACCGCACCCAGGTAATCCTAAGAATTCCTAGCAGCCCCTCTGACAATTAGCTGCTCCAAACAGCTTCCTCAGAGACAGCCTGAGCCAGTGCCTCCTCCCAGGAGGTTGAACCCTCTGGACACAAACCCAGTGACCCACCACCATTCCTTTACACAGTGTCCCTCCTTTTTAGCTCCCATTTGGTTCCTGTTCCACCAGGCCCTCTATAAAGGATGCACAGGGCTCGTGGAGGACTCCAGCTCAACTTCCCTGGGAGCTTTACTAAGATTTCAACATTTTACACCTTTGGCCGGCAGTGGTGGTTCACATCTGTAATCCCAGCACTTTGGGAGGCTGAGTTGGGAGGATCACTTGGGCCCACGAGTTCGAGGCTAGCCTGGGCAACATGGTGAAATCCCGTCTCTACCAAAAATTAAAAAAAAAAAAAGAATTAGACAAGTGTGGTGGCGCACACCTGTAGTCCCAGCTACTAGGGAGGCTGAGGTGGGAGGATCGCTTGAACCTGGGAGGTGGAGGTTGCAGTGAGCCAAGATTGCAGCAGTGCACTCCAGCCTGGGGGACAGAGCAAGACCATGTCTCAAAACAAACAAAAAAAATTTACACCTTTGATGGAAAAGAGTCTTAAAGCTTAATTGCTGGGCTGGGCATGGTGGTTCACATCTATAATCCCAACACTTTGGGAGGCTGAGGTGAGAGAATCACTTGAGGCCAGGGGTTTGAGACCAGCCTGGGGAACATAGTGAGACCCTCTACTCCTAGCTATTTGGGAGACTGAGTCAGGAGGAGCATTTGAGCATTGCACTGCATTCCAGCCTGGGTGAGAGAAGGAGACCTCATCTCTTGAGAAAAAAAAAAAACAAAAAAAGCTGAATTCCTGTAGCCAGCATACACTATTTTCATAACCCTCCCTGCAGTTCTAGAGTGTGGCTCGAGGGCACAGTCTAAATGTGAGGTCCATGGGCCCCAATAGCTTCCTGGATAGAATTCAGGGAGCTATGAACTGAAATGGAAAAAACATTACATCTTGATTTTCACAAACCTCTAACTGAAATTTATCATTTCCTTCAGTATGAGGGTAAGCAACAAGCCACAGCAATGTTAACAGTGCCTGTGGATTTATCACACAGAAACCACAGATACTTTAAACAATTGTTTATGTTATTATTTATTAGAGATGAGGTTTTGCTCTGTCACTCAGGCTGGAGTATGGCGGTGTGATCATAGCTCACTGCCGCCTCAAACTCCTGGGCTCAAGTGATCCTCCCACTTCAGCCTCTTGAGTAGCTGGGATTATATATAGGTGCAAATCACTATACCCAGCAAAACCACAGATTTTTTTTGTCACCTTATAGTTGTTGCAAGTGTCTTAAAATATTATTCACACTCCAAACTCGACTGGGTGCGGTGGCTCACACCTGTAATCCCAGCACTTTGGGAGGCCAAGGCGGGCAGATTGGTTGAGGTCAGGAGTTAGAGACCAGCCTGGCCAACATGGCGAAACCCAGTCTCTATTAAAAATACAAAAATTAGCTCGGTGTGGTGGCGGGCACCTGTAACCCCAGCTACTCTGGAGGCTGAGGCATGAGAATCGCTCGAACCCGGGAGGTGGAGTTTGCAGTGAGCCAAGATTGTGCCACTGCACTCCAACCTGGGGATAAAGCGAGACTCTGTCTCCAAAATAAATAAATAAAAATGTGTTTAGGCATTATTTTGAGAAGGGGTCCATAGGTTTCACCAGCTTGCCAAAGGAGTCCAGGGCAAAATAAATAAATAAAAATTTAAAAAATTAAGTATTCTTGTAATCTGGGGAGAGGCTCCAGGCATAAGAATATTATGAGGAGGAAATCCACTTTTTTTTTTTTTCAAGGAAAGCAAGGCTGAAGGAGTAAAAAAGATGCAATTACATGCTGCCTACAAGAGACTTGCTCCACCTTTAAAGAGACACATAGACTGAAAGTTAAGGGATAGAAAAGATATTCCATGCAAATAAAAGCCAAAAGAGGGCAGGAATAGCTAGACTTATAACAGATGAAATCGATTTTAAGTCAAAAATGGTAAAAGGTGACAAGAAGGTCATTATATGATGATAAGAGTCAATTCATCAAGAGGCTATAACAATTGTAAATTATATGCACCCAACATCACATTACCTAGATATATAAGGCAAATATTAATAGATCTTAAGGGAGGGATAGACTAATACAATAATAGCAAAGGACTTTAACACCTCACTTTCAGCAACAGACAGATGGATGGTCCAGGCAGATAATCAATAAGAAAACATTAGACTGAAACTACACTTTAGACCAAACAGACCTAACAGACAAATACAGAACATTCCATCCGACAGCAGCAGAATGCACATTCTTCTCAAGAGCACATAGAACATTCTCCAGGATAGATTACACGTTAGGCACATGACATGTCTTATCAAACTTAAGATTAATATCATATCAAGTATCTTCTCAACCACAATGGTATGAAGCTAGAAATCAATAACGAGAGAAATTTCAGGAAATTCACAAATATATGGAAATTATACAACATGATCCTGAACCACCAATGGGTTAAAGAAGAAATGCAAAAATATCTTGAGACAAATGAAATGGACCCACCAGATACTAAAACTTATGGGATGCGGCAAAAGCAGTTCTAAGAGAGAAGTTTATAGCTATAAATGCCTATATCGCAAAAGAAGAAGGATCACAAATAAACATCGTAACATCACGCTTCAAGAAACTAGAAAACTAGAAAATGAAAAACAGGCCAGGCACAGTGGCTCGTGCCTGCAATCATGCCACTACACTCCAGCCCTGGCTACAGAGCACGAGATTCCCTCTCAAACAAAAGAAAAGAAAAAAACAGAAACAAACGGAAGCAGAAGGAAGTAAATAATAAAGATCAGAGCAGAAATAAAGACTAGAAAAGATCAATGAAACTGAGTTGGTTTTGTTTTCTGTGACAGAGTCTCAAAAAAAAGAGTGCAGTGGTACAATTTCAGCTCACTGCAACCTCCGCCTTCTGGGTTCAAGGGATTTTCCTGCCTCAGCCTCCTAAGTAGCTGGGATTACAGGCACCTGTCACTATGTCCAGCTAATTTTTGTATTTTTAGTAGAGACAAGGTGTCGCCATGCTGGCCAGGCTGGTCTCAAACTCCTGACCTCAAGTGATCTGCCCACCTTGGCCTCTCAAAGTGCTGGGATTACAGGCGTGAGCCACCGGGGCCTGGCCAAGTTGCGTGTTTGAAACAGTAAACAAAATGGACACATTCTAAGCTAGACTAACTAAGGAAAGCAAAAGTGATTTGTCTGGGAGAGGCATTGGTTTGTGCGACCAGACCTCTGCATTATAATGCAGAGGGCCCTGGAAGTCTAAGCATTCCTAAGGAGTTGTGACGAGCCTGTCTTTCCATGTGCCTGCCACCTGTCCTGCCTGGGTCCATCATGTATCTGTCAGCGGACTCACCTTGTGCCTTCACATTCCCATGGCATGTCTGGGACATCCTGTCACTTAGTCTATGTGTGTCTACATGTGCCATTACATGTTCCCCTCAAAGCTCTGCTGTGTTTCTGTCCAGTGCCTGCCACATGTCCCCCACATGTCAGCTGTATGTTCACGTATGAATTCCACGTGTATTTTATTTATCCATGGGGTAATATTGCTGTCATAGGTCCTGCATATTTTGACATGTAACCGTCAAGTTAACTCATGTATCCATTCATTCATTCATTTATTATTGAGTTCCTAGTATGTGGCACTGTTTTAGGCTCTGTGGATACAACAGTGAATAAAACAGAAAAAAAAATACTGTCTTCACAGAGCCTGCATTCAAGACAATAAATATAATAACAATAACAATATAGTAGAGGCCAGTAATCCCACACTTTGGGAGGCTAAGGTAGGCAGATTGCTTGAGTTCAGGAGTTTGAGGCCAGCCTGGGCAACCTGGCAAAACCCTGTCTCTACCAAAAATACAAAAAAGTAACCGGGCATGGTGGGGTGCGTCTGTGGTCCCAGCTACTTGGGAGGCTGAGGTGGTACGATCACTTGAACCTGGGAGGTAGAGGTTTCAGTGAGCCGAGATCATGCCACTGCATTCCAGCTTGGATGACAGAGTGAGACTTCTGTCTCAAAACAAAACGAAACAATATAGTAAACATAGAAATAAATTAACAAGCATAATAAACAAATTATATAGTATGTCAGAAGGTGATGAGTGCCACAGAAAAAAATGGGGGAAAACAAGGGAGATCAGAGGTGCGGGAAATATATTACAGTGCCCTTGTGAAAATTTAAAAGAAACAAAAAGAGTAGCAGGCAGAGTGGATACAGTTGTAAACAGGAGGTCAGGGTAGTCCCCTTGAAAAGTTAGTTGTCTGAGAGAAGACTTGAAGGCAGTAGATGAAGTGACCCTTGAAGATATGGAGGAAACACATCTAGGCAGAGCAACAGCAGCTATGGAAGCCAGAGGCAGCAGCTTGTCTGGTATGTTGGAAGAATGTGGAAGCCAGTGTGGCTGGAGTGGAGTAAATTGTAAGAAGTCAAACAGGGCCTGGTGCGGTGGCTCACACCTGTAATCCCAGCACTTTGGGAGGCTGAGGTGAATGGATTGCTTGAGCCCAGGAGTTCAAGACCAGCTTGGACAACATAGTGAAACGTCAACTCTACAAAAAATAGAAAAATTAGCCAGTATGGTGGCGTGCACCTGTAGTCCCAGCTACTCAAGAGGCTGAGGTGGGAGGATTGCTTGAACCTAGAAGGCAGAGGTTGCAGTGAGCCAAGAACACACCACCGCACTCCAGCCTGGGCAACAGAGTGAAACCCTGTCCAAAAACAAGTAAATTAAAGAAGACAAACAGGACTTGAATCAGTTTATCTTGGCCTCAATGAATTTCAAGTTTCCAGTTTTCCTCCACCTTTAATATGGTTTAGCATAAACCCGTCTGTGGACAACTGTCCTGGAAACTATTGACCACTGTGGTCTCAGGCCATTTTCAACTACTCTGAGTTTAATCTCAAGAAAAACAAAAACAAACCCATCTCAATGTAAATAGGAGTAGGGCAGCTGGGTCAGAAAATGAAAATTTTCTCCCAGGGGAGGGAGAAGGGTAGGGGAAAGAATTCAGGCTTAGAGTCCCAGCTCTGCCACTCAACAAGCTGAGTGACAGTGGTCACTGTGCCAGCCTCACTGAATCTCTTTCCATGTATGGAAAATGAGGTGAGACCCCCACAGGGATGTGAGCATAGAATGCAAAATAAACATTCAGCCCCCAGCCCAAGTCTGACTCTCAGGACAGCTCAGTCTGCAGCCACTGCCTCCCTTCTTGGGCCTGAATGCCCAGTGTACTTCCCCTTTGACCTTCATTGTCTTGAAACTATACATTTAGCACCTGAGAGTCAGCTCAGGTGGCAGGTAAAATCTTTGCATAGTTTCTGATGTAATTTTTTTTTTTGAGACAGAGTCCCGCTATGTCACCAGGCTGGAGTGCAATGGCATGATCTCAGCTCACTGCAACCTCCACCTCCTGGGTTCAAGTGATTCTCCTGCCTCAGCCTCCCGAGTAGTTGGGACTACAGGCGTGCGCCACCAAGCCCAGCTAATTTTTGTATTTTTAGTAGAGACAGGGTTTCACCATGTTGGCCAGGGTGGTCTCGATCTCTTGACCTCATGTTCCACCCCCCTCAGCCTCTCAAAGTGTTGAGATTACAGGCGTGAGCCACCATGCTTGGCCTCTGATGTATTTTTTATCCTGAATTCTCCCATATAGCATAGGGCTTCAATTCTTGGGGAGAAAAAAGCTGGAGTTGAAATCCTAAAGAAATAAGAATGTGAATCTGAATTGGTATGGTTCATCTTGTAACTGATTTAATGGACACTGGAAACGTTTACAAGTGCCTACCTGTCACCCGGAGTCGGTGGGTGGCCGCCCTCTGGGACTCCTTGTCTTCTGCTGCCATCGCCTGGAGGCAAGAGGGACTGCAGGGACACAGAGGGACAGAGGCCCACACAGGTGGGAGCAGCAGGGGCTCAGCCCCCTGGGGCAACTAAGGCCACCCTGGGGAGGCCAGTGGCTCACCTCTCATGAAAAGGCAGGTGGAGTGACTTGAAAGGCTGGTTTCCTGGCTGAGCATGGTGGATCACGCCTGTAATCCCAAGCACTTTGGGGGAATGAGGTGGGAGGATCGCTTGAGCCCAGTAGTTGACCAGCCTGGGCAACAAAGCAAGCCCCCCATCTCTACTAAAAATTAGCCAGGCATAGTGGTGTGTGCCTTTGATCCTAGCTATGTGAAAGGCTGAGGCAGGAGGATCGCTTGTGTCCAGGAGGTTGAGGTTGCAGAGCTGTGTTTGAGCCACTGCATTCTAGCCTGGGTGACATCGAGACCCTGTCTCAAAAAAAAAAAAAAAAAGAAAAAAAGAAAAGCTGGTTTCCTGGCACATTAGTGGCCAAGAAGGCTCAATGACAAAGCGGGGAGTTTTAACGACTACAGCTCTAGTCTCACCTTCTACAAAAGAGGAAACTAAGAGCCCTGCACTGTGGTGGAGTGTTTTTCCCAAGGCAGAGCTACACTGCTTCCCAAGGCAGGATGTGGCTTAGGGACAAAGTCACATTCGAAGGCAGGCCCCGAGGCCTGATTCCAGGGTTGCTTTATAGCACCGCTCAAAAGTGTTGTCCTTGGACCAGCAGCCTCAGGTCAGCTGGGAGCTTGTTAGAAATACAGGATTGCAGACCCCGCTGGCAACCTACGGACCCAGACTCCGCACTTTACCAGATCCCCCAGGAAATCCGGACGCCAGTCAGAGCCAGTGCGAGGGACTGGTTTAGAACACACTGCCTCTCAATGTTTTTAGGAGGGCACATGAAGATAGTTTTATTTCCCCAAGTGGAAATCACAGTATTGTTTATTCCTTTTTTTTTTTTTTTTTTTGAGATGGAGCTCTGTTGCCCAGGGTGGATTGCAGTGGTGCAATCTCTGCTTACTGCAACCTCCATCTCCCAGGTTCAAGGGATTATCTTGCCTCAGCCTCCCAAGCAGCTGGGAATACAGGCACCCGCCACCACACCTGGCTAATTTTTTTTTTTTTAAGTAGAGACGAGGTTTCACCATGTTGGCCAGGCTGGTCTTGAACTCCTGACCTCAGGTGATTTGCCCACCTCAGCCTCCCAAAGTGCTGGGATTACAGGTGTGAGCCACTGCCCCTGGCCAGCATTGTTTATTCTTGGTTATAGTAGTTCTGCATGCTCACTATAAAAAAATCAGACAATATAGGATAATTTAAAGAAGAAAGCAATAAATATTGTGTTGTGTAAATATCCTTCTGGACATTTTCTATACACACACACTTCTTTTTTTTTTTTTTAGATGGAGTCTCGCTCTGTTGCCCAGGCTGGAATGCAGTGGGGTGATCTCAGCTCACTGCAACTTCTGCTTCCTGAGTTCAAGCAAGTCTCCTGCCTCACCCTTCCAAGTAGCTGGGATTACAGGCATGCACCACCACACCCGGCTAATTTTTGTATTTTTAGTAGAGACGGGGTTTCTCCATGTTGGCCAGGCTGGTCTTGAACTCCTGACTTCAGATGATCTGCCCACCTTGGCCTCCCAAAGTACTAGGATTACAAGTGTGAGCCACCGTGCCTGGCCCACAACATTTTTACAAAAATCAGATTATGTGTGTATCCTCCATATTGTCTTGTCGCCTTTTCTTTCTCTTCTTTTTTTTTTCTGAGACAGGATCTTGCTCTGTTGCCCAGGCTGGAGCGCAGTGGCATGATCACAGCTCACTGCAGATTCAACCTCCTGGGCTCAAGCAATCCTATCTCAGGGTCCCGAGTAGCGGGGACTACCAGGGTGTGTGTGTGTGTACATATATATATTATATGTATACATGTGTGTACATATACACACACATATAAATATATATACATATATAGATTGTATATATATATTTTTTTATTTTGTAGAGATGAGGGTCTCACTATGTTGTCTAGGTTAGTCTTGAACCCCTGGGCTCAAGTGATCCTCCCACCTTCACCTCCCAAAGTGATGGGATTTCTGGCATGAGCCACCACACCTGGCCAGCCTTGGATATGATTTCTCTTTTTTTTTTTTTTTTTTTTGAGACGGAGTCTTTGCTCTGTCGCTCAGGCTGGAGTGCAGTGCTGCAATCTTGTCTCACTGCAACCTCCGCTCCCTGGGTCAAGTGATTCTCCTGCCTCAGCCTCCTGAGTAGCTGGGATCATAGGTGCACCACAACACGCCTGGCTAATTTGTTTTGTTTGTTTGTTTTGTTTTTGTTTTTGTATTTTTAGTAGAGACTCATGCAACTGCAGCTGCTTGGGTCACTCAGGAGCCCTCATGACCATCACCCACCCCTTTTCCCTGCCTGGAATTCTCCTCTGCTCACCCACTCCACCCCTCCCTCCACCCTCACCCAGTAATTCCTATCTGCGTTTAGGCTTGGCCTGAAATGTCAGCTCCTGGGGAGGCCTGGGAACACTGAGGCTGGATCCCCTTGGCATTCACTCCTCTAGTGCCCTTTCTTTTCTCCTTTGGAGACATTTATCACAAATTCATGAAGTTTCCACTTGAATAAGAATTTGTTTATGTCTTTCTTGTCCTTGAAAGCAGGGCGTGTGTGTCTCTGGGCTTAGGGACCCCTCTGTGCCTCACACTTTGTACAGGGCCTGGCACATAGCAGATGCTCAGAACATGCTTGTGACAGGATGAAATGAAGGGGTGGATGTTGCGGGTCCTCAGTGCACACTCGGCTTGGGTTTCTACTTGATCGTGTCAATCAAGCTCAGATTCAGAGCTGCTAGGGAACTGAAGGTCTCTTTGGGGGCACTGCCTCTCAGCAACACTATTGCACAGAGGGATTTTCTGATTACAGCACCAGAAAGAGCTCACCCCAGGTCTGGTACACAGAAAGCACTCTGCAGGCCAGGTGTGTTGACTCATGCTTGTAATCCCAGCACTTTGGGGAGTTGAGGTGGGCAGATCACCTGAGGTCAGGAGTTTGAGACCAGCCTGGCCAACATGGTGAAATCTCCTCTCTACTTAAATACAAAAAATTAACCAGGTGTGGTGGCATGTGCCTGTAGTCCCACCTGCTCGGGAGGCTGAGGCAGGAGAATTGCTTCAACCTGGGAGGCAGAAGTTGCAGTGAACCGAGATCACTCCACTCCACTCCAGCCTGGGCAACAGAGCAAGACTCTGTCTCAAAAAAAAAAAAGAAGAAAGAAAGAGAGAGAGGGAAAGAAAGAAAGGAAGGAAGGAAGGAAGGAAGGAAGGAAGGAAGGAAGGAAGGAAGGAAGGAAGGAAGGAAAGAAGGAAGGAAGGAAAGGAAGGAAAGAAGGAAGGAAGGAAGGAAGGAAGGAAGGAAGGAAGGGAAGGAAGGAAGGAAAGAGGAAAAGAAAAAAGAAAGCACTGTCTGGAATAGCAGCTCCTTGGTGGTGGTGTGGAGGCTGGCACGGGTGTGCCCCCACTTGCTCCAGCTTGTAACACCCTCAAGTTTCCATGTGTCTTTGCCTCTTTCCAGACAGGCCACACTGAACAGCATATAACAGCACATATTCCAAACACAAGCAGGGAGGTGGTGCTGTAGGGTGACTTCATGGTTTATTAAACATGGACAGAGAACTACTAATGTGCCAGGTACTGTTCTGACCCTAGGTCCACAGAGATGGTGAAGACAGAAACTCTATCACAGTCGCTCACAGCCTAGAAGCAAGGAGACCAGTCAGTACAATGCAGTGGAATGCATGTCATGGTAGCGGTGAGTTCAATGCCAGGAGTAGGGGGACCACAGAGGCAGTGAGTGCCTCTGTAGTGAGCAGAGGCCACACCCTTCCAATGTTTTTTGTTGTCGTTGTTTTGTTGTTTTTGAGACAGAGTCTCATTCTCTTACCCAGGCTGCTGGAATGCAGTGGTGACATCTCCGCTCACTGCAACCTCCACCTCCTAAGTTCAAGCAATTCTCATGCCTCAGCCTCTTGAGTAGCTGGGATTACAGGTGTGTGCCACCACAGTCAGCTAATTTTTATATTTTTAGCAGAAACAGTGTTTCACCATGTTGGCCAGGCTGGTCTCGAACTCCTGACCTTGGGTGATTTGCCCACCTTGGCCTCCCAAAGTGTTGGGATTACAGGCGTGAGCCACTGCGCCCGGCCAGCCCTCTTAAAATCCATCCAAACGTTCCCATATCTCTTGAAATAAAATAATTTTTAAAAAGGTATCCAAGGTCTGGGATGGTCTGGCCTCTCCCAACACCCACACCCTCACCTCCCAGCCTTGTCCTCTCGCTCTCTGTATCCAGCCACATCATCATTTTCTCAGCCCCTTCCATGTGCCAAGCTCTGTCCCACCTGGAGGTCCTCACAGATACTGGTTCCTCTGGCTGGAACCCTTCCCATGAGCACATTTTTGTGACTGGGCACGGGCATACACGAGGCTACTGAACAAACTGCTTTACTTCAGCCTTCAGTTCTGTTCCCAGTGCCCCGTGAAGGGTAGGCCCTCAATAAATATTTGCTGAGCAGACTACCTTTTATTCCTCACATTCATGGCAAACAGTTTCCCTAGATTATGGCTTGCCCTTAAATTTATTGTTTCTTTAACCTTCAGAAGTTTTACATTTTGATGTCGTCAGATCATCCAATCTCTCTTTTGGGGTTTCTCTGTTGCTTTACACACAGAAAGTTTCAGAGGTTTCATAACGGCTAGTGCCTTGAGCAAGGGCCCAAGTTTGAGGGATTTGAATCAGAAGGAACAGGAAGCTGATAACCTTGGTAGAAGCTGATGGAGGGAGTTGTGTGGCAATACCAGGTGCAATGGCGATATGGGGTTAGCATGTCTTGGGTGTGGCGTTCTTGGTCTAGCATTTTCCTCACGGTGCTCACCAACTCCTTAATGGGTCTGGAAAGTATTAACACCCTGGTATGTGTTAAGGAAAAGCAAATCAGAGCCCACTGTTTGCTAGGCATTGTGTTAAGCACTGGGGAACTGACTTTTTTTTTTTTTTTTTTTGAGACAGGGTCCTTCCTCTGTCACCCAGGCTGGAGTGCAGTGGCCCAATCATAGCTCAGTGTAGCCTCCAACTCCTGGGCTCAAGCAATCCTCCCACTTTAGCCTTCCAGGTAGCCAGGACTACAGGTGTGTGCCACCTGGCTAATTTTTTAATTTTTTACAGAGGTGGAATCTTGCTATGTTGCCCAGGCTGGGGAACTGACTTTAAAGGTAAGAATCAAAGAATAGAGCAGTAGTTTATTATGTGCAGGCTGTGTGTGTGTGTGTGTGTGTGTGTGTGTGTGTGTGTGTATAAATGTGTCTGTTAGGGATTCCAGACAGAGGGAAAAATATCTGTGAGGAGTCCAAGGTGGAATATAATCAGACGGTCCTCATTAAATCCCAAAGGAGGCTGCAATCGCCAGCTCTCTCATTCAAAACTCAAAGAGAGGTTTTGAGGGAAGGCAAGGAGAGGACGTTATTGACCATGATGTGTGGCCACATTCTTGAGGGTCTCAGCCCAGCCCCAGTTGCCTTAGAGGACAGGACCAGGCTGCTTTTAGACTACAGCCGCCATGACTCTCCACACGCTGCGGCAAGAGTTAAGGCAAAGCCGATAGTACAACACAGCAGTTGTCCCAGGTGAAGCCCTTGTCAACAGGCGTCCTGCGGCTTTGTGACTGATTGTTCTATCCTTGGCTCGGAGAAGGGGCAGCCATTTGATGTTCAAAAATACCTGTAAGCGGCTGAGCTTAGTGGCTCCTGCCTGTAATCCCAGCACTTTGGGAGGCTGAAGCTGGCGGATCACCTGAGGCCAGGAGTTTGAGACCGGCCTGGCCAACATGGCGAAATCCTGTCTCTATCAAAAATGTAAAAATTAGCCGGGTGTGGTGGTGCACTACTATAATCCCAGCTACACAGGAGGCCTAGGCAGGAAAATCACTTGAACTTGGGCGGCAAAGTTTCCAGTGAGCCGAGATCAAGCCACTGCACTCCAGCCTGGATGACAGAGTGACACCCTGTCTCAAAACAACAACAAGGAAAAAACCCTGTAACCTACAGCCATTTAGGTGTAGGGTAGAGCATTTAACCTCATGGGGTGGATAAATCAATCAAAGTGCTGTTCAGGCCTCCCCAGTCCTTAGTCCAGCAAGGTGACGTTGGCAGAGGGTCTCTCACTGCCCGGGGGAGACAAGTGAGAATAAACGACAACACAATGACTCCCAACTGTGGGCATTTAAGCGGGAGCCAGGCCTTGTGCTGAACAAGCAGTTCCCTTGTGTATAACCTTAGATGGTGGGTGTGGCTCTTTATTTTCTTTTTTTACAACTTTTTTTAAAATCTTTTTTTTAATCTTTTTTTTTTTTTTTTTTTTTTTTTCTGAAATAGTCTCGCTCTGTAGCCCTGGCTGGACTGCAGTGGCGCTATCTCGGCTCACTGCAACCTCCGCCTCCTGGGTTCAGCAATTCTCCTGCCTCAGCCTCCTGAGTAGTTTGAACTACAGGTGCCCGCCACCATGTCCAGCTAATTTTTGTATTTTTATTAGAGATGGGGTTTCATCATATTGGTCAGGCTGGTCTCAAACTCCTGACCTTGTGATCTGCCCACCTCAGCCTCCCAAAGTGCTGGGATTACAGGCATGAGCCACCGCACCCAGCCTCCAAAAAATTATGTTTTTTGAATCATAAGGCGTGACTCTTATTCCCACTTTACAGATAAGAATGGGATGCTTAGAGAGGTTTGCCCCGAGTTGCTTAGCTATAACTGCAAAAGTCCAGGATTCAGACCCAGATTGCCTGCCTCTGTGGCCATGCGAGGAACTGTAATGCCCTGTGGTCTCCCAGATCGTGGTGAAGGAAGGAACATGTCTGAGGACCAGAAGTGGACACACACGAGGCAAGATTGGGAACTCAATGTCAGATATCTCTCGGGGAAGAACATGACTTCTGAGACTTTGACTCAGAAAAGGATGGGCTTCATGGGGATGCTGGGATGCCACTCTGCAGGCATTTCTTATAAATATCTCCTCTGTCCTGTTGCAGGGCTGGAAGAGAACGATTTCAGTAGCATTAGGGCTGTGTAGGCTGCAAATGAATAGCAGGAGCTGGCTAGCCACATACGGACAAAAGTGGGGAAACACTGGCATAGTGGCTGTTAAGAAATATGGGAAGAAGGCTGATGTTACATGCTGTCACACACAATGTCACATGCTGTTATATGTGATGTTACATGCAGTTACATGCAACATTACGTACAATGTTCCATGCTGATGTTACATAATGTTACATCATCTTACATGCACTGTTACATGCTGATGTTACATAGTATTATGTGCATGGTTACATGGTGATGTTACATATTACATGCTGTTACATGAGAGGAAGTCTGTTGGGCTGTCTGCTGTGTGACAGCTGGCAGAGGGAGGCTGTCCCCAAGGAGTATACAGGGCAAGGTGCCCAACTAGGCTGAGAGAGGCATGGGCATCCAGTCCTCACAAAGAACAGAGAGGGGCCACCTCCCCTTGCGGCAGGCCCCGGGCTGCCTGCCTGGAGGAGGGGAACCCCAAAACGTGGGCTGGAGACAAGTGAGTGGGAAAGGAATGTGGTGAAGCACTCAGCTAGCGATCTGGGAACAGTGGCGAGCGCCACAGACTCATTCACTGAACTGTGAGACTCCAGGAAGCCTTTGTGTGTCTCTGTGCCTGTGTGTTTATAAACTTCTTCCCTTCCAAGTTGGAATCAAGACTTATTTGGCAAAGAATGTTGTCCTTGGGGAGGGAGACTGCCCAGAGGTGGAAAACATGTAGATGAATTCGTTTCTTAGAGTTCTAGATATGGCTTATCTGTCCAAGGCTCTGGCATTTTTCTAAGATAAATAATTGGATTGTTCAAACTGTGAAAATGAACATAGTGAAAACTTTGGAAAACTCTTAGTGTATGAATCTGGGGGGTCTGTACTGATTTGAAGTGTGACAAAATTGGGGCTTCCATCATTTTTTCTGTGTGTTGAGCGGTTTTTTTGTTTGTTTGTTTGTTTTGTTTTTGAGATGGAGTCTTGCTCCTGTCTCCCAAGCTGGAGTGCAGTGGCCTGATCTTGGCTCACTGTAACCTCTGCCTCTTGGGTTCAAGCAATTCTCCTGCCTCAGCCTCCTGAGTAGCTGGGATTATAGGTGCCTGCCACCACAGCTGGCTAATTTTAGTACTTTTAGTAGAGAAAGGGTTTCACCATGTTGGCCTGTCTGGTAGAGACAGGGTTTCACCATGTTGGCCAAGCTGGTCTCAAACTCCTGACCTCAAGTGATCCACCCTCCTTGGCCTCCCAAAGTGCTGGGATTACAGGCGTGAGCCACTGCGCCTGGACTGAATGGTTTTTTTTGAAGAAAATACAGTTGTACCCCGCACTATAATTTTTTATTGGATGAGACTAGAAATATGACCTTATATTGTTAGCTTTGTTTTAATTAATTGGTAGACTCTTTTGAGAGTAGTTTTAGGCTTATGGAAACATTGAGTGGGAAGTACAGACAGTCCCTCATATTTCTCTATCCCCTATGCCCACAGTTTCTCCTATATTAATATCTTGCATTAGGGTGGTGTATTTGTTACAACTGAGCCAATGTTGATGCATTATTATTAATCAAAGTCTATCATTTACTTGAGGGTTCACTCTTCACATTGTACATTCTATAGCTTTCGACAAACATAATGATATGTATCCACCATTATGGTATCATATAGAATAGTTTCACTGCCCTAAACATTCCCTGTGCCACACCTGTTATTAATAGCTTTTTCAAAGGAAGATTTAGATTTCAGTGTTTTTCCCTTCCACTTTCTTTTAGAAAGTAGAAATTCTGTTGCATCCTTCCCAGTCACATTTCTACCTTGCTCGGCACTGCTCTCCCACACACACATTCTAAGAAGCTGGTCAAAATAATTCCTCACTGTCAACCTCCAAAGGGATGGCCAGGAGATGCTCAGCACCTCAATTTGACATGACAGGCCCTTTAGGAGTTGAGATGTTTACATGACTGTCCCCTGACATTGTAATGGGAGGTCGCTTCCCATGGTCCCAGCTCAGGAGTCCCGGGTGGTTTTCATTCCACTCATCCACATACGGGTATTGCTCTCAGTCAGAAGCAACAGAAACCCAACTCAGGCCGGGTGCGGTGGCTCACACCTGTAATCCCAGCACTTCGGGAGGCTGAGGCAGGCAGATCACGAGGTCAGGAGTTTGAGACCAGCCTGGCCAACATGGTGAAACCCTGTCTCTACTAAAGACACAAAAAATTAGCTGGGTGTGGTGGTGCATGCCTGTAATCCCAGCTACTTGGGAGGCTGAGGCAGGAGAACTGCTTGAACCCGGGAGGCAGAGGTTGCAGTGAGCCAAGACTGAGTCACTGCACTCCAACCTGGGCAACAGAGTGAGACTCCATCAAAAAAAAAAAAAAGAAACCCAACTCAGACTAACTTAGTCAGCAGGAGAAATTTAAATACCATAACAAAGACACCACTCAGAACTGGCCCTGCACAAGGTAAAGTCTCCATGGTGTCTAGTGGGGCTGGGTTAGCATCAATCTCCAAAGGACCCCTTGATCTTTTTTTTTTTTTTTTTAATAAAGCCTGGGTCTCACTCTCGCTTTGTTGCCTGGGCTGGTCTCGAACTCCTGGGCTCAAGCCATCATGCTGCTTCAGCTCCCCAAAGTGCTGGGATTGGGTCTTTGTATCTTGATGAGATGATAGAGATGACAATGACTTTTATCTTTTTTGTTTGTTTTGAGACAGGTTCTTGCTCTGTCACCCAGGATGGAGTGCAGTGGTGCCATCACGGCTCACTGCAGCTTTGACTTCCTGGGCTCAGGCCATCCTCCCACCTCAGCCTCTGGAGTAGCTGGGACCACAGGCACATGCCACCATGCCCAGCTAATTTTTGTATTTTTGGTAGAGATGGGGGGGGGGGGGTCTCACAATGTTGCCCAGGCTGGTCTTGAACTCGTGAGCTCAAGCAGTCCACCTGCCTCAGCCTCCCTGAGTGCTAGGATTTCAGGTGTGAGCCACCGCATCTGGCCCTTTTATTTGTTTCATTGTGCCAGGGCCTTTAATCTCTTTCATTGTTTGAGGGGATTGGTCTTAATCTAGGAGGGCTGCATATCTCCCCAGGTGCACAAATACAAAGTCAGGTTATTTCCTTCTCCTCTGGCCTTTTGTGCCTTTCCTTGTTAAAGGTCCAGTTCACTTACCTCATCTTTGTGAAGTTGCCCAACTCGGGCAGTTGAGTTGACTTGTAAAGAGGGTGAGTTTGACCCCCACACTTGCCGCAGGGAGACGGTTAGCTGCCTCTCAATCCTGCCAGGCTAGTTCTTCCCCTCTGTGGCTGGAAACCCAGGCAGGCCCCTGACAACTCTGGCCATCTTTTCTCCAGTCCCTTCAGGTCACAGAACAGTGTCAATTTAGTCATTAAAAGGTCTGATTCTGCAAAAGAGTGAAAACATCAATTCCCCTTGCAGAGAGATGTAGGAGACCAGAATATGCCACCCCAAACTGTGCCCCTTTGGCACAAGGATTATTTTGAGTTTAAGACAATTGAGATGAAGCAGATATAAGGAGGCCTCTGCTCTCCCGCTATTTGCCTAAAAGTAGGACATAAACTTACAAAGGTGCCCTCCCCCCATCTACCAGGAAGGACAAAGTTTGGCCACCAGAGACAGCTTTAGACCCTTATCAGCAACAGAACAATCTCCATAACAAACCTTACAAGCTAGCCTCTATATACAATTTATTTGTGTTCTCACAATCTGCCACCCCTAGAGATTCCAAGTCCTTTCCCCTGGTCTTGTTATTTGTCTAAAAATTTATTGTGGCTGGGTGTGGTGGCTCATGCCTGTAATCCCAGCACTTTGGGAGGCCGAGGTGGGTGGATCACTTGAGGTCAGGAGTTAAAGACCAGCCTGGCCAACATGGGAAACCTCGTCTCTACTAAAAATACAAAAATTAGCCGGGTGTGATGATGGGCACCTGTAGTCCCAGCTACTCTGGAGGCTGAGGCACAAGAATCGCTTGAACCTGGGAGGCAGAGGCTACAGCGAGCTGAGATCATGTCATGGCACTCCAGCCTGAGCAACAGAGCGAGACACCATCTCAAAATAATAATAATAAATAAAAATAAAAAATAAAATAAAATAAAAAATGTACTGTTCTTTGTTGAAGATGCTGAAAGTCCCTTCTGTGGGATTTACTCATTCCCTGGGCATTTCCCATGTTTATCTGAAATATGCATGTTAATAACCTCCTATTTTTTTTCTCTTGTTAATCTGTCTTTTGGCATAGGAGCCCCAGCTAGTAAACCTAAGGTGAGTAGAAGGAAAAATTATTTTTTTCCTCCCCTACAAACACTTCTGTCCAAGTTAGGACCCGTGTCAGGGAGAAGCCGGTGTCTGGAGAGAAGCAGGGCCATCAGTTTTGCTTGCTTTCTGCTCAGTGGTTGGACAGAAAAGTGCCACCCCCTACTCCTCCAAGCAAGGACTTATCCCAGCTCCAGGAGGCCAGGAGGGCTGACATCTTCTTCAGGGTTCGCCTCAGCTGCAAAGTGCTGCCTCACCCAAGAGCATGCCTTTTGTTTTCTGGGGGGGTCCATGTACAATGACTGATAGAGGTAGGGGTTGAAGAGCTGGCCATTTAAGTTATTAAAATAATTATCTGAGAGGCTATTAGGCTGGAACAGTTCCAGTGCCTTGGTTTTCTACATAAGCAAACTGAAACCCAACTCAACATAAACTCAAGCTTAAACAATCAGTAACTGCCAACTAACCTCAAACTAGAGTTTTTACCAATTAAAAAGCACTGACTAAATTCTAACTAGGGACTTCCTACTTTAACCAATGGAAAATGTTATTTGTCTTTGCCTTCATTAACATTTCTCTACTCTTCTGGGACTGTCCTGCCCAAGCAAATGGTTTGACTGTTCACTGCAGAATTTCCAGAAAGACCTTATCAGCTCTTCAATGGAAAGCATCAAATGTTACTTGCTATTTGTCTTATTTGTTCATTGTTATTAACAAATAACAATGTTATTTGTTATTTGTCTTATTTATCTTTCTGCAGCCACATTATAAAAGTCTCCTTTCCTGCCTGCTCTGGGGAGCACTGAACCACTGGTGGTCTGGTGCTGCCTAATTCATGAATTGTTGAATGGTCAAATAAACTCATTTAAAAAAAATATTTTTTTGAGACGGAGTCTCGCTCTGTCACCCAGGCTGGAGTGCAGTGACGTGATCTCAGCTCACTGAAACCTCTGCCTCCCAGGTTCAAGGGATTCTCCTGTCTAAGCTTCTTGAGTAGCTGGGATTACAGGCATGCTCCACCATGCCCAGCTAATTTTTTTTTTTTTTTTTTCTTGAGACAGAGTCTCACTCTTTTGCCCGGGCCGGACTGCAGTGGTGCAATCTCGGCTCACTTCAAGCTCCGCCTTCCGGGTTCACACTATTCTCCTGCCTCAGCCTCCTGAGTAGCTGTGACTACAGGTGCCCACCACCACGCCTGGCTAATTTTTTGTATTTTTAGTACTGACAGGGTTTCACCATGTTAGCCAGGATGGTCTTGATCTCCTGACCTCTTGATCTGCCCGCCTCGGCCTCCCAAAGTGCTGGGATTATAGGTGTGAGCCACCGCACCTGGCATTTTTTTGTATTTTTAATAGAAATGGGGTTTCACCATGTTGGCCAGGCTGGTCTCGAACTCCTGACCTCAGGTGACCTCAGGTGATCCACCCACCTCGGCCTCCCAAAGTGCTGGGATTTCAGGTGTGAGCCACTGCACCTGGCCTCATTAACATTTTAATATGCCAGAGTTTATCCTTTAACTAGGCTCCCCACAAGCCATCACACCTCACCTTGCCCCTGCCCACACCTGCTCAGTCCTCTTCCCTTACTCAGGTATTGTTTCCTAAGAAATAAGCCTCCTGAAGGCCAAACTCCACCTCTGCATCTGCTTCCAGAGAAGCCCACCTGTGAAGCCCTCCCAGCCTTTCACTCCTCTCCGTTTCTGTTAACAGAGGATTCTGACTCATCCAGGGCTGAAGTTCAAGGACAGAGATGATAGAAAGAGAGGCAGGAAAGCTCTTATTTCACTGATGCTGCCATGCAGCCCCAGCCTCTGTGCTCTCTGGACTTGGGACATATTTGAAGCTGACCCTCTCACTGGCACTTACAAGAGTTATTCATGGGCTCAGTCCCCTTCCCATTGGGGGATTCTACCATCTTAGTGTCAGAAGTGGGCTCCCCAGACATTACCATCACGACCAACTGATAAGACAAAGCTGAGCTTATTGCTTCCAGCAGAGGTGAAAGATAAGGTCAGGATGTACGGAGAACTGGAAGTTTGGTTTAAAGTGAGTCTTTGGGGGAGGGAGAGTTGGCTTGCTTCAGACAGGGCAGAGATCACAATACAACAGTCCTGGATTGGTGGGAAAAGCAGGCTAGGATTTTGAACCACAATATTCAAAGAATCTTAGGGTTCAAACTGTTGATGCTTTCCACTGAAGAGCTGATAGGTCTTCCTGGAAGTTGCTGCAATGAACGGTTGAACCATTTGCTTAAGCAGGACAGTCCCAGAAGAGTAGAGAAATGCAAATGAAGACAGTGGCATAACCAGGTCATGTTACTCTAGACTGTAAGGTGTGATTTCCATTCTCACTGTCCAGGACAAGTGTGGGGAAGATGGTTTTGGTTCTGATTAATCATTGGTTCAGGAGACAGACACACCCCAGGCCATAGAATCACAGCACTGCTGGGATGCTCAGAAAAAAAGACTTCCTGCTGTTCTCAGTAGGATTTGAACTTGTAATATAAAGTCTGGTTGCTGCTGGCAGCCACTCTAAGAGGAGAGCCTTCCTGAGGGTATGGTCAACACAGAAGAAAGAAACCAAGCAATGGGAAGAGAGGAACTGGTCCTGAGTGAATCATCTGAGCCCCTGTGTTCAGCACCACCTATGCTGGTCGGACACCTGAGCCAGCACTCCGCTGCTTCCACTTAACCTGGCTAGGCCATTTTCTCCTATCAGGTGTAAATGGGGAATCCCCATGCACTAACAATGGGCCAGTGCTCCTAATCCCGGTGCCCTACTGCGTGTTTGCCTGGACTGGCCTGAGGCAGAGAGGGAGGTTCCAGTGATATTAAAGTGACTGTTGGCATTGAAGAGTCCCAGTGAATTACACTTTATGATGTTCTCTCCTGCAGCTCTGAACCAGATGAGAGATTGGCAAAGAAGCTAGGTAGATGACAATCACAATGTCAGCTTTGGCTGGATGTGGTAGCTAACGCCTATATTCCTAGTGCTTTGGGAGGCTGAGGGCAGAAGGATCACTCGAGGCCAGGAGTTTGAGACCATCCTGGGCAACACAGCAAGATCCCATCTCTATGAAAAATTTTTAAAAGTAGCTAGGCATGGTGATGCACACCTGTAGTCCCAGCTACTTGGGAGGCTGAAGTGGGAGATCTGCTTAAGCCCAGGAGTTTGAGGTTACAGTGAGCTACAATCACGCCACTGCACTCCAGCCTGGGTGACAGAGAAAGAGTCTATCTATAAAAAAAAAAAAAAAATTTAAATAAAGTCAGCTTTATTACTGTCACAGCTGGAAAAGAGCATGGCTTAGCTGAGCAACAACAACAGATTTCCCAACATTGTACCCCGGAACCAGGCTGACCTGTCCCCTGGTCACAGGCAGTGCTGGGCAAATGGTCCTCTGTAGCTTACTATGCTAAATGTGGGCTTCCCATGGGCACCCAGCTCCCACGCAGAGGGAAGGAGCTGGGAGGGCCTGCCTGGCTCCTCCGTGGAAACTCAGAAACTTGAGAATCAGATGTCACACCTCCTGCCCTGGGGAGGAATGAGGGAGAGGGTGGAGCGAGGCCAGGAGCTTAGCCTAACAAAGCTGCTTTCACAGGCAGCATGAAGCAAGATCTCAGGAGGTCTCCCGCCACCTCCCCAAGAACTAATCAAAAGCCCAGGAAAGGATTAAATCTAAAGTCCAAGTGGTTTTGTGTTAACTCAGAGCTGCTCCACTTCAGTGCCACTGACATTCAGTACCAGGTACGTCTTTGCCATGGAGGGGCTGTCCTATGCTTTGGAGGAATGGACTGAGCAGCATCCCTGGCCTCCACCCACTGGATGTCCACAGCATCTCATCACCCCCACCTCCCAGTCATGACCAGCAAAATGTCCCCAGACATTGCCAAATGTCCCATGGGGCTGACATGACGCCTGGTTGAGAACCGCTGGGTCAGGTGATTAGAAAGACAAGGATGGGCCCCTCTCCTAGATGCCACAGCTGCAGGAGTCAGGGGAATGCACCCCACCTGGAAAGGAAAGGACCAGAGGTGAAAAGAAGAGTGAAGCTGTTTCTCCTGGAGATAGGTGTGGTGGCAGGGAGTTAGTGGCAAGGCAGGAGTCTACCACTGGGTGGGCAAAGAGGAACACATGTGGCAAATCCATGCTGAATAAGTCTGATTCCGCAGGACGACTGAGAAGAGTTCCATGATGGAATAACGTATATGATGTGGGTGGCGTTTAGGGATACCAACAAGGGGCAGGGAAGCACCCTCAGACAAGCATCCATGGGGCACTCTTGCCTCCACCATGCCTGAGGGTAAGGGCAGGAGGCGGTCCCCAGGCTGTAGGAGAGAGCCTCTGGGCAGGAGCTGTGGCCGTTGGGAGAATAATGCCACCACTGCTATGCCCAGCCTGTCTAGTCAAATCAATATCCCACCTTACTTGTGCCTACCCTCTGATCTCTTATGGTGCCTTTCAAAGACCAAACCCAACTGGAAGGTGGGAAATGGGCCCTGGGGGCAGATGAAGATTACTCAGCACACACACCATGGAGTACTTTACAAAGTTAGAAGCAATGGATTAGATGCACCCAGGGCCACATGGACCGATCTCAGAAATATAAGAATGGGTGAAACAAACAAGCAACAGAATGAGATATATAACCCGATAGCATTTGTGAACATTTAAAATGTATGCCTAGAAAAAATACAAAACATCAATACTCCCTGTACAAGAATACATGCAAATGAAAGACTCACAGATTATGAGCCTATGGCCAGGCGCGGTGGCTCATGCCTGTAATCCCAGCACTTTGGGAGGCCGAGGCAGGCGGATCACTTTGAGCCCAGGAATTTGAGACCATCCTCGCCAACATGGCAAAACCCTGTCTCTACAAAAAATACAAAAATTAGCTGGCATTGGTGGCATGTGCCTGTAGTCCCCAGCTACTTGGGAGGCTGAGGCCAGAGGATCACTTGAGCCTGGGACCAGGCAGAGAATGCAGGAGCCGTGATCATGCCACTGAACTCCAGCCTGGGCAACAGAGCAAGACCCTGCCTCAAAAACAAAAAAAGAACATGTGCCTATGATGGGGAGGGGCTGGAGACTGGGATAGGATATGTGGATAAAAGAGAATAATTACAAACAAGAGAGGGGACTTACATGGACTAGTGATGAGAAAGTGCCATGAACTAAGGCATATGATTAACTAACTCAAATGTCTGCAAATGAAGTTTAAAAACAGCGGGGAAAGAAAAGGAAGGGAAGAAGGAAGAGGGAAGATAGCCCATCAGCCCTGTCCAGCATGTCTTGGGGGAGAGGAGTCGGGGTGGGAGCCCCTCAGGGGCGCTCAGTCTCTGGTCTGGAGGGGCGCAATCCCAGATGGGGAAGGAGTTGCCTCAGGGAGCCTCTCAGAACTTCCTTTTCACTTTTATAAAAATGGGAGACACATCAAGAGATTGTACAAGGGCAAATGCCGTCCTCATTTCCCAAAATGATTCTAGAATTTTAAGCCACCAATCTTGACACCTTTGATTTTGGAATGAATTCAAGTCCAAAGACCCGAATGGAGCCCCGACTTTGTATCCAGCCGGGTATGAATCATCCAACAGATGGTGGGTGCACATTTAGAAACCAGCCCGGTGAGCCCTCAGAGACAGGCTCTTAAGACAGCCCTGCCAAGCTAAGCTGATGTTCTCTTCTGACATCAGAGAATTTGTGGGTTCTACTCTTTCTGGCTTCAGGGATTAGCTGTGGCTCCACAAATTCAAGTCATGGGGAGTGGGGAGGTGGCAACTGTCAGAACAGGAAAGCAGATGTTAGGTGCTAGCTCAGCCTGAGTCACATGTCCATGCTGGAGCAGAAGCCAGTGGGCACTGTGATTGACAGCACCCTCACCAGGACTCCAGGGAGGTGGGCGCACTTGCTGCAAAACAGGGGTGCTAATACCGGAAGAAGGCTGATGAGCACACAAAACCAATAACTATGACAGCCCTCTAGGATCCCCTTGGAAGTGGGGATGAGATGTAGGGGAGTGGAGGAAGAATTTCATCTTTTTTTTTTTTTGAGACAGGGTCTTGCTCTGTCTCCCAGGCTGGAGTGCAGTGGTGCAACCTCCCAGGCTCAATTGATCCACCCACCTCAGCCTCCTAAGTTGCTGGGACTACAGGTACTCACCACCGCAACCAGCTAATTTTTTTATTTTCGTAGAGACGGGGTTGCTCAGGCTGTCTTGAACTCCTGGACTCAAGTGATCTGCCCGCCTCGGCCTCCCAAAGTGCTGGGATTACAGGCGTGAGCCATAACGCCTGGCCCCTATTCTTACTTGTAACAAAACAGGCATTTTTGGTTATTTTAATCTACTATTGCCTTTTATACTGGATTTCTGTCACTCGCAATCAAAAGAATCCTGACTGTTCTACAAGCAATATGGGGGGGGGAAATCATTTTTGTGTTTAATTTCAGTATCCATGTGCTTTGCCATAAATGTTTTTTAAGAATTTTAAACTATTTTGGCCAGGTGCAGTGGTTCACGCCTGTAATCCCAGCACTTTGGGAGGCCGAGGCAGGTGGATCATGAGGTCAGGAGATTGAGACCATCCTGGCTAACATGGTGAAACCCCGTCTCTACTAAAAATACAAAAAAACAGCTGGGTGTGGTGGCAGGCGCCTGTAGTCCCAGCTGCTAGGGAGGCTGAGGCAGGAGAACGGCGTGAACCTGGGAGGTGGAGCTTGCAGTGAGCTGAGATCACGCCACTGCACTCCAGCCTGGGTGACATAGCAAGACTCCGTCTCAAAAAAAAAAAGAATTTTAAACTATTTTAAGGGTTTTTTTTTTAAATTTTGGTGGTTAATTCTTAATTATGACATGCATTTTAAAGATACGCTTTCAGTGGTTTATCATATTTTCTCTTTTCCACATAAAACTTTTGAATTATTTATTGGCAAATGTGACTTGTTTAAAGTGTTAATTTCATGCTTTTGCAGGTGTACATTTAGAAATGAGCACAGTGAGCCTGCAGAGACAGGCTCCTAAGACAGCCCTGCCAAGCTAAGCTGATGTTCTCTTCTGAGACCAGGGAATTTGTGGGTTCCACTCTTTCTGGCTTTGGGGAGACTGTCTGACTACAGAAATATTGGCCACCTAAAGAATTTAGGTCCTTGCCACTCGGACAAGCATGACCAGCCCCAGTTCCCACAAAGAAACATCTGTCTTGCTTCATGTCATGGAGTTGCTTGTATAGTTTAAGTTTCGAGTACTTGTCTGAGCAAGTCTGTCTTTTCATGGATGGCTGAAAATGCTTTATGAAGACGTACACTTCACAAGAGTTAATAGCAGAAAGCACTGTGTCAAAACCCAAGACATAAATGTAATTAAAATCACATTGTATTTCCTGTTGGTTGCTGAAGTAGACATTAAGAAAGTCTTATCTTTAATAGTACATTTAAAATTCCCTGTCATAGAAAATTATCTTTAAATGATAGCTCAGAAAAGAAATACAAAAAGCTCTCATGCCATTTATTATTAATGTGATTTATGTTAAGTCTGTCAGTGGAATGCTGAAAATGTGCCAATGAGTTAGCTCAAGAAATGATGCAAAATTAAATATTAATGAAGCACTCAAACAAGCACCAATTACACTGCAGTATAAGCTTGTAAATATTTCCATAAGTAATTTTCAGTCCGTATTCAGGTAGCACTATGGAGCAAGAAAAGAACCATCATTAATTTATGCAGAAACCTTTTTTACTAATAAATTTTCCAAATCACAAATTTAATTTTAGCTTTTGATTTTTAAAAAGGCAATAAACTGTTAAAGTTTGTACTTGAATTCATGGATACTCTTTTTTTTTTTTTTTTAAAGATGGGGTCTCACTATGTTGCCCAGGCTGGTCTTGAACTCCTGGGCTCAAGTAATCCTCCCACATTGGCCTCCCAAAGTGCTGAGATTACAAGCATGAGCCACTGTGTCTGGCCTTTTCTTTTCTTTTCTTTTTTCTGACACAGGGTCTCACTCTGTCACCCAGGCTGGAGTGCAGTAGTACAATCATGGCTCACTGAAGCTTTGATCTCCTGGGCTCAAGTGATCCTTCCACCTCAGTCTCCCGAGTAGCGGGGACTACAGGCGTGCACCATTATGTCCAGCTGATTTTTTTAAATTTGTAGTAGAGATGAGGTCTCACTATGTTGCCCAGGTTGGTCTTGAACTCAGCTCAAGCAATCCTCCCTTGTCAGCCTCCCAAAGTGTTGGGATAACAGGCCTGAGTCACCATGCCCAGCCCATGGAGAGTCTTTATGTTGCAAGTGATAGAAAGCCCAATTCACATGGTTTAAACAAGGAGAATTTGCCTGCATGCTTTAGAGAAAAGTGCAAATAAAATGCCGCTTCAGGCAAGATTTTATCCAGCAGCAGAAATCCCAACTCACGTGGCTTAAACAAAGAGAACTTGCCTACATGCTTACCTGAAATGTATACTTGAAATGTGGCTTCAGGCAGGATTTCATCCTGCAGCTCAAAGGATGTCACCAAGAACCTGGTGTCTTTATGCCCTTCCTCTCTGTCTTCTGCTGGGTCAACCCCTTCCTCAGGTCAGTGGCTCCTAGAGTGCACTACCTCTCTCTCTCCCCTTCAAAACCAGACCACTCATTCTCCAGCTGTAGGGAAGATTGGCTGCTGATGGCTCACAGCTCTCGCAGCTGAGCCTTCAGGCATTGTTTCATGTTCATAAATGCCCAGGCTTTATTTATTCCCATCCAAAGACTATCCTCCGCCTAGCCCAAGCTTTATGTGATCTGCCAATGATTGGTCAGTGCAGAAGTACAAAAGCGTAGTCCTCCTGCCTAGATCTGAGACAACTCTGAAGGGCCACCTCAGGTCCAAAGCTCCCTTTAGCATCAGTTGAGGCTGTGCTGCAACTGCAACCCAGTTCCACTTTTCCACTTCTCCCTCTGCTCAACCTGCTTCGTTTACTACCTTACAAGTATTGTTTCTGAGACCATGGCCCAGTCACTTCCAGCGTGTAAATATCCATCACAAATCTATTGGCAGGGAGGGACCCAGACATGAGGCAGCTGAGGCCAGGAGTAATTTTTAGGAAGCAGATTCTAAAATAGGTGTTTGGAGCTGGAAGGTGGAGCAATAATTGCCCCTGGCATTCTAGCGTGGTGTACTTGTTTAAACTTTCACTGGGGATGTGCAGGAATGATGGGAAACTGATGGAAGGGAGGCACTGGTGGAAGCAAATTCCCAGGCATTTGAGAGGTTTGAGTGAACTAGTAATATAAGGACTGTGAAATCAGATGGCTCTGGGGCTAGCAATGCTTAAAGGAAGACAATGAAAGTTTGAGAGTACTTAATCATCAGTTTGAGACAAAGTGTGAAAGTCTCTTGGCAGCATATAGAGACTCTGTAGCTGGAGGGCAGAAAAAGCTAAGGATCAGCCCGAAGCTTCATTATAAGGGTAATGCAGCTTCAGAGAGGTTGGATTCTCAATCAGAGCACGTCCGCTCTGTCAGGTCATACCCCAGTAGAGAAGGATCAGAACTCAGAGACTTGGGATGGCACATCTGGGTCAATGCACTAAAAAAATCTTGAATCTCCAGATTCCACTGAACCCACTGGGCCTGCAGAAGCGGCCCCCTGCCCACTGTTAAGGGCTAAAACTCCCCTCATGCTTGAAGATAGTGCAGGGCCTCTGCTTTGCAAGATGAAATGCACCTCCCTCCTGGCCACCAGACAAATAGCTATCAAGTCACAACAAAACCGGCCAGGGATGCGCCAGACCTGCTGCTGAGGAAGGAATGAGACTGTACCCTGGAGGAGCTGCAGGAACTTGCCAACATGTGCTGGCAGGATTCAGGAGAGTAGAGATGGGACTGGATTCTGAGGATGAGGATCAAAACATAGAGCTTGATAGGAAAGAATATTGAATAGGAGTGTGCTCCTGTGATGCAGGATTTTACCCCCTGGCAAGGACCCCAGGAGAAGGTGCTAGAATGGCTCTTGGAAGCCTAGAAACAGCACTGGCTCAAACTAAGTTAAGGAGAAAAGTTCAAACAGCATGGCAGATGGCAGAAGGGATCAAATGGATCAAAGGAGAGGGTTTGCTCAACCGGATCAGCCTGTGTCGGGCCTGCAAATTCCCCAGCTGACTATGTTCCCTGGGAGAGCCCATAAATCACTCTTTTACCAAAGCAGTAAAGAAGGTGCTGGTGGAGGAGGAGCAGCAGCATCGAGAAGTCTATCGTTGGCCATTCTCGGGGAGGCCGTGAGGGTGGGAGATGCTGTTACAGAGCGGGGTGGTGGGGGTGGGGGGAGCTGATAGTAATAGGGATAAGAGGAGCCCAAAATAATCAAGGCCAAGTGGCAGTGTTACAGGAGAGGGGTCCCGATCCAGACCGCAAGAGAGGGTTCTTGGATCTCACGCAAGAAAGAATTCAGGGTGAGTCTGTAGAGTAAAGTGAAAGCAAGTTTATTAAGAAAGTAGAGGAATAAAAGAATGGCTACTCCATAGACAGAGCAGCCCCGAGGGTGGCTGGTTGCCCATTCTTATGGTTATTTCTTGATGATATGCTAAACAGGTGGTGGATTATTCATGCCTCCCCTTTTTAGACCGTATAGGGTAACTTCCTGACATTGCCACGGCATTTGTAAACTGTCATGGCGCTGATGGTAGTGTAGCTGTGAGGACGACCAGAGGTCACTTTCATCACCATCTTGGTTTTGGTGGGATTTAGCCGGCTTCTTTACTGAAAACTGTTTTATCAGCAAGGTCTTTATGATCTATATCTTGTGCCAACCTCCTATCTCATCCTGTACTTAGAATGCCTAACTGTCTGGGAATGCAGCCCAGTGGGTCTCATTTTACCCGGCCCCTATTCAAGATGGAGTTGCTCTGGTTTCAACGCCTCTGATAGCAGCACTTATCTGTCAGAAGGTGGGCACGATTCTCACACTGAGCAGCAAGGTCAGGGAGGCAGCCAGAGGTCCTGCTGCAGAGAACTAAGTAAATGGTGTTTTTTTCCTTTCTTTTTTAAGATATATTTTTAATAGTAAAGATGGGGTTTCACCGTGTTGCCCAGACTGGTCTTGAACTCCTGCACTCAAGTGATCTGCCCGCCTTGGCCTCCCAAAGTGTTGGGATTACAAGTATGAGCTACCATGCCAAGCCGGAAATGGTTAATAGAACATAATATTCCTAGTGGTAAGATAGATGAGCAGCCAAAAACAGCTTATTTTATTTTATTTTTTTAATTTATTTTGAGACAGAGTTTTGCTCTTGTTGCCCAGGCTGGAGTGCAGTGGTGTGATCTCAGCTCACCACAACCTCCACCTCCAGGGTTCAAGCGATTCTCCTGCCTCAGCCTCCCAAGTAGCTGGGATTACAGGCATGCACCACCAAGCCCAGCTAATTTTGTATTTTTAGTAGAGATGGGGGCTTTTCCTTGTTGGTCGGGCTGGTCTCAAACTCCTGACCTAAGATGATCCGCCTGCCTCAGCCTCCCAAAGTGTTGGGATTACAGGCATGAACCACCGCGCCCGGCCCAAGAGCTTATTTTAAAACATCAACCACCCAACAAAAAGTCATGATTCCTTGTCCTGTTTCCAGCCTAAGTTAAGATCTAGAACGTCCTGAATGAAGAAAGACACTGCATCAGCTGGCATATGGACAGGATAAGGTTCCACCAGCCCTTCCACAGGGAGAACTTGAGTAATCATACACTGGGGAAAGAATGCAGATCTTTTGAGAACTGTTGAACATAGAGTCCAAATTGACATTGATACCAAGGAAACTGAAGCATCATCACGGCACCTTATTAGGGTGGTGGAATATGGGGTCAAGTAATAAGTATAGTCCCAGCCATGACCAGCTTCACAGTATGTCCATTAGGTCCACAGACCCACCTGGTAGTCATTTTCCTGGTCTCTCTCTCTTTATTTATTTATTTATTTATTTATTTTTTTGAGACAGAATCTTGCTCCGTCACCCAGGCTGGAGTGCAGAGGTGCGATCTCAGCTTACTGCAACCTCTGCCTTCCGGGATCAAGCGATTCTCCTGCCTTAGCCACCAGAGTAACTGAGATTACAGGCAGGCGCCACCATGCCCAGCTAATTTTTGTATTTTTAGTAGAGATGGGGTTTCTCCATGTTGCCCAGGCTGGTCTCAAACTCCTGGCCTTAAGTGATCCGCCCGCCTCGGCCTCCCAAACTGCTGGGATATAGGTGTGAGCCACCGCGCCCGGCCCTGGTCTCTTAATATATAACTAGAATCAACATAACCAGTATTGCCAGAACTCTTCCAGTGGTTCCTTGGCCTGTGGGGTAAGAGCCATCATAGTGAGGCAGGTGAAATGGAAGCCTTTCAAATGGCCTCCCACCCCAGCCAATCGAAAACCACATCACATCCTGGGGGATGGCAGAGATTAATGCCACCCTTACAGATGTAAAATGTGGTCTCCATAATTTCCTCCATTTAATTCCTCAGTCTGGCCCCTACAAAAACCAGAGAGATCCTGCAGGATGACAGTAGACTACCACAAGCTCAGTCAGGTGGTGGCCTCAGTGGCTGCCACTCTGCTGGGTGTGATTTTGCCACAGCAGATTCACATTGACTCAGGTGCATGGCATGTAGCTACTGACCTGGCAAGTGCATTCTTTCCCATCTCTGTAAAGGAGGATCAAGAATTGTTTCATACTGCCTGGGATGGTCAATAGCACAGTTGTCCCTTGATATTCACAGGGGATTGGTTCAGGACCCCCACCCCTCCACATACCAAAATCTGAGGATGCTCAAGTCCCTTATATATAATGGCATAGTATTTGTATGCAACCTACAAATATATTCCCATATACTTTAGATCATCTCTAGATTACTTATAATACCTAATACAATGTAAATGCTACTTAAGTATTTTTTTTTTCTTTTTCTTTTTCTTTTTTTGAGACAGAGTCTCGCTCTGTTGCGCAGGCTGGAGTGCAATGGCGTGATCTCAGCTCACTGCAACATCCACCTCCTGGGTTCGAGCAATTCTCCTGCCTCAGCCTCCCGAGCAGCCAGGACTACAGGCCTGTGCCACCACGCCCACCATGCCCAGCTAATTTTTGTATTTTTAGTAGAGATGGGATTTTGCCAATTTGGCCAGGCTGGTCTCAAACTCCTGACCTCAGGTGACCCACTTGCCTCGGCCTTCCAAAGTGCTGGGGTTATAGGTGTGAGCCACCGCACCCGACCTGTAAGTAGTTTTTAGTTTTTATATTGTATTTTTTATTTATATTATTTTTTATTGTTGTATTGTGTTTTTTTTACTGTTTTTTTTCTAATATTTTTAATCCATGGCTGCGGAACCCATCGATATGGAGGCCAACTGTACACATTTACAGTCTTGACCTTAGGCATGCGAACTCTCCCACTGTCTGTTATAATATAGTCCAAAGAGACCAGCATCTTCTGGGCTTTCTGCCCAACATTACAAGTGCACAACTGCACTGATTACATCACGTTAATCCAATCAAATGGGTAAAAAATGACAAACACGTTAAAGCCCTGGTTAAAACGTGCTCTGGCAGGTGGGAGATAAACCCTACAAAGATTCAGGAAACCATCACATCAGTGAAGTTCTCTTAGGAGTCCAGTGGAGATATTCCCTAGGAAGTAAAGAGGAAATTATTTTATCTTTCTTTTTTTTTTTTTTTTTGAGATGGAGTCTCGCCCAGGCTGGAGTGCAGTGGTGTGATCTCAGCTCACTGCAAGCTCCGCCTCCCAGGTTCAGGCCATTCTCCTGCCTCAGCCTCCCGAGTAGCTGGGATAACAGGTGCCTGCCACCAGGCCCAGCTAATTTTTTGTATTTTTAGTAGAGACAGGGTTTCAGCATGTTAGCCAGGATGGTCTCAATCTCCTGACCTCGTGATCCGCCCGCCTCGGCCTCCCAAATAAATTATTTCATCTTATAGCTCCCATTATTAAGAAGGAAGCTCAAGGCCTGTTAGGCCTCTTCAGGTGCTGGTGGCACTTGGAATCCTGTTCCGATCTAATTACTGAGTGAAATGGAAGACTACCATCTTTGAGCAGGGCTTGAGGAGGAAAATGTTTCGTAGCAAGTCCAGTCTGTAATATGAAGGAGCACAGGGAACTTCACCCCAAAATATGGCTCCCTGGTATGATGAGTATTTAAATTAAAGGCCGTTAGAGATCAATAGATGCTAGAAGACACTTTTGCCTTGTGTACATAAAGACCAGACAGACCCACCTAGGAGAACAATTATTTTCCTTCCCCTCCCCCCTATTTCTTAATCCTTTGAGAACTTCACTGACGTCATGGTTTCCTGAATCTTTGTAGGGTTTATCTCCCACCCTCTAGAGCACGTTTTAACCAGAGCTTTAACGTGTTTGCCATTTTTTACTCGTTTGATTGGATTATCATGATGTAATCAATATAGTAGTGGACTTGTAATGTTGTGCAGAATGCCCAGAAGATGCTGGTCTCTTTTCTTAATCCTCTATTTCAAGCTTGTCCAACCCATGGCCCCCAGGCAGCATGCAGCCTAGGACAGCTTTGAATGTGGCCCAACACAAATTCTTAAACTTTCTTAAAACATTATGAGATCTTGGCCGGACGCGCTGGCTCACACCTGTAATCCCAGCACTTTGGGAGGCCTAGGGGGGCAGATCACCTGAGGTCAGGAGTTCAAGACCAGCCTGGCCAACATGGGAAACCCTGTCTCTACTAAAAATACAAAAATTAGACTGGCGTGGTGGCAAGAGCCTGTAATCCCAGCTACTCGGGAGGCTAAGGCAGCAGAATTGCTTGAACTCGGGAGACGGAGTTTGCGGTGAGCCAAGATCATGCCGCAGCACTCTAGCCTGGGCGACAGAGCAAGACTCTGTCTCAGAAAAAAAGAAAAAATTACGAGATCTTTTTGCAATTTTTTTTTAGCTCATCAGCTACCGTTAGTGTTAGTGTATTTTATATGTGACCCAAGATAATTCTTCTTCCAATGTGGCCCAAGGAAGCCAAAAGATTGGACACCCTGCCCTATTTATTTCAAAACACAGGCTGAAGTTCCCTTATCTGCCTAAAGTCTGGATCTACCAAAGAAGAAAACAATTACCTCCAGTCCCTTCTCTGAGTTTGTATTAACTGAACCCATATCACAGGAAGTAAGACTAAAGCCTGTTAACAAACCGGGACAGACTTTTGTCACAAATCATTGTCCCCTCTGCGGGCCCAACGGACTTCGCCCCAGACCATTGTATATTCTTCAACCCCATTGAATTCCCCTAAAAATCATTTACCATCCCCCTAAAATCACCCACACTTCCCCATCCCCCCTTTCCCTAAGAAGTAGGGTATACAAGCATCTGTACCCCATTAGGATATGGGGCACGGTAGTAATGCATTTGTAAAGGCTTTTCTCTTATTAATCTGCCTTACTGTGGGTTGATTTTTCAGTGAATCTTAGAGGGTGAGGGTGTAGGGAGCTGCTGCTCCCTACAAGTGCAAGCAGCTCTGCCATTTGGACCCTATGACTCAAAGTACTCTATGGTACTACAGATATCTGTGGGAGGAAAAGATTCTGTGTGAAGTTTACAGAAAGCACCAGTGGGAGAATCACAACTTATATCCCTAGGGTTCTGGAGCAAGGCTGAACTATCCACAGTGGAGAACTCCACGTCAGTTGAAAACGAGCTCCCAGGTTGCTTCTGGGTCTTGGAAACACAGCATCTGTATTAGTCAGGGTTCTCCAGAGAAACAGAACTGATAGGCTATATAGAGACATAGAAGAGGAGACTTCTATGGCAATTGGCTCATGCAATTAGGGAGGCTGAGAAGTCTGCAATACTGTCTGCAAGCTGGAGAATTAGGAGAGCCAGTGGTATAACTGGCTTGAAAGTTACACCATTGGCTACCCTGCTTCTCAGGCCTTCAAACACAGTCAGAGTTACAATAGTGCAACTTCCAGTCCAAGGCCAAAGAACTGAAAACCAGGGAGGCTGCTGGTATCAGTCCTGGAGTGCAAAGGCCCAAGAACCAGGATCTTCAGTGTCCAAGGGCAAGGGAAGATGGATGTTCTAGCTCAAGAAAAGGGAGTTTGGGTATGGTGGCTTGTGCCGGTAATCCCAGCATGTCCAGGTGGGAGGACTGCTTGAGGCCAGAAGCTGGAGACCAGTGTGAGCAACATAGTAAGACCTGTCTTAAAAACAAAAACAAAAACAAAAAACATGTCCGGGTGTGGTGGTGCAAACCTGTAATCCCAGCACTTTGGGAGGCCGAGACCAGTGGATTGCCTGAGCTCAGGAGTTTAAGACCAGTCTGGGCAACATGGTGAAGCCTCCTCTCTACCAAAAAATACAAAAAATCAGCAGGGCATGGTGGTGCAAGCCTGTGGTCTCAGCTACTTGGGAGTCTCAGGTGGGAGAATTGCTTGAGCCTGGGAGGTGGAGGTTGCAGTGAGTTGAGATCACGCCACTGCACTCCAACTTGGGTGACAGAGTGAGACCCTGTCTCAAAAAAATATATATTATGATATATAATTTAATATATAAATGTGTAATATGTATTATTACACGGTTTCAGTACTACCTCCAGGACTGGTCACAAACAGGACCAGCAGGCTCAAGTGAACTGCATAAGCAGATGACCACGCCCCTCTGCCATCCACCACTGTTGAATCCCTGCCTCCTCCTTCTATCACATCTATAGCCACCTTGGGGTAGAGGGTCAGGGGCCTAGAACCAGCTGATGCAGGACAAAAACCAACCAGGTTTGCTTCTTGGATGAGTTGGCTGGGAAGAGGGGGTGAAAGCCACAAATGGACACTGAAAGCGGGGGTGAAAGCCCTTGGACACTGAAGATCCTGGTTCTTGGGCCTTTGCACTCCAGGACTGATACCAGCAGCCTCCCTGGTTTTCAGTTCTTTGGCCTTGGGCTGGAAGTTACATGTTGTAACTCTGACTGTGTTTGAAGGCCTGAGAAGCAGGGTAGCCAATGGTGTAACTTTCAAGACAGTTATACCACTGGCTGTGCTGCTCTGTGGCTCTACTCAGGGCTGGCCCTCGAAGCACAGGGGCAGAGCTTCATGTGGTATGTGTGATTGTCCACTTTGTGTGCACAGAGAATGGCCAGCAGAGGGAATGGCCGTGGACTCAGGGGTAGTGGCAAGTGGCTTGGCTTGTTGCTCAGGGACCTAGAAGGAGACACATCAGATTAGGGAAAAGCAAGTCTGGGGAAAGACACGTGGATGGGCCCACGGGGGTGGGCACAGAGTGTGAAGATTTGTATCACATGTTAATGTGATCAATGAAGACCACCCAGGGGCTGGAGTGAAGCCAATCCCAGCCAGGCCAGAGAGAAATAAAGAGACAGTTTTGACAGAAGGGATAAAGTGTTCTTGGAGGCAGAAACAGCAGATGTCCATTACAATGACAAATTCTTTTTTGGAACAAGTAACCAAGAAAAATTTCCCTAGATCCTTACTTCTAGATAGAGTCGATTGGTCCAGTCTCTCACCAAAAAGGTAATTAACCGGCTTCTGTGTGAATACTTTCAAATCAGGATCCTTACTACCTGTAGAGGCAACATGTGTCCCTCGAGGACATTCGCCATTGAGGCAGGCTGGGGTTTTCTCTCCTACCCTCCAGGGAGGTGCCGTTACCCTCCCCCATCTTAGGCTCACACCAAGCTAGGATATGGAAGAAGGTATTCTTTTTTTTTTTTTTTTTTTTTTTTTGAGACAGAGTCTCCCTCTGTCACCCAGGCTGGACTGCAGTGGAGCAATCTCGGCTCACTGCAACCTCCGCCTCTCAGGTTCAAGCGATTCTCCTACCTCAGCCTACCAAGTAGCTGGGACTACAGGCACACCACCACACCCGGCTAATTTTTGTATTTTTAGTAGAAACGAGGTTTCACTATGTTGACCATGCTCTTGAACTCCTGGGCTCAGGAGATCCGCCCACCTTGGTCTCCCAAAGTGCTGAGATTACAGGCAGGAGCCACTGCACCTGGCTGAAAGAGGGTATTCTGATAAGATGAAGAAAAATGACAGATGCTTTGTTCGCAGAGCAATCTAGTGAAGTTATGCTGCGGGAAATGATACATTTTACTAAGAGAATGAATGGTTTGGTAAATGTTTCACTCATGGGTGGGTGGGGGGAACTAAAACCATCTCCCTAACACACAAACCACCTCCACTTCCACTGAAAGAAAAACCAGAAAGAATCGTTTGGTGAGAGCCTGGAACAGGGATGCAAATGGAAAAAAGGCCACGGGGACTGGGGTAGGAGTTGGGCACGGGGTGTATGGGGGAGAGGAGAGAACAACGAGAAACCAGAGAGGGAGATTTGCTGAGCTGGTCTCTATACCATGCTTGAGGCTCTGACTGCAGTTGATTGTCTAATGACGAGGCTTCCTCTTCCTGCCCTTATATTATTTATTTATTTATTTATTTATTTGAGATAGCGTCTCGCTCTGTCACCCAGGCTGGAGTACAGTGGTGCGATCTGGGCTCACTGCAACCTCTATCTCCTGGATTCAAGTGATTCTCCTGCCTCAGTCTTTGGAGTAGCTGGGACTACAGGCGTTCGCCACCACAGCTGGATAATTTTTGTACTTTAAGTAGACAAGGGTTTCACCATGTTGTCCAGGCTGGTCTGGAACTCCTGACCTCAAGTGATCCACCCACCTCAGCCTCCCAAAGTTCTGGGATTACAGATGTAAGCCACCGCGCCAGGCCTGCCCTTTTAAATAGTAAGGGTTATACTTACCTGTGGCTTAAATTGGTACTAATTACTTCTTTTTTATTTTTTTATTTTTTCTTGTTAGATTAAGAGATGATTTATTTGAATGGGAAAGGAATAGAATAAGAAGACACTTTTATTATCACCATGACCATATAGAAGGAGGACATATTTTTAAATAATATGAGTGGAGCCAGTTAAGAAGCAACGTTTCTTCTAGCAGATTTACTATTACCCCCTCCCCCAGATTGTCTTCCCACGTTAGGCCCAAAATTCTACTTAGAATGACTGGCTTTACATTCCATTTAGTCCTGAGGTAATGTCTCCAAAAGTATACTGAATTTTGAATTTAGAGAAAATGATAACAGACATGGATGTCTTCATTTTTATTCATTTTTTAGAGATGGAGTTTCATTCTGTTGCCCCAGCTAGAGTGCAGTGGCACGAATGCAGCCCACTCTGCCTCAAACTCCTGGGCTCTAATTACTTCTGAGTATGATCCAGATGTCTCTTGGTGGAGCCACATTAAGAGGCAGGCCACGGATGTTGCAGTGAGCCGAGATCGCGCCACTGCACTCCGGCTTGGGCGACAGAGCAAGACTCCGTCTCTAAAAAAAGAAAGGCAGGGCAGTGTGGCAGCTGCCTGGGGCGAGCCTTTGGGATTAATCAGAAAGGTGCTGCCAGTGACCTCAGGTTTCCACCTGGGCTTCCTCACATAAGGGGTGAGATGTAAACGATCCCTATCCCACCAGAGTGGGCGATGCCCTCGAGTGGAAATTTTAAAATACCGTTCACTGGCCCCAAAGGGTTTCTGTGGAGTGTTTTCACAGAAAACGCATACATCGCAAAGTGCGGCCATGGGCTTGGCAGCAACTTCAACGCAGCCGGCGACTCTGATGTGCTTCCCTGAAGTCAGCAGCTGCAGTCAGCTGAAATTACAAAAGCAAATCACACCAGGGGATGCTGCTCACACCAGAAGGAGAGATTTATTTTGTTGCCTAATATTTAAACAGTTTAAAATCCTCACAATAAACTGTCTAGTTCAGAAAAGAGGATGTAACAAATGCATGCAATAAATCCCTCATTTTTAATGAAAGGGAATATATTTAGTTTTTATTAACAGAACATCTGTTTCTCTCCATCTCCACTTAATAAGTGTTCAAAGAATGTTGGTTTGAAGGGGCACCCGCATCTCCCAGTCCTCCAGCCCTGGCCTTAATAGCCTGTGAGTGCAAACGAGGCCATGTTATCACTGATGCCCAACCACAAAGTGCTTTGCAGCACCCCAGGCGCACAGCCGCGCCCTCCCCAGCATCTCTGCACTGGCCTCCCTGTGCCCAGCAAGCCTCCCTGTCCGAGCCTCCTCCACAGCCAGCCACTTCCCACGTGCTCCCTCATAAGGGGCCCAGCACTGCCGTGGATTCTGGAACCATGCAGCACTCGAGGCCTCTGCTGATGCCGTGGGCCAGCTGGTCCATGCTGGGGGCACCCAGAGCCCCTGGGCCGTGAAACAACTTTCTGTAGAGATCTGGAGGTAGAGGAACAGAGGGACAAGGGCCCTGGGCAGCTCCATACCACCCACTGTCACTTGGACTTTGAGGGGCAGAGAGGTGTCCAGAGTGTCCCCACATCCTTCAGCTTCTGGCCTGACACCTGTCTTCATGAGGATCCTCAACCTGTTTCCCAGGCTGGGCCAGGAGATAGCCCCTCCATTCCCTCCCTTCTCCTCTCCCACTTCCTCTCTCTCCTTCCTGGATTTTCCTCTTTGCTGGTGTGTGCATGCACACACACACACTGCAGGCATGCCACCACACCCAGCTAATTTTTGTATTTTTAGTAGAGACGGGGTTTCACCATGTTGACCAGCTGGTCTCGAACTCCTGGGCTCAAGTGATCCACCCGCCTTGGCCTCCCAAGCCCATGAGCTCAGAGGTTTTTTGCCCACTTAATTCACTATTATATCCTTAATGCCCATAACAGTGCCTAGCACATAATAGATGCTCAGTAAGTTTTGTAGACCAATTGAACAAAAAGTGAATAAAAGAAATGCTCATGATTCCTCCTTCCACATAAGAGCCCAAGCCCCTCTATGTATCATTTCAGATAAACAGAACCCATGGGGTCCCCAGTCCATCAGCTCTACAGGTTGGGCTCAGCTGGGAAACCTGCTATAGGGGATACTGCTGTTATCAGCACGCCCTGGCCTCACCAGCTGGGGTCTGCCCAATGGGCACAAGTCTGAGGGCTCCAATTCCCATTCCACTCAACTCCAGGAAGCCCAGCCTTCCGCAGTACTCCTGGGACCCACTGGGCCCTACTGACCTGTTCCCTTGGGTCATCCTTGTGCCCTGTGCCTCTGCCTCTACTGCCCACTTGGCTCTCTCCTCCTACTGCCCCCTCTGTCGCAACCTATCCCAGCCTCCTACAGCCCCACCCTCTTCCTCCCTGGCACTGGCTCAGACCCTTCCACAATAGGAGGAGACAAGGTTCTAACTACTAAGGACTGCTGTAAGTTTGAGGCTAGAGGAAGAAAACAGAAGATAGAAAAACGCATGCGACAGCTTCTCAATGAACCTGAGCTCATCCTCCAGGACTGCTGACATCTCCTTGAACACCCCAGCCAGCTGTTACGGGCAGGGCAGCCGCCCTCAAGTATAGGATTTCTCCTTTGCCATCACTCTTCCCTCAGGTCCTACTGCTCCCCCTCAGCCCCTCCGTCTGCAGCCCCTTGAGCCTTCCTTCTCTTCCAAGAATGCACCGGACTCACTGCGCCACAGGACCTGTGCTTGTCCTGGGATGCACACCCCCAGAACCTGTCCTGGTCATGGCTTTCTGTCCTCCTGTTGCCACAGGGGGGCTTCTCTGAGCACACCATCTACAATAGCCACTGAGCCCTTCTCTATCGCTTCAGCCTCTTTATGATCCTCACAGCGTCTGCCGCTATCTGCGTCTCTCTGACTCATTCATTTCTGCTTATGTCCTTCTCTCTTTGGTAGACTGTTCTGTCCTATATCCCAGTGCTTAGAATAGTGCTTGGCCCAGGCACAGTGGCTCAGGCATATAATCCCAGCATTTTGGGAGACTAGGATGGAAGGATCTCTTAAGGCCGGGAGTTCAAGGCCAGCGTGGTCAAAATAGTGAAACTCCGTCTCCACAAAGAAATGTTTTAATTAGCTGGGCCAGCGGCATGTACCTGTAGTCCTGGCTACACAAGAGTTGAGGTAGTATCGCTTGAGCCCAGGAGTTCGAGACTGCAGTGAGCTATAATTCTTGCACTGTATTCCAGCCTGGGTGACAGAGAGAGACCTTGTCTCAAAAAAATTAATTGTTTTAAAAGAATAGTAACTGGCACATAGTAGGTGCTCAGTTCAAATCCACTGGGTGATGAAAGCTGAATATCCTCTCTACTTGGAGTCCTGGGCAAACAACAACCCAGTCCTGAGAGAGGAGAGGCTTTCCTTCCTCCTAGCTTTAGGTTCACCTCCCAGTTTCTGATATTTCATGATGGGACCTAGCTCTTCCCAGAATGCCTGGTGGTGGAACTGCTGCCCCTCCTCAAGGATCAACAGGGATGTGGCCCTGAGCCCCAGTCAACCTGGACAGAACTCCCCAACATCAAGACGCTTCATGGCGATGGTCATCCAGGGTTGAAGACCACTCTGTGGAGGGCATCAGCTGTCCAGTCAAAGTTAATCCCTGGCCAATCCAGGCCAGTTTCTTTTCAGTGAGTCAAAGTGAAAACTGAGTCAGGCCTATGTGGGCTTCCTCAGAGCCCCAGCAATTCTGAGAAGCAAATAATTAGTATGGAGGTCTGGTTCTGCACAGCATGACCCCTTACCATGGGGGAACAGACCACTTACTTCGTCACAGGATGACACTGGATGGTCAATGACTCAAGGGTACTCTCCAGGAAGGATGGGGGGAACTTGCTTCTCGTCCATGTAACTCATTCCCCTCCTGGTGCTTTGCCCAGAATATGAATCAGCCTTGGCACAAGGTGAATTCAAGAGTCCACTGCAGTTGCTTACACTTATTTTTTATTTTTATTTTTTTCAGAGACAGGCTGTCACTCTGTCACCCAGGCTGGAGTGCAGTGGTATGGTCATAGCTCACTGCAGCCTCAAACTCCTGGGTTGAAGCGATCCTTCTGCCCCAGCCTCCTGAGTAGCTGGAACTGTAGGTACGCACACCACGCCCAGCTAATTTTGTTTTCTTTTTTGGTAGAGACAAGGTCTTGCTATGTTACCCAGACTGGTCTCGAATTCTTGGCTTCAAGCAATCTTCCCACCTTTGCCTCCCAAAGTGTTGGGATTATAGGCATGAGCAACTGCGCTGGGCCTGCTTCCACTTTTCAAAAGGCAATGTTTCCAGATCTAGCCCTCCAGGTTTCCAAAGCCCCCCGGGGCCCTGGGCATTCTGTTCTCAGAGTGCTTTCTCCTGCATTATCTCCTCTGATGCACAAACACCGGGGAGGCTTGATTAACTGGGAATGGCTTTAGTTGTTTTAGCCTCTCTATGATAATTTTTAAAATGTTAGAAGCACAGCAGATGACTCTTGAAGTGTTTCACAATCAGAAATCAAAGCAGGGGGGAACCTTTTAAAATCAGGACAGACCAAGAGTGGAACAAGTGCCTCACGTATGGGTAAGTGCGCTGATGGGGAAGTAGGGGGCACATGCACTGGGAATCGGGCACGTGTGGTCAGCCCTGCCTGGAGGAGCGAAGGGACCTTGAGCTGCACTCAAATGAGATTGTGCATGCCTGGTAACAGCTGATGAGTGGTTCAGAGGTTGTCCAGGCCTGTGCTCTGCCACCTGATACTATTTTCATGCAGAAGCTTCTGTCTTCAGAGCCTTTGACCTCAGAATATTGTATCACAGTAACCAGGAAAAAAGCCAAAAAGTGTGGAATGTAGAACGTTAAGAATAGGAAGCTCCAACGTGGCCAACGTGGCAAAGCCCCATCTCTACAAAAAATACAAAAATTAGCCAGGCGGGGTGGCACACGCCTGTAACTCCAGCTACTTGGGAGGCTGAGGTGGGAGGATCGTTTGAGCCCAGGAGGTGGAGGTTGCAGTGAACTGAGATCATGCCACTGCACTCCAGCCTGAGCGATGGAGCGAGACCTTGCCTCAAAAAAAAAAAAAAGTAATTACGTTTTCTCCTTTTCAAAGTTTCAAGTAGACATGATAATTGTGAATATGTAACACTTGGCTGGGAGCACCTGGCAGACAGGTGGCACAGACATGGCTCTCTGGATATTGTCCTTGGTCTCCCCTGATTCCTATCCCAACAAAATACCCCTGAAATGGCCATCCGAAAACGGGGAAGACTTGCAACAGAACTGAAAACTAGCCATCCACACCAAGGAAACTGGAGGAACTTCAACCGGACTGTGACTATGGGGCCAAATGGAAGGCATCACTGAGAGAAAACAAGCCGTCACCCTGTGTGTTCAGGTCAAAGCAGGAAGGCTGGGCACTGTGGCTCACGCCTGTAATCCCAGCACTTTGCGAGGCCATGGCAGGTGGATCACCTGAGGTCAGGATTTCGAGACCAGCCTGGCCAATATGGTGAAACTCCGTCTCTACAAAAATACAAAAATTAGCCAGGTATGATGGCGGGTGCCTGTAATCCCAGCTATTCAAGAGGCTGAGGCGGGAGAATTGCTTGAACCTGGGAGGTGGAGGTTGCAATGAGCTGAGATTGCGCCACTGTACTCCAGCCTGGGCAATAGAGCAAGACTCTGTCTCAAAACAGACAAACAAAAAAACAGGAGATGCCAGCTACCCCAGGGAGTCCCCTGCACTCAAGGGCAAGGACTAGAGGCCAGGGTGGCTGGAGGGATGATGAGGCAAGGGCGCCCCCAAGCTTCCTTCCACTCCGTATCCCCGCAGTTTTCAGACCGCCCCAAGTGCACTGTGGGTGCACTTTTCCAGGCAAAGTAAAGCTCACAGGATCTGGGGAAAGATTCTGCAGCTTGAAAGATAAACATCCCTGAAGGTTTGGAGGAAGCTGCCTCTCTGTGGGGGAGCGAATTTACTACAGCACAAGTTTAAAAAAAAATCTGAATATTTAATTCAAATTCTCAATAAGATTCCATGGGGTGCTGGAAAAGATCTAGAAACTAGAAAAGATCCTAATAAAGAGGGAGACATCTGAGAGCAGGAAGTGTAGCAAGGAGACAGAAACCACAATAGCTCTGGTGGGAAACCATGATGGAGGCTGTAAATAGCAGACAAGACACGGAGAAAATAAAATTAACATGACGAAGGGCAAAATGATAAAAAGACGAAAAGAAAGAGGCAGGCGGTCAGACACGGGGGATATAACCTGGGAATAATCGGAATTCTGGAGAGAACAAAACAGACATAGGGAAAGCAGTATTCAAAGAAATGGGAGGGGAAAAGTTTCCTGCTGTAAAGAAAGAACTCAACTGGAAACTGAGAGCATGTTCTGACTTCCCAGCAAAGTTAATGAAAAGAGGGCCCCGCTTAGACACACTATGATGGAATTCTCAAAGTTAAAAAAGTTAAGAAAATTGCCGGAACATACACACAGACACACAGACACACCCTTGAAATAGGAAACTGAAAGGGAAGAGAGATTTTACTTTACTTCTTTTTCTTTTTCTTTTTCTTTTTTTTTTTTTTGAGACAGGGTCTTGCTCTGTTGCCCAGGCTGGTGTGCAAAGTTGCGATCTCGGCTCACTGCAACCTCTGCCTCCCAGGTTAAAGTGATTCTCATGCCTCCCCAGTAGCTGGGATTACAGTCATGTGCCACAACACACAGCTAACTTTTGTATTTTTTTGTAGAGAAAGGAGTTTGCCATGTTGCCCAGGCTGGCCTTGGACTCTTGGCTCAAGTGACCTGCCCGTAAAGTGCTGGGATTACAGGCATGAGCCACCATGGTTGGCCAGAGATTTTACTTTTCTATCTTTAGTTCTCTTGGATTTTTTTTTTTTTTTTTTTTTTGAGACGGAGTCTCGCTCTCTTGCCCAGGCTGGAGTGCACTGGCATGATCTCGGCTCACTGCAACCTCCGCCTCCCAGGTTCAAGCGATTCTCCTGCCTCAGCCTCCTGAGTAGCTGGGATTACAGGCATGCGCCACCATGCCCCGCTAATTTTTGTATTTTTAGTAGAGACAGGATTTCACCATGTTGGCCAGGATGGTCTTGATCTCTTGACCTTGTGATCCACCCGCCTCAGCCTCCCAAAGTGCTGGGATTACAGGTATGAGCCACCGCGCCTGGTCATATTTTTTTTAAAAAGTTTTTAAAACAAATTTAAATGCAGGAAGGGGCAGTGATAAATAAGGATCTTACAAACAAATGGGAAAAAATAACAGAGAGCTTAAATTAAAATGATCTCAGACTTCCCTTGAGCCCAAGAGTTCGAGGCTGCTGTGAGCTATCCCTCCTGAATAGTCTTCTTGAATAAATCACTGTCTTCTCAAGACTACAGCATGCAAAAGAAGAAAATGTCAATTTCTTTTTATCTCAAGTCATCATTAGAAATACATTGTACTTTTAGACCAGGCGTGCTGGGATTACAGGCGTGAGCCACTGTGTGGAGCTTTGTTTTTCTTGTTTTTCTGAGACAGGGTCTTGCTCTGTCACCCAGGCTGGAGTGCAGTGGCATGATCATAGCTCACAGCAGCCTCAAACCCTTGGGCTCAAGTGATTCTCCCACCTTAGCCTCCCAAGTAGCTGGGACTACAGGTGCACATCACCATGCTCGACTAACTTATTTTTTTTTATTTTTCATTGAGACAGGGTCTTACTCTGTCGTTCAGGCTGGAATGCAGTGACACAACCATGGCTCACTGCAGCCTCCACCTCCCAGACTCAAGCAATCCTCCCTGCTCAGCCTCCTGAGTAGCTGGGACTACAGGCATGCACCACCACACCTGGCCAATTTTTTTTTTTTTTTTTTTTTTTTTTAGTAGAGACAACCAGGCTGGTCTCAAAATCCTAAGCTCAAGCAATCCGTCTGCCTTGGCCTCCCAAAGTGCTAGGATTATAGGTGTAAGTCACCATGTCCCACCCCCATTCTATGTTTTTTAAAATGTAGCCATAATCCTTTAAATTGAGTGGGTTGTGACCTGTAGTTTGAACTACACTGATCTAGAAAAACCTAAAGGATAGGCCATGTTGTCATTCATGTATGAAGGCAACAAAAAGACCTCAGGTGTGGAAGTTATTTTTAAAAGAATCCCTCCTGAATACTCTTCTTTAATAAATCACTTGAAGATGTATGCCAGGACAGTAGAGAAAAAATCAGATGTAAATACTCAAGAATGAGAAAAATATCTAGCTTGAAGCACCTGCTTAGAGGTTTAGGGGAAGGAGAGTTTTCATGTCTTCTCAAGACTACAGATTGCTAGCACCTTTTTGCAATGTTCTGGCAATATCTTTTAAAAGAGAAATGTACATACCCATCTCACTCTTGGAAATCTATCATACAAAAATAAAGACACCAGTATATCAGGTGATATGAACTAAGATGCTTCTTGAAGCCATATGTGTAGGGGCAAAATAACTAGCAATGACCTCAATGCCCAATAACAGGTGAATGGCTTAATAAATTATGGTGTATCTATACTAAAGTAATAAACATTATGTAGCTATTATGTATTAACCTGGAGGGGTATCCATGATAAAATGATGATTTATTTAAAAACACAGTGTTGGGTAATTTCTGTATCATCTTACTTCTGTAAAACATGGAGTGGAAACCTACCAAAGGGTTGACATCTGCATATATTTATATGAGCAGAGAGAAGAATGTGGAAGCAACAAAGCAAACGGGCCAGGCTGGTTAATTCTAAGTAGAGAGCAGAGGGGAAAGAAAGGGAGATCATTGGCTGTTCTGAAACAGTTTTTAATTAATTCGTTGCCTTATTTTTGAAATTTTTGAACTATTTCTTTTGAGACAGGGCCTTGCTCTGTCACCCAGGCTGGAGTGCAGTGGTGTGATCATGGTTCACTGCAGCCTCACTCCCCTGAGCTCAAGCAATCCTCCCACCTCAGCCTCCTGAGTAGCTGGGACTACCGACGGTAGTCCCACATCTGGCTAATTTTGGTATTTTTAATACAGATGGGGTTTTGCCATGTTGCTCAGGCTGGTCTCAAACTCCTGGGCTCAAGCTATCTGCCTGCCTCAGGAAGTAATTTTTTAAATTATCTACTTGGCAAAGGGCATTGAACAAGTTAATATATATGCATTACTCTAAATATTTTTAAATAGTCTCAAAACTGAAGATTAAAAAAAAGAGAGATTATTCCCTTAAAAGAAATTAGCTACATTATAAACCAAAATGACAAAGTTCATAACCCCAGATGAACTTTTAACAAGTGAGAATGATCCTTGTTCACATAGTAGAGAGAGAAAAGAAGTGGGGATGAATAGGGAGAAACTAATTTTCTACAATGGGAAATAAAAATTATAGTTCTATGAGGACTGTGATCATTGAATATCTGTGAAGGCTAAAGCAACTCCATATTGGAGGCTAAGCCGCCATGATGACTTCTGATTAGCCCCAATTCTGGGAATTCCTCTAAGCTTTCCAGTCTATCTATTGTTACCTGTGTAAGAACAGGTACTTACCTCCCTTAGGTCAAAACAACTTTGATGTTATCATACTTCAATTGTCCTTCACCTGCCTTCTGGATCACATATACCCCTTCCCTGTGGTAGATAAGCCCTGGGTCTTAGGGGGTAACATCTTGTCTCCCTGCCAGCCACTGCACAAGACACAGACCTGGCTTCTGTTTCTAATTTCCTATTGTTTATTTCTAAGAAACTGAATTTGTCAGCCTTTTTCTTCAGTCTCTCAGTTTCCTTGGACTTTGGCGACAGGTTTGCACAGGCCTACCCACTGAGGAACAATGTCACATTAAAATTATCTGAAAAGTTGTAAGTAAACACAAGTAGAATTTTAAAAAGAATTCTAGAGCTAGCACAGTGGTGCACACCTGTAGTCCCAGCTACTTGGGTGGCTGAAGAGGGAGGATCACCTGAGTCCAGGAATTCAAGGCCAGCCTGGGCAATATAGTAAGATGCTCCTTGTCTAAAAAAAGAAAAAAAAATTTTTTTAAAGAATTCTAATTCTTGCTTTCTAAATTATTAAGGAAGATTATAGCAGACGAACAGTCTATATAGCCCTGAAAGGAAAATTAACAGCAAAATGCGTTTAAGGCCTAAAACTCAGGCGCAGTATTAAATGCTGATACTGACTTTATATGCGGTGAAATTGGGAGGCTTTGACTGGCCTAGCCACAAGTTCACCTCCTCACTCTGCTCCCTTGGATAAGGTCCCCCAGCCAAATAACCCCCCTTATCAAGGGGACCAGGAGCACTTCCTGCTTATTCCTGAGTAGTGGGTTTCAGTTTCCTGCCAGCCTGCAGCCTGCATAATTATCCACATAAGCCAGTCACATCTTCCTGCTGAAACTAGGGGACATCTCATCCTCTTGATACTACAAAGCCTGCCTCCCACAGCCCTTAGTTGCTCACTGTCTCTGAGCGCAACCCCTGTGTGGCCCTGCATGGTGTGTGATATCCTGCCCTGGGCTATGAGTATATGTGACTAATACACTACTGTCAATCTCATCTGCCCAGAATCAAATGTCGTGTGTTTGGCCATCTCTGTAAACCTAGGATGGGAATCCCTCCCTCACCAATGGAGTGAATAGCACAGAAAATATTAAGGAAAGCCATTAAGTAAGTTGATAAAAGCTGTACCAACCCTGGTACTGCTGGAAGAGAAAAAGGAGAATAGAAGATTTTACCAATCCAACAGAATATAGTAAAGGGAAAAAAAGTGGAGAAAGAAGGCAGTGAGCAGAAAATGTGGAATAATCATAATCAAAGAAAATCCAAATAATCCATTAATGGCACTAAATGTAAACTGATTAAAGAAACAGTAAAACTTAGAGTATCAGATTGAGTTTTAAAAATCAAAATCCTCTTGTATGTTACTAATATTTTCCTTGAATTCTGAAATAATCTCAGCTATCATAGCTTCAATATTATTTCCTTGCCATTTTCCTTATTTTCTTACTCTGGAAATCCTGTTATACATAGTTTGAGTCTCTCAATCTATTCTCCTACTCTTCAAACTGTTCTTATTTTTAATCAAAGTACCTCTTTTTGCTGCATTCACTGTCAATTCTTTAGAGCTATCTTCCAATTCACTAATTTTATCTTCAACTATATCCAGTCTAAAGTTCACCCTATCTTTTGAGATATTTTTATTGCTTTTCTACATTTTTATTTCTGAGATGTATAATTATTTATATTTCATATGTATATCTTCATTTCATTTTCATCTACATTTGTTTCATAATTTCTTGTTTGTCAGATGATTTCTTCATTTACTTCTTTGAGCCATCCTTATTTTCAAGTCTTTGTCATATGAGTCCAAGAGATGAATTTCATGTGGAGAAAGTTCATATTCCAGTTGTTGAATTGCTTGGCTATCTTTTTTATCATTCCATTTCTTCATGTCCTTTGGAATTTGGGTTTACAGGCTCATTGTAGCTGAGAATTTTTGTTTTTGCATTGTGCTTTTTACTCTCTCCTTTTTTGTCTGGTGGGTTTAGTTTCGTCATGGCATTCACTGTGCCCTAGTCCAGAAATAGTTTTGTGATAGTGGTTGGGAACTCATGCTCTTCACTGATATTGGGAGATGTGCAGACCCAGAGTTAGAGGATGGCTTGACCTAAGTCTGGGTTGTGAGGCTGTTTTTGTTCTGCAGCCTTCCTAGGTCCACCATTTGGGCCATAGCTCCTGAGATCTGGTCAGCTGCACTTTTTGTTTTCAGTCTCCTTTCACAAGCAGGGTAGCCTCACTCTAGTCTGTGGCTGCTGCCAGAGTCTGGTTCCATCCCCCATTCCCTGTGCAACATTTTAGTTCCCATTACCCCATAGGCCCTTGGCTTTGGTCCTACTCACCACTTTGCTTTCCAGTTTGTTCTCTTTCTTATCCACCTAAATGTTTATCCTGTTTTTAAGCTTGTATATATCTTATCAATGCCTTTAAAAACTTTATCTCTCATTGTTAAGTATTTGGAGAATAGAGAGTGGGTCAAAGTATGAACTTTCCAACCTTCCCCTCATTATTTTATTTATTAATTTATTTCTTTTTTGAGACCGAACCTAGCTCTGTCACCCAGGCTGGAGTGCAGCGGCCTGATCTTGGCTCACTGCAACCTCCACCGCCCGGGTTCAATTCTTCTACCTCAGCCTCCTGAGTAGCTGGGATTACAGGCACGTGCCACCATGCCCAGCTAATTTTTGAATTTTTAGTAGAGACAGGGTTTCACCATGTTGGCCAGGCTGGTCTCAAATTCCTGACCTCAAATGATCCACCCCCACTTGGCCTCCCAAGTGCTGGGATTACAGGTGTGAGCCACCACACCTGGCCTCATTAATGTTTCAGTCACTTGGAATGGAGTGGAGACAGAGTTTCTACTTCTCACAGTGGAAATATACTAGCCAATAGAATCTGGGGGTGAAAGAGCTGAGCACTGAGACTGCAACCCTGGGAGTCCAAGTAATGGGCACTTTGTCTAGGCTTAGTAAGCAGGTCAAGGAAGTGGATCAGAGGAGCAGTGAAAGCCCGTATGGGCAACTTCTAATTATGGACCAGCTTCCTATAGCAACCCCATGTAGAAGTAAGATGATTTGCAGGAGCAGAATATTCCATCACCAGTGCTCTTCAGCTTGGGTGTGGAAGCCCAGTTCATATCCCCGGGTGAATTACACGTGCCCACCCCACAGGCTTTTTAGACAACTAGAGGACCAAAGAGGAAGCGAATATTGCATATGGGCTCTCGGCTGGCTAAATAGAAAAATGAAAGATATGTGGACCTTTCATTTTTGGAACACTTCATACTGTTGACATACAATATAAATAAAATAACTGCAAAAGAAAAATAAGAGAGATGCAGTGGAGTGTTTACATTTTTCTCTAGAATAACATTCATAATGACGATGTTGATTCTGTTAAGTAAGAATTATAGGAGGCCATTGTTTTGTACTGAGCTCCTGCACTAGGCTCCAACAGACCAGACTAAAAATCAAAATGGATTCACTCATGCTGGGGTTTCAAAATTGATATTTTGTCCTTTAATACCTCTATTTTCCCCCTATTGGTTATTTTGTGCTATCAGAATTTTGTGCTATTTTTTGGCAGGAGATGGGAGGATGGTCAAAAGTCAAAATTACAACAAAAATAGTTTAAAGATCTTAATTGGCTTTATTTGTGATTCTAGAATCAGGCAACACTTCACCCATAAAATAGAAAAGTATTCCAGGGAGCCCAGCAGAGGAGGTTGGGCTTACAGACAGAGAAGGGCTGAAAACAGCAGATGCAATGAGCAAAGAGCATCTTCATTAATTTTCAAAGTTACTTTTTTGTGGTAAGGCAGGAATATAGAGACAGAACAATAGAAAATAACTGATGAGTGAACATCAGGTTACTTCAGGCTAACTTTGTAATGTAAGGATTAAAGCAGAGGGAACTTATGCCAATTAAAATTTTAAACTGGCCTGTTTGGGAAATTGGCCATTATTTCTCTCTCTTGATTTCTCACAAGGTCAGATAGTGACTCCATTTTGATTTTTAGTCTGGTATGTTGGGGTCTAGCACAGGAAATTAGCCATATATATATACTTTTTTTTTTTTTTATACAGGATCTCCTTCTGTTGCCCAAGCTGGAGTGCAGTGGCACAATCATAGCTCACTACACTCTCAACCTTCTGGGCTCAAATGATTCTCCTGCCTCAGCCTCCCTAGTAGCTAGGACTATAGGCGTGCACCACCATGCCTGGCTAATTTTTTTTTATTTTTATAGAGACAGGGTCTCACTATGTTGCCCAGGCTAGTCTCAAACTCCTAGGCTCAAGCAATCCTCCTGCCTCAGTTTCCCAAAGTGCTGGGATTGCAGGTGTGAGTCACCATGCCTGGCCCTCCTATAATTTTTATTTAACAGAAGTTACCAAAGAATTAGCTCTCAAAGGGCTCCTGTTAGATGCTTTTGCTAGCAAGACTTTTCAAATGCTTAAGGAATAGCAGTGTCTACTGTTACATAAATTATTTCAAAAACAGAATTTAAAAAATGCTCTTCAACTTATGTTGTAGACTGGAATAACTGATTCCCAAATCTACCAAAGCTTTAACAACGAGAAAAGAAAACCACAAACTGGGGGTGTCTACAAGAGCCAGAAAATAACATAAATGGGTGCAGCTGATTGGGTATGAAATGAAAGGAAAAGGTGGGAGCTGCAGGCACTGGTGAGTGTGCACCCCTTCTTCAGGAATTCAAACTCAAATGCTTCAAAACCCTGTGCTGGTCAAATAAACAAGGCCTACAAGTTACCTCTGATTTTGCAGCTTCTGGTATATCTCCATTACAAACATAGATGTAAACATTCTTAGGCCGGGCATGGTGGCTCATGCCTGTAATCCCAGCACTTTGGGAGGTTGAGGTGGATCCCTTGAGCCCAGGAGTTCGAGACCAGCCTGTGCAACATAGTGAGACCCTGTGTCTACAGAAAATTTTTTAAAAATTAGCTGAGCATGGTGGTGCACCTGTGGTCTCAGCTTCTCAGGAAGCTGAAGCGGGGGATCACTTGAGTCCAGGAGTTCAATGTTACAGTGAGCTATAATCATGCCACTGTACTCCAGTCCAAGAGACAGAGTGAGACCCTGTCTCAAAATAATAAATAAATAAATAAGACCAGGTGCGGTGGCTCACACCTGTAATCCCAGCACTTTGAGAGGCCCAGGCCAGCGGATCATGAGGTCAAGAGATTGAGACCATCCTGGCCAACATGGTGAAATCCCATCTCTACTAAAAACAGAAAAATTAGCTGGGTGTGGTGATGTGTGCCTGTAGTCCCAGTTACTCGGGAGGCTGAGGCAGGAGAATCGCTTGAACCCGGGAGGCAGAGGTTGCAGTGAGCCAAGATTGTGCCACTGAACTCCAGCCTGGCAACAGAGCGAGATTCCATCTCAAATAAATAAATAAATAAATAAATAAATAAATAAATAAATAAAATATTAGTAAATCCAATTGAACTTATACTACAACTTAAAGAAAAAAAACAGCTGCTAATACCAAGTAACATTCATTCTAGGGATGCAAAAATGTTTTAATATGTGGAAATTATTTTTAAAATATTTCATAATCTCATTAGGTCATGCTAGAAAAACCCATATGATCCTTTCACTAGGTGTTAGAACTTCCTGACAAGCAGGGACCCAGGGATCCAGAGCTGGCGTGGGTGTGGACTGGCAGAGGGTACACGCAAAGGTAGCATCCAGAGGGAAAGCCAGGATCAGGGCCAGCAGACAGCCTAGTAAAGTGTCAATCAGAAGGAACTGGATGGATAAGCAGAAAGCAGATAAAGGCCACGGGACAGAGCCCGAGGAGATGCTTGGAGGCACAGCCTGGAGGTTTTCCTGCAGGGACCTCCATGCCTGCTGGTGTTGGACCAAATTCGGACTCTAGCTGCTGCAAATGCATTTGAAAACATTCAGCATACATGCCTCATAAAGTAGCCCTAAAAATGAAGACTATAAGGATCATTTCTTCACATAAGAAAGAATATATCATGCAGGCAGCCCAATTATGACTAAAGACTGCTTTCCTATTCTGCTTTTCTGAAAACCATTTTGTATTTTCAAGACTTTTTACAATAAAAGAAAAAAGCACAATGGAACCTATTAGAGAACCCGAAGAGGAGACAGAGGGAAACAATGATTCTTGCAATTTATATGGTGAAATCTAAGCCAGTCTATGCATGCTATACCTCAATAATCTGGGATTTTATTTTTAATTATTTTTTAGAGACAACTTGCCATGTTGCCCAGGCTGGTCTCAAATTCCTGGGCTCAAGCGATCCTCCTATCTCAGCCTCCTGAGTAGCTGGGAATTACAGGCACCACAATAACCAGATAACGAATTTGTTTAAAAAAAAAAAAAAAAAACAACAGTGGGCTGGGCTCGGCGGCTCATGCTTGTAATCCCAGCACTTTGGGAGGCCGAGACAGGTGGATCACAAGGTCAGGAGTTTGAGAATAGCCTGGCCAACATGGTGAAACCCCGTCTCTACTAAAAATACAAAAATAAGCCGGGCATGGTGGCGCGCACCTATAACCCCAGCTACTCGGGAGACCAAGGCAGGAGAATTTCTTGAATCCGGGAGGCAGAGGTTGCAGTGAGCCGGGATTGTACCACTGCACTCCACCCTGGGTGGCAGAACGAGACTCAAAAAAAAAAAAAAAAAAAAAAAAAAAAAAAAAAAGCCAGGCGCGGTGGCCACGCCTGTAATCCCAACACTTTGGGAGGCTGAGGTGGGCAGATCATGAGGTCAGGAGATTGAGACCATCCTGGCTAACACGGTGAAACCCCGTCTCTCCTAAGAATACAAAAAAAAAAAAAATTAGCCAGTCGTGGTGGTGGGCGCCTGTAGTCCCAGCTACTACTTGGGAGGCTGAGGCAGGAGAATGGCGTGAACCTGGGAGGCAGAGCATGCAGTGAGCCGAGATCGCGCCACTGCACTCCAGCCTGGGCAACAGAGCAGACTCCGTCTCAAAAAAAAAAAAAAAAAAAAGAGAGAAATGGGGGAAAGGAAAGGAAAGGATAGCCACTAAAATGTTAATGATGATCATCTTAAGGGGTGGGATTGTAGGTGACTTTTACTTTTTTTCTTATTCGTTTAGTGTTTAAATGTTATATAATGGATATTTATTACTTATATAATCAGTGAAAAATAAAGCTATTTTCATTGTTGTGGGGGGAATTCTTGGCAGGTAGAAGTCCCTAGAGGATCTGATTTAATGAGCACACAAGATCAATATTTAATTAACATATCAATTGCCGGGATGTCAACTGATGTTTTCCAAAATCATTGAAGTGTAGGCTCTCTTAAGTAGCCAAACTGTCGTCGGAAACATAGTTTACAATTCTCCCATTTAACAAACGCGGAGGAACAGAATGATTACAAATGCTAAAGCGCAGAAGACGATTAAAGGAGGTTATTTATGTACCATCAAATGCTTGTGTATCCTGTACACATCAGTTTAGAATTCTCTCATCAACCCAACCTTGTGGCAACTTCCAAACCCCTCCATCATGGCCTTCTAACTTTTCAAACTTTTTTTTTTGTAAGCCACTTCTCTTTCCAGACCTCTCTGTAGTGGTTCCTAACGTCTTCCCTTTAAACCTTCTAACTTGTGTTTGCTATTTTTATGACTTCCTCCTCCCAGTGCCTGGCTTCCCCAGCTGGGGATTCACCTTGCTTTGGTGGCCACTGTTTTGCTCTTCTCGCCTTCCCTCTCTCCATGGGCCTGCCAGGCTTAGGGAAGGCCGCAGGTGCTTAGACCTTGTCCAATGCGGTGCTCATTGAACACGCCGGGTTCTCAAACAAATGTTAGGGACAGCTGGTTAGACGGGAATCTGGGCCTCCCCTGCTTGCTTTCCGCAACATTTCTTGAGCATTGCTGGGTGTCCAAGGCAGGGCGAGATCCCAGAGCAGTCACGACCGGATGTATGATTGGTGCTCACTGCACAGTGCTGGGGACGCACAGGGAGGATGCCACTGATGGTGTAGGGGGTGGGGACTTGGCAGAGGGAGCAGCATGTGTCGAGGTCTACTGGTTCTCCAAGTTTGGTCCCAGAGCAAAGGCATCAGCATCACCTGGGAACCTGCTGAAAATTCTAATGCTTAGGCCTCACTACCGACCTACCAAAGCAGACACTCTGGGGGAGGGAGGAGGGGCACTAAAAATCTGTTTTATCAAGACCTCCAAGAGACTCCAACACACGCTAGAGTAGTTTGAGAACCACGACTCTGGGAGCGGCCTGAGGATGCTTAGGATGAGCGCAGAGCGGAAAGGAGGATTCGTGAAGGCTCTCTGATGCCAGTCAAGGGGTTAGACTTTGCCCCGCAGGTGCGGCCTCCAGGTTTTTAAGCAGACGCCTGTGGCTCTCACACGCCCTCTCCCAAGGCGGCGTCTCTGGGAGCCCTGGCGTTCCCTGGGCCCCCGGGACCGAGAGCTTACCCGCGTGGGACTGAACTCGCCCACGACCCCCGACACCAGGCAAGAGAGGTTGTGCCGCAGACCCTCCACTCCCCAGCACCAGGCGCTCGCCGTCCAGGTGGAGGGGAGCACACGTGGGAGCCAGGGGCACCGGCGGAGACACGAGCGCAGAAGGCACGCGCTCAAGCCCACGCCCGCGACTGCCGGGACTGAAGGTGTTGCGAGCCCCGGCTCCACCCCTAGCCTGCGGTGCGCCGTGCTTTGGCCCCGCAGGCCCCGCCCCCGGCCCCGCCCCGGCGCGCGCCCGGCCCGCCTCCCTAGGCGTGGAGGAGGGGGGGCGGCTCAGCCCCGCGCCCGTGCGCGCGCTCGCGGCCGGGTTGCAGGGCTGGGCGCGCGCCCCGCGTCCCGGGCAGGAAGATGGTGGCGAGCGCGCGAGTGCAGAAGCTGGTGCGGCGCTACAAGCTGGCGATTGCCACGGCGCTGGCCATCCTGCTGCTGCAGGGCCTGGTAGTGTGGAGCTTCAGCGGCCTGGAGGAGGACGAGGCGGGCGAGGTGCTCCGACGGCCGGGCGGGCGGGCAGGCCGGGCGCGGGGGCGCGCGGGGTCCTGGCGGGGCTGCGGGCGGCCCCAGCCGGGGAAGTGGGGCACGGGCCGCGTGCGTGCGTGCGGGGCGCCGGCGGTCGCCCAGAGCGGAGCATCCGGCCCCCGGCACTCCCTTCCCCAGCAGGCCTAGGGAGCTGCGCGCGGGGGCAGTGCGTGACCTGGAGACCCGGGCCCTGGTGGATTGGGAGTCGGGCGGGGGGAGCAGGTCATGCTAGGGTGGTCTCCGGCCAAGGGAGCGATGAAGGTCAGGCGCGGCGAGCGGGGCTGGGAGGCGGGGCTGGGCCCGAACCTGCTCGGAGGTGGGGAGCCCCAGGCCAAACTTTCTGAAGTTGGGAGGGGGCGGGGATATGCGCGCCGTGGGCGGAGGAGTAGGGCCAAGGGACTCAGGGCGTCCTTCCCCAGCTGAGCCCGAGGGGCAGCGGCCGGTGAGGAAGGGGAGCTCGGGGGTGGAATTCAGGCCTGGGACAAAGTGTGTACCCGGGAACTGAAGGAACAGGGAGTGACGCCGAAGGAGAGAACTGGAGTATTCCCGAGGTGTGGCTTCCTCAGCCGGGGGTTTGAAGAACCTGGATGGGTCTCCGGAGGGCAGGGAGAGGAGGAACTGAGCTGGTGAGTTGGCCTCAGGACCTTAGGGAATTAGGGAGGGGCCCTCTGGCTTTAAGGGAATGGGGACTGTAACAGAGCCCCAGCCGCAGAGCAGGGGCAACCAACAGCCGTCTCAGCCCCCAAGTCCCTGCCTCGAGGGTCTTTCTCCCTCTTCCCCGATGTGGTTTCAGCGGGAGGCTCAGACACCTCAGCGGTGTGGTGAGGAAGGGTCCATTGGGTCTGGGTTCGTGCTGCGGAGATGGAGAGGACAGGCCACACCACAGCCCTAAGCTGTGGCCCAGAGGTCAGGACCTCCCTGCCCCCAGCGCCCCTGTTCTGCTGCCTCCAGGGCTCCGGGTCAGAGACTCTATCTGCTGCTGTCCTCCGGCAAGCCCCGATACCCGCGACCCCTTACCGCATCTCGCCAGTCTGGAAGGCCTGGTGTGGAGACAGAAGAGCTGCCCTTGCCTTTTTTTGGGAGAACCCAGAGGGTGGGATGGTGATGGGGGCTGGAACAGAGTCACATGAGACCATAACTCCAAAAGGAGGTGGGGGCGGGGGTGGGGCTGGCTCCGTGACATCCGTGGGGTGTAGACCTACAAGTAGGACAAGCAAGTAGGAGAGTGTTTCAGGCCCAGTGTAAGAAGACTGTTTGGGCAGATGGGACATTCCAAGATGGAATGGGCTGCCAAAGCAGTTAGGGAGCCCTCTGACCCTGGAATATGTGACCACTCTGGGCTACCGCCCCCATCCCCCACCACCTCCTCCTCCAGCTTCCTGGCTGAATGAATAGGGGAATCCTGGGCTGGAATGTTTGAAAAAGCTTGTGCGGTCCAGGCACCCATTGCTGCTTGGACCCCCTCAGCTGCTCCCTCACCTGACTCTGGGGTTGCCAGGCAGCATAACGGGGTGCATGGGAAGGTGAGTGCTGAAGCTGGACCACCCACTTCACCACTCTCTTCCAGCTCTGACCCTGAGAAGACCACCAGCAAATCACTTTGCCTCCTCCCTTATCCTTATCAGTATCCCTCCTCAAGATGGGGATAATAATGGCACCTCCCGTGTTAGGTGATTATAAAGATTAAGTGAAAATGATGCCTGTGAAGCACTTGCAGGAGTTCCTGGCACATGCTCAGCTGTCAGTAAATAAATAACTCTTATTATCCCAGCACTGTGCATTGGGAATACGATTCATTCATTCATTCATTCATTCCACAAATAGGTGTGAAGTCCTACTTTGTACTAGACACTGTGCTAATACTGGGGATACAAAAATAAAATAGATGAGGTCTCTGCCCTCATGGACAGGTAATCTACAGAGAGAAACAGACAGCGAAAAGGAATTTAATAGAATTACAAAGGGGTTGGCTTAGATCAGGGGGTCAGGAAAGGCTTCTCACAGGAAGAGGTGGGCAGGAGAGTTCAGGCAGAAGGCCTGAGGAGAATGGGCTTAGCTGGGCACCCTTGAGGAATGGACAGGAGGGTGTGGTGCTTTCCCTGAAAGAAGGTTCCATTCTGTGCGGCTGAAAGGACCAGAGCAAGGGGCAAGGGTTTTATTCTAAGTGCAGTGGGAGAGCACTGAAGGGGTTTAAGCAGCACAGGATTCAGTGTGCATTTAAGACGTGCACTCTGCCCATCTATGGAGAGGCTGAGAGTGGATCCCAGGGATGGTCACGAACCTCCAGAGAGCCACTTTATAGTTTCCAAAGCTTCCACAAACACCATCTCACCACTTGTTTTAAATGCAGCCCGAGAAGTCAAAGGAGGTGGGGTATGGGGGGAGCATTTCTGTGTTCACCCTTTCTGTGACTCAGAGAAGGATTCTAAGGTGGAGCTACAGAGCCAGGAAGTGGCAGAGGATTTTAATCGCCTCCTTGGAGGAGAGGAAGGAGCCTCTGAGGCCAGAATGTATCCCAGCCAGAAGTCAGAGGACCATTCCCTACCCTCAGTCATCAGAAGGGCTCCTGACCTCAGGGGCTGCTGGGGGCAGCCTGTGAGGGGCACAAGGCTGGGGCTGTGATGACGATGCTCCTTGGACATGCCTGGAAGGGATGGAGGTGGGGGCTGACTGCCCACCAGGGCCTCTGCTCCCTCACTGCTGCCTCCTCATCCCCCAGCCTCCTCTGGGATTGTCCTTCTCAGGGTCAGCCAGCTCCCACTGCAGTGCAGGGACCAACATGCCCATCTCCTCCCACATCCTGGCCCCCACCACAGCCAACCTGGCCCCGTGCCTCATGCCCTGCCCTCCTGACCAGCTTCCTAACTCACTGATACTGGCTTCCACTCGGAGAGCCTACAGCTCTCTGCCATCTACCCACCTAAGCTTGGGAATGTCTTTCTCTGCTTGTGCTCTGTAGCCAGCTCACATGTCACCAGGCTGATGCACACTCAGCTCAGTGGGGCTGCATTTACCTTTCCTAGGGATTCCCCAGCCTGTGGTGCCCTCCCCAGTGTGGGTAGAGAATAGGGTCTGCTGCCTCCTCTTGCAGGTATCTCTTCTCGGATGGGAATGGGCGCCCCCAGCTCCCACTGGCCACCTTTAAGAGATCAGAGGGCAACCGGGCACTGTGGCTCATGCCTGTAATCTCAGCACTTTGGGAGGCCAAGGTGGGAGAAGCGCTTGAGTCCAGGAGTTCGAGACCAGCTTGGATAACATAGCAAGACTATCTCTATTAAAATAAATAAAATAAAAAGATCAGAAGGCTGGCTGGGTGCTAGGCACAGAGGGCATGGATGTAGGCATGGGGCTCTGGCCTGAAGGTAGCTGTCAGCCTGACAGCATGAGGTTCCTGATGTGCCCATACTGGTAGTGGGTAGGGTGTGGGTAGGGTAGTGGGTAGGTTGGGGGAAGTCCTGGGGAGGTGAGGAGCACAGAGAACCCAACCCAGCCGAGTCCAAGATGTCCAGGATCTTGGGTCTCTCTTGACTTCACGTTTGACTAATTTCCTCCTCCCATCTGAGTAATCATAATGATAAAGATAGCAGCATTGGGCCAGGTATGGTGGCTCACGCCTGTAATCCCAGCACTTTGGGAGGCTGAGGCGGGCAGATCACTTGAGGTCAGGAATTTGAGACCAGCCTGGCCAATATGGTAAAGCCCAGTCTTTACTAAAAATACAAAAAGTTGCCAGGCATGGTGGCACATACCTGTAATCCCAGCTACTTGGGAGGCTGAGGCACGAGAATCGCTTGAACCTGGGAGGCAAAGGTTGCAGTGAGCTGAGATCACGCTACTGCACTCCAGCCTGGGCGACAGAGTGAGACTGCGTCTCAAAAAAAAAAAAAAAAAAAAAAAAAGTACCAGTACTTACTGAATGCTGTGCCTATGCCAAAAGCTTTGCATTCATTCATTCATTCATTCAAAAAATACTAAGGCCAGGCACAGTGGCTTAGGCCTGTAATCCCAGCACTTTGGGAGGCCAAGGTTTGTGGATCACTTGAGGTCAGGAGTTCGAGACCAGCCTGGCCAACATGGTGAAACTCTGTCTCTACTAAAAATACAAAAAATTAGCCAGGCATGGTGGTGCGAACCTGTAATCCCGGCTACGTGGGAGGCTGAGGCACAAGAATCGCTTGAACCCAAGAGGCAGAGGTTGGAGTGAGCCGAGATTGCACCACTGCACTCCAGCCTGGGCAATAGAGTGAGACTGCCTCAGAAAAACAAACACTTACTGAGTGTGTACTACAGCCAGACACTCTCCTAGGTGCTACGACTATGTCAGTGAACAAAACAGGAAAAAAGCCCTGCCCTTGGGGAACTTACAATCTTCTGAGGAGAAAGACAAATTAAAAAAACAGTATAAATAAATAGTAGGATGAGAGGAAATATTGTGCGATGGTGAAAAGCAGAGGAGGAGGGAGGGCTGGCACTGTAAATCCAGTGGTCTGGGTGGCCCTACTGAGAAGATGCCATCTGAACAAAGAATTGAAGGAGGCAAGGAGTGTGAGCAGTGGGGCTATCTGGGGGAGGGTTTGCCAGGCACAGGGGATAGTGGGTGCAAGGGTTGGAGCCAGGAGTGCCAGGGGGGATGAGGGGACGCAGAGAAAACCACTGTGGCTGCAGGAGAGTGAGCATGACAAATTCCCAGATGAGGTCAGAGAGGCCTGGGTGGAGAAGGGGGCATCCAGACAGCTCATGGAGCCTCTGTAGGCTCCTGTAAGGGCCTTGGTTTTTATCCTAAGAGGGGAAGCCACTGGAGGTTTGGAGCAGGGGAGTGGTGAAATGGGATTTTAAGAGTTGTAACAGAAACACCAGCTGCTGTGATGAGAACGGAATTTAGGGGAACAAGAGTAGGAGCTGGAAGACCAGGGAATCCAGGCAGGGATAGTGAGGGAGGTGTTGAGAAGGGATGGCATTCCACATGTATTCTGAAGGTGGCCCCGATGGGATTTACTGATGGAGTGGATGTGGGGTGTGAGGGAAAGAGAGTCAAAGATGACTCCTGGCTGGGCGCAGTGGCTCACATCTGTAATCCCAGCACTTTGGGAGGCCAGGGCAGGTGGATCACGAGGTCAGGAGTTCAAGACCAGCCTGGCCAACTTGGTGAAACCCCATCTCTATTAAAAATAAAAAATTAGCCAGGCATGGTGGCATGTGCCTGTAGTCCCAGCCTCTCGGGAGGCTGAGGCAGGAGAATCACTTGAACCCAGGAGGCAGAGGTTGCAGTGAGCCAAGATTGCGCCACTGCACCCCAGCCTGGGCAACAGAGCAAGACTCTATCTAAAAGAAAAAAAAATGATTCCTAAAAGTTTTTGGCCTGAGCATCCTGAAGGATGGAGATGTCATTAACTGAGATGGGGAAGATGAAGTAGGAGCAGGTTGGGGTCGAAGAGCAGGAGGTACTTTTGGGCTTGTGGCTTTGAGAGGTCTATCGAGCTCCCATGTGAGATGTCAAGGAGGCTGGTAGTTAAATGCCTGAACGTTCAAGGGAGCTATCCAGGCCAGAGAGGTCAATCTGAGATTTGGGATGGAGTTCAGAAACCCAGAGACTGAAAGTCACTTAGGAAGTGAAGGTGCTAGGACAGGAAGGGCCCCCAGATGTGCCCTGGGAAACAAGGAAGCACCAAGAAGACCATAAGGAGTGGCAGTGGAGAGAGGAGAAAAGCCAGGTGGGTATCCTGGAAAGCAAATGCGGAGGGTGCTTCAAGCAAGACAGAGTGGTCCATTAAGTCACGCTGCTGAAAGGCCAAGAAAGAAGAGGACTTAGTCCTGGAGAACTTGTGAGCATGGAGGGGAAGGCCCGTGGGAGAGGGTTTACAAGGCTGGAGACGGCTCTCCCTAGCTGCAGTGTCTCATGCTCAGTTGTTACTCCTTACAGCTGGGGGAGCATGCTCAGAGAAGTTAGGGAACTGCTGGTGAGTTGGCAGAGCTAGGCCCAGAGCCCTGGAGGCTCTAGAGTGTTCACATGGTGGCCCCTGTTCCTCCGTCCATTCTACATCTCATCCATCAGACACCAGCTAGGTGTCCGTGTGTGCCAGCTGCTCTGCTGGGCCCTGGAGAGATGGAGCTGACATGTCTCTCATCAAGGAGTTCACTACTAGAGGAACATCCAGGGCCTTGGAGCCCAGCCCATTCCACTGCAGGGCAAATGGAATGGCTGCATGCCAGGGGCCTTGGAGCTGGATCTGAAAGCATGGATGGGATTTGGTCAGGCAGGGCAAGTAGGATGGGGGAACGGAGGAGGAGGTGGCTGGACATGCTGTTCAGTCACCACCAGGCCATCTAGGGAAGTGCCTGGATTTGAGGAGAGGCAGCAGGTACCAGAGCACTTAGAGCCAGGAAGCAGGGGCGCAGCAGCGGTAGAGGCGCCCCGCTGCAGGGATCCCTTCAAGGAAGAACCTGCTGCACATGCAGCGAGGTGACAGCCTCCAGCTGTGGGCACCTTCAGGCCCTGCTTCAGCTTTCAAGCCAGGGACTGAGTGTGGAGGTGGCTCAGGGCTCACCAGCTCCAGGCAGTACATGTGCCGGAGTTTTCCCAGGAGCCGGCCAGGACTTCCTCGAGGCTGTGCTGGAGGTGGACGCTCTTCTTGCCCCTCTCCTTGCATGGCCGTCTCCTTTGCGGTCCAAAGCCTTTCCCTGCCAGCTCCTGCCCCATCGTTCACAGGGGTACCCGCAGTGAATCTCATGCCCTCTCACTCTGTCTTGATCTGCTTCCTAGAGGACCTAAGCAGTATTGGGGTCTCAGGCTTCACCTCCATCATCCCCCATGGGCACTCCTCCTTCGCTGTGAGGTGGCCTCAGTCTTCCCACATGGAAATGCTTTGGATTCATCTGGAAGTTAGAGTCTTCTGAAGACCACTGTCTCCTTCCAGCCCTCGGTGGGAGTGCTGGGTCTTAGGTGGACACTTGTACCCTCGGTGGGGTCTTTGCACCCTTCCCTTGGGACACACGTAGATATTTATTTTAACATCTGCTGAAAAAGGAAGTGGTATCTGAGTCCAGAACAGAAAACCAAGCACACTGCCATGTAATCTGAGAGCCAGTGGGGGACGGGGGTGTTGGTATGATGGAGGGAGGCCCAGTGCGCCCTCAGTGGCTGGCCAGGGAGGTGCTCCCATGGTGGTACTGATTGTGCGGAGTCCTTAGGTGAAAAGCGCTTCTCTGGGTAAAAGGTGGGCAGGAACATCTAGGTCTGAGGGTGCCCCCAACCAAGATGGAACTCAAGGAACAGGAGGAGGTGAGGGTCTGCCCCAGTGATGTGTCTGCATCTCTCTTACAGAAAGGAAGGCAGAGGAAGCCACGGCCACTGGACCCTGGCGAGGGTTCCAAGGACACAGACAGTTCAGCAGGGCGACGGGGCAGCACAGGCAGAAGGCATGGGCGCTGGCGGGGCCGTGCTGAGAGCCCAGGAGTGCCCGTGGCCAAGGTGGTACGGGCAGTAACCAGCCGGCAGAGAGCCAGCCGGCGGGTCCCACCTGCCCCACCCCCGGAAGCCCCAGGCCGCCAGAACCTGAGTGGGGCAGCAGCTGGGGAGGCGCTGGTAGGGGCAGCTGGCTTCCCACCACACGGAGATACAGGGAGCGTGGAGGGCGCCCCCCAGCCCACGGACAATGGCTTCACCCCCAAGTGCGAGATCGTGGGCAAGGACGCACTGTCTGCACTGGCCCGGGCCAGCACCAAGCAGTGCCAGCAGGAGATCGCCAATGTGGTGTGCCTGCACCAGGCTGGGAGCCTCATGCCCAAGGCTGTGCCCCGGCACTGTCAGCTGACTGGTGAGGGACAGGGGTGCTCCAGCCCTTCCCAGGCGGGGGCAGGGGGGTGGCATGGCCCGGATCCTCACCCCTATCTCTCTGAGGAAGAAAGAGCCAAGGGGATCCTACCTCCCTGCCTAAGTCTTCATCCAGTGTACTTACTAAGTGGCAGAGGCAGAGTGGGGACCCACGAGCATGGAGCTCCAAGTCTAGGTTTCTTCGGAAGGCAGGCAGCTCCCTCTTCCCATCTCACCCCCACCCTGTGACCTAGGGTGGGCCTCGCCAACGCCTGTCCTCTGCTCTCAGGGAAGATGAGCCCCGGCATCCAGTGGGATGAGAGCCAAGCCCAGCAGCCCATGGATGGCCCCCCGGTGCGAATCGCCTACATGCTGGTGGTTCACGGCCGCGCCATCCGCCAGCTGAAGCGTCTCCTCAAGGCCGTTTATCACGAGCAGCACTTCTTTTACATCCATGTGGACAAGGTACTGTGGTGGGGAGAGGCCAAGGGGTCTGGGATGAGCAGAGCAGAAACAGAAGGTTGCAGACAGACAGAGTCTCTGACCTGGCCCAGGTAGCCTAGGAGGGAAACTGAGGCCCTGAACAGGGGAGTGGCAGCACGAGCCAGCTCAGCCGCTTAGGGGCTGGAGCCCTGCCCTGTGCTTTCCTCGTCTTGTGTCCCTTCACTCTGTCCTGGGGTGGGATTGGGGATGGCGATAACACTGGAGGCTAGCTGAGTGTCTCCTCCCCACCAGCGTTCCGACTACCTGCACCGGGAGGTGGTGGAGCTGGCCCAGGGCTATGATAACGTGCGGGTGACGCCCTGGCGCATGGTTACCATCTGGGGCGGGGCCAGCCTCCTGAGGATGTACCTGCGGAGCATGCGGGACCTGCTAGAGGTGCCTGGCTGGGCCTGGGACTTCTTCATCAACCTCAGTGCCACTGACTATCCAACCAGGTGTGGGGATGGGGCTCTGAGTCCTCTGCATGGGAGGGGACCCCTGTCTGGGCACCTGGGGTTGGAGGGCTTTGGTGGACCTTCTCTGCCCCATAAGCGTAACTCTGGGATCCGCCCTGCTCAGACATGGGCCCCTGGGCCCCAGCTATGTTTTAGGGGAGGGGTTGGTGTAAGATGATCTAAGAATTGAGCATGATAGGAGATGGGGAGGAGGAGGAGCCAGAGGTCTGTACCTGGTGTTCTGGGTCAGACAGCAAGGGGCAGAGGAAGGATGGGGTGGTCTTCCTCAGGGGCCTCTGGTGCTCACCACCCCAGACATCAGCCAGGGGTAGGGCACATGGCCAGCCAGCAATCAGGCAGAGAAGAAAAGCCAGAAGGTCCGCTCTGGGCCAGTGACTGAGCAACTATCTCATGTGGCTGCCTGTCACCCCATTCCTTCACCAGGACCAATGAGGAGCTGGTGGCATTCCTATCCAAGAACCGGGACAAGAATTTCCTCAAGTCACATGGCCGGGACAACTCCAGGTGAGGGGGTGGGGAAGGAGGCCCTGGCCCCAGAGTCTTGTCCCAACCCCTCCCACACAGTTGGGCTCGGTGGCTCCAGCCCTGGGTTTCAAAGCCTCCACACCAGTCACAGGTTGAGGAGTGTTGGTTGCCAGGCGGGTGAAAGAGCTTAGACCCCACCCTGCAGGATCCCCAGCCATGGCCTCTCTGCTGCCCACAGGTTCATCAAGAAACAGGGCCTGGACCGGCTCTTCCATGAGTGCGACTCACACATGTGGCGCCTGGGCGAGCGGCAGATCCCAGCAGGCATTGTGGTGGATGGCGGTTCTGACTGGTTCGTGCTGACACGCAGCTTTGTGGAGTATGTGGTGTACACAGATGACCCGCTTGTGGCCCAGCTGCGCCAGTTCTACACATACACACTGCTCCCAGCCGAGGTGGGTAGCCCAGCAGGCATGAAGGCCAGGGAGGGCGTGGGTTGGGCTGCCTGCAGCTCACCTTCCACTCTCCCTTGCTGCTTGCAGTCCTTCTTCCACACGGTGCTGGAGAACAGCCTGGCCTGTGAGACCCTCGTGGACAACAACCTGCGGGTCACCAACTGGAACCGCAAGCTGGGCTGCAAGTGCCAGTACAAGCACATTGTGGACTGGTGTGGCTGCTCCCCCAACGACTTCAAGCCACAGGACTTCCTCCGGCTGCAGGTGCTTGCCCGAGGCCCCAAGGCCCCTGGCTAGGTCTTCTCCCCTGGCTTTTCACCAGGAAAATGGCAGGGTGGGCCAGTAAGAGAATCTGGGGGGCCACGGCCTGCAGCAACCCTCAGGGGTCTGGGGCTACAACAGCAGCAGGAAAAGCCGCAGGAGGCTGAGCTCTAGGCAGTGCTGAGGGGCCAGCCCCACCATGCCCTCTGGGGCTTCCAGAGCCCTTCACCCTCCTTGCCTCTCCCACTCCAGCAAGTCTCCAGACCCACCTTCTTCGCCCGGAAGTTCGAGTCGACTGTGAACCAGGAGGTGCTGGAAATCCTGGACTTCCACCTGTATGGCAGCTACCCCCCCGGCACGCCAGCCCTCAAGGCCTACTGGGAGAACACCTACGACGCGGCTGATGGCCCCAGTGGGCTCAGTGATGTCATGCTCACTGCTTACACAGCCTTCGCCCGCCTCAGCCTGCACCATGCCGCCACTGCTGCACCCCCAATGGGCACCCCACTCTGCAGGTGAGACCCCCTTCTGACATACAGCAGGCCCTTGGGGTGTGGTGCCCTAGGGGGAGGCCAACCAGAGAGTGACGTCCCCTGCCCACAACAAGGCCCCAGTCTGAAGCAGGGAAAAATGCAAATACCGAAAAGACGGCTAGAGCCAGGCATGCAGGTGCTGTGGGGGTGAGATCTGGGGAAAGGAAGTGCCTGGGGATGGGACTCCCCAGAGCCCCCTCCCTGGGACTCCAGGCCAAGTCAGGTGTGCTGATGGCATCTCCCTTTCTCCCTGCTGGCACCTTAGGTTTGAGCCCAGGGGCTTGCCGTCCAGCGTGCACCTGTATTTCTATGACGACCATTTCCAGGGCTACCTGGTGACGCAGGCGGTGCAGCCCTCAGCCCAGGGGCCGGCAGAGACGCTTGAGATGTGGCTGATGCCCCAAGGGTCGCTGAAGCTGTTGGGGCGCAGTGACCAGGCCAGCCGGCTCCAGAGTCTGGAGGTGGGACAGGTCCCCCACTTGCTTTCTCCCAACCCCCACCCAGACTTGGGGTAGTGGGAAGAGAGGGACAGACACCAAGGGAGGGGTAAGGTTATTTTTCCCAGTCATGGCAGCCATGGTGATGCCCCCATGCAGACATCCTGTGTCACCCCCCAGCCTGTGCACACTGAGGAGCACCTCCTGGTTGGGGTATGCAGAGGACATGCAGGGAGCAGGGAGGGAATTATCAGTTCCACTACAACACAAGCCCAATCTTCCAGACTACAGAGATTTCGCCTAGAGGGGCAGGGACATTCGAGTTGGGCCATGAAACTACACTTCTGAGTGGCTCCTCATAGTCTTTTTTTTTTTTTTTTTGAGACAGTCTCACTCTGTCGCAGTGGCACAATCTCGGCTCACTGCAACCTCTGCCTCCCAGGTTCAAGCGATTCTCCTACCTCAGCCTCCCGCGTAGCTGGGACTACAGGCGCGCGCCACCACGCCCAGCTAATTTTTTTTTTTGTATTTTTAATAGAGACGGGGTTTCACCATGTTGACCAGGATGATCTCGATCTCCTGACCTTGTGATCCACCCGCCTCGGCCTCCCAGAGTGCTGGGAATACAAGCGCAAGCCACCGCGCCTGGCCCCTCCTCATAGTCTCTTTCTCAGAGGCTTTGGCTTCATGTGGGAATGGTCTCTGGGCAGGACTTTGAACCTCATCCCTGCCGTATTGTCCCCAATAAGGGGGACTGACCTCCACTGCCTAGCAGTCAGAATGGAAGCCTAGAACGAATCTCAGAGCTGGGAGAGATATTAAAGGTCTCCTAGTCTGACCCCTTCATTTTGCAGATGGGGAAACTGAGGCCCAGAAAGAGACAGTGACTGGCCTGAGATTACACAGTGAGAGGCAGCTTCAGAGGAGGGAGAAGGACCTTTCCCCCACACTCCTGCCCAGCTGCCTCTCTCTCTACAGGTTGGCACTGATTGGGACCCCAAAGAGCGTCTTTTCCGGAACTTTGGGGGGTTACTGGGGCCGCTGGACGAGCCTGTGGCCGTGCAGCGCTGGGCCCGGGGCCCCAACCTCACAGCCACAGTGGTCTGGATCGACCCAACCTATGTGGTGGCCACATCTTATGACATCACAGTAGATACGGAGACTGAGGTCACGCAATACAAGCCCCCACTGAGCCGGCCCCTGCGGCCAGGGCCCTGGACTGTTCGACTCCTTCAGTTCTGGGAACCGCTGGGTGAGACCCGCTTCCTTGTGCTGCCCTTGACCTTCAACCGCAAACTACCTCTCAGGAAAGGTAAGCGTGCAGTTCTCAAATGAGGCCCAGAAGCCAGACAGAATAGGACTCGCCAGAGAGGTGACCTCAAGAAGCCAACCATCAGAGCTGACTCCCATCCCTAGAGTCAGGGAAGCATGGAAGGGCTGGGGCCTTCATCTTCTTTCCTGTAGCATGCAGGGTCCTGCACTGCAGTGTGGTGGAAAAGGGAGCTTTACAGTCATGCACACTTGGTTTGGAACATAACTCTCACAAGTTCATTGGCTTTTTGTCCTTGGAAGTTACCTGGCCTTCCTGGGCCTCAGTCTTAGCACGTGAAGCTGGAATAGTACACCTATCAGGGACCTCCTGGTTCATGCAACACAAATCCACTCAACCTAGCTTGAGTTAAAAAGGGGAGAAGACTGGAAGAATGCAGAGGTCTCCTTCACAAAGCTAGGAAATGTCTCAGGCCTCACTGTGAACCAGAGGTGCTTTCTCCATCTCTCTGGGGCTATCTTGTTCCTCATCCTGTCCTGTCTCTATGCATTGGCCTCAGGCTCTGGCTCCCCATCCATGGCCTCTCAGTGCAACAGACACTGACCAGAGACTTTTAGTCCCCAGGTTTCACATTCTTGGGACAGCAAATCTGATTGGCTATCCCAGTCCACTGTCTGGCCAGGTGGGCAGGGTCATGTGGCTCTCTGCCCATTTGGCTGAGGCTAAGGGAGCAGGCTCTGAACAGAGACACAGGCTGGGCAAATTTCCTGCAAGGGAGGGCCTAGTATAAGTAACTCCCCCTGGGAGCTATGAGGGATGAGCCTCTGGAGGGAAAGTGGCCGGTATGCAGGAGGTGATCAATTGGTAGGTGTTTCCTTCCCCCACCACGTCCTATCACAAGAAGGTGGTTAAGAGGTGGGGTACCCTAGAGGAGGAGGGGGTGCTGGTGGGGCTGCAGCAGATCCAGGGCAGGCAAGCTGTGTCCCCCGCACACCTGGACCTCCCAGTCAAGGGAAGAATGGCAACAATGCACAGCAGGTAGGGACAGGGGCTGCGCCTCAAGGACAAAGTCAGAGGAGGTGCTCTAAGCCAAGGGGACAAAGCTGGCCATTGTCTGTGCATGAAGAGCTGAAGTGCCCGAGTACAGGCTTCTGAGGGCTCTAGGAGCCACCAATGATGGTCAAGAAAGGGTATGGGACACAAACCAGACTGTTCCCTTTTCTAAAGTGCCTTGAACCCACTGCTTTACTGCATCCTAAAGTTGGGAATCTAAGGCTTACTGCCTTGATTTTATAAAACTCAGTTTTATAGGCACAGAAAGTCCCTTGGATTAGCCCAAGGTCATTCAGCAAGCTGTGACTCAGAAGTAGGGCTGTGACAGGAACTGGGGTACCCAGACCCAACTCCTGGGTCTGGCCTCCACGGAGTCTGTTGCAGGGGGTGTGCTTACTGCCTGCTCTGCACCCACAGATGATGCCAGCTGGCTGCACGCAGGGCCACCCCACAACGAGTACATGGAGCAGAGTTTCCAGGGCCTGAGTAGCATCCTGAACCTGCCTCAGCCGGAGCTCGCGGAGGAGGCTGCCCAGCGGCACACACAGCTCACAGGCCCTGCGCTCGAGGCCTGGACAGACAGGGAACTGAGCAGCTTCTGGTCCGTGGCTGGACTGTGTGCCATAGGCCCCTCTCCCTGCCCCTCCCTGGAGCCCTGCAGACTGACCAGCTGGAGCTCTCTGTCCCCCGACCCCAAATCAGAGCTGGGGCCTGTCAAAGCAGACGGGCGACTCAGGTAGCAGGGCCCCAGCCAGTACCCGTGGAGGACCCGGGAAATTGCACCTTACAGACAGTGGAGGGGTGTCCCCTCCCACAGGCAAGAACCAGAGGCCCAGGCTGCACACCCATTTCAGCCATCAAGAACCCACACAGACGGCAGGGAAGGTGGACACAGTATGAACTACTGCTGATGTCTCTGTTGGGGATCAGAGGGCTGGCGGGAACGCGAGAAGGGCACCAGCAGCATTCCACACCCAGCTCTTCCTCACCTTCCTGTCTAGTTTGAATTTCTTTTTTTTCTTTTTTTTTTTTTTTTTTTAATTTAAAAAGGAAAATGGGTGGTTGGGAGAGAAACTAGAACAGAAGATGTGCAATAGGGCTCAGAGCAGCCCCAGGAAGTGGGCCATGTCTGTGGGGAGCAGGGGCTTGCTGAGCCCACCTGCTATTGTTCTGCACGAGGCTGGGCCTGCCTCACTCTCCAGGGCCTCATGCCCCATTCTGGGCCTGTGGTGCTCGTGGCTGAGGCTCCACAGGGCTGCAAGTGCCCTGCCAGGCTCTAAGGCCCGAAGAACAGGTGATATCGGGGGCGCTGCAGAGCTGGGCTCTAGCAGGACAGTTCTTTTGTAGCCAGGGGACCCTAGAAGTGGGGTGGGGCGGCTCCAGGGCTTTCCAGCATACCCTGCCCCTGGATGGGAAAGGCAGGGTCAGGGCCCACTGAGACCCATGCAGAGTTTCCAGGTGTGCACTGGAAGTGAGGTCACATGAGCAGCGTGGGAAGAAGACTCTGTCAAGACTCTCAGAAGAACCTGGAGTAATTGTGCCTGAAGCTCAGCGTGAAGTCTGAAATATGCAACAGAAGAAATATATCTCTATCTCTCTACTCTGGGCTCTGTGTTTTTCCTCCTGGGTGTCAGGAAGCCATCACCATTCATTGGGCCTTCTCCAGAAGTCTTAGCTGGTACTTTGGTAGCCTTGAGAAGGTAAAGATCTCATTCCTCCAGATTAAGAACAGTTTAGAATCCACCCAGAGGGACTCAAGAACCCATCTAGCCTGGGTGCAGGGGTTCACGCCTGTCATCTCAACACTGGGAGGCTGAGGCAGGAAGATTACCTCAGCCCAGGAGTTTGGGACCAGCCTGGGAAACAGTGAGACCTCGTCTCTACAAGAATTTTTTTTTAATTAGCCAGGCGTGGTGGCGCACATCTGTAGTCCCAGCTACTCAGGAGGCTGAAGCAGGAGTTTGAAGCTGCAGTGAGCCAAAATTGCACCACTGCACTCCAGCCTGGGTGACAGAGTGAGACCCTGTCTCAAAAAACATCTAATCCAGCTCCTTTTTCTGAGGGGTAAACAGGCCCAGAGAGGCTCAAAGACTTCTTCTTTGCCACCCAGCAAGCCAGGGGACCAGCAGGACCTGAGCTTAGTTTGAGAGCCCTGACCCAGCACTCCCACCCCCACCACCAGGCCAGGCTGCAGCAGGTGCTGGCTTCTCTATCCTTGGCCTTAGCAGGGTCCATCCTAGAAGACTGGCCCTGCCACATGGGGCACCTTCAACAGAGGCAATCCCAGCCATGGCCTGGTCGTTATGATTGGAGCTTTTTCTTTTCGGGGCAGGAGCAGCAGCAGCCTAGGTCCCTCGTCACTGTCCTAGGACTCATGTTGAAAAGGGTTGTCCATCCTCCCTCCCTTTCCCAAGCCTCCTCTCCCCCTCCCACTCTCCTACCATTGACAGCCGGAGCTCGGTATCAGTCCTTCACAGCTTGCTTAATGTGGGAGCAAGGGTGAAGGTTTCTAGACCTCTAAAGTCACCCTATCAGCCAGCCACACTGAGCTCAGCTTGGGGAACAAATTCCTGCCCAGGCTGCCACATGTCAAGTTCTCCTAGTTGCCAGGAGGGGGCACTCCTGACAACCAACCGATAACAGCACTGGGGTTTTTGTCAGCTGCCGTGGTGCTAACCATGCCTGTAGTATCTCAATCCTTACAACTCTTGGAGGGAGGCATTTTTATTATCATCATTTAGCAGATCAGAAAACTGAGGCTTAGAGCTGTGAAATGACGAGCCCAAAGTCACAGCTAACTATTTGATGGTGGCAGCAGCCTTCAGAAAGAGGCAGGAAGCCTCCAGAGCCACTCAGTCACTACACTCTCCGGCTCGCATAAGAGCCTGGCTGGGCAGGTAAGCAGGAAGGAGCTAATGGCAAGAATTCGAAGGAAAAGGTACTTAGGTTCAGAGGCTAAGATAATTCGTTTTTTCTGGCTCCTGTTTTAGTGAACATCTGAAGCTGTACCCTGGTTCTCCAGAATGTTGTGGTTTTTGTTTCCCAATATCAACTCTCAGGTCAATAAGGAGGAAAAATTAACAACTAGGTTCAGCATATTAGGCACAGGCAGTAAATATTAGAACACTTAGACTCTGCTGGCCAAGAGCTCACAAACTAGCCTGTGGGTTTAACCTGGGCTATGGCTGTGCTGTGTTAGGCTAGCACAACGGTTTTCAAAGTAGTAGTAGTATTTTTAGAGACAGGGTCTGGCTCTGTTGTCCAGGCACGATCACGATCATAGCTCACTGCAGCCTTGACCTCCTGAGCGCAAGTGATCCTCCTAAGTAGCTAGGGTCACAGATGTGCACGACCATGCCTGGCATGCATGCATTCTTTATTTATTTATTTATTTATTTATTTATTTTATTTATTTATTTATTGGCAGAACAGGGGTCTCTCCATGTTGCCCAGGCTGGTCTCAAACTCCTGGCCTCAAGCAGTCCTCCCGCTCCAACCTCCCAAAGCGTTGGGATGACAGGCATCAGCCACTACTCCTGGCCTCAAAGTACCATTAAAAAAAAAAAAAAATCTTAGGTAACACATGCACTCGCCGCATCCCTGTCCTTCTCCACCATATTAGATCAGGTCGTAGTTCCCCATTATTGTCACCTGCTGTAAACATTTGGAGTTTACATTCTTCAACTCAAGTGAGTCGTGATCCTGACAGAGGATTCTGATTTAACGGTCTGAGGTGGCAACCCACAGTGGTATGCTTTTAAAGCTCCTCAGGCCTTTCTAACAAGCAGGCAGGCAGAACTAGGGAAGCGTAACCCCACCCCTGCTGCTCTGGCAGGCCTGTCTTGGCCCCACTGAGTTGGAAGCACTGCAGGACCCAGGACCAGCCTCCAGGACTCCTCCTGACAGGTTCAGAGGGCAGATTTGGGGGTGGAGGTGCTCCTCTCCCATTCTCTCCCCTGTCCAGGTCACTGAGGTGAGAGCTCAGCTTTGCTGCCTGAGTTCCTGGCAGACAGTGTTCTCTATCCCCCACCTTTCTGTAGGGTTAGCTCAGCCTGGAGGCTTGGGTTTTTTGAGGTTTCTTTGAAATCCACTCCTGGCTGGGCCACTGGGGTCAAAATCAGGATTTGGGCCAGGCAGGACACAGAGTGGGGGCGGGGAGCGGCCAAAGGCAGGCTGGGCCCCCAGAGCTGCACAATAACTGCTTTGGAGGGAGGAGGAGAGCCTGGGCAGAGAGGCTTTTGTATTTCATGGCCTGGCGTACCCAGTTTCCAGGGCAACCATGGACACCACGGTTCTGTTAGAGGTGGAAGCCAAGACCAGAAGACAGCCAATTAACATCCAGAGCCCAGTTATCTGAGCCAATGGGAAGTGGAGGTGGGCAATGGGGCTGGGAGGGATCTGGGACTGAGAAGTGCAGAGATCTGGGCGAGTTGGAGTCCCACTGGCTGTCAGGTTCAGCAGAAGCAGGGCCTGTTCCCCCCAACCCCTGCTCTGAAGGTTGTAGTGGGACACTCATAGCTGCCAGGCCTGCAGAGGCAGGAGAGGCTGAGCTCCTGGAAAGCTGCTTACAGATGCCCCTGCTCTGAATGAAGCTGTTCCTCTGGGCCAGGGTTCCCAGGGAGGGGTGTGGCACCTCGGGGAGGGTCAGCCCTGTGGCCCTGCTGGCTGCCCTCAAGACTGATGCCCTTTCTTGGCATCCCCTGCCACTGCTTCTCCGTGTGCAGACATCACCATGGACAACAGCCTCCTGGCCATAGTCGTGGCCACCAGTGAGTACCTACTGCCATTCCGTGTCCCAGGGGTGGGGCAGAGGCACCTTTGGCCCCTCACTGTAGGCAAAGCCCAGATTCTTCATCTATAGGGTCACCTCAAGCAACAGCCCTCCCCAGCCAAGACTTGAGAAGTATGCTGCACATGGCTGGTCTTTGATCCCTCTGGTCCCTTCCCTGTGCCAGGTCCTATGATGCCACAATCTTTGGTAACAAGAGGGGCTGGGCACCAGGAGCTGTTGAGCTGGGCTCTTGGGTCCTTTCCTGCCTCCTCAGATCCAGTTTCTCAGGGTATCTGCTCCATCCCCTCCCTTTGTGTCTCTGTAAAATCTCCCTTACACACATCACCCCCTGGGCTGCAGGCAGGGAAGGGACAGGGCTACTCTGCTCCCCCTCACAAATCTCTGCCCCAGGGACTTGATGCCGTAGCAAAAAGGGAGCTGCCTGCACCTCAGTTTGCCTTGCTTGTCAAGCTGGTATCAGTACCAGCCAGGTCATTCCTACACCAGCTTCTGGAGTGAATTCCAATCTGGTGAGGAGATGGGCCTGCACATGCTGGGTCCAGGCTGCCCCCTGACGGTGCCTCTTGGGGGAAGGCAGCCTCATCCACAGTGTTCATCATGGCCATCCTGCTGCTGCTGCTGCTGCACCAGCGCGACCCCCAGTGCTGCCAGGTCCTCTGCGCCTGCCACTTCTTCCGGAGTCCCAGCCAATACGTAAGCACCCCGATCCACCAACCCCTTGCCTTCATGCCCCCCACCCCCGACCCAAATCCTGACAAAAGGGCACCTGTGCTCTGGCCAAGGAGAAACAAGTGTTCAGTATGGAAAAGAAAGGGCCTTTGGAATCTTTCTCTGCAGCATCCAGCCTGGGTTCCCTCTGAGTCAGGGGAGCAGTGTGGAAAGGGTTAATAACATCTAGGCCCCTCCCTGACCATTGTTAAACATAACTCAGTGCAAGGAGCTGCTCAGTGAAGACAAGGTCTTTTTCCAGCTCCCAGGGGAAAGTGCAGAGCCCCGACTTCTGGGGAAGGGGGTAAGTGGCAACTACAGCACTGTCAGTCCTCTCCCCAGGGACAGCGTGCCATATGGCATCCTGTATAGAAAGGAAACAAAATCTGAGCTGCAGCCCCCCAGTCTCTGACACCATTCCCCAACACTGGGCACCAGACAGGATGGAGGGGTAGGGACAGGAGGTGGTTTTCTCTGACTTTCCCACCAAAGGTCATGAGACCTGGCTACCAGACAGTGACAGAATGAGCTACTGGCCAGAAAGGAGTGGATTCTCTTTACACCCTAGTGCATTTCAGAAATGCTGAGGGTCTGAGCTTTGTGCCTTGGCCCAGGTGGAGAGGATTAAAGGGATGGAGAAAGGGGCATGGAGGGAAATAAAGGGTTTGGAATCTGCTGTCTTGCACACTGACCCTGAGCTTCACCTTGAGCTGTGCTTCATGATCCCAGGGCTGCCCGCCTCCCTACTTCAGCACCATGGGATGCCACACCGAGGTCCAGCCAGTGGAAAGGAGCCGAGAGTCCCAAGGGATACAAGTGAGGCTCCCTGGGCCTGCCACCTGGGATGGGGGAAAAAGTGTGTGCTGGGGTTCTGAAGCCAGGCAAGGGACCTAGCGTGGTTAAGGGGACTAAAAAGAACGCAGGGGAGGGGAAGGATGGGATGAAGACTGGAGAGGCTTCTTGGAGGAGAGGGAGGAGCGCAATACCCCTGAACTTAGGCTTGCTCTGCAGAAGAGGACCCAGACCGAAGCTGGATAACACTGGTGCATGCCTCCCTGGCTCCCTTGGCTTTTTTTGGTCACAGGGCCACTCCCAGGGGGGTGAGGTATTCTGTGTGGGGCTGCCCAGGAGCCACCAGCTGCCCCTGTGGCAGCCAGCTCGCCTGCCCAGCTATGAGAGTGTTCGAAAGAAGGACCGGCAGCAGCAGATTCACCAGCTGATTGCACAGAGCTTCGGGCTCCGGGCCTGCAGAGAGGTGAATGTCCAGCCTTCTCAGCCCTGGGTGCCCTGGGTAACCGAGCTTTTCACATATCGCATTTTAACACACAATACCCAATTAGAGGCCCTGGGGTCAGGAAAAGGACCACTAGTGGAGAACTCAAGGATATGACTGGAGACCCCAGTTCACCTCTTTGTGTAGATGGTGCAGACCCCAGCCCAAGGAGGCCTAACCAGAGGGGTTTCCATGGAGCCAACATCTCCAGCGGAGATGCAGAAAGCAACAGTCCAAAGAAAGGGTGTTGCATATATGGGAAGAGGGCAAGAAAGTGGCTAATGCCTTTGCTCTCCCATCTCTCCAGCTGCCACCAAGCTATGAGGAAGCCATAAGGTCACTGCCTCCACCACCGGCCAGCTGTGGCTCTACTCAGTCATCCCAGGAAGCAGCCACCTGCCCTGCTCAGGGGAACACCACAGTGTAGGAGGGAGCAACCACCTCTGTCCTGCCCTTCCCCTTTCTCCAGGAGATTGGAAAGGAGAGCACTGAGCCTGTGGAGGTAGCCCCCATCAATCTCCCCTGCCTAAAGACTACCCCAGCTGGGCCTTGGTACCTGATGCCCCCACACAGGGTGCCAAAGTAAACCCCACAAACCCCAGGTCACCTCTGTCAAGGACCTGCAGGAGGTGAGGAATCTAGGGTCATGTCCTGGGAAAACAAGATGACATGTTCAAGGCAGAACTCCAGAACTGGGAGGCTTCTCTGACCTCAATCCCTGGAGTGTCTACCTTCAGGGCACAGTAGAGTCCCTGAAAGAAGTCACTGGACCCAACAGCCCCTCTCTGGGGCTGTAGCCAACACCACCTACCTCCAACAGCCAGGAATGACCATCCAAAATGAGATTTTCTTCCCGGCCCCTCCACTCAAAGCCAAGCCTCTAAAGGTCCTGGCTGGGATGACAATAGAGTGGCCTGACCCCAGCCCACTCTAAGCCCTCACCGAGTATTCCTGAAGCCAGATTCTTTGCTACTGTTTATCGTTTGAGATAAATCAAGAACGAGAAGAGAATGTGGGCTTGGTGCGCCTAGCTCTTCAGGTGAGCGGGAAGAAGCCATTTGTTTCCTACTCTGCCCTACCACTGCAAAGACCTCGGTAGTCCAGGGCAGTTGGGGCCTGACTGAGCCTCTCAGAAGCATCTCCTGCCATCCCACAAGCTCTCTCTCTGCCCTAGACCTGGACAGGCAGGGAAGAGGGTTTCCTGTGGCCACCTCTGGGGCTGCAGCCCCAGCTCCCTTGGCATGTGGCTACAGGAGAACATGACTGTGTTGCTTCCTTTACTGGCTGCTCCCACCCCTCCTCCCAGGGCCCAGCCCTTGGCCTTTTTTGGGATCTAAGAGGAGAAGCAGCAATGACACCCTCAAGCACAAGCTCCCCTCCTCCCCCTCTGGAGGACAGTGCCAAAGCAAGTCCCTCCTACAAAGTCCCCCCTTCTCATTTCCTCACTCAGATATGTTCTTTCCTGCTTTGAGGCTCCCCGTTGGTGTGCACTAGAGAACCTGGGTAAGGACCAACAGATCACCAGGCAGTTCCATCCAGGTGTGTCCCTAAATAGCATGCGTTCATGACGCTGGCTCACTTTATTTTTGGCCCCAGGTCAGGTCTCCCAAAGGGTTTCCCAGCAGTCACTTCAGAGTCTCCTGCAGAGTCACCATCAAGCAGACCTCTTCCTCGGGAGGCCGTGTCGCCACCCCAACCCTTGACTTCTGGTATCACCATCTCCTGTCACCTGGGCTCCAGTCTCTGTCCGATGGCCTCAACAGGACATCAAAGCATAGCTACCAGTTTGAAGGTGCCCTCAGGCTTGGCAGGAACCACGTGGACAAAAGTCTTGTAGAGCACAGCACCCTTGGGCAGCCTGGTGATCAGATCCACAGCCTCCGTGTTTCTGGGATGAGGCACGTAGACCTCCTTAGTGTAGCGGACTATCCCCTCTTCCAGGGCATACAGACATTTATTCTTCCCAACACCCACCTGCAACACACAGACCTGGTCAGCTGGTCAGCTGGTCAGCGAGGTGGTCCGTCCCAGAATTTTGGGACAGACTTCTCACACAGAGCCGGGCCCTGGGGCTGAAAGGGTGATCAGAGAGCTCCATCTCAGGTTCCCTTTCCCACTGGCTAGCACGTCCAAACCTTCTGCTTCTTTATTGACTCATAACAAATGAGGGAAAAGAAAGCTCCAACAGCCAACATGGGCCACTGCTCAGTCCCAGGGACTGTTACCTGGAGCCATGTCTATGCAGCTGGTCAGAAGCCACACTGCACAAATCCCAAAACCCAGGAAGATGCCCTAAATCTTCACTTAGACTTAAACAACACTAGAACTGTCATATTAAAACACTAGTTTGATGTAAATTTTCATTTAGATAGTGATCTATAAAGTTTAGGCTCTATGGAAAATATAAACCAAAGCTATATGGATAATGCATATGCTAATAAAACAATCATACTACTGCATTAGCTAATACCCATGTAAGCCCTTTAATACACATTAAGTCATTTAATTCTCACCTAGTGAAAGAGGTATTATTTCCAACGCCACTTTTCAGATGTGAAATATGAAGCAGAGAGATTAAACTGTGTTGTATATACAGTTTTTAACCATATTTTTTAGCTTTTTCTTTTAGAACTTCAGGCTGGGTGTGTGGCAAATTTTACCCAGGTAGTCCAGCATTATTCTCTGTCTCTCTGATTAAAAGAATGGGCTCTGGAGCCAGGATGCCTGGTTCAAATACCAGCACTGCTACTTACTCCTGTGTGGTCTTAGGCAAGTTACTTCACTGTGCCTCTATTTTTTCGTCTGTCAAATGGGGATAATATTAACTATTTTACAGGGTCATTTTGAGGATTAATGCTCAACAATCATAAAGGGCCTAGAATACTGTCTAGCTCAAAATGTGTTAGCTTTGATTATTATTGTTGACATAGCCACACATCTAATGTCTTAAGTTCTAAAAGGTAAAAAGCTACTACATACATAATCAATTCACATACAAATTAGCATCTTTGAAATAAATACAGGTTACTATCAACCTTTTTGTACCTACTAAAATTATCGAAAAAGGGGTGGGGGAGGGGAAACTGTTTACAAAGGCAACTAATATTTAAAATAATGTGGAGAGTACAGTATCGTTATGTCTCTGTAACAAAGAACTGTCCTACCCTATAAAAATGATGCCAACTTGCTGAAACTGAAATCCCCACCTGGTATGAACCTAACTCCTGGCACACTGAATTCTATTTCATTAAATTCAAGCTATCTTTCAACCATCTGCAAGTAAGTTTATACAAAGGAAGAAGTCTTAGAATAATGAAAAACTAATAAATTGAAATTAGTTTCCCAAGACTAAAATAATATTTTAAATCACCAGGTATCTTGTCCTCCAAGAACTGAGGGTTAGAAAGGAGAACCAAGAATACCAGGCCAATGCAACACCAGGGCAAATCATAGTGATCTGGGAGTTAGGCAGACCTGGTGCAAATCCCAGCAGTCACTTGCTCCTTCCACCCCGTCTAGGTCTCTGGCATTTCACCTTACTTACAGGGATGTGGTAAGGAAGAAATGAGATCGTGTAGGCATGGGAATCAGCACAATGCTTGCCATTTGGTAAGCACTCAATACATGCAACTGTTATTACCATGCTTAGGGGCAAGGAGAGGTCAACCTAGAAAAGGAAAAAGGGGGGCAGCAACGGAGCAACTCACATGGGCACCTGGGTGCCAGCGGAAATGGCGCTGTGTTGCAATGATGTTCCCAGCATGAACATAGTGACCTAGAAGAGAAGTCCACAGTGACTGGGGCAGCATAGCAAACTACCAAGAAAACATGATGGCCCAAATGCTGCACACCAACCTCCAAGCCTGCCCCTGGCCAAAAACAACTCCCAGACAGTCCAACACAAGCAGCGCAGGATCTGCCACCCAGCAGCTCTTGTCTCTAATTGCATGGTTATGGCTCACACCCACCCACTCGATGACCCTTCCTCAGGTCTTATCCGTTCCTTTAAACTGGAGCCAATTATGATGGTAAGGAAGAACAGGGCCAGGCACACGCAGGGTTCTTCTGCTCTCCTAAGGAACATGAGGACAGGGTGCAGCTAGGAAGGGGAAGCCAAGGCACATCCTCACCTTCCATTTTCTTAATGCCTTGGCGTCTGCCTGATGACTTTCCACCGAGGTTTTTGGAGCTACCACCCGACTTCTTGGATGCGTATCTGACAGCAAGAGCTGTAGCCGGAGTGGGGCTTAGCAAGGATGTAACTGCAGAGAAAACAGAAACATTGTTCAGACAGACAGGCTCAAACTATTTCTGCCTCAATGGGCCACATGCTGATACGTGAGAGGCGGTGGGGAGATGAGAAAGCTGTGTCAGGGGAGCAGAAGTGCCACTGAGTGTATTAGTTCTCAGGGAATACCTCTAAGTCCTTGGCTTTCTCCTTTTGGGGGAGGGGGCGGGGGAGCAGTGAAACACAAATGGAAAAAAATAAACATCATGTGTTCTGGGTTCTGACACATTCAGTCTAAATGTGCTGAGGAGAAATGGACACCAGAGAGCTGCCTGCTTCAGAGGCTCACTCACCCTCATGCACCACGGAGGGGCCAGAACAGACTTGGGGAGCCCAGTACATCCAGAAAGGCTTCGGTTTCAGGCTCACCCACGACTTTCTTTCTTTTTTTTTTTTAAAGACGGAGCTTCACTCTTGTTGCCCAAGCTGGAGTGCAATGGCATAGTCCTGGCTCCCTGCAACCTCCGCGTCCCGGATTCAAGCGATTCTCCTGCCTCAGCCTCCCAAGTAGCTGGGATTACAGGTGTACGCCACCACGCCCAGCTAATTTTTCGTATTTTTAGTAGAAACGGGGTTTCACCATGTTAGCCAGGCTGGTCTCGAACTCCTGACCTCAGGTGATCCCAAAGTGTTGGGATTACAGGCCTCACCCATGACTTTCTCAGCTGTCCACTCATCCACTGCTCACCAAATACTAGTAAACCAAAAGGATGGCTGGCCTAAAAGTGGCTCCCACAGGGTCCTGGCCATTTCAGAAGGCTGGGCCCTTTCTTCTCAAAGCACATCAAGCAGAGGTCCAACCATGACCCACACACTGCCCTTGTTAATCTGACCTCTCCATACTCATTCCAAAGTGCTCAATAGCATTCATTTGCAGAAGTAAAATGAACTAAAATTCATACTAAGATGGTAGTCCCTTGCTGTATGACAAGCCTAGGGGTGCAACTCCTTGCCTGCAGGTCTCCAGACACAGCCATGATTTAAGGTCCATGCCAGTGTCTTTAGAGAAGCCTTGTGGGTCTCTGGAGCCTATAAGTTCAGAGTTCCTGAAGCCTGGGTTTCTGACATTTCCATGACACCAGAGACTAGCTGGGGCAAAGGACCAGAGATAAGGACTCAGAAAGACAACATGTTAAAACATGCCCGGCGCCAGGATCTACCTACCTTTAAACATCTATTCATTCATTTACATACTTACTAAGCTCAGGAGCTGGGCTTTTACTTTACTTACATTATCTCACTCACAAATCTTTGCTCTTCACCCTACTCCCCATCCTCCTCCTCAAAGTAAATGGTACCACCATTCATCCAGTTGCTTAGGCAGAAACCAGAGTCATTGCAGATTCCTTCTCTTTGCTGTCCTCACATATTGTTCACCAGCAAGCTCTGTGGATGCTAACTCCAAAACAGATCTCAAATTCATCCGTTTTCCTCCAAGTTCACTGCCACCACAAACATCTTGGCTAAATCATCTCTCCTCAGGGCTATTACGACTTTCCATTTGATTTCCTCATTTCCACTCCTATCCCCTTTAAATTTACATAAGAGCAATAGTTTGCTTCTCAAAATGTAAAACTGGCTCAAGTCACTCTCCTGTCCCTCACTCTACACAGGTCTAGGTCTCCTGTCATTCTTTTTTTTTTGGGGGGGGGGGATAGGGCCCCATTCTGTCACCCAGGCTGGAGTGCAGTGGTATGAACATAGCTCACTGCAACCTCGACCTCCCGAGCTCAGGTGATCCTCCCACCTCAGCCTCCTGAGTATCTGAGACCACAGGCAAGCGCCACTACACCCAGCTAATTTTTGTATTTTTTGTAGAGATGGGGTTTTGCCATGTTGCCCAGTCGGTCTTGAACTCCTGGGCTCAAGCGATCCGCCCACCTAGGCCTCCCAAAGTGTTGGGACTACAGGCGTGAGCCATCACGCCCCGCCTGTCATTCTTTAGGTTTTAAATGTTATCTCCTCAGAAGCCTTCCTTCACCGTCCAATCTAAAAAAAGACACACACACAGACACACATTATCCTTCTTCACAGCACTTGCCAGTCTACATCTACTTTATATGTTCATTTATTGCCTTATGCACCAGAGAGAACCGTTCGGGGGCTAGAAGCCAAGTCTTCACGTTTTCTGCTGATTTTCCGAACACCTACCGCCGTGTCTAGCACAAAGTAAGACCTCAATCTGCTGAATCAATAGATTAATTTTTTCAACCCCAATATGCCAATGTTACTAATACTTCTACAGAGAAAGGACCCACCCAAATCCCCAACCGCCAAGGAACCCGTCCGTGCTGCTGAGGCAGGAGAAAGACAAGTGCTCTTCAAACGCCCTCACTCACGGCTCCACCCAGGATGTGTCACGTGACCAGCGACACCGTCCCTCAAACCTGGAGTACCCCACACACTTCCCCTCGCATCCAAGGTCCTCCGCGGGGATCAGTGTCACCTCCTTCCCTCCCTGCTGGAGCTCCACTCTGCCTCCCCGCCTCACCCCGCTCTGACTACTGCGTCCCATTACCGGCTGTCCGGGTCCTCAGCGCCAACACCACCGACGCCATGCTTTCGATCACTCACTTCCGGTCTCGAAAAGTTTCTACTTCCGCTATCAGGAGATCTACTTCCGGGCCCTGCGTGGCAGTTGAAAGAGTGGCGGGAGAAGTTGCAGGTGAGCGTCCCCGGTCGCAGGCCTGCGGATTGGGCAGGGCTTCCCTCCTGAACACCGCTCTGCAGAATCTTGGTGGCTAAGGTGTCCAGGAGCCTCTGCAGCGGACCGCCAGCCTGAGAGGCGCAGAGCTTGTCGGGCAGGGGCCCGCTTGTCCCACTCCCCTGATTTGCAGATGTCAACGGAGGCCCAGCGAAGGGTCAGAGATGAGGCCCCCTCCCTAGTCATTCAACTTACTCTACTTAGCCAGCTGTGTGCCAGATGCTGTACTAAGCGCGGTGGATGCATTATTTTATTTAATTCTCACTACCTTATAAAATGGGTGCTGTTACCATCCCTGTTTTACTAAGGAAGAAACTGAGGCCTAGGCAGGTTACATGTCTCCTTCTGGGTCATACCTACAGTGTTAGTAAATGTTCAAGAAATGATTAGCTTTGCATATGACCCAGCAATTCTACTCCTAGGTATATACACGAAAGGGATTTGAAAACATACCCCCACAAAAACTTGTATGTCAGTGTTCATAGCAGCATTATTCATAACAGGCAAAAAAAGGAAACAAATTAAATGTCCAAGTGATGAATGGATAAACAAAATGTAGCATATCCATACAGTGGAATATTATTCAGTCATGAAAAGCAATTAACTACTGATACAGGCTACATCATAGATAAACCTTGAAAACAAGCTGAGTGAAAAAAGTCAATCACAAAAGGCCACATAGTGTATGATTCTATTTATATGAAATATCCAGAATAGGCAAATGCATAGAGACAGATTTATGGTTGCCAGGAGCTGGGGAGGGAGGGAAAGGACAGTGACGGCTTAATGGCTGCAGGAATTCTTTTTGAGGTGATAAAATAGTGATGATGGTTGCACAACATTGTGAATATACTAAAATCTACTGAATGTACACTTTTAAAAGGATATTATGCTGTGCAAATTATATCTCTATTTTTATTTTTATTTTATTTTTCTTTTGAAGCAGGGTCTCACTCTGTCACCCGGGCTGGAGTGCAGTCGTACAATCACAGCTCACTGCAGCCTTGACCTCCCAGGCTCAAGCAATCCTCCCACCTCAGCCTCCTGAGTATCTGGGACTACAGGTGTGAGCCACCATACCCAGCTAATTTTTGTATTTTTTTGTAGAGACGAGTTCTCACTATGTTGCCCAGGCTGTTCTCGAACTCCTGGGCTCAAGTGATCCTTCTGCTTTGGCCTCCCAAAGTGCTGGGATTATACGCATGAGCTACCATGCCCAGCCTATATCTCAATTTTTAAAAAGAACAGTTTTTGGCCAGGTGCAGTGGTTCACACCTGTAATCTCAGCACTTTGGGAGGCCAAGGCGGGCGGATCACTTGAGGTCAGGAGTTCAAGACTAGCCTGGCGAACATGATGAAAACGCATCTCTACTAAAAATACAAAAATTAGCCAGGTGTGGTGGTGGGGCGCCTGTAATCCCAGCTAGGCTGAGGCAGGAGAATCACTTGAACCTGGGAGTGAGGTTGCAGTGAGCCAAGATTGTGCCACTGCACTCCAACGTGGGTGCCAGAGTGAGACTCCATCTCAAAAAAAAAAAAGAAGAACTTTTGACATCTCCATTTCAAACGTGAAGATAAACAAGGGGTTGGAGGTGTTAAATCTTGTTACCACCTCCCCCCATTAAAATTTTGTAATGGTAACTCTACTTTGTTTATACTTCAGCTTGACCTGGAAAGAATTTGAGGAGGATTCCTGTTAGATTACCAGGAGTTAGAGTTCCAGATTGAATGTGTTGGGGCCATGTCATATTTCTCTGTTTCTGTATTCTCTATATCTTATATTTATGTCATAAAGCCTGGCTATGGAACACAGCTAGTGGACTGAATTGAATGCTCCAGTCTGTGTCATATGTCTCTTTTCCTTTTAGGGAATTATTTGATAGCACATACTGATGGCTCTAAAGAAGTCATCACCCTCACTGGATTCTGGTGATAGTGACTCTGAGGAGTTGCCAACATTTGCCTTTCTGAAGAAGGAACCATCTTCAACAAAGAGGAGACAGCCTGAAAGGGAAGAGAAGATTGTAGTGGTTGACATCTCAGATTGTGAAGCCTCCTGTCCTCCAGCACCAGAGTTATTTTCACCACCTGTCCCAGAAATAGCTGAAACTGTCACACAAACACAGCCAGTCAGGTTGCTAAGCAGTGAAAGTGAAGATGAAGAAGAATTTATTCCTCTGGCTCAAAGGCTTACATGTAAGTTTCTGACCCACAAGCAACTGAGCCCTGAGGACTCTAGCTCCCCAGTTAAAAGTGTTTTGGATCATCAAAATAATGAAGGTGCATCATGTGACTGGAAAAAGCCCTTTCCAAAGATCCCTGAAGTTCCCCTCCATGATACCCCAGAGAGGAGTGCAGCAGATAACAAGGACCTGATCTTAGATCCATGCTGTCAGCTTCCAGCCTACCTGTCTACCTGCCCTGGCCAGAGCAGCAGCTTGGCAGTAACCAAAACAAATTCTGACATCCTTCCACCCCAGAAGAAAACCAAGCCGAGTCAGAAGGTCCAGGGAAGAGGCTCACACGGATGCCGGCAGCAGAGACAAGCAAGGCAGAAGGAAAGCACCCTGAGAAGACAGGAAAGAAAGAATGCAGCACTGGTTACCAGGATGAAAGCCCAGAGGCCAGAGGAATGCTTAAAACACATCATTGTAGTGCTGGATCCAGGTCCTCACATGTGTCTTTGTCCTGTGCTGAGTTATCTGCGTTCTGGACCCCCCACTGACAGTCCCTTTTCCATCTGTTGCAGTGCTCTTACAGATGGAAGGTGGGGGCCAGCTCCTAGGAGCACTGCAGACCATGGAGTGCCGCTGTGTGATTGAGGCGCAGGCTGTGCCTTGCAGTGTCACTTGGAGGAGAAGGGCTGGGCCGTCTGAGGTAGGAGTTTTCTGGCTGACATTTCCTCCCTCTCCTCCCCTTACAATTACAGGATAAATATGCTTTTATTTTAAAGGATACTTATCAGGGCCCCAGCAGGAAGACAGATGGCACATTCAACTCAGGGTAATTAAAAGAAGATTGAATAAAGGGACTGTTTGCCAAGGCATGGGCAGGGTATGAGGAAACTACCAGTGACAGCATGGTACCTCACAGTAATAACAGCACAACTTAGGTTTTTCGACCTCAGTATTGTTGACATTTTAGATTGGAGAATTCTTTGTTTTGGGTGCTGTCCTATGATGTGCACAATGTTTAGCAGCATTCCTGGCCACTATCTACTAATGTACCCCTCTCAGTCATGACAATAAAAAATGTCTGCAGACACTGCCAGATGTCATTTGTGGGGAAAAATCACCCCCGGTTGAGAACCATTGGCATAGCTGTTACCATCCCTATGCCTGAAGGGATGAGGGGAAGGAGTGGTTAACAGAATTCAGGAGAGAGAAATGGAGAGAGGACCACCTTGAGCGAAGCTATGAGCTGCCACAGAGGGGGACAGCAAACCCTAGGTGACCCCACTGGGAGGGAGCCAGGGGAAAAATACCCTGACTTCACTTTTCTCCTTCCCACTAGTCCTCTCCTCGGGTCCCTGCTGGTGACACCCAGCTGGGAGCCAGAAGACATGTGGGCCCTGTGTTTTTTGTAGAGATTGCAGAGTGTAGCTTGTATTTTTGGTAGAGACGGGGTTTTGCCATGTTGCCCAGGCTGGTCTTCAACTCCTGAGCTCAAGCAATCCACCTGCCTCAGCCTCTCAAAATGCTGCGATTACAGGTGTGAGGCACCTTGCCTAGCACTAAGATTCTTTTTTATCTCACCAGAAGCATCTTGTATAAAATAAGAAAAAAGATTTTTTTTTCCTCTCTTTGATTTCTTTTTTGGATCTGATAACTTTCTCAGTAACACAGGACAGTTCCCCACACTTTTTACTCTGGGGGTATTAGCAAGCCTTTATATTCATAGAGCAGCTTACCCTCTCAAGGCACTCCCACATTCTCTCTTGTGTTTCCATCAGTCATCCTATGGGGTAGGACTTCTCCCCACATCACAGGTGGGGAAACTGGGGCTCAGAAAAGTTAAAAGCCTTGTTGAGGATCACAACGGGAATGAGAACCCAGAGCTCCCCAAACCTACACTTTGCTGTAATATAGGTCTTGCTTTGCTTATAGGGACCCAATCAGAAAACTTTCTATCAAAGTCCTGTTCCCCAATTACTCCATAATACTGTACTGCTGGAGGATTGTTGGCCTTGAGGCATCCTTGACTTTGATTATGCCCTACCTGTGATAAACAGGAGGTACTCTCATAGACTGAAGTTTCCCTTGTGATTCTTGTCTTTGTCACAAAAAAACCTATCTGTTTGTAAGGACCACTCGGCTCACAGCATCTGCCTTCAAAGCCAGAGTCATTTACTTGTACTAACCTTTGGAAGAGTTTCCCTTCCCTCCATTCCCGTATTCAAAATGGCCCCAGCCCCTTTCAACTTGCTATGTTCCTTTTTTCTCTCTTTTTTTTTTTTTGAGACAGAGTTTCACCCTGCTGCCCAGGCTAGAATGCAATGGCATGGTCTCGGCTCACTGCAGCTTCTGCCTTCTGGGTTCAAGTGATTCTTCTGCCTCAGCCTCCCAAGTAGCTGGGATTACAGGCGTGTACCACCACGCCCAGCTAATATTTTTGTATTTTTAGTAGAGACGGGGTTTCACCATGTTGGCCAGGCTGGTCTCGAACTCCTGACCTCAGGTGATCCGCCCGCCTAGGCCTCCCAAAGTGCTGGGATTGGGATTACAGGTGTGAGCCACCGTGCCTGGCCTGCTATGTTCCTTTTTTTTTTTTTGATGGAGTCTAGCCCCGTTGCCAGGTTGGGGTGCAGTGTTATGATCTCGGCTCACTGCAACCTCCACCTCCCAGTTTCAAGCAATTCTCCTGCCTCAGTCTCCCGAGTAGCTGGGATTACAGGCACGTACCGCCACACCCAGCTAATTTTTGTATTTTTAATAGAGATGGGGTTTTACCGTGTTGGCCAGGATGGGCTTGATCTCCGACCTCGTGATCTGCCCACCTCGGCCTCCCAAAGTGCTGGGATTACAGGCGTGAGTCACCGCGCCCGGCTGCTATGTTCCTTTCTTATTCACTGTCTCTGAGATGCAGGGCACCAAGACTGAATCATTGAGGGCTGGGAGGGACAGCGACACTGTTTCTTGCCACAGTGACTTCATTCCAGAAAGGATAATGCATAAGGGGTGGGAGTTAGTTCATTCACCCAGAAGACCTGGGCCACTCTCACAGGTGCTCAATACCTGCTGACCTCCCTCCCTGTGCTGTGTTCTGGGTACTTTGGCAGGACAGAGAGGACTGGGTGGAGGAGCCAACAGTACTGGTGTTGCTCCGGGCAGAGGCATTTGTGTCCATGATCGACAATGGAAAGCAGGTGGGCAGAGCCAGAGGGTGGGAGGACACGGAACAGAGGGCTGACTCTTACTAGGAAGCAAGTATTAATGCAGTTTCTGCCCCTTCATGCAGGGAAGCCTGGACAGCACTATGAAAGGGAAGGAAACGCTTCAGGGCTTTGTAACTGACATCACAGCAAAGACAGCAGGGAAAGCTCTGTCACTGGTGATTGTGGATCAGGAGAAATGCTTCAGGTTTGGATTTGCCCTGGTGATTTCATGTTAAAAGGGGCAGCTCTTGGGCCAAGGGGGGTGAGTTTAGTTTATTCATTGCAGATGTAGGTCACTCTGCAAGGTAGTCCATCTCTAACAAGTCCAGGGGGATGCTCTGGTCCAGTCTTCTTCTGTATCTTCTGCCTGACTTCAGCCTGGAGCTGCTGTTCTTTGATTTCCTCCCCTGCACCAGTGCTCAGAATCCTCCAAGAAGAGGGAAACAGGGAGCAAATAAACAGACCAAGAAGCAGCAGCAGAGACAACCAGAGGCCAGCATAGGGTCCATGGTATCCAGGGTAGACGCTGAAGAGGTAAGAACGTCCTGTTGCCTGAATCGGGCTGGGTACTCACTGGTCACCTGAGACTTGCTATTGATAGAGAATAAAATGCCTGCTGCGTACTGTTTTCTGCCTTGGCACTGACTAAGAGAAGGTACCAAACAGGAAGCCAAGGGGCTGGGGTGTGGCTTTAGTGGACAGTGACTTGGCAGCTAGTCTCTTCCTACCCTTCCAGTCCATCGTTGCTTTTGGGTTTCTAGGCATTGGTGGATCTGCAGCTACACACAGAAGCCCAGGCTCAAATTGTGCAGAGCTGGAAAGAGCTGGCCGACTTCACATGCGCATTCACAAAGGCTGTGGCTGAGGCGCCCTTCAAGTGAGTAACCCCAGCAAGTCCAGCCTCCATGCTGGGCCTGTCCTTTACCATGGCTCTTGCAGTCAAAGCAAATGTCCCTTTCCCCTCATCTCTGCAGTCAGCCCATTGTCTCTCAAGCTTGAGGCAGAAGGAGCTGACCTCACACTGGGGATTCTTGGGAAGAGTCCTCAAGCCTAGCGCCTTTTCAAATATTCTCCTTTCGCCTATATGTAAGTATGTGTTCTGCAGGCTGATATCATAGGCCAGGTTACCATAGGCCAAGTTACCAGGATTAATTACAGGTCAGATCACAATGTAATAAGCACTAGGAAAGCAAATTTTTGGCCTACTCAGTTCAAGAAGTGTTCACTGTCAGAATTTAAAATAAGTAAATGACCTCAGAGACAATCCAGTCCAAGTCCCTTATTTTATACTTGAGGGGACTGAGGCCTGAAGAGATTGACTTGTCTAAGCTCCTAGCAGTTAGAAGAACCAGAAATAGATTGCAGATTGCCAGATATCCAAAGAATCTGGTATCTTTTCTTCTACTATAATGGACTAGATGTAGTTTTTAAATGAATCAGCAACTGGCCCTATACCTGGCAACAAAGTGAGCACTCAAATTGTCAAAGGCACAAAAAGGCCAGATGTAACATGGCGCCCACCTCTTCCAAGGTCAGTGGGGGGGTTTTCAGTTGCCACTTGAGGGGAACAGGTGTAGAAGAGTAATGAGCAACTTACAGCTCTCCAACCACGCTGTTGCAGGAAGCTCCGAGATGAAACTACCTTCTCCTTCTGTCTGGAGAGTGACTGGGCTGGAGGGGTGAAGGTGGACCTTGCTGGCAGGGGACTCGCACTAGTCTGGAGGAGACAGATTCAGCAGCTGAACCGAGTCAGCCTGGAAATGGCCAGTGCAGTTGTGAATGCCTATCCCTCCCCACAGCTCCTGGTACAGGTATGCTGCTCCAGGGCTCAGGGGTCACTGCCCATTGCCTGCGGGCTCAGTGGGCCCCCAGATTTCCATGGACAACTGTTGAGGGCCCACAAAGGCCTCACAGGTCAGCAGTGCAGGTCTACTAAGATCAGTGTTGCTAATGCTGACCCAGGGAGGGAGGACAGGTTCTCATGCCCCAAGCCAAGCGTAGCACCCTCCATGCTCATGGAGAAGGGATCACCATGGATGGTACCATATTAAGAGGTCATCTACCACTTCCAGGCTTATCAGCAGTGTTTTTCGGATAAAGAACGCCAGAATTTGCTCGCAGACATACAGGTGCGCCGTGGGGAAGGTGTGACATCCACTTCTCGCCGCATTGGACCAGAACTATCCAGGCGTATCTACCTTCAGATGACCACTTTACAGCCACATCTCTCTTTAGATAGTGCTGACTGATTCTAGCCCTCAGGGATGAGGATGAAAAGCTGGAAACTTCCACTTCCCCAACCTCAGAGCCTGACTGTAATGAAGAGACTGGCAGCACCTCCTGGAACACAAGCCTAGGTGAGGCCCAGTCTTTCTTGGGTCTTATTATTTGTGAAGGTCTCTCTGCCTGTCGGCTGGGGCAGAGACTGAAATACTGCCACCTACCTTTGGCATTTAATGTTCCTCTCCTGGCAAAAATTCACTGCCACAGACAAACCACCCCCACTCCTACCCAGCCAGCCCTCAAAACACAAAGGAACAAAGACAGTCCACTCAGACACTTATTTAATAACTGTAGAAATCCAAAAGAATTAGCATCAAATCTTGAAGTCGTGAGTGAAGCTGCGGGTTGGCTTGACTGGGCTCAGCCACTGAGCTGCCTCAACCGGCCAAGGAACGGGATTATGATGACTATGCGGACTTCTATATTGTCTTCATCTCATTGTGTGTATTATGTATTTAGTTTCAATAAAGCATTTGTACCAATGGCTCTGGAGCTTGGAGGAAGACTAAAGGAATGTGTAGTGATTCTGAGTAAGATGTAGACCTACGCAGCAGAGCTATGGGGGAGAAGATTAACAAAGTCCTTTCTTCCAATATCAGGATAGTCATGAGTTGCAGTCCCATCCAAAAGGTCATTAGGGCTAAAAGGCCCTCTGTGTCTCTGAACTATGAGATTCTTGCTCCCTCCGGGGGAGCCAAGGAGCTTGCAACTGGGAGTTTGCAGTGAATGAGCACCATGACACAGTCATTTCTGATCCCTCTATCCAGCTGTTGTGAAAAGATGAAGCAAAGGAGGCAAGAAAATGCTTAATTTAGCAGACAAGAGAATGGACAGTGTGATCCTTGTTTGTGCTAGCCATTGGGTGATGCACCACTTTTCAGCTCCATGATGCTACTTGTTTCCCTTCATATCCTGTTTCCATTTATGCCCTTCAGTTATGGTCTAGAATCAAACAATTCTAAACCTCAGTGTCTTATGAAGCTGACACTTCAAAACCTGCAGAAGCAGGTTGCCTTTGAGGTATTTAGTCACACCAAGTACAACTAGAGCTGTCATAGACAGTGTAGGTTTGCAGAGATCCACCTCCTTGCTTACTGGCAATTAGGGAGTTAATGCTCTAAAATTAGGCAAGGAGCCTGGACTGTTGCCATTTTATGGAAGCCACATAAGTTGGGCAGGACTCCACAGGAGCTGCCCGTGACCTGATGATAGCAAGAGATTTCTATCTCTGAGTCGTGAAATCTGTCTACCATGAAAGAGTCTATGCTTCACCTGAGGAATAATCGATTCTGGTGTGAGTTCTGGTCTCTCAGGACATTATAAAGGAGGGAAAATGATGTAAAGGGAAGAAAGAATACCAGAGTGGGAATCCAGTTTTGCCTCAAACTAGCTGGGAGACTAGGCAAGTCATGGAAGACCTCAGTTTCTCTGTCTGCAAGTGTTATATTGGACTGGATGGTCATGAAGTCCCTTTCATAGCCAGAGATTTTGTGTGGCTGCTAAAATGCTTACATCTCTGAGGTCCTAAAGAAAACAGGAATACCCCTACCTCCCAGTTTAGACTGGATTTACTGAGCGTGGTGTTCTAGTCCCCCCCAGTTCCTCCTGATCTACCCTGATTCCCAGGGAGGAATGAAAGGGTTTGTGGCATACAAAAGTATAAATGTAGTGACAGCTGACCATTTAGTAGAAACGAGCCTTGCCTTTACACAGCTTTATATAACAACTAGAAAAGGCTATGTTTTCTCTCTCCCCACCCCCAAGCCTACTCCTTTAGGCATGCAGGTAACTGCCCCCCACGCCCCCCCGCCACCTCCCATTTCTCCTCATTCCTTCAGGGAACCCTGACTAAGGAATGAAGAAGTCCTACAAAGAGGAGGTCTCATGTACCAATCTGCAGCCATTTGATGATGGCAGGTAGGTCTGATGCTAAAAAGAGGTTGTGTCCAGCAGAACCCAATTCCATAGGAATCCAAACTCCAAGGCTGGGAGGCAGCAGGTGCTGGGGACAAGCTCACTGCTGAGAGTCGGTCTGGAGGACCCACTGGAGGATCTCATGGCGGCGTAGACCCTGGACCGCATTGTCATAGATGGTGTTCACGCTGGTGCAGAGGGGCTGCTGCTGCAGCTCTGTCACCCGACAAGCAACCAGCCCTCCCGCCACACCAAATAGCAGCAGCAGCAGCAGCAGCTTCAGCACAGCCCAGGAACGAGTGTGCTTCCGGGGTGGTGGCTTGCGGGGACGGGAGCCAGACTTAGATTCTGGAGGAAAAGTAACAGTAGACAAAGCAAGTTCAGTCAGAGGAGACCTGCTCTATACTAATCTCTGCTAGTCTCCTCCGTGCAGATCTACCTACATTCCTTCCTCAAGCAAAAACTCCCCAGGCCCTGAAGAGAAAAAATGTCTCCACAGACCGAAACAGAAACAACTTTTCCCTTGGATCTGAAGGGGGTAGATTTGCAACTGGCACTCATTCTGCGTGTCTCATGTAGCTCACAGCCCTCAGGGTCCTAAGTTCTCCTTGGTAACATGGTGATCCACGCCTCTTGGGATCGCAGAGGGAGAGGCTTATCAGGAAGCATCCAGCGCTGACAGAGTACTGTCCACTTGGGGAAACACGGTCAGGATTTATCATTATTGTCATTATTATGATATAATGTGTATATAAAAAGAAAGCCCAAAAGGTAATACACCATATTGTAAGCAGTGATGATTGCTAGGAATGGGGGAGTACAGGTGGTTGCCATTTTCTGATATATGTATCTAGATAGATAGGTATCTTTTCTCAATTCTTTGCAATGAACATATGTTACATTTTTAATTAGAAAAAAATTGGTTTTGAGATTTTTAGACAAAATTTTTAAAAACTTGACTGATCATCCACAATGCCAGGAACTGCATGATCCTGCTTCCTCATTTAATCCTTATCACTACCCTGTATGATCTTCATTTTCAACAAGGAAATTAAAAACCAGTGAGATCAGGAAGGTGGAGGCCTGTGGCCCTGTCCTGGTCAAGACAAGGGTGAGTAGGGGCAGGGCCACAGGCCTCCACTCTCTGTACAGAGCTCCTTCCCTCACCTGCCTCTCCCTCAGGAGTCCCTTTTCACCCAGAGGGTATCTGATCCTCTGCAGCATGTGGAGCCACGTCACTAACGAAATTCAACCATAGTCAGGTAAAACACAAAAATGTGTTTTCTATACAATGTGGCTCCCTGAATGCAGGCCAAATGACTCCTCTAGTGTTCAAGCAGTGAGGGGTCTCACTGTTGCCCAGGCTGGTCGTAAATGATCCTCCTGCTTCAGCCTCCCAAGTAGCTGGGACCACAGGTGTGTGCCACTACACTTGGCTAATTTTTTAATTTATGTAGAGACAGAGTCTCTATGTTGCTCAGGCTGGTCTCAAACTCCTGGGCTCAAGTGATCTCTTCTCACCTTAGCCTCCCAAAGCACTGGGATTAAAGGCCTGAGCCACAGAACTTTACTGTAAGGCACTTTTAAGAGTAAACTTGCCGGGCACAGTGGCTCACACCTGTAATCCCAGCACTTGGGGAGGCCGAGGCAGGCGGATTACCTGAGGTCGGGAGTTTGAGACCAGCCCGACCAACATGCAGAAACCACATCACTACTAAAAATACAAAATTAGCTGGGCGTGGTGGCACATGCCTGTAATCCCAGCTACTTTGGAGGTTGAGGCAAGAGAATCTCTTGAACCCAGGAGACGGAGGTTGCAGTGAGCCGAGATCACGCCATTGCACTCCAGCCTGGGCAACAAGAGTGAAACTCTGTCTCAAAAAAAAAAAAAAAGGAAACTTGACCATGTGTGTGATTTTTGCATATCTCAATGATTTTAGACCCTCACCTCTAAAAAAAAGTGAGACTCTGTTCTGGGAATGCTTCAAGATACATCTGACCCAAACACCTGCACAGAAGTATGTGGGCACTGGAGAAACAAACAAGCTGGGCACTGCCTCCCTAGGAGAGTCCCCCATTCCCCGTAACCAAACCTTCTCATCCACTCCCAAGCTTTAGAGTGTACTTTATCTAAGGTTTGCAGGCCTGCTCACCCCAGTTGTCTATGCCTGGAAACATGAGTGTCTCCACTGTACCCCTGCTGGAATCTTACAACAGGCAGAAAACTTACTCGGGGCCTGATTTGCTTCCTTCTTAGGTTTCTTCTCCTGCTCCCGCTTGGCTGCTTTGAGGGCATCATACTCCTTTCTCCGGCGCTCCTTCTCTTCCGCCTTCTCCCGCTTCCGCAGTTCCCGCTCCTGAGCTTCCTTAGCTCGCTGCTTAGCCTCACGCTTCTTCTCTGCCTCTACAACAAAACATACCAAAATTTGACTTCTCTCTCACAAACACTCCAGCAGTTTGCTTTCCCAAGTGATTAAAAGTACAGATTCTGCCACCTTTACCCTGGTGCCATGGTTCACATAAGAAATATTCAAAGGAAACAGCCATCCTTCTGCTCCTGGAAGTAGCCCTCCCCAAAAGCAGCTGCTCTCAGGGTTTGCTGAATGGTTTCTGATTACGAGGTTCCTATCCTCAAGCAGCAGAGAAATTAGGGTAAAATAACAAGGAGGACCTAAGAAAGGCATGAGGGATAAGTGGTGCTCCTCTAGAATTAGGTACTAACTCAGAAGGCATAGCAACTGATTGCCTTCTAGAACTCAGCTATGAAGAGAAAAAACCATGGCAGTTTTCTATGGGACTCCTATCTTCCCAAGCTTCAGAAATGAATGTGGTATGGGGGGACAAGTGAGAAGAGAAAATGAGCACTCAAGTTTAGGGTTAGAAACAATGACGCCAGGAGCAGTAGTTCATGCCTATAACCCTAGGACTTTGGGAGGTGAAGCTGGGAGTATCACTTGAGGCCAGGAGTTCAAGACCAGCCTGGGCAACATAGCAAGACTGTCTATAAAAAAACGAAAAAATTAGCTGGGTGTGCTGGCGCATGCCTGTAGTCCCAGCTACCTGGGAGGCTGAAGTGGGAGGATCTATTGAGCTCAGGAAGTGGAGGTTGCAGTGAACCATGATCGTGCCACTGCACTCCAGCCTGGGTGACAGTGAGACCATGCCTCAAAGAAAATAAAAGAAAAAAAGTAACAATGGCAATGTGTTCTAAAAAAGTGAACCTACCTTCTTACTACTGCACTGACTATTTTTTTTTTTTAAGGCTAGTCAAGTGAAGCAGTGGGAGTGGAGAAGGAAGAAAGAAATCTCTAACTGGTTGTGATGAATTAGTTGTAAACACCACTGCACTAGGACCAGCCTGCACTTGACTAGTCTTAAAAAACAAATACTTGAACTCATGAATCTGAGAACTGAACACAGGAACACATTCAGATTTACTCAATGGTTCAAGCATGTTTGCAAACTTCCAAATTACAACCTCCAAATTATTGGGTTCTAAAAATGCATTTCCAAATTAGTTATTTGGAAGTCTGAAATACATTTTGCCAAAGCCAGAATGCCACAAATGATGGTTAAATGTCCTTTTAGGGCTTAAAAGGCTATGTTAGCCATAATGTAGCTGAATAGTACTACTGTAAATACTGTAGCTTTCCACTGCTTCTCCATGTAGAAACAAGCTCCAAGTTCCAGCTGGGCACCAGAATGCCAAGAACACACTCCACCCAGCCTCTAGGGAACATGGGCCACTGAGAGGTGAAGGCAACAGGGGTCAGAGTAAACACGGGTATGTCTTGCCACAGTGGCCATGCGTAATAAGGGATGGCTGTAACTTGGCACGGTGCTCTCAGGGACTGCCTGTAATCAGTACTGTACACATCCCTTCTTGAACCACAAGAGTCCTCCAGTGAGGGGCTCAGAAATCAGCCAGCCAGTCAACAGAGCACCTACTATGTGCCAGGGGTTATTTTAAGGGCTTGAGATGCAGCAATGGAGAAAACAGGCCACATTCCAGTGCCTATATCATTTACTTTCTAGAGAAGACAATAAACAGGTGAACGTAACAATGACAGTGATCTGTGCCCTAAAGAAACTAGCAGAGGGGCACCTGTAGTCCCAGCTACTCAGGAGGCTGAGGCAGGAGAATGGCTTGAAGCCAGGAGGCGGAGGTTGCAGTGAGCCGAGATCGTGCCACCGCACTCCAGCCTGGGCAACAGAGCGAGACTCTGTCTCAAAAAATAATTAAAAAAAAAACTAGCAGAGGGTATGACAGAGTGACAGGTAGAATGGCTACTCTAATCCAGTGGTTCTAAAAGGGTTACAGTTAACCTAAGGCAACATTTGAGCAGAGATGTGGGATTATGAAGCCAGCACTTAAAGAGACTAAGGGAAAAGGAAACCCAGCAAAGCCCCTGAGTGAGACTGCAGTTGGTGTACTCAAGCTGAAGTTAATGGCCCAGTTTCACTTGTGTGTGCAACAAGGCCGGTGGAGAGCAGGCAAGTAAGCTTGGGCCAAGGTGGGTTTTGCTGGCCTTGTCAATGAGTTTGGATTTCATTCTAAGTTCAGTGGGATGCCATTAGAGGGTTTTAAGCAAGTAGCAGCATAATTATTTATGTTGTAAAAAGATCTCCCAGACTGTTGTGAAGAGAATGAGTTTAAGGAGATGGCAGCATCATGGAGACATGCTGGAAGGCATTGTGATGGTCCCAGAATGGTGGCTGGTTAGAGATGGCACCGGAGCTGGAGAAACAGTCCCACATAGGACTTGCTGACAGATTGGATGTGGGAATTACAGAAAAAAAGGAGTCATTAACATCTTTCCTATTTTAGGCTTGAATAACTATAGGGAAAGTGATTTCCTATTACAGGGAACACTGGGAGGGACTGAAGGGCCATCAGGAATCTGTTTTAGCCACATTTCATATGAATGCCTATTAACCCTCCAAGCAGAGATGAAATATAAGCAGTTGACTGCCTCTAGAGCACAGCAGAGAAGCCAGGACTGAAGAGAGATTCATCAGATAAAGACGATACCATCCACCACAATACTGTCCCCCCACCGCCCACTAACTGTTCTTCATGACTACTCTACTGGATCCCAGCTCCTGAAGCATGAGAATCCACTGGCTGGGATGAGGACCTGAAAGATAACTACAAGAGGGACAGCCACCTACCACGTTCTACTTCCAGCCGCCGCTGCCTCTCCCGCTCCTGATCTGCCTGCACGGCCTTCATGTGCTGTAACACCTGCAAAGGAAAAGGAGGAAAGTAGTGCTCTTCATAGTCATGTTTGCTCAGGGAAGTCTCAAAAAACAGACTATTTTCAGGCTTCCAGATTATCATGGTAGCAATGTAGAACTAATAAGAGTTAGGCTGAATGTGGTGGCTCACGCCTGTAACCCCAACACTCTGGGAAGCCGAGATAGAAGGACTGCTTGAGCCCAGGAGTTCAAGACAAGCCTCGGCAACATAATGAGACCCTGTCTCTACAGAAAAATGTAAAAAATTGGCCAGGCACAGCGGCAGATGCCTGTAGTCTCAGCTACTTAGGAGGCCAAGGAGAGAGGATTACTTGAACCCAGAAGGTCAAGGCTGCAGTGAGCTGTGGTCACGCCATGGCACTCCAGTCTGGGTGAAGACTGAGACCCTATCTCAAAACAACAACCACCACCACCACCACCACCAAACTAATAGAGTTAATTGTATCTTTGTATCCTAAAATTACTGTGCCAACCTTAGTTGGAGAAGAGTGCTATGAGCCAAGGTCATTAAAACTGTCAGAAAAAAGTGAAACACAATGCCAACTCGAATCTGTAAAAAGTTCTGCCATTTACACTCACTGTCACATGCATGATTCCATATGACCCTCAGCAACAACTTGGGAACAGCATTTCCTCCAACACGCTTTCCTGACTGCCCCTCCTGTGGCTACCTTAAGTCCCCCTCCATCTACTCCTGTGGAATTCAACACAGGACATTGTAGCTACTTGCTACCTATCTGGCTTGGTCATAAGATGGCAGATTCCTTAATGGCAGGAACCGCTGTCTGGTCTGTAGGTATCACACAGGGGCGTGGCTAGCACAGAGTTTAGCTAATTGCAGGCATTCAATACATACATGAGGAATGGCTAATTCCCATTTCAAAAGGAAGAAAACCAAGACTCATAGGGTGATTTGTCCACTGCTAATGGCCAGAAAGCAGCACAGCTAAGACCTGAGCACAGTCCCCTGCATTCCTAGGGCAGAGCTTGTCGCACACACTTTCACCACATGCAGAGGAGAGCTCCGAGAGAAGCCTACACACAGCACACTTGTACTCGGCAATCTGAGCTCCCCAGATCCACATAAACTCGCTCATGGATGACCTCTAACCACACAATCACAAAGATTCTCGCTATGGTGGGTGGAGGAGGTAAAGACCTTTTCTGTTTGTATTTTTTTAAAGGTGGTATTCTTTGGCTGTAGGGGATAGAGTGTAAGCTTGGAGCCCAACGCAATCCTGACTACCCCTTATTGTATAACCTTGGCAAGTGACTTAACCTTTCTGAGCCGATTTTCTGATCGAGAAAACAGAGATAAGATATACTTCTATGGAGTGTTGTGAAGAATAAATAATATAACTTGTATTGGCTGCCTTGTATAATCTCTGGCATTATATGTGCTCAGTAAGTACTGCTGCTTATTTTCTTTACCATGTGAGTAAGAAAAAAGAAGAAAACCCAAACTATTAGCAAAAGGGTCTTGTTTTACTACTGCACTTAACAATTACATTTGAATATGCATGCGCACGAGACAGACATGTATATTCATATGTAATTCTTATTTCTAGAAAACTCCAGACACGCATACCTCCAGACAAGCACACACCCATCATAAGAAGTATTCAGGAGCAGACCAGCAAAAGGATCTCCTTTCAAAAGCCTGGTTTGGGCCAGGCGCGGTGGCTCACACCTGTAATCCCACACTTTGGGAGGCCAAGGTGGGCAGATCACTGGAGCTCAGGAGTTCAAGACCAGCCTGACCGATATGGTGAAACTCCCATCTCTACTAAAAAATACAAAAATTAGCTGGGTGTGGTGGTGTGCGCCTGTAATCCCAGCTACTCAGGAGGCTGAGGCAGGAGAATCTCTTGAACCCGGGAGGTGGAGGTTGCAGTGAGCTGAGATTGCGCCACTGCACTCCAGCCTGGACGATAGAGCGTGACTCTGTCTCAAAAAAAAAAAAAAAAAAAGAAAAAGGAAAGAAATCAGGTCTGGACCCAGAGTTAGGGCTCAGGGCACTCAGGCAGTAGAGAAGTTATGGGTCCCGTTGCCATGATTGCAGGGAGAGTGTGGAAAGTAAGAGTCCAGGGTGTTGGCTGAGGAAAAGGAGTGAGGGGAGTGGATCACCTGAGGTCAGGAGTTCAAGACAAGCCTGGCCAACATGGTGAAACCCCATCTCTACTAAAAATGCAAAAATTAGCCAGTCATGGTGGCATGCCCCTGTAATCCCAGCTACTTGGGAAGCTGAGGTGGGAGAACTGCTTGAACCCGGGAGGCGCAGGTTGCAGTGAACTGAGAGTGCGCCACTGCCCTCCAGCTTGGGTGACAGAGCAAGACCCCATGTCAAAAAAAAAAAAATTAATTATCTGAAAACACAGGCAATGCAGAAATGGGACAGATTGTCATAGTCTGGAGTCTGTGAGCTCCTGGAGGGTAAATTTTTGTCTAGCTACTCTAGTTCATAGCATACAGTAAGCACTTGATGAATACATTGAACAAATCATTTTTAAAAATTGCTTTAATATGTACCAAGCAGATTAAGACTAACCCATATACCCACCAGGGTTTAGGTCTTACCTGGTCAGAGCTAGTAAGACCTAAACTAATTCCTGCAGACAGACGACCTGATTCTGACTGGCCCAGGCCATTTCCCTACAAAGCCTAAAGGTGTGCTGCAGCTCTAGGACAGCTGTGCTAGGGACCATGGCTTTAGTTACCACATCCACTATGCTGCCTGGAGCTTTGTCTGAAAGACATATGCAAATACAAAAGGCCTTTGTACTCAATCAAAATTATTTTTGTATGTCAAAAACTGGAATATCATCAATTTCCTATGGTTCCACATATTACCTACTGAATGAATGGATGGATGGATGAATGAAAGGTGTGTATATGCTGAGGGTTTCTTGTGTCAGAGAAATGAAAGTAATGCCGACTCCTCAGGGCTCTGAGGATTGTGAGATGGTGCATGGAAAGCATCCAGGACAAGGAAAGAGTAATCAATGGTAGCTACTGTCAGCTTGCAGAACAGACATCACTCCTACAGCACCTAGTTTTCAAAAGAGGATTTCACTGATCACTTATACTGTTCTCATCTAAGGGAAAACTCTTGTCTTAGCTACTTGGTTAACTTTGTGCTTGATTTGTTGTAATAAGAGATGATACAGATGACAAGATTATATAAGAAGCCCTGAGCTAATGATAAGAAGTATCTTACTCTCTTACTCTCTACTTGAGACAGCAGAGACTCATCATTCACCCATGAATTCTAGTATTTAAAGTTAAGTCTTTTTTGTTCAACATGCACCTTAAACATAGCCAAGTTAGTCATCTGGTGCTCAGCTGAAGCAGCAGCAATCTGTTCCAAAGCTGGAGGGAAAAAGTGACTATAGTTGGAGTTATTAAGAGATAGGTGTAATGCTGTTCTTAATAGGTAGGGTACGGCACCTTCCAGGCTACTGACCACAGACAATAGTTGTCTTGCATGCTGCTTTCAGTTCCTCACTCCTATGTCAGATGACTCAACTGTAATCAAATACCAGGTCTGCCCAGGACGTGCCTGCTTACAGCTGTAACACCTTTATCATCGCTTTTATTATCAACATTCCTACGACTGTGCCTCAGAAAGGCCACAGCCCCTAACCCCCGGTACTATTAAAACAACTGTCCACACAGTGTCATGTTGCATCACGCAAGGTCCCGGCTCCTTAAGAGAGGAAGTACTGCAGTAGAGAAGGCAGTCTTGTTCTGCGACTTGCGAACTAAGTGCAGGCCAGGCATGGTGGCTCACGCCTATAATCCCAGCACTTTGGAAGGCCAAGGTGGGCGAATCATTTGAGGTCGGGAGTTGGAGACCAGCCTGGCCAACGTGGCGAAACACCATCTCCACTAAAAAATACAAAAATTAGCTGAGCATGGTAGCAGGCGTCTGTAATCTCAGCTACTCGGGAGGCTGAGGCAGGAGAATCGCTTGAACCTGGGAGGCGGAGGTTGGAGTGGGCCGAGATTGTGCCACTTGCACTCCAACCTGGGCAACAGAGCAACTCTGTCTCAAAACAAATAAAAAACAAAAAGATAAAGTAAATGCAGAAACAAAGGTCTCTGTTTGACAGGCTCATAGTGGACATATTTCACTCGGACCTGAATGCTTAACTCCACACAAAGCTCCAGGTGCCCTAGGAGGGAAAAACAGGAGGAGGAGAAATCCCAGGGAGTGTATAAGGAGCCACTGGGAGGGAGCTTGGTGCTTACCTTGTTTGCACACTGCTTACACTGCTTCTCATCCAAGCAGTCACCTGCCACCTTGGCCAGGACAGGATCCAGGGGGTTATCCTTCAGGTCCAACCACTTCAGGTTCTAAAGAGATGGGCGATGGGCAAAGAGGCTCATTAAGCCCGAGTTCACATACATAGTCCCTCAGGGTGAAACAAAATGAGCAGGAAGAATGCCCCTCTGTGTTCCACATATAGGGAGCGCCATCTGAGGCAGGACCAACAAGGGGGTATTTCTGTCAGCCTTTCTCAGGGCCGTGCTCCAGAGTCCCTGAGTTCTCTGCCACCCTGGCCATGAAACACTGGTTCATGAATTGTTACCTTGAGCTGAGCAAAGCTGACAGGCAAGGTGACCAGCTTGTTGTTGAGGAGATCCAGGTGCTGGAGGTTGACCAGACGGCCAAAGTCTGCTGGCAGCTGCTGCAGCTTGTTCTTACTCAGGTCTAGCTTCACCAGGTGTGTGAGGCCACAGAAATCCGACTAGGATCCAAAGAGAGAACCTAAGCTAGGCTTGTCCAACACACGAGCCACGACAGCTTTAAATGTGGCCCAATACAAATTTGTAACCTTTCTTAAAACATTACGAGATTTTTTTTCCTTTTTCAGCTCATCAGTGTATTTCATGTGTAGCCCAAGACAACTCTTCTTCTTCCAATGTGGCCCAGGGAAGCCACAAGATTGGAAACTCCTCATCTAAGCCTTGGGCTCACACACTTCGGTGTAACAGTCTGGAAGCCCTCAAGTCAGAGGTACCCCATGTAAAAATCCTGGCTCTACTGTTAGCAGCCGTTCTTCCTCAAATGAAAATGCAGAGAACACCTACCACACCTGGTGATAATTACCAAGATATGTATGGAAAAGGGCTTAGCACAAAGTAGGCACAAAACACTATTCCTTCACCCTCAGTTCTTGCTCCAGCCTACCCTCCACACTGCTCCTGGAGAGGTGTGGTTACCCATTCTGTCCTTCCACAGCACCCTATGCTCACCATTCATAGGATCTGTCAAAACAGCGTGCTCGTTCATTTTCTTAAAAAGATCAGGCACTCCTGGAGTACTCAGTCTGATTCTTGTTATTTGCAGCACCTAGCACAGTACTTAACACAGGTGCTCAACAGACATTCTGTGAATAACTAACTGAACGGGCTGGGGTCCATCCTACCCAAGTCCTGGCTCTTTCTCAACACAGGTCAAAACATCCCCCTGACATTAAACCTTTGCTAAGCACCCATCTGAAAGCGATGGTACAACCTCAGCTAATGAGGCACTATTCATGCTCTCTAGGGACTTGGAAATGCCAGTGGATCTGAAATGCAGAGTGAAATGGAAGTTGTCAGTACAGACAACAGAACAAGCTCAGATCGAAAAGTGCACTTGGCTGAATGACCATCTGGCAAAGTGTACAGAAGGAGTGCGGCTGCAAGGAATTGCTAACCTGCTTTTATTTTTAATTTTTTAGAGGCGGGATCTTGCTATGTTGTCCAGGCTGCTCTCAAACTCCTGGGCTAAGTGATTCTCCCACCTCAGCCTCCTGAGTTACTGGGATTATAGGCATGAACCACAGCTCCCAACATATTCTTCTTTTATTCAACACAAAATACTTTCTGGAAGAAGTGAGATCTCGATGCTTTTTGAATGTTAGAAACAGTTTTTGATGAGCTGTGACAAGGTACTGTGGACGATGAGCAAGGCCTAGGAGAATACTGAGAGGTGAGTGGACTAATAATCCAATGAGGACATTGCCAACTTCTGAATTCGACCTCTGAGCCACAGCCAGGGCCAAATAGGAAGTCACCCTGGAGTACAGCAAGGAGTGGCACGGCTAGAGTGATGGGTGGAAGTGGCAATAGCACACTTAGGCCTGACGGTGCAGGAGCACTACTATGTCAGAGAGGCTGAGGGGCTGAATGAATCCACTGTCTACACAGGTGGAGTGGAAGGAAAACTAGCAGACGTTGTGCAAGAAAAATAAAAAGGATTTGATCATGGATTGAATGTGCTGACCACATTGAGCAAATCTCAACTAATTCAAGTCCTTTGGGAGAATAATGATAAGGTAGCCCATAAAATCACCTTCTTTCTTGCTCCCCATCAAAAGATGCACAAGGAAGCTGTTCACAGCTTTCTCCCTGGAACGCAGAGCAACTTACAAAATGGTCTCTAGCATCCTCTATGCAGTAGGGAGGTAAACTATTTTTCAGAGGAATAAAATAATGTAGAAAAAAGATGAGCCCAGTAAGTTACTCAGCACCCTGTTGAGTTTAGTTTTCTGTGGACTGACTTTACCACTGTTCTGAAGAATGAGGCCTCCATCTCAATTCCTTTCCCACTGAGACCAACCACTCCATTCCACTGTGCCTCCCCTACACACTCAGATTTAGCTATAGCCTGCCTGTAGGCCTATCCTGAAATTACACCTTATGACACCCTCCCACCCCCCTCTCAACCCCCGAAACAGGAAGGAGATGCATCCAAGGCACCAGAAGGAGTCACGGCTGCATGCCAATCTTACCGGTAGAGTAGTCAGTTTATTACAAGACAGATCCAGGATGGTGGCCTTTGGAAGGGCAGCCTAGGTAAAAGAGGATGAGAAAAACATGTCAGACCAACATCTGGAACAATTCACTGACATATGTTAATGAAGCATTTTCCAGAGAATGTTCCCATGATTAGGAAAGGCCTTTTAAAATGGCAGTAAAGAGTAATGTTCCTGGGAATAAGAGGAAAAATAAGCCAGTCAACCATGATCTAAGGAAGAATGCAAAGAGAAGGGATGTGGCTGTACAACCTCCAAGAAGGTAAACCTTAGGCGAGGCACAGGGACTCACACCTGTAGTCTCATAGTCTCAGCTACTCAGAAAGCTGAGACAGGAGGATCGCTTGAGCCCAGGAGTTCAGGAGTTTGAGGCCGGCCTGCACAACACAGTGAGACCCCATCTCAAAAAAAAAAAAAAAGAAAGGAAGGCAGGCAGGCAGGCAGGCAAGCAAAATTTAGATTCTTAGACATTATTCCTAGCACTTTAAAAATAAATATTACCCAGCGTCCCTCTTATTAGGTTTCAGGGCAGGGACAGTGTCTAATAAAGCTTTGCAATTTCCATATTCCCCAGTTCAGGCCCTTCCTCAGAACAGGTACTCAATATCCATACATGTTGCCTGAATCATGACTGATCGAGTAAGTAGCGGAGTGAATGACAGAGTGAAAAAACAAGGCCCTGCCGGGTGCGGTGGCTCACGCCTGTAATCCCACCACTTTGGGAGGCTGAGGCAGGCAATCACCTGAAGTCAGGAGTTCGAGACCAGCCTGACCAACACGGAGAAACCCTGTCTCTACTAAAAATAGAAAATTAGCCAGGCATGGTGGCACACGCTTGTAATCCCAGCTACTCGGGAGGCTGAGGCAGGAGAATCGCTTGAACCCGGGAGGCAGAGGTTTCAGTGAGCCGAGATCACTCCTGGGCAACAACAGCAAAACTCCATCATCCAAAAAAAAAAAAGGCCCTCACAGCCCATCTCTATTTTCCCATGGTGTCCAGGCTGGACAAGCTCAGCAAAACTTTCTCCCTAAGGTTAATGCTGGACTGTTCAGATGCCTGGAGTATATGGTTTCAGAGAGCAGTCCTAGGGCAGGGTGAAATAAGGCTGGCCATCTATCTTCCTGGGGTAGAAAAGGAGGCATATATTCAGTTAAGGATCCTCTGGCAACCTGCACTTTCTGTCACAAAGTCGTAAAAGTGAAGTTTGACCACCTAAAAAAGTTTTAAATACTACAGCGGGAAAAACACAACAACAGCTACAAGTATCAGTATTTGCTCCTTCCAAGCATTTTCCATTACAATGGTATTTAACCTCCCAATAAGCGTATGAGATGGAAACTATTATCACCATTGTATAGATGAGGAGATCTAGGCATAAAGGCTAACTAGCTTGCCAAGGGCACTCGGCTATTAAGCAATGGAGCTGGGAGGAGCTAGGAACCCGGTTCTAACCACTGTAATACCCGTCCACGGTGGAAGAAAGACTGGGCCCAGCGCCCAAGGCAAATGTAATTTATCAACGGCAGAAAGCAAAGTGTGGGTCACCCAAAGTGAGTCTAGTAGGGCGTTGGCGCGGGTGGGAGGGGGAACGGAGTGGGAAAAGGAGGGATGTGGGAACTAGCTCCACGCTGACAAAACTAGATGCCTGCTATCTCTCTGGAGCTGTAAGCTTCAGTTTACAGGGGAAAGGTTGGGGGAGAGAGGGGCGAAAGGGACTCCCGCCAGTTTCAGCGGAATTCAGATGACAGTTTACCAGCCAAGCTGGGGGGAGACTTTACTTTCTTCGAGTTAGGCTGCCTCAGGGCTCGGGCAGCCAGCTGGAATTGCCAGCTTCCTAGAAGAGCCAGGTTCTGGGCCACACCCAGGTCTACCAGGAGGCCTACTCCCCTGGAACAAGTCACTCATTCATTCTCGAATACATCCAGTAACTGCTCCGTGTGCTCCTACTCAGAGTCGGGCACGGAGGTGGGCGCTGTGAAAGCCCCGCAAAGGTGACAGATTCGCTTCTTAGCCTGTAAAAAGCCTAGGGCCAGAGAAGCAGATCTTCCCTATGTTCTGGAACTGCGCCAAAGTGACACGTGTACATCCCGGGAAGAACCTTGGGCTGGACGCGGCCTCCTAGGGGACTTAGTCCCACCACCCCGCTTCTTTTTAAAGAAAAGGAAACTGATGCTTTTAGAGAAGAGGAAAGTAAGTGGCCCACGTAGGGGCCAGCGCCCGGCGAAGGTGGGCGCCTGGGCCTCGCGGGACGATACTGACCAGCTCCTTCACCGGGACCTCATTCAGGTCGCTGAGGCTCAGGTCCAGTTCGTTGCCGTCCAGCTTGTCGCGGAGGTTCCCGCCCTTGCTACCGGCCTTGGTCATGGTAACGCCGGCTGAGCGGGCCCCGGCTCCGGGGTTCCGGCGGGTGAAAGGAGCTGAAATGTCGCTTGTCAGTTCAGCGGCCCCCCACCCAAACGACGACGCCTGAGCCCTCCGTCGCCGCCGATGCGAGACCGCCTCCGCCCGCTGGCCGCACTCCGAGCCTCGCGCCTAGCTCCCACCGGTGCCGCGACGACGACCACTTCCGTGTCCACGTCACCTTCCGCGACCACTGAGATGGGCTGGGCCAGAGCGGCCCGAGCGTGTGCGGGCACGCCCCCTGGTGCCCAGGGTGATGCACTGCACGTCGCCGCCGCCGGAGGGGTGGGGTTGGAGGCTGCGAGCTCGGTTCACGTTCACCCGTGGCCCGCGGGCATTATTGCTGGCAGTGCCACGAGGCGAAAGGGCACGGACTGGGCGCCAGAAGACTGGGTTGACATCCAATACTGACCTCATCAGATCACCCCAATCCCCCTGATTAGGAGCAGAAGCTGGGTGTCCTCTAAAACTGCTCCCTGTCCTCTACTTAACCCCCGAATAACCATCATGGGGAAAACTCTTCTTCCTGAATTTCTCCTCTCTCCTCCCCACTCACTGCCTCAGTGCTTGTCTCTGTCCTTCCATCCACTTTCACCCAGCTCCCCGGTGATCTTTCTAAAAATCTGGCCAAGTCTCTCCCCTACGTAAAACCCTTCAAACTTGCAGCTACCTCTAGGATACGGACCACTTTCCTTTGGAAGCTGGGTCCTGCCTGCTTTCGCAGCTTCCTCACACGCTCCAGTCCCTGCCTGGCCTAGATGCTGTGTAGATTTCCAGGAGGTGGCTCCCACGTCTGGCCCTCCCCAGCGATGGCCCTCCCTCCCCCCCACTCACCTCTGTCTAGCTAATTCCTTAGTCCTTCAGGAAATCTCCCCTGAACACCGTGAATGCCAGACTGAGTTAGCGCCCCCCCCAACCAACTTAGGTCCCTGTTTGCTACTTTATCATCAGAGACAGTAGAGCTTGATGGCCAAGTGGGACCTCTGGCACTAATACCTATCCACTGGGTATTCATCCTGGCTCTGCCACTTGCTACTTATAAAACCGTAGACAATCACCAGGCTTCAGTCTTATCTATGAATCAATCTATGAGACATGTAGCTAACAGAGGTTGGGGAGAACTGAAGGAGTAAAACACACCAAGAGCTTACAGCAGTCACTGGCACTTAGTAAGTACCCAATAAATATTAGCTACAATTCATGATCCACCTTGTATTATACTCATCTTTATGTGTCTGTCCTTCATTCTGGACTGTGAGGACAGGGATTTTTGTCTTAATCATCTTCGTATGCCCAGAGTTGGCATACCCTGATGCAGGGTAGCTACTCATTCAGATGTCTGTTGAATAAATGAATAGATGGATGGATGAATGAATGAATGAATGAAGGAAGGAAGCACTTTACCCACTCCAAACCTCAGTTTACTCATTTTGAAATAGGGATATTAAAGCTTATCTCAGAGGGGCCGAGCAGGATAGCTCACACCTGTAATCCCAATACTTGGGAGGCCAAGATGAGAGGATTATTTGAGGCTAGGAGTTCAAAACCAGTCTGGGCAACATAGCAAGACCCCATCTCTAAAAAAATAAAAAATAAAAAATCTTGTCTCAGAGGGAAACTATGAACACCAAATAAAGTAAGTGCAATTGTTACGGGGGGTGGGTGGCAGGGGTCCTTGTTCTTAGAACTCCCAAGATGGTGGCGGGCCACTTCCAAGATGGCGGCAAGCCTCTTGTTCTCTGACCTGGGTTTCTTGGCCTCACGCATTCCAAGGAATGGAATCTTGGGCCATGCAATGAGTGTTATAGCTCTATTCAGCTCAATTAGGACAAATCCAGGCACTTAGCCACGCAGGAACAATGGCAAGCCTTTAGCCTGATCCAGAGCAGCAATGGGCGCCTCACTGGATCGGGAGCCCAGCAGACACCCTGCCAGATCCAGAGGGGTGGAAGTCAGCAGCGGGTCTGCGACAGCAGCAAACAGCAGTAGTGGACGGTAAGGAAAAGCTCAGCTCAAGCCGTAACAAACACGGACCAGAAAAGTGTGCAGTTGCAAGATTTAATAGAGTGAAAACAGAGCTCCCATAAAATGGCAGGGGACCCAAAGGGGGTTGCTGTTGCCGGCTCGAATGCCTGGGTTTATATCCCGATCATTGTCCCTCCTCCTGTGCTCTCAGGCGATAGATGATTGGCTATTTCTTTACCTCCTGTTTTTGCTTAATTAGCATTTCAGTGAGCTCTCTTTACTACCTGATTGATCAGGTGCGAGCTAAGTTGCAAGCCCCATGTTTAAAGGTGGATGCGGTCACCTTCCCAGCTAGGCTTAGGGATTCTTAGTTGGCTTAGGAAATCCAGCTAGTCCTGTCTCTCAGTGCCCCCCTCAACAGGAAAACCCAAGTGCTGTTGGGGAGGTTGGCCGATGACCGCTCTAACTGCTTCCTGCTAAATTGGGGCATAGTAGGGGTTGTGCAGTTGAGATTTCCTCGGGAGGGTTGCTTTTGATGTCACCAACATCACAGCATGGGCTAGCAGACTGGTCCAGGGGTCCACGGTAGATCTTAGTCATGGACCGCATCTGGGGCTCCATTTAAAGAACCATTTGTAGTTTTACAGCTTCGATTCTGGAACAGACAAACTTAACAAGGAGGTTAAAGATACAGGGATTGAAATGTATGGCCTGTAGTGTAGGGGATTATTTCTTTGGCACACTTCACAGGCCCTGACTATCTACTTGATAGTTTTGAAAAGGCCTGTCTAGTAAATAATAATTTGGCCATCTGATGGGTGCTATCAATGCCTAAGTGAAAGGTTTGGTGAAGGGTTTTAAGCAATTTCCATTGGTTAGCTGCAGGCAAAAGTATTTTTCCTTCTCCAGTGGCTAGTCATCCTGAGGGGAGGAAACTATGTCCTCGTCAGGTTCCCCATTCTATTTCTCCTGCTGAGTACTGGGGCTTGGTTTCCTGGAGGGGATTACCCCATACTAGGGGTTCTTCTATAAGCATTTCTAATGGAGGGTCCCGCCTTGCGGCTCTTTTGGCTTCAATATCCACTTGGCGGTTCCCTTCTATTTCTTCTTTCCTTTCCTTTCCTTTCTGATGACCCCGGTAGTGTAAGACTGCCACCTCTTTAGGTGTCTATACAGCCAATAATAATCTCCTGATGGCTTCCTGATGTTTGATAGGTGTTCCCTTGGAAGTTAGGAATTCACTTTCTCTCCATATTGCTGCATGGGCACGGAGGACTAGGTAAGCATACTTTGAGTCTGTATATATATTTACCCTTTTCCCTTCTCCTAATTCTAGTGTATAATGGCCCCTGCTTTTGCTAGAATGTCTCTCCCTAACAAGGGAGTGGGGCTTTCAGGCATAATTAGAAAAGCATGTGAAAAGAGTAAGTTCCCCAGTCACACCTTAGTGGCTGGGAGAAGTATCTAGTGACTGGCTGTCCTAGGACCCCTCGGATAGTGACAGATCTGGAGGACAGTTGTCCGGGACAGGAGAGTAAGACTGAGAAGGCCACGCCAGTTTCCAGGAGACAGTTAACCTCCTGGCCCTCAATGGTCAAGCATACCCAGGGCTCTGTGAGGGTGATGGCATGGGCTGGCGCTTGCCTCAGGCACCCTCAGTCCTGCTGCTGGATCATCTGGTCAGTGGCTTCTGACTCAGAGGACCTTCGTCCCATGGGGCAGTGGGCCTTCCAGTGATTCCCTTGACATAAGGGGCATCGACAAGGGGTGGCTTATTTCTATTTGGACAATCTTTTTTTTTTTTTTTTTTTTTTTTGAGACAGAGTCTCACTCTTTTGCCTAGGCTGGAGTGCAGTGGCGTGATCTCGGCCCACTGCAAGCTCCGCCTCCTGGGTTCACGCCATTCTCTTGCCTCAGCCTCCTGAGTAGCTGGGACTACAGGCACCCACCACCGCGCCCAGCTAATTTTTTGTATTTTTAGTAGAGATGGAGTTTCACCGTGTTAGCCAGGATGGTCTCGATCTCCTGACCTCGTGATCTGCCCGCCTCGGCCTCCCAAAGTGCTGGGATTACAGGCGTGAGCCACCGCGCCCGGCCTTGGACAATCTTTTTTAAAGTGTCCTTGCAGGCCGCACTGGAAGCAAGCCCTATTAGGCATTCGATTTGCTCAGCCTTTCCATGTTCCAGAGCCTCCAAGGTCCGCTTGCCTGAGGACCATGACTAAAGCGGTGGCCTTTTTCTTATCTCATTTGTCCTGTTCTGCCTGTTCCTCCTTATCTCTATTATAAAAAAACCGAAGTTGCCAAGTTCAATAGGGTTTCTAAATTTTGCTCCGGGCCTAAGGTGGACTTCCGAAGTTTTTTTTTTAATGTCTGCAGCTGACTGAGTGATAAACTTATCAAGATTAGTTGGCCTTCAATAGAATCAGGTGACAGAGAGGTATGCTTCCTCAATGCCTCCCTTAGTCTCTCCAGAAAGGCAGTAGGATTTTCTTCCTTTCCCTGTGTTATGGTGGACATCACTGAATAATTCATAGGCTTCTTCCTAGTTTCCTTAGTCCTTCTATCTAGCACGCCAGTTAGTAAATGTCTGTGGCACCAATCTCTATGTTGTGATTCTGCATCCCAATGAGGGTCTACACTGGGAACTGCCTGCTGGCCTGTGGGAAATCGTTCTCTTTCCTCTGTTGTCATCCTATCATTGACCTGACTGAGATACCAGATATCGCCAAACTCTCGGGCTGCAGTTATGGCGGCACTTCTCTCATTTGTGGTTAGTGTCCGATCTAGCGGTAACATTATATCTCTCCATGTCAGAACAAAGGATTGTCTTAACCCTTGTAAAACATCAATATAGCCATCAGGGTTATCTGAGAATTTACCTAGGTCTATTTTTTTTTTTTAAGACGGAGTCGCACTCTGTTGCCCAGGCTGGAGTGCAGTGGCATGATCTCGGCTCACTGCAACCTCTGCCTCCTGGGTTCACGCCATTCTCCTGACTCAGCCTCCCGAGTAGCTGGGACTACAGGTGCCCGCCACCACGCCTGGCTATTTTTTTTTTTTTTGTATTTTTAGTAGAGATGGGGTTTCATCGTGTTAGCCAGGATGGTCTCAGTCTCCTGACCTCGTGATCTGCCTGCCTCAGCCTCCCAAAGTGCTGGGATTACAGGCGTGAGCCACCGCGCCCAGCCTTACCTAGGTCTATTTTAATTTGCTTCAAGTCTGACAGGGAAAAAGGTACATACACTCTGACTGGGCCGAATTCTCCAGAATACATCTTAGGGGCATTTTTGCCTTGGGGGGAATGTTTCCCATCTGAAAAAAAAAATAGAGATGCCAGCACCCCTAGTGATTTTCCCATAAGCATTAGTCCTAGAGGGTGCTCTATGGTCCTAATGCTTATTCCTTTCCAGGGTGCATAACCACCCATGGACTTCTGCTTATCGGATTAGTTATGCTCACCGATGTAGCAGTCCTGCACCCCTTTTCCCGAGCACAAAGAAAGGGGTCCGAGCTGCTGGATTCTAGTGGTCCTTTACCAGCGTGCCCAACATTGCCTTCATGCTCAGAGGTGAGTTCTAGAGCTGGGCTGAGTTCTTGAGTATTTCCTAACAACCCAGCTGCCCCATCAAGATGCATCCCCATAAACAACAGTTCTTATGCAAATTCGCTTCAGAGAGGGTGTAGGTAACCTTTTGAGTCAGGATTGAGATAGAGTCTTTTTGATTCTGTAAGTACTTTAAGGCTTGGCTGAGTGCAAACAGCTCCCACGTTTGAGCAGACCAATTATTAGGCAATTCTTCTAACTCTGCTTCCACAAGAGTCTCCCTATCAATTACTGAATACCCATTGTGTTTTTTCCTCAATCACCTGGGAGGAGCCATCTATCATTCTTTTCTGAAGGGAGTTCCTTCTAGGTCTGGTCGGACCTTTGTATGGTAATTAAGATTTAAATTCCCTGTTAGGAAATCTGCTGGGTTAAGGGAATTTTCAGTGGTTAGTGTTAAATTACCTTTTTCTAACAGAATAGCCCCATACTTTAAGATTTTTGAGTTAGTAAGCTACCTTTTTGCTTTTTTGACTTAGAATAATTCTGAACTGGTGAGGTGTGCTCACAATGAGGATTCCTCAAAAGGCTACTTTTCTAGGCTGGGCACAGTGGCTCACGCCCGTAATCTCAACACTTTGGAAGGCCGAGGTGGGTGGATCATGAGGTCAGGAGATCAAGACCATCCTGCCTAACACGGTGAAACCCCATCTCTACTAAAAATACAAAAAAAAAAAAAAAATTAGCTGGGCATGGTGGCGGGCGCCTGTAGTCCCAGCTACTCAGGAGGCTGAGGCAGGAGAATGGCGTGAACCCGGGAGGTGGAGCTGGCAGTGAGCCGAGATCACGCCACTGCACTCCAGCCTGGGCGACAGTGAGAATCCGTCTCAAAAAAAAAAAAAGTTACTTTTCACTTTCTTCTCTTAGCAAAGCAGTTGCTGCTACAGACTGAATGCATTTGGGCCATCCATTGGTTCCTGGATCTCAGTGCTTTCAGGCTACGCCCTTGTTTACACTGACAACAAGGCAGTATTGGAGTGTTATAGGGTCACAGAGAAGACCTTCAATTATCAATTATAGGTTTTAAATTTACCCTGGCTTTTAAAGGAATAGGGCACACTGTTTTTTCTTTACTACATCTATCTCTCTTTTTCTCTCTCTCCCTCTCTTTTTTCTATCTGTCTCTCTCTGTCTCTTCTCTCCTTGACTTACTCAATTCGCTTTCATCCTGATCTATTATGTTGTCGTAGACCCAGTTCCAGTTGTTAACGTACTGGGTCATCAGTTCTAAGGCCCTGGCCAAGGAGCCAAGGCTTGGAGATTGCATTGCAGAGGGATAAGCTGGGTAGAAATTGGGGGAGGAGAGCATCTTACACAATGGGAGAGCAATCCTCCTAGCCATTTACAAACTTGGGGCCCTGGCAAGGGTGTTGGGGAATGGGTCCCACCTAACTGCCCATGTCGAGAGCTGTATGCCTAAATTGGGAGGTACATCAGGGACAAGACTCCCTGGGTTCATATTCTAGATGCCTAAGGACACAGCATAGAGCTTCCTTAGATCCCTTTGGAGATACAACCTGCTCTAATACTTGGGAGAGGAAGTGAAAGTCTGAAGCATTAGACCTAGGAGGCAGGGATCAGAGGAAGTAGATTCAGAGGTAAGGAGAATTTTGGGGCTACACTTTCAAGAAAGTCATGGTCGGGACCCAGGAGGTATGGGTCAGAAGGAAAGGTAGGGGCGCACGCATGGGTGACTGTTGAGCAGAGACTTCTGGCTGCACCATGATCTCAACTGGCTAACCCCGGGAGTTCGGGAAGACAGCTTTCTGTCTCTAGTCAGCCCTCAGCTTCCCCAGGAAAATTGAAAGCGGAAGCTGGTTCCAGGCAGACCAACACTTCTAACCCAGAAGGGTTGGGGTTGTTAGAAAGCCCTTTCCAAGACAGCCTTATACCTGAGTCTTAAGTGAGGCGGCCACGCTAATCGTTTTTAACTGGCCGACAGATGCCCAGTATTTTCCTCCAATTCTAAGGAAGGATAGGACAGAATAGCAAGTGAAAGTGGTCCAATATTACTGCTTTGGAGGTCCCTTCATGGTTGCCAATATCTTACCAGGGGGTCCTTGTTCTTAGAGCTCCCAAGATGGTGGCAGGCTGCTTCCGAGATGGTGGCAGGCTGCTTCCAAGATGGCGGCAAGCCTCTTGTTCTCTGACCTGGGATTCTTGGCCTCATGCATTCCAAGGAATGGAATCTTGGGCCATGCAGTGAGTGTTATAGCTCTCTTCAGCTCGATTAGGATGAACCTGGGCACTTAGCCGTGGAGGAACAATAGCAAGCCTTTAGCCCAATCGGGAGCGGCAGTGGGCACCTTGCTGGATCAGGAGCACAGCGGACACTCTGCCGGATCTGGAGGGGTGGAAGTCAGCAGCAGGTCTGTGACAGTGGCAAACAGCAGTGGTGGACAGCAAGTGAAAGCTCAGCTCAAGCTGTAACAAACATGGACCAGAACATTGTGCAGTTGCAAGATTTAATAGAGTGAAAACAGAGCTCCCATAAAATGGAAGGGGACCCAAAGGGGGTTACTGTTGCCAGCTTGAATGCCTGGGTTTATATCCCGATCATTGTCCCTCCTCCTGTGCTCTCAGGTGATAGATTATTGGCTATTACTTTACCTCCTGTTTTTGCCTACTTAGCATTTTACTGAGCTCTCTTTACTACCTGATTGGTTGGGTGTGAGCTAAGTTGCAAGCCCCATGTTTAAAGGTGGATGCGGTCACCTTCCCAGTTAGGCTTAGGGATTCTTAGTCGGCCTAGGAAATCCAGCTAGTCCTGCCTCTCTCTCACAATGGCCTACTCCTTATTTATCAAATCCCCGCTGTGCACACCCCAACCCGTCGCCAGCAAGGCACTGTGCTGGGCTTCTGGGAAACAGACAAGGGCAATTGGATAATACATACATTAGCATTTGGCAATCTCTAAATCCTTGAGCATCCATTATCTTATTTTGATAATGTACATGAGGAGACAGTGAGGCACATTTCATCGTACTCCCTCTCTTAAGGAGGAAGAAACCAAAGCTCAGAGAGGAAAAGTCACTTGTTCTCAGCCACACCTTTGGTTGAGGGGCAGACTTTTTTATTCCAAATCCTGTTTCTTTTCACTACACCCTATTTTTCCTACCATGAAGGAGCCTACAGTCCATGCAAATAATTATTATAAAAGGTAAAAGGATAAGTGCCTGAACACATAGAGATGAGATCTGTGCATGAATATGTAGTGCTGTGTGTGTGTGATAACATCAGGTTGACAGGTGCAAAAACATTATTTGTGCCTCAGACTGTGCTTTACATATATTATGTCTTTTAACTCGGCCTTCACAACAGACTTATAAGGCAGACATTATTTCAGTTTTACAGGTGAAGTGATTGAGGTTCAAAAAGGTCAACTATTTAATGACAATCACAGCAGGAAAGTGAATGCATTCCAAGAAAGGTGGGTGCAAACCCAGCATGGTGGGGAGGAGCCTGTACGGAAGAGAGAAATCAGAAAAGGCACCATGGAGAAGGTGGCATTTAGGTTGGGCTTTGAAGGATGGATGAGGTCCAGACAGGTAGAGATGCAGCCCAGGGAAGCAGAGAGGCAGAGCAAGGAACTGACCACAGGTACTGACTTTGGGGAAGATTTCTTTAAATCTCTTAGGCTAGAGCCCTGCAGCTTTGTGAGAAAGTGAAGCCTGTCGTCTGTTGGCAGCCTTTTTCTTGGAAACAACAGGCTGGCCCTATGCTGAACCCCCCAAAACCAAATGCCACTTTGTGCTTGGATGTCTGAGGTTGTTAGGGGAGCTGCCAAACAGAACACAAGTACCAGCAGCAATTGAGAAGCCCAAGATCAAGACTAGGACAGGAGTCATCAGCTGCCTGAAAACCCTTGGGCGTCAGGCCAGTGCAGCCACTGCTAACTCTGGGGCAATCTTGGCAACTTGTTACACTCCCAGCTTCTGTTCCTCCTTCTGTAAAACGGGTATAATAGCCAGGTGCAGCAGCCATTGCCTGTAATCCCAGCTACTTGGGAGGCGGAGGCAGGAGGATCGCCTGAGCCTAGGAGTTTGAGGCCAATCTAGGCAACATAGTGAGAGCACCCCCCTATTCTAAATAAATAAATTTTTAAACATTGAAAAAGTGAGCATAATAATATGAAGTAGCACATCAAGGATCCACAGAGAGACAGGAGAGAAAGAGCCAATAGCACCACGCAGCAGGAATCAACCTTTTTAAGGGCAGCTGAGTCCCTTTGGCAGGTGGGTTGAAAAAAAAAAAAGGCAGGCCAGGCATGGTGGCTCGTGTCTGTAATCCCAGCACTTTGAGAGGACAAGGCGAGTGATCACCTGAGGCCAGGAGTTCAAGATCAGCCTGGCCAACGTGGTGAAACTCCATCTCTACTTTAAAAAATACAAAAATTAGCTAGGTGTGGTGGCATGTGCCTGTAGTCTCAGCTACTCTACTCGGGAGGCTGAGGCAGAAGAATTGCTTGAACCCAGGAGGTGGATGCTGCAGCGAGCCAAGATCACACCACCACACTCCATCCAGCCTGGGCAACAGAGCTAGACTCCATCTCAAGTTAAAAAAAAAAAAAAAAGCAGTCTCAGGCCTTGAGGATGTGAGCCCCCAAAGTATATTTTAATATTGATCTCCATTTATATAGTTTACTTACTTACATAAATTTGCTTTTTTCGAGACAGAGTCTCTGTCTCCCAGGCTGGAATGCAGTGGCATGATCTCAGCTCACTGCAGCCTCCACCTCCTGGGTTCAAGCGATTCTCCTGCTTCAGCCTCCAAGTAGCTGGGATTACAGGTGCGCGCCACCATGCCCAGCTAATTTTTGTATTTTTAGTAGATACGGGGTTTTGCCATGTTGACCAGGCTTCTCTTGAACTCCTGGCCTCAGGTGATTCGCCCACCTCAGCCTTCCAAAGTGCTGGGATTACAGACATAAGCCACCACGCTTGGCTATAAATTCGCCTTAAATACTTCCACATGTAGAGACATACATGTGGAATGTAAGTCACCATGTTCCTGTAAGTCAGCCTTTCCCAAGGTAACCCTCAAATTGAAGGCAACTGCAATTAGAAATCCCAAGATTTTTGTTTCATTTTTGTTTTTAGAACTAAGTAAATATTCTCTTTTTTTGTTTGTTTGAGACAGGGTCTTGCTCTGTTGCCTAGCTGGAATGCAGTGGTACGATCACAGCTCACTGGAGTCTCCACCTCCCAGTGCTCAAGTGATCCTCTCCACCTTAGCCTCCCTAGTAGCTGGGACCACAGGCATGGACCACTGTACTCGGCTATTTTTTAATTTTTTTTGGAGACGGGGTCTCCCTATGTTGCCCAGGCTGGTCTTGAACTCCTGGGCTCAAGAGATCCTTTCACGACCACCTAGCAAAAGTGCTGGGATTATAGGCAGGCCACTGCGCCTGGCCTAATATTATCTTAAAATGCATATAGAGGGGCTGGATGCAGTGGCTCATGCCTGTAATCCCAGCACTTTGGGAGGCTGAGGTGGGAAGATCACGAGATCAAGAGATGGAGATCATCCTGGCCAACATGGTGAAACCCTGTCTCTACTAAAAATACAAAAATTAGCTGGGCATGGTGGCACGCGCCTGTAGTCCCAGCTACTCGGGAGGCTGAGGCAGGAGAATCATTTGAACCCAGGAGGCAGAGGTTGCAGTGAGCCGAGATTGCGCCACTGCACTCCAGCCTGGGCAACAGAGTGAGACTCCATCTCAAAAAAAAAAAAAAAAAAAAAGCATACAGAGGGGGCCAGGTGCGGTGGCTCATGCCCGTAATCCCAGCACTTTGGAAGTCCGAGGCGGGTGGCACCAGGTCAGGAGTCCAAGACCAGCCTGGCCAAGATGGTGAAACCCCATCTCTATTAAAAACACAAAAATTACCTGGGCGTGGTGGCAGGCACCTGTAATCCCAGCTACTCGGGAGGCTGAGGCAGAGAATTGCTTGAGCCAGTGAGGCGGAGGTTGCAGTGAGCCAAGATCGTGCCACTGCACTCCAGCCTGGGCAACAGAGACTCTGTCTCACAAAAAAAAAAAAAAAAAAAAAAAGCATATCGAGGGATATGACAATTGTACTTTTTAAATAAATATTTTTAACAAAAAAAAAATGCACATAGAGGGAAAAGTCAAGTTCATATAGCAAGATAAATGTGCAAGAATTGCTATGAAGCTGGGCATAGTGACTCATGCCTGTAATTCCAGCACTATGGAAGTCCAAGGCTGGAGGATTGCTTGAGCCCAGGAGTTCAAGACCAGACTGGGCAACATAGGAATGGATACTCTGTCTCTACAAAAAATAATAAAATTTGTCAGGCATAGTGGCCCACACTTATGGTCCCAGCTACTCAGGAAGCTGAGGGAGAAGGATCACTTGAGCCCAGGAGGGTGAGGCTGCTGTGAGTCGTGATTGCACCACTGTACTCCAGCATGAGACCCTCCCCCTATCAAAATAAAAATAAAAAATAAAAATTAAAAAAAGGCCAGGCGCAGTGGCTCATGCCTGTAATCCCAGCACTTTGGGAGGCTAAGGTAGGTGGATCACTTGAGGTCTGAGGTCAGGAGTTGGAGACCAGTCTGGCCAACATGGCAAAACCCCGTCTCTACTTAAAAAAAAAAAAAAAAATAGCCAAGTGTGGTGGCACCCACCTGTAGTCCCAGTTATTCGGGAGGGTGAGGCAGGAGAATCGCTTGAACCCAGGAGGTGGAGATTGCAGTGAGCCAAGATCGTGCCACTGCCCTCCAGCCTGAGTGACAGAGCAAGATTCTGTCTCAAGAAAAAAAAGTCAAATCCATCAACAAATGAGTGGTTGAAAAACTGAGAATGTATTTATACAATGGAACATTACTGTGGAAAATTATGCAGCCATTAAAGAGAATGACTAGGAACTGTATGTATTGATCTGGAAAAAAATGTTTATTGCATATGGTCAAGTAAAAACATGCAAGTCATTGAGTATGGTACATGGCCTGATCTCATTTTTTAGAAACAGAATTTCATTTTGACATTATTTCAGATTTACAGAAAAGTTGTAAGAATAGAAAGAATTCCTGGAGCTGGGTGCGGTAGCTTACACCTGTAATCCCAGCACTTTGGGAAGCCAAAGCAGGAGAATCACTTGAGGCTAGGAGTTTGAGATCAACCTGGGCAACATGGCAAGACCCCATCTCTATTATAAAAATAAAATAAAATAAAAATAATTTCTGTGTACTTTTTTTTTCTTTTTTTGGAGACGGTGTCTTGCTCTGTCGCCAAGGCTGGAGTGCAATGGCGCAATCTCGGCTCACCGTAACCTCCGCCTTCCAGGTTCAAGCAATTCTCCTGCCTCAGCCTCCTGAGTAGCTGGAATTACAGGCGGGCGCTCCATGCCCGGCTAATTTTGTATTTTTAGTAGAGACGAGGTTTCTCCATGTTGGTCAGGCTGGTCTCAAACTCTCGACCTCAGGTGATCCACCGGTCTCGGCTTCCCAAGGTACCAGGATTACAGATGTGAGCCACTGCGGCTGGCCCTCCTGTGTACTCTTTACCCAGATCTCCCATTTGCCATTTCACTACAGTTGCTTTATCCTTCTGTCTCTCTGTCTACACACACACACAGACACACACACATACACACACACACACACAATTTCTAAACTGTTTGAGTATGTTGCAGATATGATGCCCTTTTATCACTAAATATATCAATTTTTTTTCTAAGTACAAGGAAATATATAACCACAGGGCAATTGTAAAAATCAACAAATTCACACTGATCAATACTACTCTCTAATCTATAGACTTTATTCTGATTCTATTAATTGTCCAGCATGATTTTTTTTTTGTAATAATAGCCAGATTTAATGGCTTATGCCTGTAGTCCCAGCTACTCGAGAGGCTGAGGCAGAGAATGGCTTGAGTCCAGGAGTTTAAGTTCAGCCTGGGCAGCATAGCAACTCTTCTTCTCTTAAAAGAGAAAATAAAAATTATATATATAATATTAACAGAGATATGATATATTAATATATAACATATAATAATATATATAATATTCCTAGGCTCAATATATATGAGCCTAGGAAAATGTATAGATGAATATCCATACTTTTTAACCTAGTTAACCTTAAAAATTTGCTAAAATCAGCCTTATAACTTTTGTAATAAATTATAATATAGAAAAGTTTATTACAAATAAATAAGCAATGAATGAATGAATAAATAAAATCATCATATGTTGAGATGGAACTGAGATCAAATCTGGTTCTACCAACTTTGGACACATTACCTAATCTCTCCAAGCCTGGATTCCTCAATCATAAATCTCCACCTATAGAAGAAACTATTTTGTTTGTTTATTTATTTTTTTACAGACGGAGTCTTGCTCTGTTATCCAGGCTGGAGTGCAGTGGTGTGATCTCGGCTCACTGCAACCTCCACCACCCAGATTCATGCGATTCTCCTGCCTCCACCTCCAAGTAGCTGGGATTACAGATGCATGCCACCATGCCTGGCTAATTTTTGCATTTATGGTAGAGATGGGATTTCACCATGTGGCCAGGTTGGTCTCAAACTCCTGACCTCAAGTGATCTGCTCACCTCAGCCTTCCAAAGTGCTCAGATTACAGATGTGAGCCACTGAGCCCAGCCTCTTCTTGTTTGTTGGTTGGTTTTGAGACAGGGACTTGGTCTGTTGCCCAGGCTAAAGTGCAGTGGTGGCGTGATCAGGTGACTGTAACTTTTTTTCTTTTTTTTTTTTTAAATAGAGACGGAGTTTCATCATGGTGCCCCTGCTGGTCTTGAACTCTTGGGCTCAAGTGATCTGCCCGTCTCAGTCTCCCAAAGTGCTGGGATTATAGGCCTGAGCCATGGCACCCAGCCAGCTCACTGTAACTTCAAACGCCTTTGTTCAAGGTTTCTCCCACTTCAGCCTCCTGAGTAGCTGGGACTACAGGCGTGCACCACCACGCCCAGCTAGAAGCTATTTTTTCATAAGGATTAAATGAGTTCTTAGTCCATAGAAGGCACTCAAAAAAATCATTCCTGTAAAACCGTTCATCTCTTCCTTATTCCTGCCTTCTCCCCTCTGTTCATTCCATTTGGAATGTCCTCTCCTTCCTCCCTTTCCATGGTCACCATCCTTTTCATCCTTCAAAGTCCAGTCCAAATACCACCTCCTCTAAGAAGTCTTACCTGATCACCCTGACCAAAAGTGAGCCATTCTTCTGATGCCCATAGCACTATGTCCCGCTTTGCATTAGTTGTTGGCATGGGTAGCAGTGATAGCAGAGGAGCTCAAGAGGAGTCTGCTGGGGGTTTCCAGAGAAAGGCTTTCCTTGCTCATCAAAGGCATGCCAAGACCATGAGGGAAGGCACTACCTACTTCAAAAAAATAAAACAAGGAAGACAGAGGGAGATCCGACAGAGAAGAGGAGGAAATGTGAGCACAGATGCAGAGATTGGAGTGATGTGGCAACAAGCCAAAGAACAACTGGAGTCACTAGGTGCTGTAAGAGACAAAGAATGGATTCTTCTCTGGTTCCCCTCTAAGGAACTAGCCCTGCCAACACCTTGATTTTATTTATTTATTTAATTTTGTTTAAGACAGAGTCTCACTTTATTGCCCAGGCTGGAGTGCAGTGGTGTGACTGATCTCTGCCCACTGCAACCTCTGCCTCCCGGCTTCAAGCGATTCTTGTACCTTAGCTTCCCGAGGAGCTGAGATTACAGGTGTGTGCCACCATGCCCAGCTAATTTTTATATTTTTAATAGAGATGGAGCATTGCTGTAGCAGGACAAGCCACAAACAAAACCCCTCAGACACTGAGTTAAAGAAGGAAGGGCTTTATTCGGCCAGGAGCTTCAGCAAGAGTCATGTCTCCAATGACCGAGCTCTCCAAGTGAGCAATTCCTGTCCCTTTTAAGGGCTCACAACTCTAAGTGGGTCCACATGAGAGGGTCGTGATTGATTGAGCAAGCAGGGGGTATGTGACTGGGTGCTGCATGCACTGGTAATTAGAACAGAACAGAACAGGACAGGGATTTTCACAGTGCTTTTCTATATAATGTCTGTAATCTATAGATAACATAACCAATTAAGTCAGGGGTCAATCTTTAACTACCAGGCCCAGGGTGTGGTGCCGGGCTGTCTGCCTGTGGATTTCATTTCTGCCTTTTAGTTTTTACTTCTTCTTTCTTTGGAGGCAGAAATTGGGCATAAGACAATATGAGGGGTGGTCTCCTCCCTTATTCCCCCCCTTTGATAATCTCACTCAATAGTGGGAGTTCTCACTTTCATTTTTATTACCTATGTCTTCTTGCAAGACAGATCGATAGTAATTCATATAGTACACTTGTGCTGAAGCATTTTGGTGAACTAAGGTAGTGATGAAGCTTTTTATCATTTGAAGAAGTACAGGTAGCAAACAAGGGAGCAGCAAGTAGGTTTCTATTACTATTATAACTCTTATTACAAGAGTTTTAAATCTTCTTAATGCTGGGAACCATTTTCCAAACATGGCGTCAGGATCAAATCCATGCCACACTTGCACAGGCACATGTGCCAGTTTTGTCATATTTCTAACTATGTCTTCAACTACTTGCCCTTGATCATCTATGTGTAGGCAGCAATTAGTAGGGTTAAATTTCCTACAGACCCCTCCTTCAGCTGCTAGCAAGTAGTCGAGAGCTAATCTATTTTGATAGATAGCATTTCTCATCTGAGTTTCTTGCCAGGCCAGAATAGTCAAGGCCCTGCCAGTCTTATTAGTGATTATTTCTAAGACAACTTGTAACTGTGTGATTCGGTTGAGCACGTAAATGGGAGTCGGGTATCCCCACGAGCTGTCTTGTGCCTAAGTACCAGGCCTATAATATTGTATGATTCTCTCAGGGGGCCATTTATCATCTTTTTAATTTTCTAGTTATGCTTCTATTTTTGCGGGAAGCACAGACAGGGAAGCCCAGGAGTTCGCCTGTCTTTATGGGCAGTAGGAAGAAAGATGGTTTAATAGTGCCAGGAACACAACTACCTGCCCACTGGTCGGGTAATTTGGTATAAGCTCTATGCCCACATATCCAGTATAGTCCAGTGGGGGCTGTCCAGTCCCAGTGGGACTCCGGGTGGGTTCACACAGTTTGCAACTTCGGGAATTTACTAAATGGATTTTTCTTAGTGTGGTTTGAACTCCACTAGGTGGCTGTTTTTGTAGTATTATTATACAGTTTTTGCCCAAGGCAGCAGAGTCTTCCCACAGGAAGGGTGAAGTCCTTCCTTACTCTTGCTATACAGTATTGTCTAATGATTGAGGCTTTTAGGACCTAGAAGTTATCAGGGTGATTATTTTGAGCCAGGAATTCATCAGGAACTGGGTCTGTAGGTACTAATTCTCAGGCTTCCTATGGCCATTGATCTCCCATTACAGTTCCTCTACATATCTACATACATAACATGAAGTGACATTGAGAGACTGGGCTAAATGCTCAGCTAATTGCAAAAACAAATTTCTTGTTTTTCCTGGAATTTCTGGTACTGGCACAGTCAGTTTATCACAGAAGGTTTGAAATACTGGCTAAGGAGAGGGTTTATAAATTCCTCAAACCACGATATTTACTTGAGGATCCAGTCCAGCCCCATCGATTCCTAGGGTTACACACTTCCCTTTTTCCAGTGAGGATCAAGGGGGTTGGTTATTACCAATTCTAAGGTGTTACACTGACCACTGGCACAGGAAGGGCCAGTTTTCCCTTTCTGAAGGTGGACAGGATCCTTTTTATTTTTTATCCAAGTAGCCTAAATGACACAAGAACAGTATCCACATTATTTCCACATGGTCCTAATTCATGACAAATGTACTTATTTTCTTCTATACAGTCTCTTCCTTAATTAAGAGAATCACATCCTATTTCTAACTTATTACTATTAATGACAGCGCAGGCATCAAACTTTAAGGTGACTTGTTTGGGCACCCCTTTTTCTTTTGTTTTGGCTGACACCTTACTCGTATCATTTATGAGCCTTCACCAGTCCTCAGTCCTTAATCTTATTTCAAAAACTGTGGTCATGGGAGGCTCAGATGGGTCATAACACACACGAGGTTGCTCATTTCCTGGGCTACATACCTTGCATAGAATAGCATTATACAAACATAGCATTATACAAACAAGTTTTTTTTTTAGAGTCCCAGTACACTTATAATAATCATAAAATAATAAGACTATAGCAACTTTTTGTCCTACCTCAGTGACTTGATGTATGCACTGGGAGCAGTCCCCAGTCTGAGGAAGGTCAGTTAAAGTCCTTACTGTACAAGTCCAAATTTTAAGGCAAATGAGTCCCATGATGAGTTTTCTCATGCTTCAGCTGTATGTGGACCAGTCAGCTTCCGGGTGTGAGTGGAGCAGGGCTTGTCGTCTTCTTCAGAGTCACTTTGCAGAGGTTGGCGAAGCTGCTCCCGTCTACGTACCGCTCACAGTCTACTGATGTTCAAGGATGGTTTTGGAGGTTGGGCCTGGTAGAATAAACTGAGTCCAACACCTCTACACAGTTATGTTCAACTGGGCTCTCTGATACCAGCAGCAAGGTGGCGGGGTTTAGGTTGTTGCAAACTTCAATGGTTATGCGAGGATTTTCACATAGCAAGCTTTGGTACTTGGTTAATCTAGCATTTGTTAACCAATGATGTCCTTTGGTAGTCATTAAAGTTACCACAGCATGGGTGGCCTGTATATTCAGGTTTTGCCCAAGGGTTAGTTTATCTGCTTCTTGTGCTAACACGGCTGTTGCTGCCAGGGCGCTTAAACATGGGGGCCAGCCTTTGGAAACCCCTTCTAGTTGTTTTGAGAAATAGGCCATTGGTCTTGGCCAGGGCCCCACAGCCTAGGTTAAAACTCCAACTGCCATTTTTTCTCTTTTTGACACATAGGGTGTAAAGGGTTTGTCAGGTCAGGTAGACCCCAGGCTGGGGCCGACATGAGTTTTTCTTTTAACTCATGAAAAGCTCGTTGCTGTTGGTTGTAATAGATGTAATTTATCCAATTTATATTTTTATTAACTGTCACCTACCAAAATATTGACTCAAATCCTGCAGCTATTTGATTTCAAGATTTAAATTGATCTGGTATTCTCCATAGGACTCCAGTTGTGTCTAAATCGACATGAGAGTCAAAAGACCCATAAGGGGCTTCTCTCGCTTTATGATGCCTTATTTTTTCTCCTTCTAGTTGATGAAATGCCAGGGTGAAAGGGATAGCCAATTGGACTAAAGTACAAGTGCCACTCCAGTTATTCGGCAGAGTGCCCAGTAAAGGTCCACCACAATACCACCACACATCTGCTCGGGGATGAACAAGGGCTGACTGATTGATAAGCTCTTGAAAATTTTTAAGCTCACTACATCCCTTCAGGTCTCTAAGGAATGCTAAGTTTCCTCCCTGTCATGAGAGACACGAAGTGAACTTAGTGTTGGGAGATGGAGGCTGGATGGCCCTTGGGGGCTGACCCGCTGACCGCAGGGTGCCAGATATAGCAGAGAGAGCTTGGCACGACTTATTACTCCAGACTGTAGAATCCTGGAAAAGAGCTACCAGGCAGCCCATGCCTGGTCGACTGGAGGACCACCTTAGCAGAAAGGGAACAATCTGGGCCTCTGGCCTGCCATGTGCACAAGCATAACAATTGCTTTTGTTTAACATGTGGATGGAAAATTTGATCCATTCCAATGAGGCATTTGCATCCTGGTATGCTGTCTTAATTGCCAAAGTTTGTTTTAAGTCTTTAACTTCTATGATCCTCTAGTAAAATGAGTGTATGATTTTGGGAAATTACACAAACCGGTTGGGGCAGTCCATCCTTGCTCTTTAGTGGTCCACAGAATGTTGGACCAACTACGGCATAAAAGCTCTACATTGGGGAGCAAGACTCCTGGTTGACACTGGAGTCTTTATCGAAATTTCCCCAGATTAAATGGTCCTAATTTACTAATGCCCAGTCTGAGGGGAGTCAGGAGGGACAGAGGTACTTTTCTGAAGTAGAGAGCTGTCTTTGACTTGGCAAGTCCCCACAGGGTATAACAAGGCAAACATTAAATGCAATAGTTTGAGGCTAAATCGACTTGGTTATGTTAATAACCAGATGGTCAGCAATAGAGCAAGAAAAGAAGAAAGAGTAATAGAATAGATGAATGAGTTAAATTTTTCTTAGCTTTAGTTTGGTAGGGTTTTCCCCTGGGACAGTGGCCCACGACTCTGGAGGGGGTGGCGCTTTGACTCGGGTGTGATGAGTCCATCCCTTTTTCGCTGTATGAACAGCAGTCTCAGAGGTTAACAGCACAAGGTAGGGTCCTTCCTAGGCTAGCCTGAGTTTTTCTTCTTTCCACCCTTTGATAAGAAAGTGATCTTCAGGCTGGTGCTGGTTTACTGGAAATTCTAGGGGTGGTACCTGTGCTAAAAGACTTTTAGTTTTGAGGGAAAGGAAAGTGGAAGATAAACCAAGTATATAATTTCTAAGAAATTGACTTTTTGTTGTAAATGTGGGGACATCAACAGTGGACTTTATAGTCTTTGGTGACTTCTTACTGAGAAATTTCCTTTAGCACCTATTTGTATTAGTTTTTAGACCAAAGAAAGCCAAACACCATTTTATATTTAATAATGCTTCTTGTATGATTTTTATACTAGATAAACTAAATTTCACCTTTATATTAGTGTGCTATTAATGTTAAATTTAGTTTTAATAAAACTTTGTATACATATTTATTCAATTTTTAATGTCGGACCATAAGGTAAGATTTTTATAGACTCTTTTTAACCTTTTATAATTTTTGTTAAAGAGCAGGTTAGTGCTTTAAGAAAAACCAGTTGTGTTTTTACTTTAATGTCCAGTTCACAGAAAAACTGAATGATACCCCTTTAACTTTAGCTAATATGCTTACACACAGGATTTTCTTTACAATTAACGTTTTAAAACTTGCTTAAACCTTCAAAACAAAATTTTTTTAACCTTTTAATGTAGGTAAAAATTTACATTCTTATGCCTCCTTATAATCCTTTTACCAAAGGTATATTTTACTTTCCTTATACACCTTGCACATAAACTTTTTTTTTCAATAGTTTTACATTCAGAAGGCCTAGTTACCTTTAAATTATACAACATTTCTTGCATAATTTTTTTAACATTTTTTTCTTTCACGACTTTTGCAGACAATTCTTTGACATGTCTTAACTTTCTGACTTATTACAAACATTTTTTTAAAAACAATCAGTTAATTTATTTCAGGACAAGAGTTTACCATATAACACTCTTTTTACATAAATTCTGCCCCCTCTTTTTTTCCCTTTTTTTTTCGAAGATGATAATCATTCTTTTCCAAAGCGAACTTCTTTTATGTCTGTGGACTAGACTAAGGCCACAAGATTAGAAGTTACTATAATACATATTACACTGTTAACTTTTAGCAAACTTTACTTTTGTTGAAAACCTTGTAAGTTTGGGATTTTAATTATCCTTTGCTATTAATAAGACCTTGTTTTGTCCAAATTAACTTAGAATTGGTATAGATGGCTTTTTTTTTTTCCTTCAATTACCTGGGAGGAAACATCCATCATCCTGTCCTGAAGGGAGTTCCTCCTAGGTCTGGTTGGACCTTTGTATGGTAATTAAGATTTAGATCCCCTGTTAGGAAACCTGCTGGGTTAAGGGAATTTTCAGTGGTTAATGTTAAATCATCCTTTTTTTTTTTTTTTTTTCCTTAGGATACTTCTGAACTGGTGAGGTGTGCTCACAAGGAGGTTTCCTCTAAAAGTTATTTTTTTTACTTTTTTCTGTTAGCAAAGCAGTTACCGCTACAGATTGAATGCATTTGGGCCATCCGCGGGTTACTGGGTTAAGGATTTTTGATAGGAAGGCCTCAGTGCTTTCAGGATACACCCTTGTTTACACTGACAGCGAAGTGGTATTGGAGTGTTACAGGGTTACAGAGAATACCTTCAATTATCAATTATAGGTTTTAAATTTACCTTGGCTTTTAAAGGACTAGGGTACACTGTTTTTTTTCTTAACTGCTTGTATATCTCTTTCTTTCTCTCTTTGATTTTCTATCTCTTTTTCTCTTTGACTTTTCTTTTGCGTCTCTTTCTCTCTGCCTCTCTCTTTCTATCTCTCTCTCTCCTTCCTTGACTCCCTCTTTGTCTCTCTCTCTTCCTCTTTCTCTCTCTGCTGGTCTTTCCTTGCCTCTGCCAGCTGCTTATGCTGCTGTTCTTTCAACCACTGTGGGGAGGTGGGGGTTCTAAAACCAGCTGTAACCAAGTGTCTATGTATGGGAACTGGTCTGGGTGCCCTGGCTGACAGGTTACCTTGTGCCATACCTTTGAAACAAGGGACCTGTCCAGGCTTCCTTCTGATGGCCAACCCACCTCTAATGCTGGCCAGACTATCTTCCACAAAGTTTTAAGTTTTCATGGTGTCATAGTACTCCATAGTCTCCCTTAAATCCTTTCTTGAAAATTTTCAACATAGTTCCTAGTGGGGTGGGCTTACTTTGTGCCTGACCCATGCTTCTTCAAGACAAAACACCATACTCACACCAAACGCACACCACAAAACAAAGAACAGGTAAAAAGGACACCCACACACTTTTACAGTTTACACCAAACCAGAATCAAAAACAAAATCAGAGTATCAAGAAATCCAAGCCAGGTCAAAACCAAAACCAAACCAACGTACCAAGCAATCCAAGTCAAGTCAAAAACAAAAACCAAAGTGCCGGTACAGGCACACTGTGGGTGATCAGGCCACGCTTCCACTCAAATGGAGTGGGCAAGTTCCAAAGACTAGTCTTACCAAGTTTCAGATGTCTGGACTCCAAGTGCCAGTTCCTTCCTGGTGTTCAGCCACTGCGTTGATCCTCCATGGGGGCCTGCCACATGCTGCTCTGGCAAGGCGTTCCACCGGGGCAATTGCTTACCTGGGATCGCTCTCAGGATCCGCATCGCTCAAGCTGGCTGGAGTCCCCCGCAGGGATGCTCCACAGGGCAGGCCTAAGCCACCTAAGGGGCTGCCTCAACCATCCATTCATCACCATGCTTCCCGGTCAGGGAACCAAGAAATGAAGCGTGACAAGCTGCAGACAAAACCCCTCAGACACTGAGTTAAAGAAGGAAGGGCTTTATTCGGCTGGGAGCTTCGGCAAGACTCACGTCTCCAACAACCGAGCTCTCCAAGTGAGCAATTCCTGTCCCTTTTAAGGGCTCACAACTCTAAGGAGGTCCACGTGAGAGGGTCATGATCGATTGAGCAAGCAGGGGGTACGTGACTGGGGGCTGCATGTACCAGTAATTAGAACGGAACAGAACAGGACAGGGATTTTCACAGTGCTTTTCTATACAATGTCTGTAATCTATAGATAATATGACCAATTAGGTCAGGGGTCGATCTTTAACTACCAGGCCCAGGTGTGGCGCTGGGCTGTCTGCTTGTGGATTTCATTTTTGCCTTTTAGTTTTTATTTCTTCTTTCTTTGGAGGCAGAAATTGGGCATAAGACAATATGAGGGGTGGTCTCCTCCCTTATCGCCATGTTGACCAAGCTGGTCTCAAACTCCTGACCTTGGCCTCCCAAATTGCTGGGATTACAGGCATGAGCCACCGCGCCCAGCCCAACACTTTAATTTTAATTGCGTAAGACTCTCTTCAGACTTCTGGCCTCCAGAACTGTAAGACAATAAATTTCTGGGGTTTTAAGCCACTACATGTGTGCAATTTGTTCCAGCAGCAATAGGAAACTGACGCACTGCTTCTTTCTCAGGACTAGATGCAAACCTCCAGGAGGCCTTCTGCAACACACCTTGGGTAGGTGCCTCTCCCCTAGCCTTGCTCACACAGCACTGGCCGCACTGCAGGCCATTGTCAGTCTCAGGGTTGGTGTTTTCTCCTAGACAGTGAGCTCATTGAGAGCAGACACCATGTCTCATTCATATCATGCTTGTCAGCAAGTAGTTACTCAATGAATGAATGCTGAACCAATGAATAAAAAAAGAAAGTTAAATTAGATTTGGTTTAACACTGGGTCTTTATCCAAGACTTCACAGTTGACTTTAGTTCTTGACTTTGACCCAAGAAAAGTAAAATATTACACCATCCAAATAAAGATTTTTGTCCTATCCTCTTACAAAAGCAAGGCTTTCACAGTTTTTTTGGCAGTTGCTGGGATTATGGCTTAGTTTTCAATTTGGGGATGTAAGCAAGAAAATACTGATCATTTAAAAACATGTCTGCCTGTGCCTGCAGCAATTGTTAGTCGTGATCGAGATAATTTTACTCAGCTGGGTGTGGTGGCTCTTGCTTGTGAATCCCAGCTCTTTGGGAGGCTGAAGCAGGAGGATCACTTGAGCCCAGGAGATCAAAATCAGCCTGGGCAACACATTGAGATCCTCATCTCTACAAAAAAAGAAAAATTAGCCCAGTGTGGTGGCATGCGCCTGTAATCCCAGCTACTCAGGAGGCTGAGGTGGGAGGATCACTTGACCCCAGGAGTTCAAGGCTGCAGTGAGCTATGATTGCCCTACTGCACCACTCCAGCTCCAGCCCAAGTGAGAGTGAGACAGTCTCTTAAAAAAAAAAAAAAAAAAAAAGATAACTAAAAGATAATTTGACTCTACACAGCAGTTCAAATCAAGTTCCTTATTTTCACTTTCAGTTTGAGAGTTTGAGAATGAGAAACATCCGTGTTTAGAACAATTTTTATTAGCCTTTTTTTTTATATTGGCTACTGGATCTAATTGGCTTGATTAGCAGAATATACACATTCTGTTCCAAGTCATTTCAATATCTTTGAAAATTGAAACTTCCTTCCTCAACTTCCTCTCCCCTTTTCTTTCTGTGGCTGCCAGCGGTCTCTCTTTTTTTTCCACCTCTCCTTCATGATCACTGCATTTCTTATTAGACAGCTCAGTTCTCAAACACACAGTGAAGGAAATTCTTTAAAAGGGCCATTTTTTATTTACTACTTGGAGACAGTCAATTACAACAGAGAGCTATGAAAAATTACACCAGAGAAAAGGGATTTGCTCAAGGTCATTGACAGAAAAAGCACTAGGGCTGGATTCTTTCCAGATCTGACACTGAAGTTGATTCCAAGCCTAAGTAACCTCTTTGCACTCATTTTTTTTACAGTGAAAACCTCATCAAACACATTAGTTCCTGTAACTGATTGAAGCCTCCCTCAGGCATGTTAATAAAAAATTTTATTAAGAGAAATAATATACACCATCTTAGAAAATAATATAAGAAAACAGCTTTTTTTTTTTTTTTTTTTTTTTCCGAGACTGAGTCTTGCTCTGTCGCCCAGGCTGGAGTGCAATGGTGCCACCTTGGCTCACTGCAAGCTCTGCCTCCCGGGTTCACGCCATTCCCCTGCCTCAGCCTCCTGGGTAGCTGGGACTACAGGCGCCCGCCACCACGCCTGGCTAATTTTTTATATTTTTAGTAGAGACAGGGTTTCACTGTGTTAGCCAGGATGGTCTAGATCTCCTGACCTCATGATCCGCCTGACTCGGCCTCCCAAAGTGCTGGGATTACAGGTGTGAGCCACCGCACCAGGCCAAAAAGAGCTTTTTTAACAAAAGCCTGTTCTCTGCCCTCACTCTTCCTCCCACTGCTATGCCCCAAAGAAAAGCTTTTTTAAAAGTTGTGGAAAAATAGACATAAATAAAATATATCATTTTAGCCATTTTTAAGGTTATGGTTCAGTGGCATTAAGTATATTCACATTGGTATACAACCATTACCACCATTCATCTCCAAAAACCTTTCACCTTCCTAAACTGAAACTCTATACCCATTAAACAAATAATAACTCCCCATTCCCCCACCACACCCCCAACCCCTGGCAACCACCATTCCACTTTGTCTCTAAGAATTTGACTACTCTAGGTGTCGCATATGAATGGAATCATACAGTATTTATTCTTTTGTGTTTGGCTTATTTCACTTAGCACAATGTGTTCAAAGTTCATGTGGACTGTAGCATGTGTGGGAATTTCCTTCCTTTTTTGAAAGCTGAATAGTATTCCATTGTATGGATCTACTGCATTTGTTTATCCATTCAATCATTGATGAATATTTGGGTTGTGTCTGTCTTTTGGCTATTGGGAACAATTCTGTTGTGAACATTGGTACACAAATGTTTGTTGGAGTCCCGACTTTCAATTATTTTGGGTATATACCCAGAAGTAGAATTGCTGGATCATATAACTCATTTTTAATTTTTTGAGGAAGCACCATACCATCCACTGTGGTGGCCCCATTTTACATTCCCACCACCCAATGCACACGTGTCCAGTCTCTCCACAACCCCACCAATACTTGTTATTTTCTGTTTTTTTGCGGGTGTTCTTTTTTTTTTTTTGAGACAGGGTCTTGCTCTGTCACCCAGGCAGGAGTGCAGTGGTGTGATCTCAGCTCACCGCAGCCTCAAACTCTTGGGGTCAATATATACATACATACATACATATATATATTTATTTGGTGAAATATCTATTTAAGTCCAAAGAGAATCATTTGAACTATTGTAACGATTTCTGATTTATCTTCTTCTGCTACTTGCCTCTAAATGACATACTTATTTTGCCAGTTTTAGATTTTCTGTTTGATAAATGGGTACTTGCACCCCATCTCTCCTCCCTAAGTGCTGGTACTATAGTTTTATTATTATTTTTGTACATAATGACATACCCTTTTTTTTTATTTTATACTCTCCCCCACCCCTTCCCTCTCAACTACTATCAGATGTAACTTCCAAAGTTAGTGATACTTACATTTACATTCTATTCTGTAACTGTGACTAGGTCTTCTGTAGGTTGATGTTATGAAAGAAAAAAAATCAATAAATGGTGTTTACATTTTGAGCCTGCTTTTGAAGCACAGAAGCAAGACATGGGCAAAGGGGCGGGAATAAGGGCTTTCTCATGGTAGCCAATGGCATGAGCCAAATTACAGGGACCATAAATCATGCAAGTCACATGCAGCATAAAGGAGATGTGATGGCTCAGGCAGAAGGCCCCTTGGGGAGCAACGGGGAATTTAATTGGTTAAAGGGAAGGGAAGGGAAGCTGGAGAGCCTGGATGGCCCACTGCCCTGCTCCCCACTTCCTTATACTAGCCAAAGAATGCGGGTCAACGTGATTCCCCCACCATGACTCACGGACTTCCACCAGCCGTCTTGACTTTCTCCCAGCCCTCCTCCCCATCCACAGAACCAGTGCCTACCAGGGCTTTGCACAAATAAAACAATTCTCCCTCCTAAAAAAGGTTTGCAATTCCTACACAGAGGAAGGTCTTAGAGTGAAGACACAAGAGGAAGGAGAGGATGGAAAAAGAAACAATCACTGAAAACTGGCCGACTACCAGTTCTGTGCCACCTACTCAATTCTTACCCAGCCCTCTGCGTGAAGTTGGTATTATTATCCCCATTTGACAGATAACGAGGCTGGAGAGGCCCCGTGACTTGCCCAAAGCCACAAAGAGACTACTGGCAGAGCTTTGGCCTATGTTTAAGAAGCTGAACCTCTTTGGGATTCAGTTTCTTCATCCATAAAAACAAAGACACATTCCAAGCCATGCCTGTTCCTTGCAGGGTGTTTGTGAGGGTCAGAGAAAATGTCCTTGAAGAGCCTGGCATGTACAAGATACCCTGAAACTGATGGCTATGATGCCACGGCCTGTGCACCTAGGAAGAGTCAGGAAAGCCCAGTGTCTTGAAAAGCCGAGGCTGGAGCAAAGTTCAAGGAGGAACTCACTTCTCTCCCACTCTAGGACTGACCCTCAAACTAGCCAGAAGAGTGGAAGGACCTACAAGATCAGTACCCACCCCACACTTCATAGGCCAAGAGAGGGACAGTGGTTTACCCAGGGTCACCCAGCATGCTAGAGGCTAAGCCTGCCAGCCACGGCTGGGAACCCAGACTTGTGAATGCCCCAGCCCTCCACATTCCCTGGTCCGCTATCAAAGACAGTTAGTCTAATTAGGAAAGCACACCCTTGCAGGCCCAGCCTCCGGTGATCTCTTTGTTCCTCTGTCTCTTCCTGCCCCAACCCCACAGAAACTGAAGTGTGGGGACCCTCCCTAGGAACCGGGGTTCCAGGGAGGATTTGAGGTCACGCTCAAGATCATAAAGAGGCCCAGCATGGACTCCTTCTCATGACCCAAGTGGAGCCAGAGTTCCCAGATAAGGGCAAAGGTCACCTCAGGCCAGGCTCCACTCTCAGCCACCCCTTCTGCCTGGCAGGGTTTACTTCATCTCCTCCAGTCAGGAGAGGGGAGGTCACACTGCCAGGGCCTTTGCCCCATTCTTCTCCAGCTCCTTCTCTAGAGGAAGAGTCATGGCTAGGCCGAGGCAGTGTGGACCTGGAACAGGTATAAACTGTGCTACTCTTTGGTGCCCAGTGCCACTTTTCCTAGCCAGGACCAGAGCTATCACCTTCTCTGTCCCGCAGCTCTGCCCAGGTCTTAGTACCCCACTCACCCCTGGGCCTCAGGAACCCTAAGGAGGGGCATAGGGTTGCTTTCCATTCACACCTGGGGCAGCACAGGGAACTGTGCCACAGGCCCCAAGACAGGCAGATGGAGGATGAAATACACAGGTCCCAGTCCCTGAGGCCACCTTACGTGTCCGGCCCCCAACCCTGTGCAGAAGGTCAAGGCAGAGGCGCCGAGGAGGGATGGGAGGATGCCTCCTGTGAGATGGGGTACAACTGGTGTTCCTTCTGAAGCTGACATCTGGCCTCAGCTGGGACTCTGGCGCCAGCGGGCCCGCAGGGGGCTCACCCGCGACACCCTTTGTTCTGGCTGCCTCCCCAACCCCGCGGGGCCCTCTGCTCCAGCTGGCATGCCTCAAGGACGCTTCGCGCCTGCTCCTTTGGCCCCCGGCTCGCAAGTAGCGGGGCCAGCACGTGACCCGAGGGGGCAGGGGATGGATGGATCTTGACCTTGCCATCTGGCCCCTCACGGATGTGCTGCTGGCTCTCCCTCTAGGAAATCAACAAATTTTTGCGCTTCTAACATCCAGGCCCCTGAGGATGGTCGCGAGGAAGATCTGTTTCGGACTGCAGCTGGGGCCTTCGGATCCAGAGGAAACCAGGGCTATTCTTCGAGGGTGGGAGGGGGAGGGCCGCGGGGTCGGAGGGGAAGGTGGCCCCGCGCGAAGTCGCCGCCGCCGCGCCCCGCCCCGCCCCGCCGGCGGAGACCGAATCCGCCGCACCCCATAGGCAGAGGCCACCCTCCCCGCCTCCCCGCCCGCTGCGCGCCCGCCCCGCCCCGGCTCACTTTAAAAGTTTACTCGGGCCGGGACGCAGGGCAAAGCGAGCCATGGCTGTCTACGTCGGGATGCTGCGCCTGGGGAGGCTGTGCGCCGGGAGCTCGGGGGTGCTGGGGGCCCGGGCCGCCCTCTCTCGGAGTTGGCAGGAAGCCAGGTTGCAGGGTGTCCGCTTCCTCAGGTACTGGCCCCCCGCGGGAAGAGAGGGGGCGGGGCAGTTCCCCGGGAGAGGAACTTGGAGGTCCCGGCGAGCTTCGGAAGCCCCACCTCTGGACGAGTGCACTGGGGGGAAGGTACCCGCCCCTCCCCCGCCCCCCGCCAGCACCTAGGCAATAGGAAAAGCTGGCTTGGCCTGGTGGACTTGGGTGGGGAGGGGGCTTTGGTTGGTGGCTGCAGTGACTTCGAGTTCTGGTCCAAGACTCTCGATTCCTTCTCCTTTATGGGCACAGAGGGCAAGGAGTGTGGGCTTTAAGGAGAATATTCCGATGGGGAGGGGCAAGGGCCAAGGCCTGGGCTGTACCCCCAGGACACTGCCTCTGAGTTGGAACCCCTTCATGGGCAAACTTGGGGATCAGCCCCAGTCTCCCCGACCCAGGCCACTAAACTTAGCAGTCTCCTGTCTCCTCATCAGCTGCTCACTAACATGGCTTTAATTCTTTGCTGCCTACTCCTGGGCCTATTTCCTTCTGTCCTCAGTGCAAGGGGTGGGATGGAAGCTGGCAGGCAGAGGATTTCAGTTCCCAGTAGCTTCACTGCCTCTGCAGCAGCACAGTAAGTAAAGCTGCCTTCCCGGTGTGACCAGTCCTTGGGAGGACCCCGTGAGATGGCAAATGTGAAAGTGCTTGAGACACAGAGAGCAGGCTGCCACTCATGTTATCAGGGCTGTTAGCTTCAGCAGCACCACTGGGGAGCCCTGTGCACTACTGAGCCTGTCCTACCACTCAACTCGGCCAGATACTAAGTCTATGGTCAGGACAGCACTTTCAGCAACATCAGATGGGGTGTGGGCCTGGACATGGAAAAGGGAGAAGTCAGAACAAAGCTGTGTCTCAGAGAACTAGATTTGTTTTTGTTTTTAAAAAGGCTAAGTAGGAAGAGTTGGAGGGACATGCAGACTCCTTTTTGGCTAGAACTCCAAGATCACACTTTCTGAACTTGCTGATTTCTGAATGCTAGAAAGCATGCAATGCCTTAACATCACTCTGCCTAATTTGCTGAGAAAACTAAGTGGATCAAGGCTGGTCAGTAGATGGGATTGAGATGAGGACAGTGGGGTCCTCTTCCCAGTGACCCTGGGAAGTCACTCACTACTTCCCAGGGTCTCCCTAGACAAGTTCGGCCCTCCCCTGACCCCCTAGTCTCTTAAGCCTCTCCTCTGGACTCATGGCTGCCCCCTCAGGCTGGGAGGACTCTGAGGAAAGTTACTTCCCAAAGTGTACATATTTTATCACACTAAATCAGGCCACAGGGGAAGTCTCTCAGCCTACTCTGGCTCAGGAGGCTGCCCAATAGAAAACAAACAAACAAACCAATAAATAAGTAATAAATCAGGCCACATGGCAACATTTCTGACCTTTGACTTTTTTTTATCTATAAACAAAACAGGTCACTTACCTGCTACAGCCCTGGGACCTCTGAGAGCACCAAGCTTCAGAGAAATTCTTATTGCTGTGTCAGGAGGAGACTCATTTATCCAGACAGATGATTTTCTGAGTGTTTGGCCTACTTTCTTTCTGCCCCTTCCACTCCCTTGTGCCTGCACCCTTATTGTCTGACTGTGATGGTTTTACCTGATTTCTCTCCTACTTTCCCCTTCAGAAGCCTCAGGGCTCAGGCCAGGCAAGGTGGTTTATGCCTGTAATCTCAGCACTTTGGAAAGCAGAGGTGGTAGGATCACTTGAGCCCAGGAGTTCAAGGCTGCATTGAGCCGTCATCATGCCACTGCACTCTAGCCTGAGCAGCAGAGCAAAACCTAGACTCAAAAAATAAAAATAAAGGCTGGGTGGGTGGCTCATGCCTGTAATCCCAGCACTTTGGGAAGCCCAGGCAGGCAGATCACTTGAAGTCAGGAGACCGGTTTGGCCAACATGGTGAAACCCCGTTTCTACTAAAAATACAAAAATCAGCCGGGCGTGGTGGCATGTGCCTGTAATACCAGCTACTAGGGTGTCTGAGGCAGGAGAATTGCTCCAACCTGGGAGGCGGTGGTTGTAGTGAGCCAAGACTGCACCTCTGCACTCCAGCCTGGGTGACAGAGGGAGACTCCATGTCAAAAATAAATAAATAAAAATAAAGGCCAAGCATGGTGGCTTATGCCTGTAATCCCAGCACTTTGGGAGGCTGAGGTGGGCGGATCACTTGAGGTCAGGAGTTAGATCAGACTGGCCAACATGGAGAAACCCCATCTCTACTAAAAATATAAAATTAGCCTGGCGTGGTGGCACATGCCTGTAATCCCAGCTACTTGGGAGGCTGAGGCAGGAGAATTACTTGAACCTGGGAAGCGGAGGTTGCACTGAGCTGAGATTGCACCACTGCACTCCAGTCTGGGTGACAGAGAAAGACTTCATCTCAAAAAAATAAAAATAAAAATGAAAAAAGAAGCCTCAGGGCTGAAACCATCAGCAAACATTCCTGAGAACAGATTCTGCGTCATGCTAGCACATGCTGTGCATATAGAGGCCACAGAACTCAGTCCTCACCCTGCCAGGAACTTGCAGCCTCGTAGGAGGAGAAATAAATCAAGGTGAGCACTATTCGGTGTTGCAAGTGCCATGGTGAGGAATGCGCTTGGACTTTCGTCCTCTGTTTTCTCCGATCTGCTCACACACAGCCTGCTTTCCTGTTGCCCAACACCCAGGCCTATTACTTACCAGACCCTGGTTTTGCCTGAGAGAAAAGAGCAAGGGCTTTGAAGTTAGACTATCCTGGATGACAGCCCTGGGTCCTCTCCCTGTTGGTTGTATGACCTCGGGCATGTTATCTAACCTCTGAGCTAGTTAGTTCATTACTTACTACCTTCTTGCTGTGTTGTTGGGCTGATGAATAAAACAAGCTTGCTCTTGTTCTCAGCCTTTCCTTTGAGGCAGGGCTGATCCCTGGAAACCCTTGACTGGTGTCTGGGTGGGAATTCTGACTGATTTGAAAGTAGGAGAGGATCCCCTGATTGGTGGCCTCTTTCTGGAACCCAATTATTTCTCCTAGCTGATTGCCAAGATGGTGACTTCCACCCAGCTACATGTCCAGTCCTTGGGTCTGCTGGACGTCCTCCTCTCCGTTTGACGCAGGGCTGTTCAGAGTCTTTCTCTTTTTCTTTTTTTTTTATTTGAGGTGGAATTTCGCTCTTGTTGCCCCAGGCTGGAGTGCAATGGCATGATCTCAGGTCACTGTAACCTCCGCCTCCTGGGTTCAAGCAGTTCTCCTGCCTCAGCCTCCCAAGTAGCTGGGATTACCGGTGTGCGCCACCCGCCCAGCTAATTTTGTATTTTTAGTGGAGATGGGGTTTCACCATGTTGGTCAGACTAGTCTCAAACTCCTGAACTCAAGTAATCCACCTGCCTCAGCCTCCTAAAGTGCTGGGATTACAGGCGTGAGCCACCACGCCCGGCCCAGAGTCTTTCTCCCCAGAAGGAAAGAAAAAGCTGTCCTTTGCTCTCCAGAACTCCTCACGACCAACTCCTTCCCCCTATCTATGTGCCTCCTTCCCCAAAGAAGGTGGATGGCTTAGTCTGGGGCTTCAGTGAACCTCCAAGGAAGGAATTCAAGGAGAAACCTGGGCTGAGCAGGCTTCCCCCAGACCTGCCCTAAAGCTGGCCTGGGGCTGCCTATGAGGCAGCTGCATCCAGGGTGTTGAGAACACTCAGAGCTGGGAAGGCAGAGAGATCAGTGGCTAAAGCCTCTCAGAATTAGGTGTGGTGCTCAGAGCTGGGGATCCAGTGACTTGGTGCTGATGGTGGGGACAGAGGGGTAAGGGGGCTTTGTGGACCACCCTCCATGGGGATGGCTATGATCATATAAGACTGTGGACCTAAGGGAAAAATCTGAGGCCAAAGTAATATAAGTAGAGAGATTTATTTGGGCCATGTTTGCAGACTGCAACCGGGAGCATAGACTCAAGTTGCCCTGATTATATGATCTGATGAGCAGCAGTTACAAGTGGGTTTTTAAAAGAAAAGAAGGCTGGGTGCAGTGGCTCACACCTGTAATCCCGGCACTTTGGGAGGCCGAGGCAGGCAGATCACAAGGTCAGGAGTTCGAGACCAGCCTGGCCAATATGGTGAAACCCTGTCTCTACTAAAAATACAAAATTAGCTGGGCATGGTGGCGGGCGCCTGTAGTTTCAGCTACTTGGGAGGCTGAGGCAGGAGAATCGCTTAAACCCGGGAGGAGAAGGTTGCAGTGAGCCGAGATTGTGCCACTGCACTCCAACCTGGGCGACAGAGCGAGACTCTGTCTCTAAATAAATAAATAAATGAAAAGAAGAGACAGTTCCTAAGTGATTTACCAAGAATGTACATTAAAATGATATAAGCTATTGATTCATTATACTTTGTTCTTTGTATCACAAATTTTGTTAACATGAAAGTAATGGGTAAAGCAGCTAGTTAGGAGCAAAATGCCTTTAAACAATTGTCCCTGGGAAGGAAGGAGCATGACTGAAGTCTCATGTCTCTCTGGGCTTGACACATTTTGCATACATCACATAGCTCAGACAGCTGCTGAGCTATTTTTCTGTTCTTGTGACCAACAGTTTACACACACATGGAAAACTACAAAATGCTGTTTCTATACAAGCGCCTTGTATTAAGCCTGGAAGTGTTATGGGTGGTAACCATAAATAGTTACAAGAAATAGACTCTTCCCATAATTTCCAAAACATGATTTATGAATGATTTGGTAACGATATCCCTATGCATTCCACTGGGGATCCTCCAGTCTAAATGTAACAGTAGAAAATAACTATGAACTTGGCTGCTGGAATCAGTGAATGGTACACATCTGTTTTAGTTACCCTCCTCTGCTTTGAATGCTGTACATTGCTGCAGTGTACTGTGAAGCATGTAAAGGTAATAAAAAGATGAATGAGTTTGTTTTCATTGACAGAGCTGTTTTTCTAGAAGGAGTCTACAGGGGAAGTCCATAGACACACTGATTCAAGGCAGAAAGTTTGCAGTGCCATTAAAGATGTCAATCAAAGCAGGAGGAATCTGGTTTGTGGAAATGGGAGGGGGAGACTTCCCAAAGAGCCTGGGGTTAGAACCTGATCCCTGAAAGGTTAGGTCTGCAGTTTGAAGCCTTTGTACTTCCGTGAAATCTCACTTGTGCTTCAATCGTTGTGAACCCTGGTGCCATCATAGCTTGCTATAATCTCAAACTTCTGGGCTCAAGCATTCCTCCCATCTCAGCCTCCCAAGTAGCTAGGACTACAGGCAAGTGCCACCATACCCAGATCATTTTAAAATTTTTTGTAGAGATGGGGTTATGAAGTATTGCCCAGGTTGGTCTCAAACCCCTGCCTCAAGCCATCCTCCTGCCTTGGCCTCAAGTGCTGGGATTATAGGGGTGAGCTGCTGATCCCGGCCTCTATTTTACTTCAATCTACAGATGAAACTTTGGAGCCAGGCAGATCTGGATTCAAATGAACCACTTTCTAGCTGAGTAGTTTTTTTACTTAAGTTAAACTTGACTTTTTTTTTCTTTCTTTCTTTTTTTGGTGGAGACAAGGTCTCGCTCTGTCACCTAGGCTGAGTGCAGTGGCACGATCACAGCTCACTACAGCCTCGAACTCTTGAGTGATCCTCCTATCTCAGCCTCCCCAGTAGCTGGGACTACAGGCCTGCGTCACTACACCCAACTAATTTTTGTATTTTTTTGTAGAGATGGTGTTTTGCCATGTTGCCCAGGCTGGTCTTGAACTCCTGAGCTTAAGTTACCTGCCTGCCTCAGCCACCTCCCAAAGTGCTGGGATTACAGGTGTGAGCCACACGCCTGGCCTTGACTTTTCTTATGTATAAATAGTGCATTGTGAGGGTTAAATGAGGTCCCATAAGAAAATGCTTAACACACAGTTTGATGCCAAGGACATGTTCATCCCATTGCATGGGTCAGTGAGCAACCTGTCCTAGTGGTGAGCTATTTTACAGGAATGCTTGTGTAATGATGGCTTGGCCCATTCTTACAGTGACCCCAAGGCCCACAGTATAGTAACTGTGTCTGGGGAGTAGGAGGGAGAAGGTTCCAGCAGGGTAAACTACCTAAGCAAAGGTGGGGCTGCTGGAGATGGGTGGACAGGCCTGAGCTTATGCTGAAGATGGGAATAAAGCTGGTCATGCATTCAACAGGCCAACATGCAGGCTGTAATTTCATCTTCTGGGTTGGCCTTGCCATGGGACTGTTCTAATAACGAAGGGTAGGAACAATTCTGCCAGTGCCTCTCCCTTTAGAACTAAACATGTTGTATTTCTAGCTTACAAATCGTGCTTTATAAACCTCAGTGGCATGCATGTATTCCTCCATTTGGGAGTTAGTTGACGGGAAAGCAAATCCCAGTCCTACCAGTCCTAACTTAGTGTGGCTTTAGGCAAGTTACTGAACCTCCGCAGACCTTAGTTTGTTTGTAAAATAGGCTGTTTGGACAAGATGTGCTCTACCTTTGGGAGAAGATTCTGTGATTCCTAAAGAGGCTGGAGTTTGAGCCTGATCCCTAAACCCAATAAGGCTGTGATTTGAAGTATGCAGCCTTCATACGTGTGTGAAATTTCACTTGGTCTCTTATGAACCCTGAGTATGCAGCTTCCTAACCTGACATTCTGTAATTCTGTAGTCCCCTGAGCAAAAAGAAGCATCAAGTTTTGTTTTATACACACACACGCACACACACACTTAAATATGTTTTTCTTTTTCTTTTTTTTTTTTTTGAGACGGAGTCTCGCACTATCACCAGGCTGGAGTACAGTGGCGCGATCTGGGCTCACTGTAACCTCCGCCTCCTGGGTTCAGCAATTCTCCTGCCTCAGCCTCCCAAGTAGCTGGGATTACAGACACCTGCCACCACGCCCAGCTAATTTTTTGTATTTTTAGTGGAGATGGGGTTTCACTATGTTGGCCAGGCTGGTCTCAAACTCCTGACCTCGTGATCCGCCTGCCTTGGCCTTCCAAAATGCTGGGATTACTGGACTCAAACAATCCTACTTCCTCAGCCTCCTGAGTAGCTGGGATTACAAGCACAAACCACCATGTGCACCTGGCTACCTCAAAGGTTTTCTTCCTAGAAAACTAATATCTAGCCTTGTATGTATTTTAGTAATCCTATCAAGGGACAAGTGTCTTGACTCAGCCCCCATCCCTGATTCCTAGGCACTCTTCTCCTGGGGTCTCTGTCCAGCTATTCCAAAAGAAAACCTGCAGCATGGATGCCTCCTGACTCCAAGTATTTCAGGCTACTCTGTCACCTGGGATGGAGTGCAGTGGCGTGATCACGGCTCACTGTAGCCTTGACCTCCCAGTCTCAGGTGATGTGCCCACCTCTGCCTCCCAAATAGCTGGGATTACAGGTGTGTACCACCATGCCTTGCTAAATTTTTTGTATTTTGTTTTGGTAGAGACAGATTTCCACTTTGTTGCCCCAGGTGGTCTCAAACTGCTGGGCTCAAGCGATCCTCCCAACTCAGCCTCCCAAAGTGCTGGGATTACAGGTGTGACCCACCGCACTGGCCCTTCTATGTCTTCTTGAGAGAGTTTTCTAAACCCAAATTATCACTTCTTATGTATTTTCTGTACATACTTACAAACACACCAGTGGTTCCATTCAAGATGCTGAAAATGGGCCAGGCACAGTGGCTCACACCTATAACTCAGCACTTTGGGAGGCTGAGGTGGGAGGATCGCTTGAGCCCAGAAGTTTGAGACCAGCCTGGGCAACATAGGGAGACCCCATCTCTACAGATAATACTTTTTACAAATTAGTTGGGTGTGGTGGCATGTGCTTGTGGTTCCAGCTTCCTGGGGGACTGAGGCAGGAGGATTGCTTGAGCCCAGGAAGTCGAGGCTGCAGTGAGCCGTGATCATGCCACCACACTCTAGCCTCAGTGACAGGGTGAGAGCATGTCTCAAATAATAATAATAATAATAACAAAACAAGATGCTGAGAATGGAAGCTTCCACCAATATAGAGTATCTTGTTCAAAATCTTTACTGGGCTGGGTGCGGTGGCTCATGCCTGCAATCCCAGCACTTTGGGAGGCTGAGGCAGGTGGATCACCTGAGGTCAGGAGTTCAAGACCAGCCTGGCCAACATGACGAAAACCCATCTCTACTAAAAATACAAAATTAGCTGGGCATGGTGGCATGCACCTGTAATCCCAGCTACTCGGGAGGCTGAGGCAGGAGAATCTCTTGAACCCAGTGGGTGGAGGTTGCAGTGATCCGAGATAGCACCACCTCATTCCAGCCTGGGCAAAAGAGCAAAACTCCGTCTCAAAAAAATAATTTTTTTTTTTTTTACTGTAGTCCTTACTAGTCTTTGTAGTCGTTTGTAGTTTGTTCTTTGTAGTTGGTATTTTTCAGAGGTCACATACTCCTCAGGGTGGTTATGTCGAGTGGTAGAAAGATCATGGGGCTTTATGATATAATTACATACAGTAAACTGCACAGATCTTTTTTTTTTCTTTTTTTTATTTTGAGACAGAGTTTCACTGTTGTTGCCCAGGCTGGAGTGCAATGGCGCAATCTTGGCTCATCACAACCTCCGCCTCCCAGGTTCATGCGATTCTCCTGCCTCAGCCTCCCAAGTAGCTGGGATTACCCGCATGTGCCACCACGCCTGACTTATTTTGTATTTTTAGTAGAGATGGGATTTCTCCATGTTGGTCAAGCTGGTCTCAAACTCCCGACCTCAGGTGATTTGCCCGTCTCGGCCTCCCAAAGTGCTGGGATTACAGGCGTGAGCCACCGTGCCTGGCCTGTGTCTGGCTTTTTTTGCTCAGAAGCCAAGGAGTGCTTTTGGGAGGAGCAGCTCATTAACCTTGACAAAAACTCACAAAAGTGAGTTTTACGTATTAAACAGCTCAATGTTTCAGAGTTCTGTATGTATTCTAGTATTATTCCTTTGTCAGACATGTGGCTTACAAATGTTTTTCCCCACTTTGTAGCTTTTTTTCATCCTCTTAAAAGGGTCTTTTGCAGAGCAAAATTTTTTAATCCTTTTTTTTTTTTAATTTTTTGAGAAAGGCCTCACTCTGTCACCCTGGCTGGAGCACAGTGGTGCAACCACGGCTCAGTGCAGCCTCAACCTCCTGGGCTCAAGTGATCCTCCTGCCTCAGCCTTCCAAGTACGTAGGACTATGGGTACACGCCACAAAGCCCAGCTAATTTAAAAAATTTTTTCATAGAGATGGATGGCACTGTGTTGCCTAGGCTGGTCTCCAACTCCTGTGCTCAAGTGATTTTCCCACCTCAGCCTCCCAAAGTGCTAAGATTACTTTACAGACGTGAGCCACTATGCCCAGCCCATATAGCAATTTAAAAAAATTTTTTTATAAAGTCTAATTTATTAAGTCTAGTTTATAAAGTCTAGTTTAGTGAGTTTTTTTTTTTAGATGGGATCTCATTATGTTGCCCAGGCTGGTCTCCAACTCCTCGGTTCAAGCAATTCTCCTGCCTCAGCCTCCCAAGTAGCTAGGATTACAGGTGCATGCCACTGCACCCAGCGCTCAGTGAGTGTTTTTTTTTGTTGTTTGTTTGTTTTTAATGGATCTTGCTTTTGGTGTCAAGCCTAATAACTTTTTGCCTAGCTCTAGATCCAGAAGATTTTATAATTTTTTTTTACACTTAAGTCTGATTCATTTTATTTTTGCTTATATAGAATGTGAGACTTAGTCAGAGTTCATTTTTGTTGTTGTTGTTGTTGTTATTTTTTATTTTTTTTATTTTTTATTTTTCGAGACGGAGTCTCGCTCTGTTGCCCAGGCTGGAGTGCAGTGGCGCGATCTCGGCTCACTGCAACCTCCGCCTACCGGGTTCACGCCATTCTCCTGCCTCAGCCTCCCGAGTAGCTGGGACTACAGGCGCCTGCCACCACGCCTGGCTAATTTTTTGTATTTTTAGTAGAGACGGGGTTTCACCGTGTTAGCTAAGTTGGTCTCGATCTCCTGACCTTGTGATCCACCTGCCTTGGCCTCCCAAAGTGCTGGGATTACAGGCGTGAGCCACCACGCCCGGCCTGTTGTTGTTATTATTTTCCTGCGACAGAGTTTCACTCTTGTTGCCCAGGCTGGAGTGCAATGGTGCAATCTCGGATCACTGCAACCTCTGCCTTCCGATTTCAAGTAAGTTTTCCTGCCTCAGCCTCCCGAGTAGCTGGGATTACAGGCATGTGCCACCACACTCAGCTATTTTTTGTATTTTTAGTAGAGACAGGGTTTCGCCATGTTGGTCAGGCTGATCTTGAACTCCTGACCTCAGGTGATCCACCTACCTCGGCCTCCCAAAGTGCTGGGATTACAGGTGTGAGCCACCATGCCCAGGCAGTTCTTTTTTTTTTTTTTTTCCTGAGGCTCTTTTTATGCTTTTAATGGCCCTCATGCATTAAAATGGCCATCAATTAAGAAAATGACCATTTAGTAGTGATCTTTTTGGGATTTTATTTGTCACAACAGCACCTTTGTCTTGAACAATAGTTGCACATTGTAACTAGTATAAATATATCACCTATTTATTCAGGTACATAAAAATTATAATTTTATTTCAAGATAAAACAGCTATTACAGGTTCAGACTCAGCAGTTCAGCATTGTCCTTCCTGCACAAGCATTGGCCATCTCTACTCCCATATCAACGACCACTGGAAGGTCAACCACTAGCCTAGTGTCTGTGCAAATTAGGCAAAGGAGCCCCCCAAGAGGATGCAGCCCCATGGCATGTGGCTTGGCGAGTGGCACATGGACTAGAAGAATGAGATCACAAAACTTTCAGTGGTGTGCAAGGGAGACGGGAAGGGAGAGCCTGCCTTTCGACTGCCATGAGCTAGGAGATATATTGGACCAATGAGCTATAACACAAGAGTGAATATGTTGAATGAGGACTGAGGACTTAGCTATGAGTACAGCATGTGAATTTCATGGACAAGTGAGGGCTCTTGCTTATTGCATAAATGTTGGTCTTGGCTAGGCACAATGGCTTACGCCTGTAATCCCTACACTTTAGGAGGCTGGAGTGGGAGGGTTGCTTGAGGCCAGGAGTTTGAGACCAGCCTGGGCAACACAGCAAGACCCTGTCTCTACTAAATAAATAAATAAATAAATCCCAGCTGAGCGTGTGGCTCCTGCCTGTGGTCCCAGCTACTAGGAGGTTGAGACAGGAGGATCACTTGAGCCTAGAAGTTTCAGGCTGCAGTGGGCCGTGATCACGCCATTGCACTCCAGCCTGGGCAACAGAGTGAGACCCTGTCTCAAAAAAAAAAAAAGTTGGTCTTGACCTTGACCCTTTACATAACAGGCGCTGTGGGTCTCCTGCCCATGCTAGGAAGTTGCTTCATCTTTTGGATATTGTAGACACCCTTAGTAGGAGATCATCAAGCTCCTTGTATTTTCCCTCTTAAAACTTTCATGTGAAAAAAAATTTGAAACACAATTACATGGAAAAATAACAAACACCTGTGTGTCTGACAGGGAATAAAAATTTAACCTTTCTTGTTTTCAGAAAAATTATAAATGAAAGAAAACACTACAGATCAAATTGAAGTCCCTTTTCTGTCCCTCCTGCAGCTGACCCCCACCAGAGAGCCACCATCATAAATTTAATATATGTTGTGCTGAAGCACATTTTATACTTTTAGCATGTCTCTGAATCCATAAATAGTACAGTTGTCCCCCAGTATCTATGGGGGGTTGGTTCCAGGACCTCCCTTGTATACCAAAATCCTTGGATGCTCAAGCCTATGATATAAAATGGTGCCATATAACCTATGTGCATCCTCCTATGTACTTTAGATAATCTCTAGACTACTTATAATACCTAATACAGTATCTACACATCACTTCATTTGTGTGGATTCAACATAGTACTTAGTAAGCAGCAAGCTCAAGATCTAAGATATTAGTTTTACCTGCTGTATAGCAGTCCATCCTATGACTGTATCTCTAGCAGTGAAATTGCTGTGCTGAAGAGTTGACATTTTCAGCTTTTTTACGTATTGCTCTGGTGAGACTGTGCTACCGTGACCACCAGCAGCAACCAAGTTTTGCTGTTTCCCCACATCCTTGCAAATATTTAGCATTGCTGGACTTTAAAGTGTCTGCTGCTGGGCTCAGTGGCAGTTTGCTTTTCAGAACTTTGTGGAATTTTTTTTTCCAAATATTTTTCTTTTTCTTTTTTTTTGGGAGATGGAGTCTCACTCTGTCACCCAGGCTGGAGTACGACAGCGCTGTCTAGGCTCACTGCAACCTCCACCTCCCAGGTTCAAGAGATGCTCCTGCCTCAGCCTCCCGAGTAGCTGGGATTATAGGCGTCTGCCACCACACCTGGCTAATTTTTGGATTTTTAGTAGACATGGGGTTTCACCATATTGGCCGGGCTGGTCTCAAACTCCTGATCTCAGGTGATCCACCTGTCTCCGACTCCCAAAGTGCTAAGATTACAGGCCTGAGCTACCATACCTGGCCCCAGTATTTTTCAATCTAAGGTTGATTGAATCCACAGATGCAGAAACCATGGATACAGAGGGCTGACTATATCTTGTATCATTTGATCTGTTTTTAAAGTTTATATTTGTTTAAACATGGAAAGTACTTAGAATCATGTTATGTGAGTAATAAGTGCTCTTAGTCTTGGATTTTTTTGTGTATCAATAAACAATACATATTTTATGCCTTTTTTTTTTCAAGAGACAGGGTCTTGCTGTCTCCCAGGCTGCTGGAGTGCAATGACGCCATCATGGCTCACTGCAGCCTCAACCTCCTGGGCTCAAGTGATCCTCCCAGTTCAACCTCCCGAGCAGCTGGAACGACAGGTGCATGCTACCACACAGCTTTTTTTTTTTTTTTTTTTTTTTTTTTAGAGATGGTCTTGCTATGTTGCCCAGGCTGGTCTCAAACTCCTGGGCACAAGCAGTCTTCCCACTTTGACCTCCCAAAGTGCTGGGATCACAGGCATGAGCCACCGTGTCCAGCATTATTATGCTTTTATAATTTCAGCAAAAATAGTATCATAGTTCTTTTCTTCTTTCATACAGTAGTATGTGTGTTACAGATCTATTCATCTCAGATGGACATAAGTTGAGACCTGTAGATCTAAGTTATTGGTTTTACCTGCTGTATAGCAGTCCATGCTATTACTATATCTCTAGCAGTGAAATTGCTGTGCTGAAGAGTTCTTTTTTAGGTATTGCCCTGGCGAGACTGTGCTACTGTGACCACCAGCAGCAACCAAGTTTTGCTATTTTCCCACATCCTTGCAAATATTTAGCATTGCTGGACTTTAAAGTGTTTGCTGCTGGGCTCAGTGGCACGACCCTGTAGTCCTAACTACTTTGGAAGCTGAGGTGGAAGGATCACTTGAGGCCAGGAGTTTGAGGCCAGCCTGGGCAACATAGACACTATTGCTAAAAAAAAGAGTTTGCCGCTCTGGTGGGGGTGAAAGAGTATCTCGTTGTGGTTTTAATTTATACTTCCCTGATTACCAGTGAGATTGGGCATCTTTTAAAATGTTTATTGGTAATGTCTCCTGTGTCTGTTCTGTTCCTATTCATTGCCCATTTATTGTGTGAGATTATTTGTCCTTATTGATTTGTGTTTTTTAAAACACAGGCTAAATATTAATCCTTTGTCTCATATATAAAATGAAATTTATAAATCCAGGCTGTTGCTTGTCTTTTAGCCTTGTTGATGATGTATGTTTCTCTGTGGACCTAGGGACCAGCCTCCCATGGGGGGTAAGGAGCAGAGGCCAGTCCATGGCTTGGAACAAAACAGGATATTGCTTTCAATTTAATTTTGAAAGCCTCACTGGTGGCTAGCTAGTATGGCACCCTCCCCAGGAAGCAGGGGGTGGCCTCAGCATGGGGACTGTTCCTGCAGTCTCTGGGCCCCTCACAAATCAAGGTTCTGAGTCCTTCATCCTCCCTCCCCAGTGGCTTCTGAAGAGGCCTTGCCCAGGGCCTGAGGCATTTCCACCCCCCGACAGGGGCAGGGTCCACCTGTAAACCTCTGGCCCAGGTTCCAAGAACCTCTACCCAGCAGGTAATATGTAACAGGAGGCAAAACAAACAGCTTCTCCTCTTATGTTCTCCATGGCAGACCTGTTTGCCCAGGCATTTGCAATCCTCCCTGCCAACTGTGGCTCCCTCAGAGCCCAGCTCTGCCTGTGGTCTCTACATGACCATGTCAGAACTGTGCAATCCTTTGTGCCCAGTGACCTCTAGCCCCCGACTTTAGTTGCCAGCCCTGAGTGTCACAGAATGCCACAGCTATTTCACCTGCATTGCCCTGAACCAGCTGGCTCGTGTTTTCTGTCCAGTTCCTGCTGGTAGGCAAGGCTGGGCTGGGCAGGGCTAATGCTGGGGCAGAAGGCTTTCCAGGTGGGTCCGACCAGGTGGCTGCACAGGTAGGGTGCAGAGCCACTATGGGTTGGTGCCAGGAGAGGTGAGCTGGCTCACAAGAGCAGAACAATGAGAGAAGAGGCAGCAAAGAAAAAGAATCAGATACCACAAGGAGATGGAAAAGTCAGTGTGTGCTCAAGGACTGCCAAGTGGGAGGCCTAGTGGGGGCAGCTGCTGAAGGGGCCATCCCGGGAGGGGCTCCCCATGGACTGGAGGCACTCAGACGGCTCCCCGTCAGCCTGCAGGGCCCCCAGGGCAGGATGTGGATGGGCTGCAGAGTAAAGAGTAGTACTCTTGGAAAAGGGTCCAGATTTGCCACCCATCAGGGTCAGAACCTTAAGAAAATGAACTACTTGCTTCTTCATCCTTAAAAAGAAATGATCTGAGAGTAATGTGAGAATCATATGAGACACCCAGGCTGTGCAGTGGCACGATGTCGGCTCACTGCAGCCTTGATCTCCCCAGGCTCAGGTGATCCTCCCACCTCAGCCTCCCCAGTAGCTGGGACCACAGGTATGCACGACCACACCCAGCTAAATTTTTTTGGTGTTTTTTGTAGGGATGGGGTTTCACCATGTTGCCCAGGCTGGTCTCGAACTCCTGGGCTCAAGGGATCCGCCCACCTTGGCTTCCCAAAGTGGTGAGATTACAGGCGTGAGCCACCATGCCTGGCCTGGCGGTCCTTTTTAAGTCACAGGGCTCTGAAAAGATTCATGTTGTATTGTATTGGGGTCTTGGAAGCCAGGCAGTCCTGGGTTTGAATCCCAGGTTGGCTGTTTACATGCTCTGTGGCTTTGGGTGAGGTGCTGCATTTCTTGGAGCCTCATTCCTTCATCTGTAAAATGGGTATGTATCTTGGTCAGGGAGTGGTTATGAAGATCACAGATCAGGCATGCAGAGTCTTTGAAGAGAGCTGGCATGAGGACACAGCAATAAACATCAGCTCACATTTTTCTGAAATCTGCTTTATCACCTACAGTGTATTAGACATTTTCCATGTCATTAAATGTTGTGTCTTTATTTATTTATTTATTTATTTATTTTTATTTATTTATTTTGAGACAGGACCTTACTCTGTCTCCCAGGCTGGAGTGCATGGCACAATCATGGCTTACAGCAGCCTCGCCCTTGTGGGCTCAAGCAATTGTCCCACCTTAGCCTCCCAAGTAGCTGGGACACAGACACACACCAGCATGCCTGGCTAATTAAAAACATTTTTTTTGGCTGGGCACGGTGGCTCACACCTGTAATCCCAGCACTTTGGGAGGCCCAGATGGGTGGATCACCTGAGGTCAGAAGTTCAAGACCAGCCTGGCCAACATGGTGAAACCCCATTTCTACTAAAATTACAAAAATTAGCCAGGCGTGGTGGTGCATGCCTGTAGTCCCAGCTATTTGGGAGGCTAAGGCAGGAGAATCGCTTGAACCCTGGAGGCAGAGGTTGCAGTGAGCTGAGATTGTACCACTGCACTCCAGCCTGGGTGACAAGAGTGAAACTCCATCCCAAAAAAACAAAACAAAACAATTTTTTTTTTTTTTTTTTTGTAGAGACTGGGTCTGCTATATTGCCCAGGCTGATCTCAAACTCCTGGAATCAAGTGATCCTCCCGCCTTGGCCTCCAAAAGTGCTGGGATTACAGCCATGAGCCACTACGCCTGGCCTTTTAGTTTAGTTTTGTTTTAGAGACAGGGTCTTTCTCGGTCACCCAGGCTGGCATGCAGTGACACATTCATGGCTCACTGCAGCCTTGACCTACTAGGCTCAATCAAACATCCTGCCTTAGCCTCCCAAGTAGCTGGGACCACAGGTGCACACCACCACACCTGGCTAATTTTTAATTTTTTTGTAGAGACGGGGTCTCAATATGTTGCTCAGGCTGGCCTGAGCTCCTGAATTCAAGCGATTTTCCTGCCTTGGCATCCCAAAGCGTTGGGATTATAGGTCGTGAGCCATTTTGCCTGACCATGTCTTCATTTTTTAATGGCAGTATTGCATTGTATATGCTCTCTAATTTAGTTATCTAATCTCTTACTCATAGGAATAATTTTTTTTTCCCAGTTCTTTGCTAAGTGGCAATTAATCATACCTTTAGGCATTTTTTAGGTTTTATTTCTTTTTTTTTTTTCTGAGACGGAGTCTCACTCTGTTCCCAGACTGGAGTGCAGTGGCGCAATCTCGGCTCACTACAACCTCCGCCTCCTGGGTTCAACTGATTCTCGTGCCTCAGCCTCCCGAATAGCTGGGACTATGGGTGCACGCCACCATGCCCGGCTAATTTTTGTATTTTTAGTACAGACAGGGTTTTACCATGTTGGCCAGGATGGTCTCGATCTCCTGACCTTGTGATCCGTCCACCTCAGCCTCCCAAAGTGCTGGGATTACAGGCGTGAGCCACCGCGCCCGGCCAGGTTTTTGTTTGTTTGTTTGTTTGTTGTTGTTGTTTTTTAGAATAGATCCCTAAAAGTAGAATTGCCAGGAGGCCAAACAGCTTCTCCCCTTAGATTCTCCATGGCAGACCTGTTTCAAAAGGTATGCATATTCAGAATGTTAGTAGATATTACCAAATCAGAAGGAATCCAGATTTACAGGTTTTGAAGCTAACACAGTTTGGGATGCCCTCTTTCTAAACAAGAATAAAAAGCTCTTAAGTATCAGATTTTGTGCAAACTGAAGATCGATTTAGAATAAGAAAAGAATTTGCTACCAATTGCTGCGAGCTTGAAGATTCTCTTTTGAGCTCTCTTTAAGCAATTTGTCAGAAATGCTGACAGATAAATGCTTCTTGATTTGCAGCCAGCTTTCCCTCTCCAATTTCCAGGCACGCCCAGCACTAGGATGGTAGGGAGGGGCCAGGCTGGGGGGCATGCTAAAGTGTAAGTTTCTTAGGCTTCCTGCCTCTATACTTACCATCTTCTAAAAATCTTATACCAGTTTACACTCTGGTATATTTCTCCACATCCTTGCCAACATTCCATATAATCAATAACTCCTGTTTTTATGTTGAAATTCATAGCCATTTTATTAATCTTCTCTACTTGGGGAGTTTTTTTTAGGCCCTATTGAATGCAGCGTGATCATCTAGTGCTCTAGCTTATCTTAAAATAACCTCTCCCACTGATTGCATAAAGCCAGCAAGAACATGAACCTACTTGGGTTACAAGGATTAACTCTTATTTAGCTGCAACTGCTTTCTAGTACTGCTTATGAATATTCTTTGACAAAAGTGCCTATCATGGAAATTTGAAATTAAATATAGACTCCTCTAGAAAGACAGCAATCTTTGGTTTGGGTAGAGGATTACTGATTTGTTCTATTTTCTCTTCTTGTAATGTTTCATTTATTACAGTATCAGACAGGTTGAATTATTTTATATCTATATATAATTTTTGGAATAGCAGCTTTTTGGCCCCGGTGGTGTAATAATCTAGATAAGTGATCAAAAGGAATTGAGTTTGAAATATCAGCCACTGGCTGGGCGCAGTGGCTCACACCTGTAATCCCAGCACTTTGGGAGGCTGAGATGGACGGATCACTTGAGGTCAGGAGTTTGAGACTAACCTGGCCAACATGGCAAAACCCTATCTCTACTAAAAATACAAAAAAATTAGTTGGGCACGGTGGTGCATGCCTGTAGTCCCAGCTACTCCGGAGGGTGAGGCAGGAGAATCATTTGAACCAGGGAGGTAGAAGTTGCAATGAGCTGAGATCGCACCACTGCACTCCAGCCTGGCGATAGTGTGAGACTCCGGCCCAAAAAAAAAGAAAAAGAAATATCAGCTGCTAAAGGATCAGAGACTAGATATCTTCCCCAGCCCCCGAGTTTCTCTCTCTGCAAACACACACACACACACACACACACACACACACTTTTGCCACCATCTGAAAATAAGTTGCAGGCATCATAATATCCATATTTTTCATCTTTGCTTATCTCGTGGGGAACAAATGCCTCATGTTTGTTTTTCTTTGATCTGTGACATGGGCACCTCTTCCTATGCTTACTGGCCATTTGTCTTCCATCTTCTGTGACTTTGTGGCAGATTTGGTCATTATTGTCTTCTGTGTGTAAGTGTCACTTGGTCTGTTTTGGTGGAAAAATGTTTGCAATTAGATAATGTGGCTTTTTTTTGAGAGATTGGGGCTCACTCTGTTGCCCAGGCTGGAGTGCTGTGGCATAATCATAGCTCACTGCAACCTTGAAGTCCTGGGCTCAAGTTATCCTCCTGCCTCAGCCTCCTGAATAGTTGAGACCACAGGTGCATGCCACTACCCCTGGCTAATTTTTAAATTTTTTATAGAGACAGGATCTCACTGCATTGCCCAGGCTGGTCGTGAACTCCTGGACTCAGGGAATCCTCCTGCCTCACCCTCCCAAAGTGTTGGGATTATAGGCATGAGCTACCGTGCCTGACTTACATGAGGCTGTCAATCAACCTTTTTAGCAGCATCTTGGACCAGTTGCTTAACTTTTTCATCTCAGTGTTCTCCATCTTTAAAACAGGAATAAAAGTCCTCATCTCCCACAAATTGCTGGGACAATTTGCCTCGAAAACCTGTATGATTGCATTACAGAGGAGATACTCAGTGTTCCTTTTCTCTTCTGTTCAGATACCCTGCAGATTTACCCATCTCTGCCTTCCTCTCTGAGAGTGCTTATCTTTTCATAAAGCAGAATCATTACATTCCCGACGTGTCATCAAAAGTGTCTACAGGCTGGGCATGGTGGCTCACGTCTGTAATCCCAACACTTTGGGAGGCCAAGGCAGGAAGAATGCTTGAGCTCAGGAGGTCAAGACTAGCCTGGGCAACATAGGGAGACACTCTGACTCTACAAAAAAAATTTTTTTTAATTATCTAGGTCTGCTGGTACATTCCTGTGTTCCCAGCTACTCAGGAGGCTGGGATAGGAGGATCACTTGAAATTGGGAGGTCAAGTCTGCAGTGAGCTGTGATCATGCCACTGCACTCCAGCCTAGGCTTCAGAGCAAGACCCCATCCTATCTTTAAAAAAAAAAAAAAAATTGTAAAGCTGCCCTCTGGATCTTGCTGGAGCCTTGCATTCAGTAAGCCATATTCTAAATGAACAACTATGCATCATCAGCTGCTCTGTGCTCCTGAACCTGTAGAACATGCATCCACATCTGAAACAGGTTGGCAGGGCTAACAGTCACATTGTACCATGACTGTCCAGAAAACACAGCCTCAGGAAGGAAAAGCCTATGACATTCAACATTGGGACTGTTTATTTTCTTGAGTAATTTCTAAGACAGAGATCATGAACAGATGTGTTTTCTTGGCTTGCCCAGCTTTATTTATTAATGTATATATTTTGCACAGATGTGCTATGTGCTGCTTTTATTTTTCTGACAGAATGTTAAATAGGTACTGCAATGTTGCTAAATTTAGTTTATTAATTATGACTACATTGGCAGTAGCTTAAGCCCTAGAAGGTTTTTTTTTTTAAAACTTCGTGTTGAAATATATGACAGATTCAGAAAAGTACACTTTTTTTTGGAGGCAATCTTGGCTCACTGCAATCTCCGCCTCCCAGATTCAAGCGATTCTCCTGCCTCAGCCTCCTGAGTAGCGGGGATTACAGGCACATGCCACCATGCCTGGTTAATTTTTGTATTTTTAGTAGAGACGGGGTTTCACCATGTTGGTCAGGCTGATTTCGAACTCCTGACCTCAACTGACCCACCCACCTCGGCATCCCAAAGCCACCACACCCAGCCAGAAAAGTACACATATTTTAAGGCCCACTTGATGTACTTTTGATAAAGTGAACACACCCATGTAACCAGCACTCAAATCAAGACACAGAACATGACCAGAAACCAGGAGTTCCCTCGTGACCTCTTTAAGTCACTGACCCTCACCAACTGACCATTCTCCTGACTTCTAACAGCATAGATTAGTTTTGCCTATTTTGTACGTATAAATGGAATTAGACAGTATACCTTTTAAAATCTGGCTTCTTTCATTGAACATTGTTTTATGAGATTCAGATTGCTGGGCATAATCATAGTTCCTTTGCTCTCATTATTGTATAATTACAAATAAGTCACCACTTATTTATCTGTTCCATCGTTGATGGACATTTGGGTATTTTAAATATTGGAAATGATACAAATATCCTAGTACCTGTCTTTTGGTGAGCACATGTTTGATTTCTATTGGATATATACCTAGGAGTAGATTATGCACATTATTTTTTAAGTGTACATTCAATGGCTTATAGTATATTCATAGATATGTGTAACCATCACTATAGTCAATTTTAGAACATTTTCATCACCTCACAGAGTTACCCTATGTCCTTGTAGCTATTATCTCTCTGTCTTCCCATCCCTCCCAGCACTAAGCAACCACTTAATCTGTTTTCTGTCTCTATAGAATTACCTATTCTGGACATATATATGGAATCATAGTGTCTTGTATGATTAAAATAAGGATGGCCAGGTGTGGTGGCTCACTCTTGTAATCCCAGCACTTTGGGAGGTTGAGACAGGTAGATCACTTGAGCTCAGGAGTTCAAGAACAGCCTGGGCAACATGGCGAAACCCAGTCTCTACCAAAAATACAAAAATTAACCGGATGTGGTGGTGCGCGCTTAGAGTCCCAGCTACTCGGGGGGTGCTGGGACAGGAGGATCTCTTGAGCCCCAGAGGCAGAGGTTGTAGTGAGCCGAGATCGCGCCACTGCACTCCAGCCTGGGCCACAGAGTGAGACTCTGTCTCAAAATAATAATAATAATAATAATAATGAGATGATCAAAGTATGATTTCACGAGTCACACAGTTTATTGCCATACAAAGAGTTTTTTTCTTTTTTTGTTCACAGTGCTTAAAGCGGGGAGAATAAGAAAACAAATCTCATAGGGAATACACTCAATAGAGGAGGTCCCTTAGCCACATAGTGAGTGAGTTCCAGTCTGTTAGAATCCAATTATTAAAGTCTAATTGCTCACTTAGGATGAAAGCAAGCCTCTGTGGAAAGTAGTCTGACTGACGCTTGAGGCGTACCTTTATAGAGAGATTCTCAGCTAGATGGCTTGACCATCCTAGAGGGTATACCGGAGTTGGTGAAGCTTTGGAAATTAGCTCAAAGGCTGATAGGGTGTGGCCTTAGCTCAGCCTGAGCTTTCACTCTTCAGAGAAGCGCTCAGAGTGTAGCCCTGCCACAGCCCAAGGTCTCAAAGTGTCTGTCAAACTCTTGGGTTTATATGTACAGTCTGGCGTTGCTTAACAACGGGAACACATTCTGAGAAATACATCAGACAATTTTGTCATTGTGCAAACATCATCAAGTGCACTTACACAAATCTAGATGGTAGAGCCTATTACACACCTAGAGCCTGTGCTCCCAGGCTGCAAAGCTGTACAGCATGTTACTGTCCTAAAGACTGTAGGCAATTGTAACACAAGGGTAAGTAGTCGTGTATGTGAACATATCTAAACGTAGAAAAGGTATAGTCAAAATACAATATTACAATATAATCTTATGGGACCACTGTCATATATGCCATCCATCATAAGCCAAAATGTCATTTTGCAGTGCATGACTGTATTTTAGAGTCCAGTAGCTGAGGTCAGTAGTTCACAAATGGGGTCTGATAAGGTGTGATTGTGTCACATTCACAAGGGGAGGGGAGTACACTCCATGTTCTTGTCACAGCAAAACATGTCACTCCCATAGCAAATGTCAACATAAATAACAAACAGAAAAAAAGTCTTCAAGTATAACGAGTTTAATTGGGAATGAGCATTGCAATGAGGAATATGTATGCCACAGTAAACTATGGGCATATTCACAGAGGTAAAGAAGACAAGGATTTTTAAAGGTAAAATGAGGGTTACATATGTTGTCTTGAAACAATTATCCTCGGCTACAAGGATCAAAAACAAGGGTGGCATCAGTCCAGGGCTGGACAGGCAGTTGCTGGGCAAATGTCCTCACAGAAGCATTTTGTGTGTGTGTGTAAGATTGAGGTGGCCTTTGTGCAAGGTTGTGGTTTTGGCAAAGTCTCTTGTGATATCTTTTGTTATCAGGCAGTCGTGCACCAGAACCCTCCCTGCATGTTCTTACCTGGCTCCATTTTGTCAGGGTTTGACACAAGTGACTCCATTTTGATTCTAACAACTTTTTCACAAACTATGTATGTATTTGGAATTATTTCAAAGTTGTATGACATATACAATATGTAGTCTTTTTTTTTTTTTTTTTTTTTTTGGAGATGGAGTCTCGCTCTGTCACCCAGGCTGGAGTGCAGTGGTGCAATTTGGGCCTGCTGCAACTTCTGCCTCCTGGGTTCAAGCAATTCTCCTGCTTCAGCCTCCCGAGTAGCCGGGACTACAGGCGCCCACCACAATGCCCAGCTAATTTTTGTGTTTTTGGTAGAGACAGGGTTTCATCATGTTGCCCAGGGTGCTCTCGAACTCCTGAGCTCAGGCAATCTGCCTCCCTCGGCCTCCCAAAGTGCTAGGATTACAGGCATGAGCCACCACGCCCGGCCCAATATATAGTCTTTTGTTACTGGCTTCTTTCACTTATAAATGTTTTCAAGGTTCCACCATGTTGTAATATGTATCAGTACTTCATTTCCTTTTTTTTTTTTCTTTGAGACTGAGTCTCGCTTTGTCACCCAGGCTGGAGTGCAGTGGCGCGATCTCGGCTCACTGCAAGCTCTGCCTCCAGGGTTCTTGCCATTCTCCTGCCTCAGCCTCCCAAGTAACTGGGACTACAGGCGCCCGCCACCACGCCCGGCTAATTTTTTTTGTATTTTTTTTTTTTTAGTAGAAACGGGATTTCACTGTGTTAGCCAGGATGGTCTCCATCTCCTGACCTCATGATCCACCCGCCTCGGCCTCCCAAAGTGCTCGGATTACAGGCGTGAGCCACCACTCCTGGCTACTTCATTTCCTTTTTAAAAATTGCTTTATTGTAGTAAAATACACATAACATACAATTTACCATCTTAACTATTGAAGTTTGCAGTTTAGTGGTATTAAGTACAGTACACTCACACTTTTGTGCAAGCATCAGCACCACCCACCTCCAGAACTTTTTCATCTTTCCCAACTGAAATTCTGTACCCATTAAACGATAAGTTCCCATTGCCCCCTCCTCAGCCCCCTCTACTGCTAGACAGCTTTTACCTTCAGTTTCTTCTTTCACTTAATAAACGAGAGGGTCCGTTGCTGACTAATGGGATTGCTTCTCTAAGTGGAGGCCTTTTCTAAGTGGAGGCCTTCTTGCATATATACGATTGAGTTTATCCTAAAAACGGGTAACAGAAAATGTGGTTGTAGAAAGACAAGAGGTGGAGACACAAACTGGCCAAGGGTTTTCATACTGGGTGTCCTATCCACAGGCCACAGCAGCCCCACCGCAGATCTGCCCGATTCTTTGGCATCAAGAAGTTGATCCAGCTCACGCCTGTAATCCCAGCACATTGGGAGGCCGAGGCAGGTGGATCACTTGAGGTCAAGAGTTTGAGACCAGCCTGGCCAACATGGTGAAACCCCATCTCTACCAAAAAATACAAAAATTAGCCAGGTGTGGTGGCACACACTTGTAATCCCAGCTACTCAGGAGGCTGAGGTGGGAGAGTCGCTTGAACCCAGGAGGCAGAGGCTGCAGTGAGCCAAGATCATGCCACTGCACTCCAGCCTGGGAGATAGAGTGATACTTTGTCTCAAAAAAAAAAAAAAAAGTGATCCTGCGAGCCATTTCCATTTTGTGGATTTGCTGGCAGGTTTCAGAACTCTCCTGCTGTCACTGTCAGCATAGCTTCTCATAGTACTACCAATGCTTAATGTCCTTAATGAGTTCATCCACGGTGAGGACTCTCTTTAGGGTCCTGTATGTGCCTTCCACATTCCCTTCCTGTGCCATCATACTCCTGGCAATGAACTTCAGGTTTTAAATCCATGAGCTTGGATCTAAGTCTCCACTCTGCCAAACCTGATGTTCCATACCCATTTGACCTCTGTAATCCAAATAATAGATTCCATTGTAGGGATGGATATGCCACATTTTGTTTATCCGTTCATCTGTTGCTGGACATTTGGTTTGTTTCCGCCTTTTGGGTATTGTGAATAGTGCTGCTGTAAACATTCATGTACGGGTTTTTGTTTGTTTTGTTTGAGACAGAGTTTCACTCTGTCACCCAGGCCTGTTGTGTAGTGGTGTAATGGTAGCTCGCTGTAGCCTCGACCTCTCAGGCTCAAGTGATCCTTCAGAGTAGCTAGGCCTCCGGAGTAGCTGGGACTACAGGTGTGCACCACCATGCCCAGCTAACTTTTAAATTTTTTTTGTAGAGATGGAATCTCACTATGTTGCCCAGACTAGTCTCAAACTCCTGGGCTCAAGCGATCCTCCCACCTTGGCTCAGAGAGTACTGGGCTTACAGGCATGAGCCACTGTGCCTGGCCCAAGTTTTTGTTTGAACACATGTTTTCAGTTCTTTTGGGCATATATTATAACTAGGAGTGGAATTGCTGGGTTATATGCTAATTCTATATTTAACTTTTTGAAGAGCCACCACACTGTTTTCCAAGCAGCTGAATCATTTTACATTCCCACTAGCAATATATAAGGATTACAGTGTCCTCACATGCTTGCCAACACTTGTTATTTTGTTTTTTTATTTTTTATTTTTTTGAGACAGAGTTTTGCTCTTGTCACCCAGGCTGGAGTGCAATGGCACAATGTTGGCTCATTGCAAACTCCACCTTTCAGGTTCAAGCGATTCTCCTGCCTCAGCCTCCCAAGTAGCTGGGATTACAGGCACCCATAACCACACCCGGCTAATTTTTGTATTTTTAGTAGAGACAAGGTTTCATCATATTGGCCAGGCTGACCTCGAACTCCTGACCTCTGGTGATCTGTTCGCCTTGGCCTCCCAAAGTGCTGGGATTATAGGCGTGAGCCACCGCGCCCAGCCCTTGATTTTATTTTATTTTTTTGCCTTCCAAGTGAGCATGATGTGGTACCTCATTGTGGTTTTAATTTGCGTTTCATCTGCTTGTTAGCCATTCATAGATTACCTTCAGCAAGATGTCTACTATTTTTTAATTGAGTCATTATGTGCATTATTTTTAATTCATTCATTTGGTCATTCATCTGAGCACCTCTTATGTTCCTGGCACTCAGACACTTGGGATAAAGCAGTGAACACATTAGTTGCCAACACTGGAAAGTCAAGAGAATTCTTAAAAAATAAAATTTCTTGCTCCTGACTTCTCTACTCAGATCTGGGCCTGAGTTCTCAGGAGCCAGCCCTCTGCTGGCACCTTTAAGGTGGGGCTGTGCTTTGTTTCTTCAAGGCTCCTATCTGGTCTCAGTCCCACCTGGGCCCTGAGAGCCTTGGGTTTTACAACACCCATGCTAAGTAGCTGATGCCTTTCCAAGTAGTTACTTTAGTTCTGAGTTGAGAACAACTGGCACTGCTGTTTTTCCTCTAACTCCTTAAGCTTCCCATGTCGCATTGAAAAAAAAAATTCCTAAAACCAAATCCCTTTAAGAATAGAAGTTGGGGCACCGTGGCTCATACCTGTAGTCCCAGCTACTTGGGAGGCTAAGATGGGAAGATCTCTTAAGCCTGAGAGCTTGAGGCTTCAGTGAGCAGTAATTGTGCCACTGCACTACAGCCTGGGTGACATAGTGAGTCTCAAAACAAAACGAAAAAATAGAAAAAGAAGTGTCGGGTCGAGGGGTGGGGCCGGGGGAGGGAGAGCATCAGGGTAAATAGCTAATGCATGCAGGGCTTAATACCTAGGTGACAGGTTGATAGGTGCAGCAAACCACCATGGCAAACGTTTACCTGTGTAACAAACCTGCACGTTCTACACGTGTATCCCAGAACTTAAAATAAAGTTAAAAAAAAGAAAGAAAGAAAGAAAAAGAAGTGGCCACCCTTTATGCCCCAGGCATTTGTGGTGTGGGCAAGGAAGGAGAATTGGTTTGTTTATGCTTCCTCTTTCGAAATGATGGGTGGGTCCTATGTTTATGAGCACATTGCATTGATATGAGTTTGTAGAACTCTTTTAATTCCTTGGAAGAGCCACCTGTTTCCAACTCAACCCTGCCCTACCCTGGTCCCAGTTTCTTGGGATCAGTTAGTAGAAATTGTGGAATAATAAAATTGAGGTTATATTATCTCTGATGATCAGATAGGAGATAAATTCCAAACCAGAAGGAACAGGAATCACCTATGCCCTCTCCTTTCTCCCAGATCTGAGGGTGGGGCATGGGCAGGCATGGCTGTAACGTTGAGGCAGTTGCACCGGGTCCTCTGCTCCTGGCTCGGGTGTTCATCCGCCACGTGATCCACTTGATCTCTTTGTACTTCAGCTTCTTTACCTGTGGAATGGGAGTTCATGATACTCACCTGCATTTTTTTAAACATTTTTTTAAAATTTGGGACGGAGTTTCACTCTGTGGGCCAGGCTGGAGTGCAGTGACACAATCTCGGCTCACTGCAACCTCTACCTCTTGGATTCAAGCTTCTCCTGCCTTGGCTTCCTGAGTAGCTGGGATTACAGGCACACACCACCACACCCAGCTAATTTTTTGTATTTTTAGTAGAGACGGGGTTGCACCATGTTGGCCAGGCTGGTCTCAAACTCCTGACCTCAGATGATCCACCCACCTCAGCCTCCCAAAATGTTGGGGTTACAGGCGTGAGCCACCGCGCTCGGCCTCACCTGCATTTTTCTAGGATTATATTAGTGTGTCTCAAAGAAACCCAAACTGAGAGTGACTGAAAGAAGATGGGGGCAAGGGAATGGTTGTGTGTCTTGACTATTATCAATATCAATATCCTGGCTATAATATTGTACTATAGTTTTGCAAGATGTTAACATTGGGAAAATTTGAATATTGATGCTGAAGAATGCATGAGCTATTTCTGTATTGTTTCTTTTTTGTAGTTTTTTGTGGTTGTTGTTTTGGGTTTGTGTGTGTGTGTGTGTGCTGTTGTTGTTGTTGTTGTTGTTGTTTCTGAGACAGGCTCTTGCTCTGTTGCCCAGGCTGGAGTGCAGTGGGTGTAATCAACCTTGAACTACTAGGCTCAAGAGATCTTCCTGCCTCAGCGTCCCAAGTAGCTAGGAGTACAGGTGCATGCTACTATGCCTAGCTAATTTAAAAAAAAAAAAATTGCCAGCCTGGGCAACATGGCAAAACCCCATCTCTACAAAACATACAAAAAAATAGCCAACCATGGGGTCATACACTTGTAGTCCCAGCTACACAGGAGGCTGAGGTGGGAGAATCACATGAGCCCGGGAGGTCCAGGCTGCAGTCAGTGAGCCATGACTACACCACTGCACTCAAGCCTGAGCGACAGAGTAAGACCGTCCCAAATTTTTTTTTTTTTTTTTTTTTTTTTAGAGACAGGGTCTTGCTCTGTCACCCAGGCTGGTCTCAAACTCCTGGGCTTGAGCAATTCCCCTGCCTTGGCCTTCCAAAGTGCTGGGATTACAGGCATGAGCCACCGTACCTGGCCTGAATATCATTTCTTACATCTGCATATCAATCTACAAATATCCCAAAATAAATAATTTAATTTTCAAAAGCAAAAAAAAGAAAAAAGAAAGGAGATGGGAGTTTCTTTATCTGGGAGACAGCCAGTCTGTGACTGGTGTGGTAGCTCCTGCTGTCCAGGCGTCAGGCTCCTCTCTTGTTGCTCTGTGGTGCCCCAAATCACTATGTGGTCCAAAATGCTACCATTCTTTTCCCGTCACAAGCAGCATTCCAGCCTGAGGAAGAAAAAAAAGAGAAGATGTCCCTTCCTCTGAAAGTTTCTTCTCTGAAGTTGCACACACTATCTCTCTTTAAACCCCACTGGCCAGGACCTCACCATCTGGCCAGATCGGCTGCCGGGGAAGCTTGGAAACCTGGTCTTTATTCCACACAACGTGGCCAGCTAGATGTCTGAGGGTGTGTCATGAGAGAAGAAGGACCTATTGGGGTTTCTGTCACACCACCTGTCAGAGCCGCTGTGAAGACACAGGAGAAAACACATATGCCAATTGAACTGGATTTTTTTTTTTCCCCCATAAATCAGCCTGCCGATTTCCCAATTAGAATTTCCAGGAGACCACTGTTTGGTCTGAAAACCATGGTGAATAATGGAAAACCAAGTTCCAAACTAAATGGGACTCCTGGTCATTGTGAGAATAGGAGGATGCTTGTTGTGAGGCTGAACACCTGCCGTCCGGCTGGAGTGTGCAGTGGCACCATCTTGGCTCACTGCAACCTCCGCCTCCCGGATTCAAGAGATTTTCCTGCCTCAGCCTCCCGGGTAGCTGGGACTACAGGCGTGCACCACCACGCCTGTTTTATTTTTGTATTTTTAGTAGAGATGGGGTTTCACCATGTTGGCCTGGCTGGTCTCAAACTCCTGACCTCAGGTGATCCACCCACCTCGGCCTCCCAAAGTGCTGGGATTACAGGTGTGATTCATCATTCCTGGCCAGTTCCCAGACTTTATAGGTGGGGAAGGTGAGCTTTAGAAAGGAGAAATCCTGTGTCTTAATTTGAATTCTCCTGAGAACAAGGACTTGGGTGCAGGTAGTTTATTTTGGAGAGTGATCCTAGGAAGTGGGGATAGGAAGTAGAGAGAGTAAACAGGGAGTGGGGAAGCTGATGAGGGGATGTTATTAACATCATCACCCTAGGCAACAAGAGCTTCATTCACCTGGACCTCTGAGAAGGTACAGATACCTCCCAGAAAAGGGGAGACTTGGAGCTCCAGCCCCATGGGGTTGACTGCTGTCCCTGGAGGCATGAGCTCCTCTTCCAGGCTGGGCTGGCCTGCAGAACCAGGGACTCCCACATTGAGGAAGTTCCTGAGCAGGCAGCAGACTCCCAAGGAGCCACCCCAGCAGCTGTAGCTAAAACCAAGGGTGGGCGGAGGAGCTGTGACATAAGACACCCATCACCCACCCAGCCAGCAGCACACCTGCATTGAGACCTCGGGTCCTCGAGTCCCTGGCCTGGTGCATTCTCCCCGTGTCCCCCGAGCTTCAGAGCATCAGCAGTGTTCCTCCTTCACTGTGACGCTTGTCCTCACTTCCCAGGTGAGGAGTCTAAGAAAACAGCCTTTCCATCAGCCCCTGTCGTGACAGACCCTCCAGTGGGATGGTAGTGGCTGCCTCACCCATTTACAGGGCAACCCAGTTTTGCTCCTTCTGCCTTGAAATTTGTTCCTCCCAGAAACTGTCCCTCACAAGGCATGAACAATCAATAGAAGATATACGTGGTCTTCCCAGCACTACAGCTGCAGAATGAGCTGTGGAGTGCCCCGTCCGGAGTCCTGAACAGCTTCAAACTTTTCCCCTTTAGAAATGCCTGACACGCCCCAACCCCAGTAATCATCGTGCATTTAACTTAGGGGTTGCCTCACCCTTGGGAGATCCAAACCCCCAGGCTGACTTCCTGTCCTTCATGGAGGAGAAGGCTCTTGTCTGCAGTGTACTCCTCAGTTTCTACTCAGGGCCAGTGACCTGGAGCCTTGGCACAGAAACCCTGAAGAGAGAAGCTGAGGTAAATCCACTGCTTTGGCCAAGCAGACAGGTGACCTGCAAGAGATGGGAACAGCCTCATCCTTAACACTGCACCCTCTGATAAAAAGGTACCTGGTGGCCGGGCGCGGTGGCTCACACCTGTAATCCTAGCACTTTGGGAGGCCGAGGCGGGCGGATCACCTGAGGTCGGGAGTTTGAGACCAGCCTGACCAACATGGAGAAACTCTGTCTCTACTAAACATGCAAAATTAGCCGGGCGTGGTGGCGCATGCCTGTAATCCCAGGTACTCGGGAGGCTGAGGCAGGAGAATCGTTTGAACCCAGGAGGCGGAGGTTGTGGTGAGCCGAGATCACGCCATTGCACTCCAGCCTGACAACGAGAGCGAAACTCTGTCTTAAAAAAATAATGATAAAAATAAAATAAAATAAAAAAGGTGCCTGGTGGCCAGGTGCGGTGGCTCACACCTGTAATCCCAGGACTTTGGGATGCCAAGGTGGGAGAATCACTTGAGCCCAGGAGTTCGAGACCAGTTCTGGCAACATAGTAAGACTCCATCTCTACCAAAAAATAAAAATAAAAATTAGCTGGGTGTGGTGGCACACACCTGTAGTCCCAGCTACTTGGGAGGCTGAGATGGGAGGATTGCTTGAGTTTGGGAGGTCGAGGCTTCAGTGAGCCATGGTGGCACCACTGCACTCTAGCCCAGTTGACAGAGTGAGATCCTTTCTCAAAGACAAACAGACAAACAATAAAAAAAAAAATGAAAAAAAGACCTCTGGGAAGTCCAGGTGTCACACCCTATTCCTAGGACTGCGTGTCCTCACTGGCCTGCTCTAGGTGACAGTTTCTGAGCTCTTACTCAGACCTAGGTGGGAATGTGAACAGAGCAAATTCTGTTCCCATAGGAGAAGATGTGCTCTGGCTTCCAGACCTTCCAGGCCATCATTGGATATGGGCTAGGCAGTCCCTGGTGGAATCCAGGTAGAAGCTCCCAGGGCCCCCTAGGCTGAGGACCACACCATTGGTGGCCATCTCTGGCCAGGAGGGTGTGGAGGTTTGGAGGGACATGCAGCATCTTCCTTCATCACTAGTGGGATGGGAAGAGGACCAGTTTTCCACTCTAGACCTTGGCAGATCTCAGTAGACCCTGAGGGCCCACAGATTTCATAGACATATGGAATTGAATGAAATTACAAGGGGGAGAAGCAGGAGGAGCTGAGGTTGGTAGTTGAGATGTGAGGAGTGTGGGGAAAGAAACCCCACTTCTGTCCCATGTACCCCTAGGAGAGAGTAGGTTATCTTCTTTTGGTTCTCTTCTTTACCGAATAGCCTTAATCCGAGAGTTGAAATGATTTGTTTACATACATTTCTCTTCCTACCACACTATGGCTACTTAGAGGGCTGGGAGCAGTGTCTTATCCATCCCTGTATCCCTAGTACCTGGCACAGGGCTGGCACATAGTAGGTGCTCACTAAAGCTTGCTTGAATAGATGAGTCAAAGGCGGTTGGGGTGGCTTAGATGGCCAAGAGAGTGGTTGTCAAAGTGTGATTCATAGAATCCTCACCCAGTCCCACATCAGAATCACATGGGATTCTGTTAAAAATTCAGATTCTCCCGGTCCACTCCCCAGAAGCTCTGCAATGAGTAGGCATTGCAGGGGCCCAGGAATTTGCATTCTTTGTGAGATCCTGAGATGATTCCGAAGCAGCTCTCCATGGACCACATCTTGAAAAACTGTCACTTGGAGGAGGGAGTGACACTGGTTGAGAAGGTTCCTTCTGATGTCCCTGGAGGGACAAGGGAGGGATCAGCCCATAAACACAGATCCTGGTTCCAACATCCATCCATCCCTCTTCACTTCATAAATGATGTGGGTCCACTTGGGCCCATGGGTGGAGAAAACCCCAACCCCAGAACCTGGAGTTTGGGGGCTCTCCTCATTCTTCCAGGCCCAATGTCCTCTGCTCTGGACCCTTTGGTTTCAGCTGGGTTCAAGTTCCAGTCACCCTCCCGTTCTCACAGCACTCCCTTTCATTTTCCATGCCCCAGCCACAGAGACAAGCTCTCCTCTGCTGGAAAAGCCCTCCTCTCCCTTCTCTGATGATTAATACTTCCTCACCCTTCAGCTGTCAGCTTAGGCATAAATTTCTTAAGGGAGTTTTCCTTGGAGCCCCAGGTGATCCCAGATTCCGTCTTACAGGTGCTCCTAGGACCACGGCCCCTTCCTTATCTCAGCTTTCTAAACATACATTCATCATTACCAAGGTTGACTGCACTCCTGTCTTTCCCACCAGACCCTTATCTCTGCAAGGACAGGGACTGTATTTGGCTTTGTTCATTTTTTACCATTGGGCCCTCTCTGTGGTGGGTGTTTCCTAAATATTTGTTGGAGGAATAAATGTTGGCTAAGTACTCCGTAGGGCTGAGGAGGCCATAGTATGGGTGGCCCCAGGGCCCAGGTCTAAGAGAGGCTGCCTTAACCCAGCTTTGAGGGGACAGACAATGGGCCTCAGATGGGCTGGGATTCCCCCCACAGTCTGCCTCATGGCTCCCATTTCCTGATTTTCTAGGCTGTTCCCACCCACGAAGAGCTAATATGTCTAATTTCCCCAGAGACAGGGAGCTTCTTAGAAGAAGGACTGTGGCTTGTTCTATCTCTAGTCCTAGCATAGTACTTGGCACATACGGGTGCTCACTGAATGTGTGTCGAAAGCATGGTCGATAAATGCCATGAATGGATGGTAAAATGCCTGTCGACTACAGAGCACTTCACCATTCGCAAAGCACCTTTGCAGGCCTGTTCACGCTTGAACGTCATGGCCCTGCTATGGAATAGGCAAGGCAGTCTCTTCATCCCCTTCGAGCCAAAGAGTAAACAGATAACTTGCCAGGTCCCACTGGGTTTTATTGGTTTGTTGTTTGAGACAGGGCCTCTCTCTGTCACCCAGGCTCAAGTGCAGTGGTGCAACCATGACTCACTGCAACCTCTGCCTCCCAGGCTCGAGTGATCCTCCCCCTTCAACCTCCGGAGTAGCTGGGACTACAGGCATGCGCCACCATACCTGGTTAATTGTTTAAAATGTTTCATAGAGACAGGGTTTCCCTATATTGCCCAGGCTGATCTCGAACTCCTGGGCTCAAGCGATCCTCCTGCTGCAGCCTCCCAAAGTGCTGGCAAGACTTTACAGGTGTGAGCCACCATGCCTGGCTCAGGTGCCACAGTTAATAAAAGGTGGGGAAAGTTAAGTGGAGCAGTAATGGAAGTGCAGGTTCTCCTCCAGCTTGACGTGCCCTTACTTAGGGGTTGTCTCTTACCTGGCAGGGCTGGGAGGAGATGGGTAGTTCCTGAAAGGCCGATGGAGAAAACTGGGGAGTAGGTTACTACTCCCGTGACTGCCCAGGCCTCTACCCAGACCTGTTTCCACCTGTGCACTGAAATGGATAGGTAGCCACATGTGAGAGGTGAAGAGTCCCGGCCCCAGACTAGAACCCGAGCCAGGTCCCGAGCTGGCTGCTTCCTCCACTCAACATCCCCAGCTCAGTACTCTCAGGCTCTTGGTGCCCCTTGCTTATCTGACATCTGGCCCCTTTGCCTTAACTGGCTGCTTTCAGCCAGCTTCTTAATTCCCTGGAGACAGAAACTGCCTGCCTGCCTTGTGACATCATCTGAGAGTGGGAGCTGGAGCCCAGGTGCCATTTGGCATATAGGGGCTTTCTTCTTCATCTGCAGGTGCCCAGGATCTTTAGCACCTGGCACTGAACACCTACAGGCCTGTGGAATAACAGGGGCCGCCCAGCTGCCTCTCTTAGGGCCTCCATCTGCCCTCTCCTTTATCCCTTTCCTATTCTGTCTTTGGCTTTCAGGCCCTCAGGAGAAAAACTGGCCCACCAAGGAGTCTAAAATCCTAAGACCTTGGATTCAAGCCCAGGGTCCAGGCACGCTTCCCTGGTTCCTCAGGAAGGACCCCAGTGACCTGTTTATTCTCCAGGAGGCAGGGGCTAGGGGTGAAGGCATGGTCCTGCTTTGTAAGATCTGTCTGTCTGCACAGGCAGGCTCTCCCAGGCTTCACTATGGCATCTCACCTTTCCCGGGAAGGCGAAGGAGGGCCCTTTGCTCCAGCTTGGTGTAACCTTGTCCCTGTCCTGCTGCCTTGGGATTAGGCTTGAGGTTGGGAAAAGGGTCTGGGGGATTTTAGGCTTACAAGAAGATCTGGAGGAAACCTAGTGGTCTCTAACACATTGTCAGCAGCCTACCCCCTGGCTTGGCTGGGTGTGCCATGCCCTTGGTTCCAGGGAGACTGATCTGGGACAGTCAAACCCATAGCTCCTCTCCCTACAGTTCCAGAGAGGTGGATCGCATGGTCTCCACGCCCATCGGAGGCCTCAGCTACGTTCAGGGGTGCACCAAAAAGCATCTTAACAGCAAGACTGTGGGCCAGTGCCTGGAGACCACAGCACAGAGGGTCCCAGAACGAGAGGCCTTGGTCGTCCTCCATGAAGACGTCAGGTTGACCTTTGCCCAACTCAAGGAGGAGGTGGGTCCTGACCTGGAAACCTCAAAGTGGGCAAGTACTAGCTCCCAAGCTGCCCTAGCTGGGCAGAACCAGGAGCGTGGGCACCTGGCTATGGGGCAATGTGCTAGGGCTGCCAGAGAACCCCGAGGGATGGCAGGAGAAGGAGACAGGACTGACGCACAAGGGGTCCAATGCCTCCTGTATCAGCAGCTCCTGGGGCACCTGTTAACTATGCAGGCCCCAGGGCAGACCCACTGAGGCTGGGAATCTGCCTGTCCCTTTGTCCCCAGTGACTGTGATGAGAACTCCGGGCTAAGGGCTGAGGGTGGGAGTCTTGGGCCCCTTCCTGCTTGCCCCCTTTCACCCCTTGCGCCCCATCTTTTACACTAGGTGGACAAAGCTGCTTCTGGCCTCCTGAGCATTGGCCTCTGCAAAGGTGACCGGCTGGGCATGTGGGGACCTAACTCCTATGCATGGGTGCTCATGCAGTTGGCCACCGCCCAGGCGGGCATCATTCTGGTGAGGAGGGGCTTGCTTGGCACAGCTTGGTGTGCATGGGGGAACATCACTGAAGGGGAGCCCCTCAGGCCCTCAGCCCCAGGATCAAACCAGTGCCTTGTTGGTTTCAAACCAGGTAGTGCTTTCTCCTGAGGCCCACCAAGGAGGTCTCTGGGAGTTAGGGGGCTGTAGAGTGCTGCCTCTATGCCTCCTGGGGGCGGAGGGGCAGCAGGAGGGACAGGGTCTGCCCAGAATACTGATATGCCCTCGCCGCTTCCACCAGGTGTCTGTGAACCCAGCCTACCAGGCTATGGAACTGGAGTATGTCCTCAAGAAGGTACAGCTCATTTGTCGGGGAGGGGCCCGGCTGGGGCCTGGCACAGGGGGCTGCACAGACTCTGCTTGTCAGAGTCTGACGGTGTGAGCTAGGGCATGCATAGGCGGGTGATACGCAGAGTGTCCTTCCTTAGGCCATGTGTGATTGGAAGGTGGCCCCAACTCCAAGGAGAGCGTGGTTGGTCAGACACAAACCTGGCGTGAGTGTGCAGGGACGGGGGCATGTGTGTGTCAGGGCAGAGGTGTGTGTGTGTGTGTGTGTGTGTGCGTGTGTCCATCCTCATATGTGATGCATATGTGTCTCAGGGTGTGGTGTGTGTGTCTCGGGGCTGGTACATGTGTGCATTTGTCTTGGAGTGTGGTGCCTGTGAGTGTGCTGGAGGTGTGTGTGTCAGAAGCGGGTGCATCTGTATGAGAGCAGCTGATTAGTGAGGACTCCCCCAGAGCTCTAGTCTGGGGCTCCCCGCTGACTGGAGGTGGGGGACTCCCCTTCCACAGGTGGGCTGCAAGGCCCTTGTGTTCCCCAAGCAATTCAAGACCCAGCAATACTACAACGTCCTGAAGCAGATCTGTCCAGAAGTGGAGAATGCCCAGCCAGGGGCCTTGAAGAGTCAGAGGTGGGTGTGTCCCAGGTTAGTGGGTGGTGCATCATTCAGCATCCCTGATTCCTTCACTTCCTACCCACCCTGCCCCCTCCCTCAGCCCCTGTCTCTCACCATCGTCCCCAACCCCAGGCTCCCAGATCTGACCACAGTCATCTCGGTGGATGCCCCTTTGCCGGGGACCCTGCTCCTGGATGAAGTGGTGGCGGCTGGCAGCACACGGCAGCATCTGGACCAGCTCCAATACAACCAGCAGTTCCTGTCCTGCCATGACCCCATCAACATCCAGTTCACCTCGGTAGGGCAGAGGTCTCCAGGCCCCAAGCCCAGATGGACACATGCCCCCTGTCCCTGTGACACTTCCGCGGGGATGGGGAGACAGCAGAGGAGAGCATGCCTTCTTTACTGAGACTGGCCTTCAGCTGTCCTCTCTGCCCTGGAAAATATCAGCACCTGGTGTCCTTGTCACATTTCCTCCCCTAGCCCCCCGCCCTCTCCACTCCAGCCCTCTTGTTCCCGGTGCAGTGGCAGATTCACTGAACCAACACAGGTTGGAACTGCTACAGGCTGCCCCTCATTTAGCTGATGAGGAATCAGAGACGCAGAAGAGAGAATTTGCCCAAGCCAGCTTGTGGGTGGCAGAGTTCTCTGGGCCATGTAAGTGGCATGAGAACGGAGACCTTATCTTCTGCATTGCTGGACCCTGACACCTGGTATCGTGGTAGACCTTTTGCAAATATACTGAACAGATGGATCTGGGGCAACAATCCCTGTCTCCTGATTCCCGGTCCCGTGCTCTTCAAGGCAGTGGCCCAGGGTGGGAAGGAGATGAGAAGGAGGCCAAGCCATGCCCTGTTTGCCTTGTCAGGGGACAACAGGCAGCCCCAAGGGGGCCACCCTCTCCCACTACAACATTGTCAACAACTCCAACATTTTAGGAGAGCGCCTGAAACTGCATGAGAAGGTGAGGCGGCACTAGGCCCAGGGCAAGGCTGCAGGAGGGGTGGCTCAGGCAGGGGTGGGGGGCTGGCTGGGCTCCCCTTGCCAGCTAGAGAGGAACTGGCGTCTGGCTCCAAGACAGACCCAGCCTCCTGTCTCCATCACCAGACACCAGAGCAGTTGCGGATGATCCTGCCCAACCCCCTGTACCATTGCCTGGGTTCCGTGGCAGGCACAATGATGTGTCTGATGTACGGTGCCACCCTCATCCTGGCCTCTCCCATCTTCAATGGCAAGAAGGCACTGGAGGCCATCAGCAGAGAGAGGTGGGCACTGGTGGACAGGCTACTTGTGGGCTGATAAAACCCTCTTCTTCCTCACTCCTGGGCCCTGACACCTTTCCAAGCTGCCTCCTCCCTCCAGCCAGGAGACTGAGGATGGGGACAGTGGAGGACCCCCAGGAGAGGACCAGTTCCTGCCTCAGGAGCTTCTCCTGCCTATTCCCTTTGCTGCAGTTTCATGGCGGGGTGGGTGAGAACAGGGAGTTCCCTTCCACTTCCAAGCCTAATTTCGAGACCTCCTCCTATACAGAGGCACCTTCCTGTATGGTACCCCCACGATGTTCGTGGACATTCTGAACCAGCCAGACTTCTCCAGTTATGACATCTCGACCATGTGTGGAGGTGGGGTGGGGCCAAGGGCAGCCAGGCTTGGGGAGGGGGCTGCTTCCCCCACAGGAATGGCCCGGGTGAGTTAGCTATGCTCCCAGTCTTTTATATAGGGGGCAAGAAGGACGCTGTAAAAATGTGGGTGGGAGGGAGGGAGATCCCCAGTGTCCCTGGACACCAGCCCAGGGCCAGCTGCCAGGTGTAGGAAAGGCTCGGGGTCAGAGGAGAAAAGGGAATGTTCCTCCCCTGAATGAGCTGTAGGTGAAAGGACTCCACTGGGCCTGGAGAATTGGGGAGCTGTGTCAGCCCTCTCTCTGATTCAGGTGTCATTGCTGGGTCCCCTGCACCTCCAGAGTTGATCCGAGCCATCATCAACAAGATAAATATGAAGGACCTGGTGGTGAGTGGTGACTGCGGCCCGGGCTGTGGGCAGGCCAGGCCTGGGATGACAGCAGATGGACAGACATGGGGATGAGTCCAGGCCAGATGTTCAAAGGAGACCCTCTCAGCCAGCCCTCCTTCCAGAAAGCAGATGTGAGAAAAGATAGTCTGACCTCATCAGCACCTGGTGGGTGAAGGAGATAGGTGGCAGGGGAGTAAATATAATACATACATACATTTATATTTATAGAAATCTCAGGAAGAAATTGCAGCATGGGAAGATGGACAGCAAAGCACCGATGTCCTGCTAGAACGTCCTGGCAGGTGGGGGCTGGCAGAGTTGGGGCATGGGCTTTAAAACCCTTTCTGGAAGCAAGGGGTGGGGCAAGGATCTGATGATTGTTTCCACGTGGCAGGGAAAGAGGAACAGAGGAAGGATGATCCTGGGAGGGTGGCCATCCTGATGACCAACCTGTTGTGGTTCTGATTGACTTGGGGGGGGGGTCTCAGCAACAGCTTCTCCAAGAGGAGCTGGAGGGTGGGGAAGGCATGAAGGCTGGGGAGAGGCTCAGCCTTCCTTCTCCCCAGGACACTGCTGGGTGGAGCTGGGTTGGTAGTGGAGTGCCCGAGGCCCCCTGCCAGGACGTGTCTAGGTGTAGGCAGCTCTGTGCATCAGCAGAGGCTGTGGGGAGAAGGTATGGGTGGAGGTGAGAAGGTCAGTAGTCTCTCCGGTGGAAGGCAGAGGCCAGTCACCAGGACTGGCTGGGTCAGAACCTGCAAAGAGGCAAAGATCGATGTCAGTACTCCAACAACACAGATGATGCTTGAAGAAAATGGTGGAAGTCCTGGGCAGGACCTTTTCCTCCCTTCAACAGGGGACCCAGTCGTCCCCTCCTCTCTCTGTAAAAATGGAGGGTCTGCCTGACCCTCCAGGGCCAGGGGGTATCCTGGAAGATACCAGCTCACTTGCTGGAATCACCAAAGAGGGACATAGGGGACCTGTTTACCTGGCCCCCACCTGTTTAATGGCGGCCAGCTTTCTTGGACCTCTTGGTGGGGAACTTGCAGCTGCGGAAGGCGTCCGTGTCACGGATGTGCTGGCCCTTGAACTTGGCAGGTGAGGCACAGGTGGCATCTGGGCGGGAGGCCTTGGCTTCCAGCCACCTGGAGAGACAGAAACTTGCTGGGGCTGGGGAAGAAGGTGGGAGTGCTGGGGGGAAGGGCAGTGAACTATGGGGCCAGGATTGACTTGGCCACAGGATAGTCTGAAGCTGTCATCTTCATTTTACAAATGGGGAAACTGAGGCTCCCAGGGTCCCATGCTTATTAGGTAGCAGATCTAGGATGCATGTCCAACATGTCTTAGTGCAGGGCTAATGTGCCTCTATCACATGAGGGTGGGCTCTGGGAGTGACATGGAAGTGTTCTTACCGCCGAAGGCCCCGGAGCTGGCAGGTACACTTCCAGGGGTTATTGGTAAGGGCGAGGGTCTCCAGGCTGTCGAAGGGGAAGTTGGAGGGTAGCTGGTTCAAGCGGTTGTTCTCCAAATGGACGTGTTTCAGCGTGGTTACACCCAGGAAGGCACCATCTGAGAACTGGGGAGCAAGGTGGGAGCAAGGTGGGAGCAAGGTGGTCATGAGTGAATGAGTAAGCACCCGAGTGCCAGAGGGGCAGGATCCTTCCCTGAACCTGAGCCATAGCACTTTGAGGAGTTTCCCAGTTTTCAAAGCAGTATGACCAAGTGATCTCAGATAATCCAATCTACACAACCCCCTTTGAGACAGATGGTGTTATTTTCTTTTTTTTTTTTTTTTCCTTTTTTTTTTTTTGAGATGGAGTCTCACTGTGTTGCCCAGGCTGGAGCACAGTGGCACGATCTCAGCTCACTGCAAGCTCCGCCTCCCGGGTTCACGCCATTCTCCGGCCTCAGCCTCCTGAGTAGCTGGGACTACAAGTGCCCGCCACCATGCCCGGCTAATTTTTTTGTATTTTTTTAGTAGAGACGCAGTTTCACCATGTTAGCCAGGATGGTCTCGATCTCCTGACCTCGTGATCTACCCGCCTCAGCCTCCCAAAGTGCTGGGATTACAGGCGTGAGCCACCACGCCCAGCCAGGTGGTGTTATTTTCAATATGCAAATGGGGAAACGGAAAAAGCGCAGTCCTTTGCCCTGGGTCACAGCAGTGGGTAAACAGTAGCCACAGGACCACACCCAGCTCCTCTTCCCCTGGCACCACAATCCCTGCACAAACACTGGGACTGTGGGGCTGCCAGAGTTTGGCCCCAGCAATCCAAACTGGTACACGGTGAACTTGGTCTGTGCTTGGTGGAGTGGGCAGTGGGCCCAGGCTCCCCACAGTCCCAGGGTCCCAGGACTTCCCTCAGCTCTGTCCTCACTGCTCCCCCACTGCCAGCCAGACGCTATTTGTGAAGCCACCTTGGTGGAGCCTTTGGCCAGGTTGGACGGCTCCAGAGGAAATGTTCTATTGGTGCCCACACCTTTGCCCAGGCGCCACAATTCCTGTCTGGCCTCCCCTGCCCCAAACCAGCCCCTAATTCGCTGCTCTGCTGCCCACTGAAAGACCACTCTGGCACTGGTGGGCCACAGGGGACTCCAACTTCAGCTGGGGAGAGGCAGGGCTGAAGAAGGGCAGGCTTGAGCAGGCTCCTTCCACCCAGACAAAGGTTGGCTGCTGCCCAAGTGAGATTCTGCCCACATCTCCACACCCGCACCCTTTCCTGTGGCCCACATTGAGGTATGAAGGTCTCCAGTAACCAGACTCTCCTCTACCTTGTTGGTTCCCCACCCAAACCTCCTGGCTGAAGCCCCTGTACCAGGGTGATTTTTCCAGTCCCAGAGAAGGGATTCTGCTCTGATCCAAGGTAGCCCCACCTGGCCAGACACTGGGCACCCCAGGGGAGAAAGGAATGAGTGAGGATGCAGACAGGAGATGGGTCTAGTGACGGAGGAGGGCAAAGGGCAGTTAGCAGTCTGGAGACAGTGAGTCACGCCAGTCTTCTCTGTGGAGAGACACCTGGGGTCTTGGGCCAAGGATTGACAATAGTGGTCTTGCCTTTGCCCCTTCACGGAGCCCATGGGCACGATGCTTGCATCCTGGGGGAGCCCTTGGTCCCACGCCTACTGAGCTGCAATGGACTTGAGAATGCAGTGAATTGTGTCTGTGTGGATTGGGCAGGGCCATCCACCAGGGCCTCTATGGGGCATGGAGAATGTCTTCCTCAGGCATTTGCTTCCCCTCACTCCCCAGTCCCCCACTCCCCCTTAGCACACATGCACAGCCCCCACCAGGAACAGGGTCTCTTTGTGGGCCTGATCTGCCCAGCTCCTCTGGAAGGCTCCTCAATAAACAAACCTTCCTTTATGGGGTGGTAGGTTTACTGGAGACGGGAAAAACAGCAGAGGAGGGGTGGAAGGCCCAACAGGAAGAGGTGGCTGCTGCTCACAGTTGGGGGTTTGGAAGCACTGGAGATGGCCCTAGGGGGCCTTTTGTGGGGCCAGGGCAGTCCCACTCCTTTTATATGTAAGAATCCTAGGAGGGCAGTGGTCGAGACTGGCAGCAGACAGGGATTAGGGTAGGGATGTGACAAGGCGAGGAAGGGAGGTGGCAGAGCTGCTCACCTTGGAGATAGCCAGAGGGACAGGGAACCTGGGGACGGGGGATGGTGCCAGCTGTGGCCCTGGCTCCTGGGGCCTCCAGGAAGGGAAGAAGGAACCAGGGCAGAGCCCACAGCCAGGAGCTCACCTTCTCCAGGTTGGTGTTGTCCAGCCAGAGGGTCTCCAGGTATCTGCCAAAGGACTGGAAGGCATTGTCCGGGATGCTTTTCAGGGGGTTGTGGGACAGCTTCAGCTCCTCCACCACCCGTAGCTTGCTCAGGGCAGCTGAGGGGTAGCTGGACAGCTGGTTCCTGTCCACGTGGAATTTGGCGAGGTTCTCCACGTCGTCCAGGGCCCCGGGCTGCAGGGAGCTCAACGCGTTTTCCGACAGGTAGAGCCAGCGCAGGTCCTTGGCTCCCTGGAAGGCGCCTGCGCGCAGCTCACGGATCTTGTTGTTGTTGAGCTGCAAGATGAAGAGGTTGACCAGCGGGGAGAGCAACCCCCGGGGCAGCTCAGTGACCTTGTTGTGGTCCAGGTAGAGGTAGGTCAGCTCGGTCAGGTCGTCGAAGGCACCTGCGCGCAGCACGCGGATGTCGTTATGGGACAGGTACAAGTAGATAAGTTGCTTGAGGCCGCGGAAGGCACCGGCGGCCACCTCGCGGATCTGGCAGTGCTGCAGGTGCAATGACACGAGGTTCGGCATGGCCCGGAACGAATTGGCAGCCAGCACCGGGAAGTTGTTGCGCTGTAGGTTGAGCAGCTTGGTCTTCTCTGACACCTTGGGGATCTTCTGCAGCCCCACCTTGTCGCAGATGACGTGCTGCAGGTCGCTGTGGCAGTGGCAGTTCTGGGGGCAGGCGGCCAGCGCCGGCAGCAGACCAGCCAGGAGGCCGAGGCTGAGCAAGAGCATTGGGCGGACCATGGCTGGGACGCCTGGGGCCGGGGCTGGGGGCAGCAGCGGCGGCGGGGCGCGGGCAGCGGCGAGTCCTAGGCGCTCGGGTCTGCCGCCCTCTTTATACGGTGGCCCTGACCGCAGCCGGCAGCCGAGCCAGCTCCTACGTGGAGCATCGAGGCCACTGGGCTTAACTCGCTCGCGCCCAGAGATGCGCCCCCGCCCTCCACGGGGAAGGGGGCGGGGCCGTTCCCCCAGCCGGCTACCGTGCATGAGGGGGTGGGACCGTGGCCCCCGAGCCCCGAGCCCTGAGCCCCGGCTGTAGCCCCCCGCTCTCCTATGGTGCTCCTCTGCCTACCGCCTTTCCCGGGGCTTTTCTGGGAAGGGGGAATAGTTATGTCTGGAGCCCCGAGTTTACATCGGAGAGAGGGAGGCGTTCCCTCAACTTATTTGTTTGCTCAGGTTTGAGCCTCCACGCCGCGCCATCCACACACGCTCGGCCGGGTGCCCTGGATGCGAGGCGGGAGGAAGCGGGGCCGGACAGCTGGATGCGTCTCCCTGCGGTGGGCCAGCTGCCTGCGCTTTAAAGGGGCGCTTGTGCGGCGCCTGCCGAGCGTGAGAGCCGCCCCGGCGTCGGTCTCCCACTTCAGACTCGACGCGCCGAAGCTGGCCCTGGGTAGACCCGAGCTCCTTCCCCACCCTCGGGCGCGCCCCCACCCCTCTCTTCCAACCCCGCTTGCGTTTCTGTCGCCGGCGCCCTCATCCCCTTTTTCCACCGCTGAAGGCTAAGCAGAGAAGTGGGAAGTGGGGGAGAGTGGCCCACAGGAATGGCAAACACACCTGGAAACCACAGGCCACAAGCACAGTCGCACCATCCCCCCTCCTTCATCGCCCCGAAATATCTCCATCCCTCATCCCCAACCCTAGTGGTCAGGACCCGCCCCTGAGGGGTCTCAGGGTGGCGGCTGAGTGGCGCCGAGGTGTACTTGGCAGATGCCACATTCGGGCGGTGGCCCCAGGACTGTGAGGAGGGGTGCGGGAGGGGGTGGGGCAGGTCGAGGGACCAGCCCTGGACGGCTCTGGCTGCCAGACCCTAAGTTCTGTGGGCAGTCCCGCCCCAGCCCGCCAGATTTCTGTGTGCCCACTTGCCAGCCACGATGTCCGGATTCCTGTGGAAAGGGGAGGGTGAGCAGGCAGGGTCACAGCTCTGGCCTCAGGGTGAGCTCCAAGCTGCCTGGCACAGGATATTGTCTGTGATGAGGGGTGGAAGGAGAAACCAGAACCCACATTGAACCAAACCCCAGCCGTGCCAGAGCCAGAGCAGCTGATATGGGGGAAGCTTGGTGCAGGGAGGAGGATGGATGAGATCTGGTATCCGTTGATTAAAGGGGACCTAGGATACGGGGTAACTAGCCTCTCTTCCCTTACCCAGTACCCTCGTGTTGGGGCCTGGTTTCCAGGGCCTGCCCTTTTCCCAAACCTCTCTGCCCCTTGCCTCTAGGATAGGAGGGTCATACTTGGCCTAGACCATTCCTTGATGGTATTTAGGCTTCTCCAAGGCTGGCTTCTGGTTTTTCTGTTGCTCAGGCTTTCCAACCACTGGAAATGGGGGAGGTGGGGTGGGGGTACCACTGGTTTTTAAAATCACTGCTTAGGTTGTTTTTTTATTTTGATGGAAATAAATTCACGGGAAACTCTCCAGAGCTTGGGGGACGCCTGCCCCAAGGCCAGGCACTTGTTCAGGGTTTGCAGAATGCGGGGGTGGGGTTGTGTCTGTGCCACTCCTAGCTGGGCCAAGGCAGGCTGGCTTTCTCATCAAGTTTATGGGGCCTTCAGCTTGGAAGGGAGGAGCCGGGGATGTGGCCTGAAATCAGGAAGGTGGGGTTAAGGCAGCCAGGGGATGGGGGGAGAAGTGTGGGGTGTTGGTAATACCGGAGCCACAGGCACAGACAGGTGGCTGCTCCAGGGAAACGGGGCACTGAGAGAGCTCCAGCTGGAAGAGAATGGTGTCCCTGCTCTCAATTTTCTTTCAGATCTGGGGCCCTGCAGAGATCTAGTCTGCTCACTCCCAGCACCTCTGCCTCCTGACCCCAGGCCCCTACCAATGATGTCTCTGTTTCCACCATTCGGCTGCCCTCCACTTTCCCTTTTCTTTTATGAATTCCTTCCCATTTCCTCAGATAGCTCACCTGATCCCTCTGCACGTGCTGAGCCCTCTTCAAACACCCTTTCTGGACCCTCTAGGTTGCTTATGGAACCACAGAGAACAGTCCCGTGACATTCGCGCACTTCCCTGAGGACACTGTGGAGCAGAAGGCAGAAAGCGTGGGCAGAATTATGCCTCACACGGAGGTGAGCCCCTGACCAAGACTCCAAAGTCCCACCTCCCGTCACCCAGCTGGGGTGCACCCAGCTGGGACATCGGTTGCTTTCAGTGAGAGAGTCAAATGGCTCACTCAGGATGCCTAGAGCCCCCCAGCAGCAGGGGTGTGCTAGGCCTGGCCCGGAGTGTTCTCTGTGGGCTAAGCATGAAAGGGGAAGAGCTGGAACAGTGGCTGTGAGCGGCTGCCAGCTGAACTTCTCCGCGGCCTCCCTTCCTGTCTGAGGTGTGTTTTTGCCAAGCCCACTGTCTGTTTCAGGGCAGCCAGGGTAGCCTCAAAGAGGAGCCAGAGCACAGAGAGTTTTCCTACACAGCTTCTTTTCCTCCAGTGGTGCTCGCCTCTCGCTTTAGCAGAGTTCTTCTTCTTGCTTGGCGTAAACACTTCATTTCCCAAGCAGCCTATCCCTTTGGGGCGGTCCCTTTGCCCCTCAAAGGTTGCCCCAGAGTGCACCTGAATCTCAAATGCCCAGCCATGCCTCCTTTCCTGCTCCAACACTGGGGCTGTGCCAGCTGGCTCCTGATTTCCCCTGCACCCTTCTGCTCCCGCCCCTGGGGGATCGCTGCCCCCGTGCACAAGCAGCTGCTTCCCCTGGGGCTGACCGCTGTCCTGGCGTGAATCTGCCCTGCCCTCCCGCCAGAGCAACCATGTACCCAGGGATTGAGTAGGGATGTGAGCCTCCTCCCGTGTGTGCTACAGCTGCACTGCCACTGTCACTAAGATGCCCACCTGGAAGGGAAACAGGGGCAGGCATCACTCACCCCATTTCACGGACACAGACACTGAGGCACACAGAGGCTCAGCTTTCCTTGGCACGGTGGCCGTGGCTCTTTTCTCTACCAGGCTTTCAGACTCTGTCTCTCCTGTTCACATGGTGTTGCCATGCCACCCTGTTTGGCTTATTTGCTGCTTAATGGGAAGTAAGAGGAGACTCCCTTCTCCTCTGCACGGTTTATAATTCTTCAGCTGGCTCTGCAGTCCACAAACCTCTTTCTTTGCAGCAGCTGCCTGCCCACTCTGTTTCCTCAGCCCTCCCAGCCTGGGACTCAGCTCTTCTTTCATGCCCAGCTCAGGTCTCTCACTGGCTTTGGGTCGACTCTAGCCTTTGTCTCCCTTCTCTGGATGGGGATAAGCAGAGCCAGGGGGCCTCATTCCAGGCAGTTGGGTTGGGGGGTTGGGGGCAGGCAAAGCTCTCTCCATTTCCAAGGACCACCTATCCTGAAGCAAGAGGATAGGAAGCCCCAACCTGAGGCCATCCTGTCCCAGGCCCGGATCATGAACATGGAGGCAGGGACGCTGGCAAAGCTGAACACGCCCGGGGAGCTGTGCATCCGAGGGTACTGCGTCATGCTGGGCTACTGGGGTGAGCCTCAGAAGACAGAGGAAGCAGTGGATCAGGACAAGTGGTATTGGACAGGGTGAGAAGGCAGGGCGGGGTGGAGGCTCTGGCCGCTGAGGGGAGGCTGGAGGTCTTGAGGCTGAGCCGGGAACATTAACCTGGCACCGTGAGGATGTGGGTATCAAGATGACCCCTCACATGCTGGAGTCTTAATTTCCAAAATGTATACGGTGGGGATGATCATACATAGCACAGAAGAAAGCAACTGGGTCATCACCCTACACCAGCAGCTGCAAAATCTGAGTCCAGATTCAGTCACTCATTTGTTAGCTCAGCAAATTCTTACTAGAATTCCTTATGTGCTAGCACCGTTCTCGCCGCTAGAGGTCCAGAGGAAAGTAAGATGAGAAGGATCCTGCTTTTTGGAGGAAGACAGATGATGCCCAACATCGATAAATAACACCAAGAAAATAGGCCAGGCGCGGTGACTCACACCTGTAATCTCAGCAGTTTGGGAGGCCGAGGCGGGTGGATCACCTGAAGTCAGAAGTTTGAGACCAGCCTGGCCAACACAGTGAAACCCCACCTCTACTAAAAATACAAAAATTAGCCGGACGTGGTGGCGGCACGTGCCTGTAGTCCCAGCTACTCGGAGGCTGAGGCAGGAGAATCGCTGTAACCCAGGAGATGGAGGTTGCAGTGAACCGAGATCGCGCCACTGCACTCAAGACTGGGCGACAGAGCAGGACTCCATCTCAAAAACAAACAAGCAAATGAACAAACAAAAAACACTAAGAAAATGAAATAGGGTTATAGGAGAGAAAGTGGCTGTGGTGGGGAGGGGAGCTTCCCTTAGATTGAGTGGACAGAGAAGATGTCTGGAGACATTTGAGCTGAGACCTGGAAAGAAGCCAGTCGTGAAAAGCTATGTATAGATGTGTTGAGAGAGACAGAATATGTTATAGGTATTGTTTTGTTTTTGTCTACCTCCCCTCCCCTTACTGGACTATTAATTCCAGAGACTGTGTCTTGTTCCTGCTATGTCTCCCAGAGTCTAGAGCAGTGGAAGACACATAGTAGCTGGTCAATAAATGTTTCACGACTGAGCAAGCAAGTGAGTGAACAAGGCAGAGATGACAGGTTGCCCCTGGGCTTTCCTTACAGAGATGTCGCCACAATGAATGAGCAGGGCTTCTGCAAGATCGTGGGCCGCTCTAAGGATATGATCATCCGGGGTGGTGAGAACATCTACCCCGCAGAGCTCGAGGACTTCTTTCACACACACCCGAAGGTGCAGGAAGTGCAGGTGAGGCACTTGGCTCAGGTGAGCCCCCAGAAACAAGAAACACACATGAACACGGTGATGTCTGATATTTTTCTTTGGCCCTGGAAGGTGGTGGGAGTGAAGGACGATCGGATGGGGGAAGAGATTTGTGCCTGCATTCGGCTGAAGGACGGGGAGGAGACCACGGTGGAGGAGATAAAAGCTTTCTGCAAAGGGAAGGTGGGAGCCTCCGCTCAACCTAGCTGATGCTGCTCTGTTCTTTGCTCACCCACTCCTCTGCCAACCAGCCCAGGGTGGGGATTGCTCTGCCCTTGACGAAGCTGACTCCTGGCCAGGCCAGCCCCTGGTCCCCTACCCATACCCCTGTGAGCTTGCGCAGCCTCACGCCTTACCTCCCTCCCTCTGGTCTGCAGATCTCTCACTTCAAGATTCCGAAGTACATCGTGTTTGTCACAAACTACCCCCTCACCATTTCAGGAAAGGTGTGTAAGGTGGAGGAGGCTGGGGAGGGCAGCCTGGGCTCTGGGGCCCCATAGGGCCCCACCTCTGTTTCCTTCAGCAATGGGTGTGGAGAGACTGGCAGTAGGGTGACCGGGTCACCTAATCCTGGTTTGCCTGGGGACTTTCCCTGTTTTGGCACTAAGAGCCTGAGAAACCCCTTATTCTTGGGTGAACCAAGACAGCTGGTAACCCTAACTCCATTTTCTTTCCTCTAGATCCAGAAATTCAAACTTCGAGAGCAGATGGAACGACATCTAAATCTGTGAATAAAGCAGCAGGCCTGTCCTGGCCGGTTGGCTTGACTCTCTCCTGTCAGAATGCAACCTGGCTTTATGCACCTAGATGTCCCCAGCACCCAGTTCTGAGCCAGGCACATCAAATGTCAAGGAATTGACTGAACGAACTAAGAGCTCCTGGATGGGTCCGGGAACTCGCCTGGGCACAAGGTGCCAAAAGGCAGGCAGCCTGCCCAGGCCCTCCCTCCTGTCCATCCCCCACATTCCCCTGTCTGTCCTTGTGATTTGGCATAAAGAGCTTCTGTTTTCTTTGGCTTCTTGCTGGTGGGCTCTCTTGGCAGCTACTACAGGATGGAGAAGGGAAGACACTGAGGGGAACTAGCACTTTCAGACGTCCTATTCCTTGTCATTGAGAGTGCAGAGCACCTTGATGTGGATTATCTACTTAATTTAACCCTCACCCTTGGTATCCCTTTGAGATACCAACCCATTTTTGTTGTTGTTCTTGTTTTTTGAGACAGAGTCTTGCCCTGTCACCCAGGCTGGAGTGTAGTCATGCGATCTCAGCTCACTGCAACCTCTGCCTCCCTAATTCAAGTGATTCTCCTTCCTCACCCTCCCAAGTAACTGGGATTGCAGATACCCACCACCACACCCAACTAACTTTTGTATTTTTAGTAGAGGCGAGGTTTTACCATGTTGGCCAGGCTGGTCCTCAAACTCCTGACCTCAAGCAATCCGCCTGCCTCAGCCTACCAAAGTGCTGGGATTACAGGCATGAACCACTGCGCCTGGCCCCAATTTTTTATTTTTAAGCTACTCTAATTTAATTCTTTTTCACATTGTTGCCAGATTAGTCTAGCAAGAAGTATTCTTTTTATATATGTATAACAGCTTGATTGAGATGTAATTCACATACTCTCCAGTTCACTCCCACCTCCCCCATTTTCTAGAGACAGGATCTCATTCCGTCACCCGTGCTGGAGTGCAGTGACTCACTGTAGCGACATGATCATAGCTCACTGCAGCCTCGAACTCCTGGGCTCAAGCAGTCCTCCCACCTCAGCCTCCTGAGTAGCTGGGACTGTAGGAATGTGCCACCATGTCTTAACTAATTTTTAAACATAGACACAGGATCTTGCTATGTTGCCTAGGCTGGTCTAGAACTCATGGGCTCAAGCAATCCTCCTGCCTCAGTCTCTCAAAGTGCTGGGACAATCTACCATTTAAAGTATAGAATTCAGTGGTCTTTAGTATATTCACAAATATGTGTAACTATCACCACAGTCAATTTTAAATATTGTCATCACCTAAGAAAGAAACCCCATACTCTTTAACTATTATCTCCCATCTCCCAGCCCCCTTCCTCCCCAACCAACCTCATTTTTAGTTTTTATTTGTTTTGATTGGTGAACCTGGGGCATCCCTCGTAGGCAGGGCCAGATAAAGCAGGTTGTACCTTGACCCAAGAAATAAAAACAGCTGGGTTCCAAAAGGCACATAGATTCCCAGTTCACAGGAATGGAAACTTGCCTCCTGCCTGCCCCCTTACCTCCCAGCGCGCCTGCCCCCTTACCTCCCAGCGCGCCTGCCCCCTTACCTCCCAGCGCGCCTGCCCCCTTACCTCGCAGCGCGCCTGCCCCCTTACCTCGCAGCGCTCCTGCCCCCTTACCTCCCAGCGCGCCTGCCCCCTTACCTCGCAGCGCGCCTGCCCCCTTACCTCGCAGCGCGCCTGCCCCCTTACCTCCCAGCGCGCCTGCCCCCTTACCTCGCAGCGCGCCTGCCCCCTTACCTCCCAGCGCGCCTGCCCCCTTACCTCGCAGCGCGCCTGCCCCCTTACCTCGCAGCGTGCCTGCCCCCTTACCTCCCAGCGTGCCTGCCCAAGGCAGCAGCAGCCTCCTCTTGACTTTTTAAGAAATGAACATAGGTTTAAGGTATTTTCAGTACCAGGCTCTGTGCTAGGTACTTTCACATTATTTTCTCTCCAAATCTTCCCAACAATCCTTTCAAGTAGCCATTGGTCCCACTTCACCAATGACCCAACAGAAACTCAGGGAGGTTCCGTATCTTGCTCAAGGTCACACAGCTGGATCAGAACCCAGCTGTCTGTTAGGCAGGTTCACTGCACACTAGTTACCAACTTGTCAGAGTCCAGTGAGGCAAACACCCACAAGTTACATAACGCTGAGTCCAGCGAGGCAAACACAAGTGACATGCAACGTGTTTATTACCTATAGGTAGGCACTAAGGGACAACAGAAGGCTGGGATTCATTTGGAGCTGGACCCCTACGGCTCAGGAAAGCTGCTGAGGCAGCTGGGGGATGGACCGTTGTCTGTGCATGCCTGACTTTTTTTTTTGTTGTTGGTTTGTTGTGAGATGGAGTCTCGCTCTTTCACCCGGGCTGGAGTGCAGTGGTGTGAACCCTGGGATTCAAGCAATTTTCCTGCCTCAGCCTCCCTGGTAGCTGGGATTACAGGCGTGCACTACCACGTCCAGCTATTTTTTTTTTTTTTAGTAGAAACAGTTTCGCCATGTTGGCCAGGCTGGTCTTGAACTTCTGACCTCAGGTGATCCACCCGCCTCGGCCTCCCAAAGTGTTGTGATAACAGGCATGGGCCACCACGCCCAGCCAGCCAGACTTGTACTGAAGCTGAGGGACCCCAGAAACCAGCCCGCCCTGTTTTTCGTTTGTTTGTTTGTTTGTTTGATACAGAGTCTCACTCTGTCTCCCAGGCTGGAGTGCAGTGTCGCCATCTGGGCTCACTGCAACTTCCGCCTCCCAGGTTCAAGCAATTCTCCTGCCTCAGCCTCCCGGGTAGCTGGGACTACTGGCACGCACCACCACACCTGGCTAGTTTTTTGTATTTTTAGTAAAAACGGGGTTTCACCGTGTTAGCCAGGATGGTCTCAATCTCCTGACCTTATGATCCGCCCGCATCGGCCTCCCAAAGTGCTGGGATTACAGGAGTAAGCCACCGCGCCCGGCTTCTGCCCTGGGCTTTATACCCTGGGGCCATGTGACATGTTGGGCTGAAGTGTTGAAGGACATGCTTTTTCTAGGGGGACTGGAACAGAGCATGGCTGTGCTGGCCAGTCCTTCCTTCCCTCAGGATGTTGCATTCTCTGCACACTCTACAGTTTTATTTATTTATTTATTGAGACAGTCTTGCTCCATCACCCAGGCTGGAGTGCAGTGGCACTGTCTCAGCTCACTGCAACCTCCGCCTCCCAGGTTCGAGGGATTCTCCCTGCTCAGCCTCCCGTGTAGCTGGGATTACAGGTGCCCACCACCACGCTTGGATAATTTTTGTATTTTTGGTAAAGACGGGGTTTCAGCATGTTGGCTAGGCTGGTCTTGAACTTCTGATCTCAAGTGATCTGCCCGCCTCGGCCTCCCAAAGTGCTGGGATTACAGGCGTCTACAGTTATTCTTGAGAACTACAAGCAAGAAAGGAGGGGAGAACCAGGTCAGTTCAAGGCCACTGGGAGAACTGTCCTGCACCGCCTGCCTCTGAAGCCCATGATGTTTCTGCTTTGTGGGACAGTTGTTCAGGTGCCTGCTTCCCCAGGCCTTCCCCTGCGCCTTCCCCCTCTCTCCTACACACACCATCTGACTGTCCTTCCAGCACGTACACCTCCAGATGCTTGGGTTGGCCTGACCCAAAACAGTCTACTCTCCCGGCCAAGCCAATTGCCCCTGGGATTTTCTGCTCCTCCAAGATCCCGTGCATAGCCCTGGTGGTGGCTCATGCCCTTAATCCTTAGTTACTCTAGATGCTGAGGCAGGAGGATCGCTTGAGGCCGAGGAGTTCAAGACCTCCCCTCTCCCAAATATTTGTAAATGAAATTAAAAGAAAGATCCAGCCCAAGTGTCTCTTCTGCCCTACTGACTCCCACACTCTTAAAACAGATGACCTCACAGCACTGAGGCGGACGGCTCTGGTGTCCAGCAGGCACGGAATTAATACGCCTTGCCTGTCCTGGCCGGTTGGCTTGCCTCTCTCCTGCCAGAATGCAACCTGGCTTTATGCACCTAGATGTCCCCAGCGCCCAGTTCTGAGCCAGGCACATCAAATGTCAAGGAATTGACTGAACAAACTAAGAGCTCCTGGATGGGTCCGGGAACTCGCCCGGGCACAAGGTGCCAAAAGGCAAGCAGCCCGCCTCGCGGCCTGGGGAAAGAACCGACAGGAGGCCGCAGTGAGCGCCCGGGCGCCCGGCAGGTGGCGCCGCAGCCCCGGGCCCGGGCCCTCTTGTCGCGCGGTCACGCAGCCCCTCTTCCTTCCGCCGGCTGCGCACTCACAGTGATCCCTGCGCGCGTCTCCTGCTCGGGTCAGTGCGCCGCGCTGCGCTGGGCGCCATGGCGCTCCCCGGAGCCCGGGCTCGCGGCTGGGCGGCAGCAGCCAGAGCGGCCCAGAGGCGCCGCCGCGTGGAGAACGCAGGAGGGTCCCCGAGTCCTGAGCCTGCGGGCCGGCGCGCGGCGCTTTACGTACACGTGAGTAGGGGCGGGGGCGGAGCCCACGGTGTGTGGCCGCAGCCCTGGCCGTGACCGTGGCCGTCCAAAACCCAGGTGGCGGTTTGTCACTCTATGAACCCGCCTGCCGTGTTTCCGTGCCCCCGTACGAGGTCTGGGATGGGACCCTGTGCTTTGGCAGGGAAATGACTTGGTCCAGAAACCTGAAGTCTCTGCTACTCACCGGCTCGGTGACTCTGACCAAATGGTTCAAATTTCATAACAATTTTCCTCTTAGCAAGACAAAATTTTCTTAAGAGCAGTGTTCTGACTCGGTAGCTGGGAAAATGGCTCATAGGAAAATTGTATGAAAATTATATGATCCCAGAAAGAGCTTGGGTTGAATTCCTTCCTGACGTCTGCTGGTTGGAAGAGGCAGCGTAACAAAGGAGTGAGCCTCAGTTTTCTCACATTGAAGTGGATGTAATAACCCCAGTGCGACCTGCCTTGGGGAGTTGTGTGGCTTAGATGTCCTAGCTACTGTGGAAAGACCTCGGGATAGGGGTGGGGGTGGGGTTGGGGGTGTGTGCGACTGAACCCTGGAAGTGGCCAGGGCAGCTCTCACCGCGCACGTGCACTCACTGCCCCCAGTGGCCTTACTGCGAGAAGCGCTGCAGTTACTGCAACTTCAACAAGTACATCCCTCGCCGCCTGGAGGAGGCTGCCATGCAGAAGTGTCTGGTGACCGAAGCTCAGACGCTGCTGCGGCTCAGCGGGGTGCAACGGTGGGTAGTGGGGGCTGTAGGCAGCGTTTTGGGAAATATTTGGAGGAGTGGTGGGGGATAGGTGCAGGCATCCCAGAGGGCTCCCCCAGGTCTCATTTCTCCATTCTCTTTCCCCAGGGTGGAGTCTGTGTTCTTTGGTGGGGGGACCCCCAGTCTAGCCAGTCCCCACACGGTGGCTGCTGTCCTGGAGGCTGTGGCACAGGCAGCCCACCTGCCTGCAGACTTGGAAGTCACATTGGAGGCTAATCCTACTTCAGCTCCGGGCTCCAGACTGGCAGAGTTCGGGGCAGCAGGGGTTAACAGGTTGTCTATAGGCCTCCAGGTAACCCATGGCACTCACCCCATCCCAGTGCACCCCGCCCTTCAGTGCCATCTCCTCTTTGGTCACATTCATTCATTGGGCAAACATTGATTGAGCACCTTCTGGGTGCCAGGGACACAGTAGGGCCTAGTGCGACACTTTTATAACTCCTTAATTGTCTGCTGCTGTCATAGACCACAGACTTTATGAGAAAGGGATCAGGTGTGGCTTTTCTATTTCAAACACTTACCATAGTGCCTGGCACATAGTAGGTGGTCAAAAAAGATTTGCTACATGACACGGGAGACGCAGACATGTAGCCAGATTATTGCAGCATGGTAAATGTCACCTGTAAAGGGGGTCTCTATAAAAGGCTTCTAGAGTACAGCCTGAAGGGAGGTCACTCTGATGAAATCACTGAAACTTCTCTGGAGGAGATGTTTGAATGAAGAGGAAGAGTTCACCAGGTGAGGGGGTGTGGGGGAAACGACACAGGCCATGGAAGAGCCTGGCATGTTTTGGGGGAGTTGTGAGTCATTCCTTGTGATTGGAGAGGCTGGAAACAAGGTTGCAAGGTAGAGTCCAAAACCTTTGGTGCCTACTAAGGAGTGTGGGTTTTGTCCTAGTAATGATAGGGAGCCATTGAAGGTTTTTAAGTAGGGAGAAACCTAGTCGTCTCAGGTTGACCTCCGATATTTCCGTAGGACTTCCGGGTTGTGGGCTTTGTTCTGATGGAATATGCTGACAGAAACACATCACTTCTAAGATATTCTTACCCCAAAGCGCATATCTTGAATCTAATTGTCAGGAAACCCTGAATTAAGAGATTTTTACAAAATTATTGTGGTAAGAACAGACAGCATGAGATCTACCGTCTTAACAAGTTTTTAAATGTACATACAGCACTGTTAACTATAAGCACAGTGTTATACAGCCAATCTGTAGAAATTATTCATTTTAAATAATTCATTTAAATAATTATAATTCGTAAATAATAATAATTTATTTAAATTCATTAAATTATTCATTTTAAACAACTGGCCTGTATTCTTCAAAAATGCCAGTGTCATGAGAGACAAAGAAAGGCTGAGAATCTAAAGGAGACAGAAGAGACAGCTGAATACAATGTGTGGCCCCTGACTGGGGAGGAAGGAGGAAATTACTACAGTAGATGTTATTGGGACCATTAGCCAAATTTGAATATGACAATGTATTATGTAATGGTGTTGTGTCAGTGTTGCATTTCCTGAACTCTGTAATTGGATTGCAGTTATGTAAGAGAATGTCCTTGTTCTTTAGGAAATACACACCTAAGTATTTAGAGGTTAGGGAGTATAATATCTATAACTGCTATTCAATATAGTGGCCACTAGCCACAGACTAGTGAGCATTTGAAATGTGGTAAGTTAAGTTTAATTCACTTAAATTTAAATAACCACATGTGGCTACTACCTATCATATTGGACAGTACAGATATGAACATTTCCACCATTGTAGAAAGTTCTTTTGGACAGTGCTGGTTTATAATTTACTGTTAAATGATTCAGCATAATAACAGGTATGTATGTTTAAAGAGAAACAAATATGGACAAATGGTGAATCAAGATGAAGGTTTTTTTTGTGATTTTCTTTCAACTTTTCTATAGGTTAGAATTATTTAAAATTGAAAAGTAAAGTAAATAAAGACTTGATTTTGGAGTCAGACAGTCCTAAATTCCAGGTCGAACTTTGCAACTGTATGGCCTGGACAAGTTACTTAACACCTCTGAACCTCAGTTTTCTCATCTGTAAAATAGAACTAATATTGGAGGGTTACAAAGATTAAATTAGACACTACATAAAGGTGCTTGGCACATAGCGACCCTTCTGTGAATGGCAGCTCTTGGTGCCAGCTTGACCTTCCCCCTCCTGCCTTCCAGCTGCCTGCCACGTGCTGCGTTCTCCCTGTATCTGTGTCTACAATGGGGAGGAGGGTTCTTGTCTCTCTCTGAGCTGCTGGTATGCTTACACCCACCCTCTTTTCCCAGTCCCTAGATGACACTGAGCTCCGGCTGTTGGGACGGACGCACTCGGCCTGCGATGCTCTGCGGACGCTGGCAGAGGCCCGGCGCCTCTTTCCCGGGCGCGTGTCTGTAGACTTGATGCTGGGGCTGCCGGCACAGCAGGTGGGGCCGTGGCTTGGGCAGCTGCAGGAACTGCTGCACCACTGTGATGACCACCTCTCCCTCTACCAGCTGTCCCTGGAGCGGGGCACCGCACTCTTCGCCCAGGTGCAGCGGGGTGCCCTTCCAGCCCCTGACCCGGAGCTCGCAGCTGAGATGTACCAGAGGGGCCGGGCTGTCCTTCGGGAGGCTGGCTTCCACCAGTATGAGGTCTCCAACTTTGCCCGGAATGTAAGTTCTGGGGCTGATGGCTGGAGGTGGAGGATGGGCAGACTGCAGTGTGACCAGGGCGTTGTGACCTTCTGAAGAGAAGGATCCTGGCCGAGATGGTGGGACATTCTAACCTGGGGCCCCTTACCTGAGTCTAAAAATGAGGCCTGCCCTCTTCACTCTGCACTATTTCCTCCCTCCCCGCAGGGGGCGCTCAGTACCCACAATTGGACTTACTGGCAGTGTGGTCAGTACCTTGGCGTTGGGCCTGGTGAGTCCCGTGAACTACAGAAAGGGTGACTCAGGAGAGGAATGTCGTGGCTGTGTGAACTTGGGCCACATTAACCTCTCCAAGCCTCTATTTTCTCATATGTAAAATGTGGCAAAAAATAATACCTCCCTATAGAACTGTTGAGCATGAATTATAAGGGGCTTAATGTTGCACCTTGCACTAGGGTTCTCAGCCTTTAGTGTGTATGAGAATCTCCTGGAGGGCTTGTTAAAACCCAAGCTGCTGGGCCCCACCCTCAGAATTCCCAATTGGACAGGGCTAGAGGAGAGCCCAAGAATTTATATGTCTTGGCATTTTGGGATAGATGATTAAAAAAAAAAGAAAAAGAAAAAAGGGCCTGGTGTCATGTGCCTCTAATCTGAGCTACTTGGGAAGCTGAGGTGGAAAGATCGTTTGACCCCAGGCGTCCAAGACCAGCCTGGGCAGTATAGTGAGACACCACCTCAAAAAAAAAAAAAAAAAAAAGAAAGAAAGAAAGAAAGAAAAGAAAAGAAAAATAATTTATATTTCCAGTATGTTAGAGGCAGTTGCTCCAGGGACCACATGATTTAAATCTGGTAAACACATAGTATTAACAGCCATTAATGTGGGGATGGTTGTTGATGTTGTCAGGGGCCCATGGACGATTTATGCCCCAGGGGGCTGGAGGCCACACCCGGGAGGCTCGGATCCAGACACTGGAGCCTGACAACTGGATGAAGGAGGTGATGCTGTTTGGCCATGGCACCCGGAAGCGTGTCCCCCTGGGCAGGCTGGAGCTGTGAGCATCCAAGGGCACAGGGCTCTCCTCCAGGATCCCCACACCCCAAGACCATGTCTATTTGTATATCTTTTATTTCCTGTCTTGTCCTGGCCCCTGCCTTGCCACATACTGTATGGTCCCTGTTAGCCTCCTCTAAATGCATCCCAGTGTAGAATTTGGAGAATGGGAGGAGCACAGGCCTCCTCTCTAAGACTCCTTGGTGATTTTTCTTTGAGGCTGGAGGAAGTTTTGGCCCTGGGGCTACGCACCGATGTGGGGATCACTCACCAGGTAAGGAGTTAGGATTCTTGCACACCACTCCCTCCTAAAGTCTTGCAGAATCAATGCCCCCTCCCTGCCACCCCCCCCACACACATATACCTCCAATTTCTGTGAGATTGGCAGCTAGAAGTGGGGCCCAGGTCCAGCTGAGGCCTGATGGGCAGAAGCAGTGAGCAGTGGTGCATAGCTAAGAACCCTAGACCAGGGCTGCAGAGACCCAAGTTCCAGCCCTCATTTTACTGCAACCTTGGACACAAATCCTTTCACCTCTCTTAACCTCAATTTTCTGAGCTCTGTGAAGCAATAGATAGATAAAGGGTTTCCACTTGTTTTTAGGGAGCACTGAAACCTCTCATAGGAAGCACAGTAGATAATTATCAAGCAAATCCAGAGCTGCTCTGGATAAAGCAGAGCCATAAAGCCCTGGCTAGAGCTGGCTGAGAGGGGAGGGAAGAGAGGAGGCATAGAGGAAGGCCTGGCTTGGCTGGAAGCTGGGTTCCAGTCTCAGTGGAATAGGAGTGAAGCTGCCCTCCTCCCTGCTGGCCCATTGGCCTGGTTCTGCTTTCATGCATGTCAGCTGCTGAGATCTCCATGCTGAACTGGACCCTCCCCCACCTCTCACCATACCCCAACTATGTGGCCCAGAGTAGCCAGGCCAGCTCCCCACCTCTGACCCTCTGGCTTCCCCAGCACTGGCAGCAGTTTGAGCCCCAGCTGACCCTGTGGGATGTGTTTGGAGCGAACAAGGAGGTGCAGGAGCTGCTGGAGCGGGGCCTACTGCAGCTGGATCACAGGTGTGTTGGGGGGTGCCGGGCAGAGGGGGCTGAGGCATACCAGGGAGCCCTGACTACAGCTCTCCACAGACCCAGGAGAAGTGAGAAAGACTGACTGGTAAGGCGGGACCTGCGGGTGCTGGGAGCTCGGCCCTGCTGGGTGATGGGCTTGAAATTGGTAAGATGAAGTAGTCACCTTCAGGCCTCTTGGTTTTCCAGGGGTCTTCGGTGTTCCTGGGAGGGTCTGGCTGTGCTGGACTCTCTCTTGCTGACCCTCCTGCCTCAGCTCCAAGAAGCCTGGCAGCAGAGAACCCCCTCCCCTGTGCCAGGAGGATGACAAAAATGTTCCTGTGTTCCAGGGTAATGCCAGGTGGGTTTTGAGAGCTGGGTCGGTACTGCAGACATCTCTTCTCCGTTGTCGGGTGCCGTCTCTGCTCCTTGTGGTTATTGCTCAGCCCTGGCATCCCCAGGGGAATGGCAGCAGTGAGGTAGATGGGAGGACATTTCTGGTCAGGGAACTGGCATCCCATTCAGCATCTCAGGACTCACAGGCCAACATGTGTTCCATGGCTGGGAATTGCCTACCACCCACATCAGCTTCTGTTTACCTTTTTGGCATCAAATAATGAACAGTGTTTGGAAATCTTTCTACAGGCAATTACCTCCCCAAGAGAAGCCTTCCTTATTTTGGAGTAAGGTCCTAAGATAGCTGGATGAATCAGGAAAACCATGTCCCCTCTAGGTATTATTAATATAAGCAGGAAGGGATCTACTATAGGAATGAAGTATTTATAAACCACTGAAAGGGATAGAGAAGTGAACATTGGAGAAAGCCAGTAGCAACTGTGAGAAATCAGCAACTTGCAGGAGGCACAGAAAACTCCTGCTGATGGTCTCAGCTTCCAGCAGCACAAAAGCAGATGATGTACTGGAAAATGCTCAGAAGATGCTACAAAACCTCATGCCTACTGTCTGCCACTGCTGGAGAAGGAATCATGGTTTCTAGAAGTGCCTCTCATTAGTGGACTTTAAAGCAAATCCTGGCTGGCAGGAAATTCTGAGGAATATAGCTCTTAGGCTTCCAGCCTCTACCATGCAGGAGAGAACACAGAAGGACTGATGTATGTTGGTGGATCCATGTATGTGTCCAGCACAGCGGCCTGCTGGACTCTGAGAACTGGGAAAGATCAGAGCAAGCCTTGCCTCTTATCTTCGGGAAACCAGAATATGTTTGGGGTGGTAGGAGCCACACAGACTCTTCTGAGCCCCCTCACTCACTTCCTTCCCCCTGTGCCTTTCCTTTGAGAGTGAAGGTGGGTGGAGTTGACCAGAGAAAGGGGAGAGAATTCGGGAAAGACCCAAAGTGTTTGTAATTCTTCTTTGTCCTTTTACCTACAGAAATGGTCACATGGTTCTATTTAAATAGCCTAATAAACACATCTGGAGCCTGTCTTGACTGTGGTCCTCTCCTTTGAGCTCCTTCCTAGAGCGTGGAATCCTGATTTTGGGACTAGAACCTTAGCCTAGGGCTGAGATTCCTTCCCCCGCTCCCTACATTTTATTTTGAAGGATTTCAGACCTACAGAAAAGATAAAAGAATAGTTCATTGGAAGCCATATATCCTTTGTCTACTATGTAACTATAAAGTCTGGAAATAGGCAAATATTCATAATGCCATCAAGAACATCTTCAATCTATTGAAAAATATGATAGGCCAGATGGGGTGGTGCATGCCTATAATCCCAGCACTTGGGGAGGCCAAGACGGGAGAATCACTTGAGCCCAAGGGTTTGAGGCCAACCTGGGCAACATAGCAAGACTCTGCTTCCAAAAAAAAAAAAAAAAAAGTTTCCATACTTTGTGGTTACCCTATAGATTCATCAATTGTTAATTTTTGGCCACATTTACTTCATCTTTAGATAAATATGTCTGTATAATTTTTTTTCTGAATAATTTAAAAGTTGTAGACATCAGGCCAGGTGCAGTGACTCACACCTATAATCCCAGCACTTTGGGAGGCCGAGGCAGGTGGATCACTTAAGGTCAAGAGTTCAAGACCTGCCTGGCCAACATGGCAACACCCCTTCTCTACAAAAAAGAAAAAAAAATACAAAAATTAGCCAGGCGTGGTGGCACGCACCTGTAGTCCCAGCTACTCGAGAGGCTGAGGCAGGAGAATCGCTTGAACCTGGGAGGTGAAGGTTGCAGTGAGCTGAGATTGTGCCACTGCACTCCAGCCTGCGACAGCGAGACACCGTCTCAAAATAAATAAATAAATTCATTAGCTACATACAATCATTGTAGATAATTTTAACCTTTCTCCATTAAAAAAGAGCTTTCCATTTTTTAAAGGGCTGATACTTTTTTTTTTTTTTTTTTTGAGACAGGGCTTCACTGTGTCGCCAAAGCTGGAATGCCATGGCATGACCACAGCTCACTGCAGTTGTGACCTTTCAGGTTCCAGTGATCCTCCCACCTCAGCCTCCCAAGTAGCTGAGACTACAGGTGTGCACCACCATGCCTGGCTAATTGTTTTTTTGTAGAGATAGGGTCTCCCTATATTTCCCAGGCTGGTCTCAAACTCCTGGGCTCAAGTGATCCTCCCACCTCGGCCTCCCAAAGTACTGGGATGCAGATGTGAGCCATTGTGCCTGGTGAAGGGGTGATACTCTTAACCTGGAAGTTGTATGTTATATGTGTGAGACAGAGGGAGTGGGGAGGGGCATTTTCCTGGGAAGAGGCTCCATAAGTTTCATACCTTATGTCATAGGGTACCATGATGCCAGAAGTAATCTAGTACCACTGCCAAATGAGGCATGCTAAGCTCAGCCTCTAGCTGAGTGACTAAGAATGGGGCCTCCCCACCTCTCAGGTAAGCACGTGCGTTTCCCATGTGCCCAGTGGGTGTGAATATCAGTCCTTCCTTGACCCTGTGGTAATATGGTAAGTGTTACTACCTCTCCTTTATTCATGAAATATTAAGCAAGCACAAATGGTGTGCCAGGGACTGCACTGGGCAGCAGGGAGGAACAAGACCTGTCTTGGCCCTCGAGGCACTCACTGCCATGTTGATAGATGTGTAAAGAGATTAATTCCAGGCTTGTCAGTCAAGGTGTGCAGGCAGGTCGTTGGAGCCAGGGGCACGTTTGGTTCAGAGGGACTAGGAGCAGGACAGGGGATACCCTTTTCTTACCACCTCCATTGCCCCTGCTGCCCTGGAAAGCCTGGCCCTGGGGCAGCCTGTGGGGTCACCCGTGCTGCTCGGGGAGCTGTTTCCTGAGACTTCCCCTGATCTTGACATTCAAGAAGCGAGCACGGGGCCGAGGCAGGTGCGCCATCAGATAACCTGGGACCACTCAGGTTTCTCCCAGCTGCCAGGGCTCGTGCCACTTGAGACATCCGGGCGCTCCCTGCCAGGACACCTCATAAGGCCCGTGCAGAGGAGCTGGGTAGGAGCCAGGGCCAAGTCGGGGTGGCACAGATCACCTTCTGTGACTCAGTCTGGTCTTTCCTTCACCAGATGAATCAGAAGCTCCCGGAGGTGGAGCCCCAGAATCTAGTTTTTCAATGCTCATACATGGCCCTAATGATCATTCCCTTTTGGGAACCTCTGATTACAATCATTTCTTGCCTTCCATGCCAGGAGGCTGGGGGCAGGAGGAAAGGGAGACATGGCTATTTCCAGTGTCCTGTGACAAAGTGGGAAGGGGGGCCTTCATTTCACATCCCAGCCCTTCCATGACTCATCCATCAGGGGGCTTCTCCTCCTCCATAGTGGGACCTGGCTTGTCATCTTTTCACCTGCTCTACATGGATGCAAGTAAAAGGGGTGAACAACCCCCTTTGGTGATGAAGTTGGGGACATATAGTACATGTGGGTATGTGGTTACAGCTTGAAGCACCAAACCCTCTGTGTGCAGGCAGAGCACTGATCATTTGAAAGCCCTCCAACTGAGCCACCCCTCCCTGCTGCCGAATTGTGTGAGGTCAACAGGACAGCTCTTTTCATTTCCATCTTACAGATAGGGACATTCATGGAGGCCCTCTAACTCGACTCAAGTCCTATAAGCAGTAAGCAGAAGGCCCGGTATAACACTTCTGGGCATCCAGAACTTTGTGTCCCATCGTTGTTTTCTCCTTGCTGTAGGTCCAGGTCAAGTGGTCTTCCTCTTAAATTAGGCAAAGTCCAGACCTCTCAAATTTAGGGACAGGGAGGGTGAGGGTCTCACTGTGTCCCCCAGGCTGGAGTACAATGTTACAATCACAACTCACCGCAGCCTCAAACTCCTAGGCTCAAGTGATCCTCCCACATCAGCTCGCCAGCCCCTTGTAGCTGGCATCATGCCTGTGAGACCGCTCACTTCTCCTCTCACATCCTTCTGCAAAGAAAAGAACTTTAAATAATAGAATGAAATCACTTGTGTGGTAGATTGTATCATGTCCAAAATGTTTGCTACCCCTCCTTGGCATGAGCCTCACCTGAGGGCCTGGGGAGGATTATATACCCCTACCTTGTTGAACCTGGAAGGGCCACGAAACTTGCCTGGCACTGGTTGTAAGAGCCGGTGGGTGGTCCATCAGCTCTCTGTTGCAGTGACCTGCAATGTTCACATGGAGACTGTTTTGTCAGCCTAGGTCCCAGGGTGAAGAGGATGGTCAGAGCAGCCAGCCACAATAGACATGAAGAGTAGAGAGAAATTAACCCCTGCCATTGTAGACCAGTAGACTTTCCAGTTGTTGCTGCACCATATTTGAGACTAAACTGTCTGATTCAGTTTGTAATCCCACCATTCAAAGATTAGCCATTGTTAAGATTGTGGTGTGTATCTTAGCAGAAATTCTGATATGCAAATTAATGTATTTAGATACACAATCTTACAAAAATGGGATAATACACATCTTGCTTTGAAGCTTTATTGTCTTATCTAATATGTACTAAGTGTCTTTCCATGGTAAATTTATATCTAGATCCAATTTTTCAGTGTTGGGATCACAGTATGGCTCCATAGTGTACTAATGCATGGTTATGCCAAAAAATGTTGTTTTCCCAGTTTCTTTTCTTTTCTCTTTCTTTCCTTCTTTCTTTCTTTTCTTTTCTTTCTTTTTTTTTTTTCATCTCTGTCACCCAGGTTAGAGTGGAGTGCAGTGGCACAGTCATGGCTCACTGCAGCCTCAACCTCCTGGACTCAAGCAATCTTCCCACCTTAGCCTCCTAAGTAGCTGGAACCACCACACCTGGCTAATTTTTAAAATTTTTGTAGACAGGGTTTTGCCATGTAACTCACGTTGCTTTTGAACTCCTGAGCTCAAGCAGTCCTCCCCCGTTGGCCTCCCAAAGTGCTGGGATTACTGGGGTTACAGGTGTGAGCCACCGCCCTCAGCCTCCAGTTCCTTTTTTTTTTCTTTTTTTGAGACAGAGTCTTGCTCCCTTGCCCAGGCTGGAGTGCAGTGGCGCAATCTTGGCTCACTACAACCTCTGCCCCCCAGGTTCAAACAATTCAACATCAACCTCCCAGGCTCAAGTGATCCTCCTGCCTCAGTTCTCCACCCCTTTGTAGCTGATACTACAGATACACACCAGCGTGCCCAGCTAATTTTTAAATATTTTTACAGAGATGCAGTCTCACTATGTTGCCCAGGCTGGTCTTTTTTTTTTTTTTTTGAGATGGAATCTTACTGTATCACCCAGGCTGGAGTGCAATGGCGTAATCTTGCCTCACTGCAACCTCTGCTGCCCAGGTTCAACTGATTCTCCTGCCTCAGCCTCCCGGTGTAGCTGGGATTACAGGTGCCTGCCACTGCGCCCAGCTAATTTTTGTATCTTTAGTAGAGATGAGGTTTCACTATCTTGGCCAGGCTGGTCTTGAACTCCTGACCTCGTGATCCATCTTCAGCTTCCCAAAGTGGTGGGATTACAGGTGTGAGCCACCGCGCCTAGCCACCCTGGCTGGTCTTGAACTCCTGGCTTCAAGTGATCCTCCCGCATCAATCTCCCAAAGTGTTGGGATCACAGGCGTGAGCCACTGCACCCCCCTTAATTTTTAATAAATATAAATTCTGTGATGAACATGTTACGTAAATATTTTTATGCAATGGTTTGATCATTTTCTTAGGTTTAGGTTAAATCTCAAGAAGTGGAATTGCTAACTCTAAGGATTTGCACATCCTTTGTTTGGATACACAATGCCAGACTACCCTCCAGGAAGGCTGCCCAATTCACACCACTTTTGCCAGCCTGCTAGTGCTCTTTTCTCAACCTCATCAATGGCAAGCATGATCAATTTTTCCAGATGATTCCAACTTGAAGAGCATTCCTTTTTTATTTTTTTTTTGAGACGGAGTCTCGCTCTGTCACCCAGGCTGGAATGTAGTGGCTTGATCTTGGCTCACTGCAACCTCCGCCTCCCAGGTTCAAGCGATTGTCTTGCCTCAGCCTCCAGAGTAGGTGGGACTACAAGTGCACACCCCCACACCTGGCTCATTTTTTGTATTTTTAGTAGAGATGGGGTTTCGCCATGTTGGCCAGGCTGGTCTCAATCTCTTGACCTCGTGATCCGCCCACCTTGGTCTCCCAAAGTGCTGGGATTACAGGCGTGAGCCACCACACCCGGCCTAAAGAGCATTCTTGATCCTAGCTTTATCATCAGTACTGCCTTGGCAACTGTTTCATCCATCTGATTGATCACTGCCAAGTCAGAAAGCAAAGGGGATACAACCTCTGGGACCACCTAGGTAGAAGACTGAGCTGGAATTCAGTCTGATTTCCATGTCTTGTACATTACCTCTGAGTTTCTCTTACTCAGCCGACCCCCTCCTGGGAGAATCCTAGGTCTCCCTTTTATCTTTCTCTCCCTGCTGTCCCTTCTCCCTGAGGGGATTTTTAAGGCCAATTTTAAAATTATTATTATGAAACAAATAACAAAATAGAAACATTGGACAGAATTCTAAATGAAAAAGAAAAAAGGATCACCCATAATCAGTGGTCCCAACAAAATACATTTTTTTATTTGCCTTATTTGCTTGTGTTCCCTTCCAGTCCTAGTCCAAATGCAAGCCATATTTTTACCCAGATGTGACCCTGGCCCAGATCTAATTTTGCATTCTGCCCCTTTCAATTCTCTTGTCATAAGCAGTTTTCCACATTGCTACATGGTCATCATCTTATTCTAATTGTTGCACAACGTTCCAATGAGTGAATAATTTAATCATCATTACCCTAATGTAAGTCACTTACATGGTTGCTCAATTTTCCTATAATAAATACTGCTGTAGTGCCTGCTTTTGTGGATATGGCTTCTTCCTTCATTTGAATTATTTCCTCAGGTCAATTCTCAAGAGTGAGATAGGTCAAAAGGTATGAAGGCTTTAATGATTCTTGGCATGAGAACCGGAACATTGTTTTCCAAAGGGTTTTTCTTTCTTTCTTTTTTTTTATTTTCCTGCTCAAAAGTTAATACATGCTATCTTTCAACAATTTAGAAGAAAGCAAAAATTCTACTACCCAGAAATTACCACTACTAACATTTGGCCAACCATTCCTCCAGGCATCTCTGGATATACACATCTATCTATATGTATAATCTGCATAGATATACATATAGATGTAGACATAAAAATAATTTTTCACAAAAGAGATCACATCCCCATGCCAGTTTTGCAACCTGCTTTTTTACTCAACAACATGTCCTGGGTTTTTCTAATTGGTTCTGCCACCACCAGTGCCTAGGTGGTAGCAAAATGTAGTACAGCAGTAGCTGTAAGCCACACACTGTACCAAGAATTTTATGTACATTAGCTAATTTAAGCTCTGCAATAACCAAATGAGATAAGTTCTATTATCATCATGCCCATTTTACAAATGAGGAAACAGGCTCAGAGAAATTGCACAGGGTCACAGAGCTAGGGAGTGGTGGGGCTAGCACTCCAAAACAGATGTTTATACAAGTAATACACGAACACATGTCTATTGTAAAAGATAAAAATAATAAATGCAAGCAAGAGCATAGCATAGAAACTAAAGTGTGGGCCGGGCGCAGTGGCTCATGCCTGTAATCCCAGCACTTCGGGAGGCCGAGGCGGGCGGATCACGAGGTCAGGAGATCGAGACCATCCTGGCTAACATGGTGAAACCCCGTCTCTACTAAAAATACAAAAAATTAGCCAGGCTTGGTGGCGGGCGCCTGTAGTCCCAGCTACTGGTGGGGGCTGAGGCAGGAGAATGGTATTAACCCAGGAGGCGGAGCTTGCAGTGAGCGGAGATGGCGCCACTGCACTCCAGCCTAGGTGACAGATCGAGACTCTGTCTCAAAAAAAAAGAAACTAAAGTGTGAAAGTCCCATTTACACTTCCACAGAGGTTTGGTGTGTGTATCAGTTAAGTTTAGGTTCAATTGCATGTAACAGAAAACCAAAATAGCATAGGCTTAAACAAGATAGGATTTGTTTTCTTCACGTAAAAGAAGTCTGCACATAGCATTTCAGGGCTAGCATGGTGGGCCCATGCTCATTAGTCATGAAGAACCCATTTTCAGTTTATGGCTTCGTCCCTAAGGTCTCCACGTGGACTAATATTGTCCCTGGAGCTCCAGCCATCATGCCTGCATTCTAGGCAACAAGGAGAAGGCTGGAGGAGCAATGCCATGGTTTTTCCCAGATGAATCAGCCTCTCTCTAAAGAGCTTTCCCTAAAGTCCCCCACCCTATGATATAGCTTTATTTCTTTTCTAAAAAATTTTTTTTTATTTTTTTGAGATGGGGTCTCACTCTGTTGCCCAGGCTGGAGTGCAGTGGCACAATCTTGGTTCACTGCAGCCTCCACCTCCCGGTTCTAGTGATTCTCCTGCCTCAGCCTCCCAAGTAGCTGGGAATACAGACGTGCACCACCACGCACAGCTAATTTCTGTATTTTTAGTAGAGACAGGGTTTCACCATGTTGGCCAGGCTGGTCTCGAACTCCTGACCTCAGATGCTCCACCCACCTCAGCCTCCCAAAGTGCTGGGATTACAGGCGTGAGCCACTGCACCCAGCCTGATATCAGTTTATTTCTAATTGGCCACCCCTATCCACAGGGAGACTGTGCAGTGTAGTTTTTAAACTGAGCATTTTGCAGCTTCTCCAACCCCAGCTCCCCCCATAATACAAGTGCTTGGTTAACTTTTTTTAAGGGGGAAAGAATGGATATTAAAAGAAAATTAGACAATTCTGCCACCATGTATATCCTTCCCAATCCTTTCTTACAAATTTATATATGTATATATTGTGAAAGTTGATTGTACAAATTGGGTCATTCTTGCCATACTCAACTAAATCAGAGTCAATGGGTTGGGGGAAAAAGCACTTGGGACACATAACTTCGCTCCAAGAAGTACATTTTCCACGAGCTTGGCTGCTGAAACTGCCTCTTGTAACCTGAAACTAGTTTTATCTGATGGCTACTGAAACAACCTGCTGCAACTCTAAGACTGGCTTTACCCACCACCTTCACTCACCAGTCAGCACTTGCCATCCCCAAAACCTTACTGGCACCAATGAGCTATCTTTCAAAACAATTCTCCATTTCATAAAACCCCCAAGCATCTCTTTGTTCGTTGGCTGTACTAAAGACCACCCAGTCTGTGTGTATGCCCCAAATTGCAATTGTTGCTTCTGAGATAAAATGTTAAATTTAGAGATTCATCTCTACATTTTTATTTTGACTTTGACAGTATGTACATATATAATAACATAGTTTTAAATGGTACATTGTTTTAATTTACATTTTAAAGCCTTACTGACCAGATTAAACATTCTCCATTAAATATTTGTTTACTAATTATTGTGTTGTGTGCACAGTTAAGCTCTTTGCTTATTTAGCCAATTAAAACCTAGAAGATATCTTGATCCAGTTGAATGGACTATCAAGGTAAAGAGATAGAGGCAGTCTCAGTGGCTCACACCTGTAATCCCAGCACTTTGGGAATCCAAGGTGGGTGGATCATGAGGTCAGGAGATCGAGACCATCCTGGCCAACATGGTGAAACCCTGTCTCTACTAAAAATACAAAAATTAGCTGGGTGTGGTGGTGTGTGCCTGCCTGTAATCCCAGCTACTCGGGAGGCTGAGGCAGGAGAATCGCATGAACCAGGGAGTCGCAGGTTGCCGAGATCATGCCACTGCACTCCAGCCTGGGCAACAGAGCAAGACTCCATCTCAAAAAAAAAAAAAAAAAAGAGAGAGAGAGATAACAAATAGATGAATAGACGATAGGTATATTAACTCTTTGTATTACTTGCTGCAAGTGCTTCTAATATGCTATCCTTTTTATTTTTCATGGATTTTAATTTTTTTGGAAGTGAGTTTTCCAGAAATTTCAACTACATTTATATATTTAAGTCCATCTTTTGCCTTGGGGCTTTTTGTTAGTCCCAGGCTCAGACGTTAGTCCCACCTCCAGAGATATGGTTGGTGTTGAAGTTGGCCTTCTCCTCCCAAGAGGGACAGTCTAATGTTGGTGGCTAGGCCCACCTGGGTTCTAATTTGAATCTTGACTGTCACTTCCTACTATACAACTAGGAAAAACACATCTGTCATCTAAGTTCTAGTTTTCTTGACTGTTGGTGAGGGAGTTGTATCAACCCCAGGTTCTTAAACTTGTCTGTGCATCAGAACCGTCAGACGCTCCAAATTGCACATTCCTGCCCCTCCACCTCCACACCTCAGCTCAGATCTACAGAACCCGAATCGCTGTATCCAGGAGTTTGTATTTTTTAAAATGCTCCCCTGAGGCTGACATTCAGACATGTTCCAGAATCGCCGCACCAGCCAGTGTCTGAGAGTGCCTCCTACACCAGGCTCTCTGTGCAGTGGGTGAGTGAGATGAGGGTGGTGGCCCTTGGCCACTGTGTCCCCCGAAGCCAGTTGGCCCTGCCTTGTCCTCTTGGGTCAGAGCTCCCATTTCACATCCAACCTGAGCCGCAGCCCATTCTCCCTGCTTTCTCAGGGCTGGGGCTGGGGCTGGGGGTGAAAGGGTGATCAGGATCCTGCAGTGTGAGTGGGGTTGTGGGGCTGCCACAGCAATGCCCCTAGGAGGGGCCAGTGTTCCCTACTGGCTGGCTTCCCTTAGTGAAGCCTCTCATCCTGTGAATCTCCACCTCTTCAGCTCTGACAGCAGGACTGAGACCATGCCTTCCTTGCAAGGCAGTCCTAAGGTCTGCGATGATGGGTGGATGGAAAAAGTCTCGAGCAGTTCCTGCCACAAAATGTGCATTTGACAAATGTGGTAGATGTTACTATTAGTGCTTTCTTTTTTTTTTTCTTTTTCTTTCTTTCCTTTTTTTTTTTTTTGAGACAGAGTCGTTCTGTCGCCGAAGCTGGAGTGTAGTGACACGATCTCAGCTCCACCTTCTGGGTTCAAGAGATTTTCCCGCCTCAGTCTCCCGAGTAGCTGGGACTACAAGTGCTCACCAGCATGCCTGGCTAATTTTTGTATTTTTGGTAGATGTGGGGTTTCACCATGTTGGCCAGGCTGGTCTTGAACTGTTGACCTCAAGCGGTCCACCCGTCTCGCCTGCCTCGGCCTCCTAAAGTGCAAGGATTGCAAGTGTGAGTCACCGCACCCAGCCACTATTAGTGTTTTCATTGGAATTTACAGTTGTAAGGGAGGCAAAATTTTATCCCCTACCATCTTGGGGTTTTTTGGCTGGGACTCAGAATTAAACTGACATAAGACAGATTAACAGGAGAAAAACATTCAAATTTATTTAATACAGTTTTTATGTGGCACAGGAGACTTCATAAGGAAATGAAGACCGAAAGATGCAGTTAGAATTGAACACTCAGCTAGGCGCGGTGGCTCACACCTGTAATCCCAGCACTTTGGGAGGCCAAGGCAGGCAGATCACTTGAGGTCAGGAGTTCAAGACCAGCCTGACCAAAATGGTGATGTGAAACCCCCGTCTCTACTAAAAAAAAAAAAAAAAAAAATACAAAAATTAGCCAGGCATTGTGGTGTGCACCTGTAGTCCCAGCTACTCGGGAGGCTGAGACAGGAGAATCACTTGAGCCCGGGAGGCAGAGGTTGCAGTGAGCAGAGATTGCAACACTGAACTCCAGCCTGGGCAACACAGTGAGACTGTCTCAAAAAAAAAAAAAGTATACAGTTGAACACTCAAAGACTGACTTGGACAAAGGGTAGTAAATTATGAAAATCTGAGCAGGCTGTTGTGCTTGGGGTAGGGTAGTTAATTGGGTAGAAAAGTGACTAGGAAGATAATGGTTAGTTTAAGGAGGTTGGTTTGTATAGATTTACCTCAGCCTCAAATTCCCATCCTTGATAATAAGAATGATGTTTTCCTCTGGTATAGAGGGGATGTGTTTTACATGGGAATTTCATCTACTGCTTTTTTTTTTTTTTTTTTTTTTTTGAGACACAGTTTTGCTCTTGTCACCCAGGCTGGAGTGCAGTGGCACGACCTCGGCTCACTGCAACCTTCGTTTCCCGGGTTCAAGCGATTCTCCTGCCTCAGCCTCCCAAGTAGCTGGGATTACAGGCATGCACCACCACACCAGGCTAATTTTTGTATTTTTAGTAGAGACAGAGTTTCACCATGTTAGTCAGGCTGGTCTCGAACTCCTGATCTCAGGTAATCCACCCACCTTGGCCTCCCAAGGTGCTGGGATTACAGGCATGAGCCACCGCGCCTGGCCATCTACTGCTTTTAAGAAGCAGAAGGTTGGGAGGCTGAGGCAGGCGGATCACAAGGTCAGGAGATCAAGACCATCCTAATACAGTGAAACCCTGTCTCTACTAAAAATACAAAAAATTAGCTGGCGTGGTGTCATGTGCCTGTAGTCCCAGCTACTCAGGAGGCTGAGGCAGGAAAATCGCTTGAACCGGGGAGGCGGAGTTTGCAGTGACCCAAGATTATACCAATGCACTTCAGCCTGGACAACAGAGCGAGACTCTGTCTCAAAAAAAAAAAAAAAAAAAAAAAAGAAGCAGAAGGGGCCAGGCATGGTGGCTTACACCTGTAATCCCAGCACTTCGGGAAGCTGAGGAAGGAGGATTGCTTGAGTCAGAGGTTCGAGACCAGCCTGGGCAACATGGTGAGACATTCATCACTATAAAAAATTTTTAAAATAGCTGAGTGTGGTGGTGCAGCTGTGGTCCTAGCTACTCAGGAGGCTGAAGTGGGAGGATTGATTGAGCCTGGGAAGGTCAAGATTGCAGTGAGCTATGATCGTGCCACTGCACTCTGGCCCGGGTGACAGAGTGAGACCCTGTCTTAAGAAAAAAAATAAAAAAGCAGAAGGAAGGTTCACATGATCTTCTTGCACCTGCTATTTTTCAAATGCCTTTAACTCAAAATAGTCAATAAGCCAGAGCAGCAGATTTTAGGGTAGCATGTTCTTAACTCCACGGTGCCCTGGGCATGCTGGCTCTAGAGAACACAGGTCTTGAACAGGAATTCCTGGTGCCTGACAAGACAGAGAGAGACCTGTCATTTCCCTGTGCTGCTGAAACTTCAGTAGACAGCCCTGACTCCTGGAAATTTTTCCCTCTGGCTCAGCATAGAATTTGTCACCTCCTGGGTGGCTGGGAGGCTGTGCACCATGAGGCCCACTGGCAGCCTCCAGGCAGTGGGCACCCACACTATGTGACTCCTCCTACCAGTGCTCCCTGCCTTCTCTCAGCAGGTCAGGCAGGAGCGGCTCCATTCCTCAAGTGGCTGACTAATCCGGGCAGGGACTGCCCCACCTGCCTCCCAGATCCCTGACACCCGGGACACCCCAGAGGTTGCCTTTCCTCTGCCCTCACTCTAGATTAGGCCTCTCTTGGAGCCCTCCCTGCAGGCAGGGCCTCGGCTTAGGGAGGCTGCTTTAGATCTTCGGGGAAGTTGCTGAGGAAATGTGCCCCTCCTCCCAGTCCCCACCAAGCATGGACCCTTCAGATTAATCTACTAACAATAATAAGATGAGCTGTAAAAACCATCAGGCTGGCAATCCTCAGCTTGAGCGAAGTTCAAAGGTCACAGGACAATTTAAGGATCCTGCTCACACACCCTAGTTTGAGCACAGGAGCCCTGAATGGCTCCCACCTGGGTCCCCGGAGTGTGCATACTGTGTTCAGATTCCAGCTCTGCTGCCCATTCACTGCTTAATCCTGGGTGGGGCACTTAGCCCTGCTCTGCCTCAGTTTCCTCATCTGTAAAATGGGAATGCTAATGATATTCTCTACCTCACATGGTTGTAAATGTTCAGGAAGTTAGCACCCATAACTAAAACACCAAAGAAAAATAGATACATTGGAGTTCATCAAAACTTTAAAAATGTTGTACATCAAAGGGCACTATTAAGAAAGTAAAAAGAAAACCCACAGAATGGGGGAAAATATTTACAAATTATGTATCTGATAAGAGTTTAATATCCTCAATTTATAAAGAACTCCTACAGCTCAACAATGAAAAGACAACCCAATTTAAAAATGGGCAAAAGATCAGACGCAGTGGCTCACACCTGTAATCCTAACACTTTGGAAGGCCGAGGTGGGCAGATCACTTGAGGCCAGGAGTTCGAGACCAGCCTGGCCAACATGGTGAAACCCTGTCTCTACTACAAAGACAAAAATGGGCCAGGTGTGGTGGTGCACACCTGTAATCCCAGCTACTCGAGAGGCTAAGGCACAAGAATTGCTTGAACCTGGGAGGTGGAGGTTGCAGTGAGCCAAGATTACACCACTGCACTCCAGCCTGGGCAACAGAGTGAGACTTTCTCTCAAAAAATAAATAAAATAAAAATAGGCAAAGGATTTGAAAAGATGTTTCTCTAAATAAAATACACAAGTGGCTAATAAGCACATGAAAAGATGCTCAACATCATTAGCCATTAAGAAAATGGACAACAAAACTATGATATGACCCCCCCAACCCCCACTAGGATGGTTATAATAGAAATAATAATAATAACAAGTGTTGGTGAATATGTGGAGAAATCAGACTGCTGGTGGGGATGCAAAATGGTGCAGCTTCTGTGGAAAACAGTCTTGCAGTTCCTAAAAAAGTTAAACTTAGTGTCACCATATGATCCAGCAACTCCACTCCTAGGTATATGCCCAAGAGAATTAAAGACATGTAATCATACAAAAACTTATGCACAAATGTTCATAGCAGCAGTATTCATAATAGCCACAAAGTGGAAACAGCCCAATGCCCATCAATTGATGAATGGATAAATAAAATATGGCATCTTCATACAATGAAATATTATTCAGCAGTGAAATGAATACATGAAAACATTATGCTAAGTGAAAAAAAAAGACACAAAGTAGGTCTATACTGTATGATTTAATGTATATGAAATGTCCAGAATAGGCAAATTCATAGAGACGGAAAGTAGATTAGTGGTTTCCAGGGATTAGCGGGTAGGGAAGAATGGGGAGTGACTAATGGGTACAGGGTTTCTTTTGGGATGATGGAAATGTTCTGGAATTGAACAGTGGTAATGGTTGTACAACCTTGTGAATATACTAAGAAGAAAAAACACTGAATTTTATCCTTAAAATGGTGAATTTTATGTTATATAAAATTTTTTATGTAAATTATCTCAATTTTATTCAAAAAGGAATTATTACACATAAAATGCTTAGAAGGCTATGCAGGCCATGATAAGCCTTCAGTTAGTTGCCATTTAGTTTATAAACTCCACTGAATTTATGGGTTGGTCCAGATTTCCGAAGGAAAACATAAAAGGAACATCACCTTTAGAAATCGAATTCATGGCCTGGCGCGGTGGCTCATGCCTGTAGTCCCAGCACTTTGGGAAGCTGAGGCAGGCAGATCATGAGGTCAAGAGATTGAGACCATCCAGGTTAACACAGTAAAACCCCGTCTCTACTAAACATACAAAAAATTAGCCGGGCATGGTGGCACGCGCCTGTAGTCCCAGCTACTCGGGAGGCTGAGGTAGGAGAATCGCTTGAACCCAGGAAGCGGAGGTTGCAGTGAGCCGAGATCGCCCCATTGCACTCCAGCCTGGGTGACAGAACGAGACTCCATCTCAAAAAAAAAAAAAAAAAAAAGATTGAATTTGCATACTTAATACATGTTAAAGCATTTATTTGCATGTAGTTTCTTCTCTCATTTCATACTCCATCTTGATTTGACATGCTTTATATATATACATATATAATATATATAAGCATTTATTTGCATATTGTTTTTAAATTGTATTTTCATGATCACTTTTATCACTTTTGATATTTTTGAGGTGTGTCCAAGGCTTAAATCGCATTTGTTTTTGAAGTCTCAACTGGATTGAGTCTAGGACTGCCATGTAGCTCAGGGAATCCGCTTATGGTCAGGCCTGTGAAACAGCAGGATGCTCTTTGACTTTGGGCTGAAAGCCTGAGACGGAGGCTTAGCTCCATTGCTTACAAGCTATGTGACCTGGGACAAGACTAAGGTTGTCAGCTTTAGCAAACAAAAATACAGACACCCAGTTACATTTGAATTTCAGATAAACAATGTATATTGTTTAATGATTTTGTTTAATGATATATTGTTTAACGATATATTAATGAAGAACAATGATATTAAACAATGACCAGATAAACAATGAATATATTTTTTGTGTAAACATATCCAAAATATTATATGGGAAATACTTATACTAAAAAATTATTTTATATGAAATTAAAATTTAATTTATCTGTGAGAGTTTTCAAGGGAATCATATTTAATTCTCACAACGCCCCCTGCTGCCCTTTCCCATTTTTGTCATGAAAGAGACTGACTCGGAGAGGTTAAGTGACTTAGCCCAAGGTCATCGAGCTAGAAAATTATTGAGCTGGGATTTGAACTTGGGTGCGTCAACTGTAGCATGCTCTGCTACTGGAACTCAAGACAGATATGTAGCAACCTACTTTTTTTTTTTTTTTTTTTGAGACAGAGTCTCACTCTGAGGCCAGGCTAGAGTGAGGGCAGTGGCACGATCTCGGCTTACTGCAACTTCTGCCGCCCAGGTTCAAGCGATTCTCCTGCCTCAGCCTCATGAGTAGCTAGGATTACAGGAGCCTGCCACTGCGCCTGGCTAATTTTTGTAGTTTTAGTAGAGACGGGGTTTCACTATTTGGCCAGGCTGGTCTTGAACACCTGACCTCGTGATCCACCCGCCTCAGCCTCCCAAAGTGCTGGGATTACAGGCGTGAGCCACCGCACCTGGCCTGGCAGTGACCTACTTAATGATAGCCTGGGAGCCATGAGCTAACTTGGTAAGAACAGAAGCTTTCATGGACTGAGACGGACTTTTGAATAGGAGTTAGAGAATTCGATTTCAAAGTGTTTCTATGACCCTGTCTGTGTTAGTTTCCTGTTTCTGCCTTAACGAATGACCACATATTTAGTGGCTTAACACAAATTTATCTTGCAGCCTCTGGAGGTCAGAAGTCTGAAATGGTCCAGGTGTCTGCAGAGCTGTGTTCCTTGTGGAGGCTCTAGGAGAGAATCTGCCTCTTGCCTTTTCCAGCTTCTTAAGGCTTGCGGCATGTCTTGGATCGGAGCCACACACTCTGACCTCCGCTTCCATTAGCACATTTCCCTCTCTGACGCTGACCCTTCTGCCGCCCTCTTGTAACGACGCTTGTGATTACATGGGGCCCACCGGATAATCCCGGATCATCTCTGAATCTCAAGATCCTTAATCACATCTGCAAAATCCTTTTTGCCTTGTAAGGTAACATATTTACAGCTTCCGGCGATTAGGAGGTGGACATCTGTGGTGGAGAGGTTATTCTGCCTATCACACTAAGAGAGAAATGATCTAGTTGACTTGAGTGTCCCAGGCCTTAACTATAATCCCTTTCATCTGTATAGCTTTCACACACATTCTTTTTTCCACCTTGCATCCATCCTGGAAAGTAGATGAAGGCTGTGCTGAGCCCATTCTGTGAGGGAGGAAGATGAAACTCAGAGCGGAGGCCTCGTGCTGGGTGACACAGCTAAAAAGAGACTCAGGCCCAGGGCTTTTGATTCAGCATCTGCCCCCTCAGTTCCCAGCCATGCATCACTAGAACACTATTCTCACCGATGGAGAAGGACAATTCCTCAGCTACCCCCACAATTTAGGAAGAAGTCCCCAAGGTGAACCAGCTCCCTCAGCCCTGAATCTGCCCTCAGAAGGTGGCCTTCTGCCCAGAGCGAGGATGGAGGGGTGCAGGCAGAGAACCATTTTTTTGGTGGAGGTCCACGGGACAGAGCCCAGAACTCAATGTCCATCCATCTTGGGCGTGTCCTCCCCAGCAGCCCAGGCTGACTGGACCGGCGCAGGAACTCCTGCATGCTCAGAGGGAGCCCTGATTCTTAGAACTGTCTTCTCATAGCAGTCTTCTTAGGAGTATGTTGCTGTGGTTTGTGATTCTGCCCCTGGGTGCTGCTGCATGGGAGGAGCCAGCTCTCTCCCTGCCCCACAGATCATGGAAGGCAGCGACCATAGGCTCACTGATGCTCCTGCAGGCTCCCTACACCCATCCATTAGGATGGCCCACATGTGCCAGCCAGGAATGGGGGACACAGCCATGAAGCCGACAGATAGGCTCCTGCACCTCTGGAACTTGTGCTTTAGCGGGGCAGACAGATCCCACAGAAGTGTATGTGTAGGAGTTCTGAGGATGACAAAAAGGATGAGGCAATAGAAGGTGACTGTGACCTTGTGAGACAGGCACTGTCCCCAGTCTATCACTCTATTTTTGTTTCTTTGGGTTTTTTTGAAGCAGGGTCTCGTTCTGTCACTCAGGCTGGAGTGCAGTGGTGCAATCATAGCTTACTGCAGCCTTGATCTCCTGGGCTCCAAGCAAGCCCCCTGCTTCAGCCTCCTGAGTAACTAGGACTCCAGACACACACAAACACCACACCCGGCTAATTTTCAAAATGTTTATTTTTAGTACAGACGGGGTCTTACTATGTGGCCCAGGCTGGTGTCAAGCTCCTGGGCTCAAGTGATCCTTCTGCTTTGACCTTCCAAAGTGCTGGGATTGCATGTGTGAGCCACCATGCCTAGTTCACTGTCCCCACTCTAAAGCAGACAGCCCAAGTGGGGGCAAAGTTGAGAAGCAAACACACACTGTACTCCAAAGCCTCTGAAAATCCCTCCTTGTGTCCTTCCTAAGAAGGTCCCAGAGTCTCTGTGTCATCCCTGAAGCTGAAGTCAGTCCATTCTGGGAGCAGAGTCCAGCTGTGTCCTGTGTTTGGGGCTAAGAAGAATGTGAGATTCCTGCTGAGTGTGAGCTGAGCAAGGTTGTAGTAAGGAGGGCAGTGATGTGATGCATTGTTTAAGGGGTGCAGCTGCCAGATGTGAGTGGGTGAGGGCAGATGTGAGGGGCATCAGCCAGCTATGTGTGGGGGTGGTCAGACCTGGTTGGGGAGGCACAATGGAAACAATAGGGGAGCAGGCCAGGTGGGTATGCGAAAGTGAGACAGAGTGGCAGGATGAACCGGGAGGGGGATCAGATGTGAGGGGCTGGAGAATAGATGACCCCGAGCCTCAGTCTTTAGGAGGGTGGCTGTCCCTGGGAAATGGATGATGCGGTCTGTGGAGGAAATGCGCTTTCTATTTAGGGAGGCTGTTTAGGAGTAGCTGACGACATGCTCAGCACCTGGATGGGTGGAAATAAACAGAGACATGAAGCAATAATTTATGCCGTGTCCTCTGTCAACCTAGCCACCACCTCCTCCTCCCTGGGCTCCAGGAAGTTGCTCAGAGTTGTGGCGCTGGGAGGAGACTGCGGGAGCTATGCTGGTGAAGCGATGCTGTCATCTGAGCTTGTGCTTTACACACACTGGGCTTTTTTTTTTTTTTTTTTTTTTGAGACAGAGTCTTGCTCTGTCACCCTAGGCTGAAGTGCAGTGGCGCAATCACAGCTCACTGCAGCCTCGACCTCCCAGGCTCAAGCAATGCATCCACCTCACTCTCTTGAGTAGCTAGGACCACAAGGGCATGGCACCACATCTGGCTAATTTTTAGAAATTTTTTTGTAGAGACGGGGTCTCACTATGTTGCCCGGGCTGGTCTCAAACTCCTGGGCTCAAGTGATCCTCCTGCCTCAGCCTCCCGAAGTGTTGGGATTATAGGCACAAGCCATCATGCCCAGCCCCCTCCAGGCCTTTGTACCTTCTGTGTCCTCACCTGGAGTACCTGCCCCCTGAACTACCCATTGAACTCTTTATTTAGTGGCCCACCTCCTCTAAGAAGTGCTACCTCCTCTAAGAAGGCCCCCCTCATATCCAGTCTGTGGTTCCTAAATTGCAGCTAATGACTACCCCATGAGCTCACACATTAGAGTTGGAAATCTACTTTCAAATGACCCCACTTTGTGTCTAAAGCACTCTGACCTTCTTCTACCCCCACCCCAGTCGCACATCAGTGAGCTTCAGGGAATCTCTGGAATTGAATACAAAGTCATGTGCAAAATCAGATGTGCAAATGTATGGATAAACAAAATACAGTATACCCATAAACGAAATATTATTCAGCCACGAAAAGGAATGGAGTCACTGATACGTGTTAAGTGAAAAAAAAAAAAACAGACAGAAAAGGCCAAATATTGTATGATTCCATTGATATGAAGTATCAAGAATAGGCAAATCAGTAAAGACAGAAAGGAGCTTAGCGATTGTTAGGGGATGGGGGTCGGGGCTGGGGAATGACTGGTAGAGGGTTTCCTTTGGGGATGATGAAAACATTCTGGATGTAGGTAGTGTAGGTAGTGGTGATGGTGGCACTACATTGTGTGTGTACTAAATGTCACTCAGTTGAATATATTAAAATGGTGACTTTTATGTTATGTGTATTTTACAACAGTTTTAAAAAAAGTCAAATGCACGTTTCTCAGGAGAAGATTCCTAGGTTTGATTGGCTTCTCAAAAGGTGAAGCAGCTCTGATCTGGTCTGGACCCCTTCATGTCATGATGCAGATGGTGATACTGGGACACAGACAGGGGGTGAGACCTGTCCAAGGTCACTCAGGGGCTGGTGGCAGAGCCCAGCCAGGTTGCATGCCTGCCTGACCACATACTCCCCTACCTGCTTCTTCCCTTGTCCTTTGGTCACCAAACCCTCCCGTCACAATCCCCAAGCCTCTGTCCTGCTCCCAAACATGCCACCCACAAGCTGTGTAACTTCCCAAAGTTAAAAGGCCTTCTTCCTGAAACTGGGTGCACGGATTAGAGTTTCATGAGCGTTTGTCTTTTGCTCTAGAGTGGACTCTGAGCTCCTAGAGGGCAAGAGGAAATGTTTCTTATTTTCCTCCATATCTTACAGAGCTTCTGGGACAGCCACGGAGGTGAGCCATTCCTGTCTCCCTTCAAGAAAGAACTTGCCATTCACCCTCAAGGAGGGCAGTTAGCTGACAACTTCTAACAAACATTCTTTGCCCAGAGGACATGCTGGGTTGGCCAAGACTTTGTTAGATCTGCAGCACAGTCTGAGGCTCTCCCAGCCCTTTCCTGCTTCCTCTCCCTCACCGGCCTTGCCACTACCCCCTCTCTCCGCAATAAACCTCTTGCGGTCCTATGTTCATCTCAGTGCTTGCTTCCTGGAGGACCCACATGGCACAGCACCTAGCCTGCTGGATCATAAGTGCTCAGTCGCGAAGTAAACGGAACTGGGGATTCTCTAGAGGGTAGAGGGAAGCCAGAGCCTGGGCCTCGGAGAGCAGGAGAGGGGCTGTCCGTGGAGGATGCCTCAGTCATAAGGAGAGCAAGGTCTAGAGCAGTGTGAAGAAGGGGCCATGGCCCTGGAGCAGGACCCAGCAACGGGCAACACACAGGGAACTCAGGGATTCACCAGCACTGCTGGCATCGTCTCTAGCTCCTCCGCTGTCTGGGGCAGCTCTTGCAAACTCAGAAATGTCCCAGGAGACAGGGTTCAAAGAGCCCTGGCCTTGGACTTTAGAAAACCAGGTTCAATTTGTGCTTCCCGCTAGTCAGGTGACATTACACCCTTCTCTCTGGAGCTCAGTTTCTCCGTTTGTAAAATGGGCTTATAATGTGTCCCCTCCCTTCAACCCCAGCATGATTTTGAGAATTGACTGAGAAGATACTACAGTTTATGGAGGGCACCCTGTTTCGTAGTTTAAATGCACACTCAGGCCAGGTGAGGTGGCTCATGCTTGTAATCCCAACACTTTGAGAGGCCAAGGCGGGAGGATCGCTTAAGCCCACGAGTTCAAGACCAGCCTGAACAACATAGCAAGACCCTGTCTCTACAAAAAATTTAATAATTAGCTGGGTGCAGTGGCACATGCCTGTAGTCCCAGCTACTCGGAAGGCTAAGGCAGCAGGATCATTTAAGCTCAGGAGTTTGAAGCTGCAGTGAGCTATGATTGTGCCACTGCACTCCAACCTGGGCAACAGAGTGAGATACTCGCTAAGAAAAAGAAATACATACATATTCATTTAACCCTGGCAGTGGCCTTGTGAGAGCAGCATTATGACCTCCATTTTATGTATGTATATATGTATGTATGGATGTATGAGATGGGGATCTCACTTTGTTGCCCAGGCTGGAGTACAGTGGTGCAATCAGAGCTCACTGCAGCCTGGACCTCCTGGGCTCAAGCAATCTTCCTGCCTTAGCCTCCAGAGTAGCTAAGACTACAGGTGTGGGCCACCAAAGCCAGCTAATTAAAAAAAAATTTTTTTAGGCTAGGCACGGTGGCTCACGCCTGTAATCCTAGCACTTTGGGAGGCCGAGGCGGGCAGATCACGAGGTCAGGAGTTCGAGACCAGCCTGACCAACTGGTGAAACCCCATCTCTACTAAAAATACAAAACTTAGCCAGGCATGGTGGCACTCGTCTGTAATCCCAGCTACTCAGGAGGCTGAGGCAGGAGAATCGCTTGAACCTGGGAGGCAGAGGTTGCAGTGAGCCGAGATGGCACCACTACACTCCAGCTTGGGCACAGAGCAAGACTCCGTCTCAAAAAAAAAAAAAAAAAAATTTTTTTTTTTTTTTAGAATGGAGTCTCCCTACGTTGCTCAGGTCAATTTTGAACTCCTGGCCTCAACCAATCCTCCTGCCTCAGCCTTCTAAAGCACTAGGATTGTAGGCCTGAACCACTGTGCCCAGCAGAGAAAACCGGCTCTCTAGGTCAAGGCATTGGCTCAAGAACACACAGCTAACAAGCCGACATAGCTGGGATTAGAACCCAATTGTCTGGCTCTAGAACCCCTTCACTATTTGAGGTACAATTTACTGCCTGACTACTAGTGCTAAACTTTGGGTTGGGGGCAGGGCCTGAGGCAGCTCCTGCTCTCATACATTCTGAGAGCCAGTTTGACAATAGGCAACTACACAAAAAACCGAAATAATCCCAGAATGCCTCAGGGCTCCAGGGGAAGGCGAAAAAAGCGGGTGCGTTTATAAACTTAAAATAATCAGAGGCAGCATCTCCAAGGACTGTGAGAATGCCCCAAGTCAGGGCAAAAGTTTTGGCTGGTTTGGGAAGTGATGAAAGGCCAAAGTGGCTGCAGCGAGCGTGGACCCGGGAGGTCTCCAGGCGCGTTGGTGCGAGTTGGGGACGGCAGGCAGGGACACCTAAAACCTACGGTACGCCACGAAGGGGTTTCAGCACGTCCTGAAAGGCCCGATCCCCCCCCAGAACCGCTGTGAGGGGGGCAGAGGGAGGTCCCTCGACAGGATGTGGCCTTAGTCGAGGAAGGCGGGAAGCAGGGGCTGGCACCCCCGACGCCCCACCCGCCCCCCGTGGCCTAGCAGCAGGGCGGGGCGAGGCGGGTCATGCACCCCTACCAGCCAGCCACTCCCACCCAGCCCTCGGCTCCCGCAACTCGCGGGGGTCCTCGCCCGGGTCCCCCGCCCCGCCCCGCCCGGCTGGTGACGTCACGGCGCTCGTCGGCGCCGCCTGTGGCGTCACAGGCCGGGCCCGCAGGGCTTTCTAGGGGTCCGTCGCTCTTGAAGCCGCCGGCGGCGGGCGCGTGCGCGGCCCGATGAAGAAGGAGGTTTCCAAGCCGTCTCCGCCCAAGTTGATCGGTGGATGCGCGCCCCCGCGCGGGGCACCGGTTGCTGTGGACGCAGTGGCGGCCGTTGGCTGGCGGGTGCGGCGCAGCCTCGGTGTCTCTGGGCCGGCGGTGCAGGGCAACGTTTCATGGTGCCGGGCGGCACCATGAAGTCTCTAAAGAAGGATTCCCGCCTCAGAATAACTCCGACCAGATTATTAGAGGCCTCAGAGAATGTCAAAGGTTGGCGCTGGCTGCCTTGGGCGCTCGGGAGAACCCGAGAGGGGAAGCGGTCCCCGGAAAGAGTTCAGGACACGGGGCCTGGAGGATGGGGATGGCACCAGGGATGGAGGAAAGATCACGGGGAAGTGGGGTACTGGGCATAGGACCCTTAGGGATGGGGGGCAAGGCAGGAAGAGCCTACAGCGCACTGGGCCTTGGGGATGGGGACATAGGAAGTGGGAGACTGACAGAGGGGCCTCAGGGACCACTGGCTGGGGAGATGGCCTTGCGCTACCTCTAACCACATCTTAGGGTGGCATGCAGGAGGCAGGATCCCCGGACTGGATGAAGTGCAGAAGAGCCAGGAAAGAGTTTAAGGGTAGAAGGGCCAGGAATTGGGGTCCTTGGGAAGAGGAAAGAATGAAGTGTTGAAACCAGCCACCTTGATGGGATTATTTGGTAGAGGAGGGTCGGGGAGCGGGGCAGGCGTCACTTAGGATTCCTGCTGGAAAAACCCAGAAGAAAGGCCTTGCTTGGCTAGTTCTCTTTTTGACTGCCTTTTCCTACCACGTGCACTTTCCAGCTGGATGACACTTATCCAGCTCCTTTAGCCTGGAAAGAATCGCTAGATATGACTGCTTCCTACCCTCTACAGCTTTCTTCTGGTTGCACCTGGGAGAGCCACAGGGCGTCTGATAGCGGACTGACTTCCATGGACATGTTCTCACTTGCAACCCACCCCCTTTTGATCTTTTTTGGCTGTTTCCATTTATTTATTTTTAAATTTAATTTTTAGCTTTTTTTTTCTGTGTGTGTGTGTGTGTGTGTGTGTGTGTGTGTGTGTGTTTGTAAACAGGGCTCTCGCTGTGTTGCCCCAGCTAGTGTCAAATTCTTGGCCTCAAGCGATCCTCCTGCCTCGGCCTCACAGACTGCTAGGATTCCAGGCATGGACCACTGCGCCCAGCCTATTTTTGTTTACTGAGAGCTGATTTTGTGTGGTACTGTGGCTCACCAGAAGGGTATCGGTATTAACTGTGTGACCCTGGTCCTCAAGAAACTCAGTCTAATGAACACCTGGAGGAGTAACCTGACAAAGGTAGAAATACAAATGCTGTGATGTAGGTGCCCATCGGGCTTAAGGGGGCTCAGAGCACCTGAGCCAGACCAGGGATGGTTGTAGGGGTACGTCTTCTGAAGAAGGTGACATCTATGGCAGACAAGAAAAAAAAGGAGAGGTTTGCTTCTCTAGGTCTAGGAAGCAGCATGAGTTTATGGAACTGTAAATGTGGGAACCAGAAGAGGCTGCACAGGTGGGTAGGTCAGGGGCCAGACCATGAAAGGGCTTTATGTACTAGGTCAGAAAGCCTGGATGTGCTCTTGCAGGCCCTGGGGAGACCCAGCCTCAGAGTTGTGAAAGCTCATTGTGAGGAGAGGGGACCCTCAGAAAACTAACAGGAGCTTAGTCGCTTTTCAGTATGGCTTTATGTTTCTTCACGTATAAAAGTCCAACGTTGAGCCGGGCATGGTGGTGCACATCTGCAGTCTCAGCTGCTCAGGAGGCTGTGGCAGGAGGATTGTTCCAGGCCAGGAGTTTATGATCACACCTGTGAATAGCCACTGCATTCCAGACTGGGCAACACAGTGAGACCCCCATTATTAAAAAAATAAAAGTCCAATGCTGTTTTATGACATACTATATATATATATGTATGTATTTTATATATATTATGTATATGTGTATATATGTGTGTGTGTGTGTGTGTGTGTGTGTATATATATATATATATATATATATATATATATATATGTATTTTGAGACAGGGCCTCGCTCTGTCACCCGGGATGGAGTGCCGTGGTACAGTCATAGGTCACTATAGTCTTGAACTTCTGGGCTCAAGTGAACCTCCTGCCTCAGCCTCCCAAGTTGCTAGTATTACAGGTGCACACCACCATGCCTGGCAAATTTTTTTTTTTTTTTTTTTTGTAGAGACAAGTTGCCCAGGCTGGTCTTAAACTCCTGGGCTCAAGCGATCCTCCCACCTTGGCCTCCCAAAGTGCTGGGATTACAGGCATGAGCCACCGTGCCTGGCCCGTGACATACTTTTTAATAGTTGAGAGAGAGGGAATATCTGGTCTCCTTTCACAAGGGCAGTCAAGGGCTTTCCTAGCCACTGCCTCCTGCTCACATAGTTTCTGGGAGATCGTATCAGATTTGAACTGCTGTAAACAAATCAAGGAAAGATTTTTCACTGCATATTTATTTTTAATAAGCAGAAAATTTAGTTTGTTAATTAACCCTTGAGTTAAGAACATGCACCAGAGTGAGGAGGGAAAAAAAATGAAGTGTTTAGCATGCAAGATATCTTTTTAAAAATATCTCAGGGGAGCCTCTAATGTTGTAGAGCAGTACTCTCCCCCAGCCCCCATACAAGGCAGCTAATGACCCAGTGTCATTTTGTAACCTTGTGCGATGTTTCTCCAAAGTCTCTGACTCATAAGCAAAAAGGAAAGCAAAAATAGTGACTTAAACCTGTTTCTCGGGACCTGAGAGCCCTTTTGAGTCCTAGTACCCTCCCTTCCTGCTATGCACCACCTCCCCACCGCTGTCTTGTTGCTAAGAAACCAAGAACCCTCCTAGCAATATTAGATTCCCCTCCCCAACCAATTAAAGCTCTGCCCTAGTAGGGACAGCCCCTCCATGGTTCCCCCAGCCCAACCCTAAGGTCAGAATTTCCCAAAGACTTTAATCAACACTAAAAACGAATAATACTTAGATAAAACAAGAAGCAGAAGAAATAGAGTCCGGGTTTCTTCTCCCTCCATAGTTTCCCCGCTCCGTATCTCGCTTCCTACCCCCACCTGAGCACCTTGCTTCCAGCCCTCTGGTCCAGCTCCGACAAGAGACTGACTACCCCGTGCAAGCGGGGTGGTCTCTTTTACCCCTCACTGTCAGCATCAAGGGAGAAATGTCAGCTGGGTGGCTCACTAGGAGCCCTATCAGCTTGGGATTCCAGACCAAAGAACCAGAAAGAGCTGGGCCTGTATAGGCTCAGTAGTCAGACATACCTCAGCCCTGTGGAGTCTTCCTGCAGGTCCTAAAATGATCCCTGGGGCTCTTCCTTCCCTGGTCTCCCCAGCTTGCCTCTGCCTCTCCGGTCCATCTGGCTCTCTTCATCTGATGAATCATTCTGAAATGCACCTGTCATCAACTCACTCCCCTGAACCAAAGATCAGATGCCTGAGCCATGCTTTACAAAGCTGTCATGCCCTGGTTTCCCTCTCATCCCCAACATCACCACCTCTCCACCTCCCCAGCAAGTTTTCTTTTTTTTTTTTTTTTGAGACGGAGTCTTGCTCTGTCGCCCAGGCTCTGGAGTGCAGTGGTGCAAACTCGGCTCACTGCAAGCTCTGCCTCCCGTGTTCACGCCATTCTCCTGCCTCAGCCTCCCGAGTAGCTGGGACTACAGGTGCCCGCCACCACGCCTGGCTAATATTTTTGTATTTTTAGTAGAGACGGGGTTTCACTGTGTTAGCCAGGATGGTCTCGATCTCCTGACTTCGTGATCCACCTGCCTCGGCCTCCCAAAGTGCTGGGATTACAGGCGTGAGCCACCGCGCCCGGCCCCCCAGCAAGTTTTCTGTGTTATCGTGCCACTCACGTGCCATGCTCAGCCCTGCCCCTTGCTTTGCTTGGACTTTGACTTCACCTGGAGCATCTTGGTTTGCCGCTGTACCTGTGCAAAGCTTGCCTCTCCTTTGCAGCCTGCCTCAGCCTGTGGAGCCACCTCTGCAGCTGTTCCTCTGAACACTTCTTCAGAGCCCTGAACTGTGTAATCCACATGGATCTGTTCCTTTTTTGATGTCTAACCAAACCTATTGCCTGTACCGCAAATGTAGGAACTCCTCTAGCTATGATTGGTGTGTGTTCCTGTCACATTTTTCAGTACCTCAAGAGAAGGAGCCATATCTTAACCTTTTATACCATCTTTGTAGTTTATAGCACATAGAAGGGGCTTGGTAAGCACTCTCGAGGAGCAATTTAACTTTAAGATACATATATATCCCTGGGCGCACTGGCTCATGCCTCTAATCCCAGCACTTTGGGAGGCCGAGGTGGGCAGATCACCTGAGGTCAGGAGTTTGAGACCAGCCTGGCCAACATGGTGAAACCCTGTCTCTACAAAACATACAAAAAATAGTTGGGCGGCCGGGTGCGGTGGCTCATGCCTGTAATCCCAGGACTTTGGGAGGCTGAGGCAGGTGGATCATATGAGGCCAGGAGTTCAAGACCAGCCTAGCCAACATGGTGAAACCCAGCCTCTACTAAAAATACAAAAAGTTAGCCAGGCATGTTGGTGCATGCCTGTAATCCCAACTACTTGGGAGGCTGAGGCAGGAGAATCGCTTGAACCTGGGAGGCAGAGATTGCAGTGAGCCGAGATCACGCCATTATACTCTAGCCTGGGCAACAAGAGTGAAACTCCATCTCAAAAAAAAAAAAAAAAAAAAAAGCTGGGCATGGTGGCGCATGCCTGTATTCCCAGCTACTCGGGAGGCCGAGGCAGGAGAATCACTTGAGCCCGGGAGGCGGAGGTTGCAGTGAGCTGAGATCACACCACTGCACTCCAGCCTGGGGGACAGAGTGAGACTCCATCTCAAGAAAAAAAAAAAGATGTATATATCATTTTAATGAATATTTTAATAACTAGAACATACCACTCCCTGACTGTATGCAGTAACAGAGCATTTATTGGACTACATTAAAGATAACTTTCTCAGAATAACCTTAGACCAGAGTTTTACTATTTCAATCTAAAGCAAACATGAAAGATTAGCTTCTCTATCACTGAAGGGATGGGAGCTTTGGCCCCCAAAAATCTTCGGCAGTGTTGAAAGTTTCTATTGACACGTGGTAATTGTGCACCCACCAGTAAAAAGCACACATCTGGAGACGTTTAATCACTTGGAAAGATGTCAACCCAGCCAAGGTTATGGATAAAGGAAGCAAATGTCCTAGAAAGTACAGATAATACCAAAATATTTACAAAAACAGACCTTCAGCTGATCTCAGTTCTCATAGGCTGCCACCCACTTTGGTGAGTTTGTGTAGAAGGGAGAAGGGAGGTAGAAATCAAAGCCCAAGGCTGCATCCCCACACATGGCGGCAGATGAGACTGGAACTCGGGGTTCAGCCGGCAGCCCTGCATGTGTGTTTGTGTGCACAGAGCCATGCATTTAACAGACAGATACTTCCAAACCTCTGCTGACCCCATTACAGAAACAGACTGTGGATGATAGGCTGAATTTATTATTTTTTCTAATAGAAAAACAAAAATTATTTTTAAGGATAGGTTCTCCTGTGTTGCCCAGGCTGGTTTTGAACTCCTGGCCTCAAGCAATCCTCCCATCTCGGCCTCTCAAAGTGTTGGGATTACAAGCGTAAGCCACTGCACCTGGCCAACAGGCTGAATTTAGAACTATGTTTGGAATGATTTTGGTGTGAGTTTTTTTGGCCACCAACTCTATGGAAATTTCCTAAAAAAAGTTGGATTTTGTTAACCAAAACACCTGCCTTTATGTTTTCGTGATATTGCCTCTTAAAGATTACGGTGCTGTAAGAAGCAGTGGATAAAACCAAATTTTGTTTTAAACTCCCTAAAGGCCTCAGGACTTAGGTTTTCTTTTGATTGTTTTATGTAGGGCCTTATATCAAACCATTCTGAACCAGAGGGAAAATGACAGGGTTGACCAGCCAGAGAAATGAGATGTGTTTGATCCTGTTAAGCCACCTCTGTGAAAGGAAGGCAGGGAGTGTGTCCTCGTTGGAGAGTGACCTGTGACCCCCTTCTGCCCCGGGTGTTGTCAATGTCATGCTGTGGCTGCCACAACGGACTCTTAAATACATTCATACACTCATCCTCAGTCATGCAGGTTTTTTTTTTTCTTAGAGACAGGGTCTTGTTCTGTCACCCAGGCTGGAGTGCAGTGGCACAATCTTGGCTCACTGCAGCCTTCACTTCCTGGGCTCAGGTTATCCTTCCCCTCAGCCTCCCAAGTGGTTGGGACTACAGGCATGTACTACCATGCCTGGTTAATTTTTTGATTTTTTTTATAGAGCCCAGACTGGTCTTGAACTCCTGGGCTCAAGCGATCTGCCTGCCTTGGCCTCCCAAGATCTTGCAACTCTTAATCCATTCCTTGGCATGCCATTGCCCATGGGGTAAGCCTTCACATGGCTCACTGAGCTCTTCACGATATGGCGGCTGCTGCTGTCTCTGGGCTCTGCCTCTTCCCTCCCACCTCACCACACTCCAGCTATTCAAAAACACATGCTTTGAGTTCCAGGGATGTGCTCCATTCTTTGCCACTATGCCTCTTTATGTTATTTTCTTTGGAATGCCTGTTCCCCAGGGCCCTTTCCTTTCTCCAGCTTCTTCAGCTCTATTTAAACATCCCTTCCTTAGGAAGCCCTCCCTGACTCCCCCACCTCCCACGCCCGCCGACTCAGGGCTGGTTGTTCCCCCCCACCATGTTCCTGTAGTTACTCTGGCTCAGTCTGTTTCACGGTCTTGTTTCCCATTGGGCATGTGCTCTTTAAAGACAAGCTCTGGCATGTATCCCTAGAACCTAGCACAGTGCCTGGCATGTAGAAGCTGCTTAAACAATCTTTATTAAATGAATATGCAATAAATGGCCAGTGGTGAATGCTCTGCTTCCCCCACAGAGATTCTGCACTTTAACCAGTGTCTTGTGAAACCCTGTGCCTTCACCCAGAAGCATGGATCAGTGCCAGCACTGGAGGAGGCTGGCAAAACATCTAGTTCAGTTGTCCCAAACCACTGTGCATCAGAATCACCTAGGGAGTTGAAAAAAGTACAGCTCCCTAGGCCCTGGCTCCATGCAGTAGTCAGGAAGCTGTATTCATAAAACTCCCCCAAAGATTCTGAGGCAGACATTGGACTAATAACTTGGGAACCACTGATTTAGTCCAACTGACTCTTTCTACACATGGAAAGCCTGAGGCCTAGAGAGGTTAAGTGATGCGTACCCAAGACTGTCCAGCTTATAAATAGCATAGCCTGAAATGGAACATCTTTTTTGTATATTAAAAATAATCTTTTTTGTACAGATGGAGTCTCAACTATGTTGCCCAGGCTAGTCTTGAACTCCTGGGCCCAAGCAATCCTCCTGCCTTGGCTTCTCAAAGTGTTGGGATTACAAGCTTGCACCACGGCACCCGGAATGAAACATCTTTTTGTTTTGTTTTGTTTTGTTTTTGAGACAGAGTCTCACTCTGTTGCCCAGGTTAGAGTGCAGTCACACGATCTCAGCTCACTGCAACCTCTACCTCCCGGGCTCAAGTGATTCTCCTGCCTCAGCCGCCCGAGTAGCTGGGACTGCAGGCATGGGCCACCACACCTGGCTAATTTTTGTATTTTTAGTAGGGACGGGGTTTCACCATGTTGGCCAGGTTGGTCTTGAACTCCTGGCCTCAAGTGATCCTCCTGTGTCAGCCTCCTAAAGTGCTGGGATTACAGGCATGAGCCACCACACCTGGCCTGAAACGAAACATCTTCTGATCTCAATTCTGGCTACAGAAGTCTTAGTCACTGTGGTGAGCCAGGGGCTGTGGGTAGGGGGACCCTCCAGAGAGAACTCCCATTGCCCCAGCAAAGTGCTACCCAGGCCACCTTGGCAGCCTCTGCTATCTATCCAGCTGGTCAGCTCTGCCCCCCACCATGGAGTCTAGTATATATTTTTACTTTTATTTTTGTATGTATATATTGATATATACAGAAGGAGCTCTTTAAGGACTTAATAACTTTCTGCTTCTCTTCAGAAAAGAAGCGGGCAAAGGGACCTGAACAACCCACACCCACAATTCAGGAAGAGCCTGAACCTGTTAGCAATGTCCTACAAGGAGATGACATTCTTGCCTTGGCCATTAAGAAGGAAGACTTGAAGGAGGTGAGGATGAAGCCCAAGCTTCCCTTACCATAGAAACGTTTCCCTGCCGGCAGCCTGAGTGGTCTAGAACACCAGCCATGTCCCTACTCATGGGGAGTGTCTAACTCCATGGAAAAACCCACTGAACACAGATTCTTTTCACTTTACCACCTTAAGGAATTCACTGTGTTGTCTGTTTTAACATTTCTGAGATTCATATAGAACCACAGGGGAAATGAGATGATGAGGTATCTTGCTTCCCATAGAGGTAGGTGCCATCATTCCCATTTCACAGACCGGAGGATGAGTTTAAGGAGCCAAGGTACAGCTCTGGGTAAAGCTGCTAAACCCTAACCCCATGCTTTACCTGGGAGAGTCAGCCATCTCTCACCCAAACTGTCTGGAGGCATAAGATGTTCTTTTTTTTCCCTCCAGGATATTACTAAGTCACATATCTGTTACACAGGCATTTCCTTGACAGAACATATGGACAGAGCTGAAGAAACAGATCTGTCAGCCTTCAGGAACTCCACCCAGAACTAGAACAGAAGAGATGGGTGGTGCTCTTCCTCCTGCCACCACAGGTGGAATTCTCCTTTGTTTTATTTCTTTTTAGCAACACATTCCTCGCCTTACTGAAAAGGAAGATAAACGTGTCATCACCCAGAAATTTATCATCCGTAAACTCAAACCCATGGATCCTAGGAGGAAGGTCTGCCACCTTGTAGCACGTCCTGCGAATCCTGATGAAGCCACAAAGCCTCTGGACTACTCCGGTACACCCAGTCTCAGCCCTGGCTTCACTGTCTTTCAACTCATGGGTCAGCCTCAAGAGAAACCCAGTCTCCATCAGAAAGTTGCCCTCTTGAAAGTTGTCCACCCACAGCTTCTTTCCCCTTTCTTCTTTTATCCTCCCAGGTCCCGGTGACAGCTTCGATGGCAGTGACCAGATCCTGCCCCACCACATCTTGGGGAGTCTCCAGGATTTTAAGAGAATTGCACTTGCTCGAGGGAACACCCAGGTTTGTTTGCACAGAACTACCCGGATGAGAGCAGTCACTGAAGTCATTTTGGTCTCCCACCTGACACAGTCAAGCAGGGCTGGGGTTAAAGAGACAGTCTAGTCTGTAGGTTTTGAGTCTGAGTTGATAAGGGACCCTCTCCCAGAATAGTTGGACACTTCAGGCAGCTGAAGCTGGCTTCAGTGAAGTCAGGGATTTACTGTAAGGATTCCAGAGATTGCCTCATGGAACCCAAAGGCGGGAGTACCTGGGTCTGGGTAGACTGCACCCAAAAAGGCATCAGGACTCAGGGCCCACATGCCTCATTTCCCTCTGCTCTGTGCACTGTCTTGATTTTCCCTTCTCTGGAGACTGGCCTGCCCTCCTCAGTCCACGTGGTGGAGGAAGGTGGCTTCCCACTGCTTCCTGGGCCACGGGAAGATTCTGTATCTTTCCAGCCTTCCCATCATGCAGTGCTTCACCTGTCTCTTCCCCTTGCTTCCCTGGTTCCAGGCTGACTCTGATTGGTCAGGCGCTAAGGGGCCTGGGGCCCTGTAAGAATGCTTCCATTTACACATGGGTGAAGGTGGCAATCAACATCAGTTGTGAGGACAAATACACTAGATGTTGACCCCAATCTTGAAACAGAAGTTCCCTTTGTGGGGGAGAGTGGACTGACAGCTGCTTTCAGGGCCCCCTGGTTCTGGGATTTATTTTCTGTCACTGGCTACTCTGGAGTCCTGAAGAGGAGGGACTCTCAGCGCAGTGGGATAACAGCACGGGTTTAGGCCTCGGGAAATGTGTGCTCAGCCCTGCCCAGAGCCTTCTTACTGCCCTCCACATACCTATGTTGTACTTTTCAGCTGGCTGAGCGGATACCTACCTCACCCTGTCTGATGACCCTCATCTCTGCTGAAGGAGAGTCAAAGCAAAAAGCCCCAAAAGAAGAGAAGAGACCTCCCTGGGCCCCACCTCCTCAGCACAACTTTCTGAAAAACTGGCAGCGTAACACAGCCCTGCGGAAGAAGCAGCAGGAAGCCCTCAGCGGTGAGCAGAGCAGACAGGGCTCCCGCCCGGCCTCCATCTGGCAGCAAGGCTCTGCTGGGTTGTTTGCTCTCCTCCAGAGCCTGGCCTTGGGCTGACCACATTTGTGCTTTCACTCCCAAGAGTGTCTCACTCTGAAGCTTCAGTGGATCCTGAAATCAGCCCTGTGAGGGAGGCTGCCCGATGCAGACTGCCAAGGCCCCTGTTTGTTCTGGTTCGGCAGAGTGGCGGCAATCTTGCCTCTCTCTCTAGAACACCTAAAGAAGCCAGTGAGTGAGCTGCTCATGCACACCGGGGAGACCTACAGACGGATCCAGGAGGAGCGGGAGCTCATTGACTGCACACTTCCAACCCGGCGTGATAGGAAAGTGAGGCCACCTGTCCTAAGTGCCCGGGGGCAGGGGGGTCCATGGAGGAGGGGGCGGGGGCAGGTGTCTGGACACAGGGATGCTGGTCTCAGGTGGCACAGCTGGGGAGAAAAAACCTATCCATTGCAAAACATCATTAGGCCCTCAAGGCCTTTACTAAATTATATGATTAGTCAGTAAAGTTATTCAGCCTGTGGTGACCACACAGGTAGCAAGTTATTAGAGTAGTCTTAGTGTTTGTCTCCTAGGAGCTTAGACTGAGTGGAGCCTACACCCTAAAGAGAGAGGTTGAAGAGTCCCCCACCTTTTTTTCTGGTAGACCAGTGCAGTACCTGTACCAACCCACACCATCTGGCTGGGGGCAGGTAAAGATGACAACAGGGTGTCCAGAAAACACGGCAGTGGATGCTTCTGTTATGCAATCACGGCAGCAATGAATTCCCCAGAGGAAGCATCTGTAGCCTGTGGTGGTGCTCTTGTCTTCCCACATCTCCACCAGCATCTGGCTGAGGTGTCCTGGTAATCTGACTCACCTTTCCTTCCTTGCCAGAGCTGGGAGAACAGTGGGTTCTGGAGTCGACTGGAATACTTGGGAGATGAGATGACAGGTCTGGTCATGACCAAGACAAAAACTCAGCGTGGCCTCATGGAGCCCATCACTCACATCAGGAAGCCCCACTCCATCCGGGTGGAGACAGGTGAGGCGCAGGGCTGTAAGCCAGCTAGCATCTTGTGCCTGGCCCGGAGGCAGGGTAGTGTGGAAGTGGCCAGCATAGCTCTACAGTGAAACAGGCCCAGGGCCTGTTTCTCTGTGGTTCTCTGGGGTCTTAGGCAAGTCCCAGAGTCTTCCTGAAGTCCGGCTCCCTCTTCTTTTTCTTCAGTAAAACGGTGAGAGAGCTAGGAAACTGGAGTGCAGCCATAGAGCTGCCGTCCAGTGTGGAGCCTTGAGCCACATGCCGCTGGTGAGCGCCTGGATCGTGGCTGCCCTGCCTTGAGAAGTGCTGTCACTGTCAACTGGACACTGGCTTTAGTGTGAAAACAATATATTTTATTAATCATTTTTATATTGATTACATGTCAAAATGACAATATTTTTGATATACTGAATTAAATAAACTATATTACTAAAATGAGGGCGGGCACAGTGGCTCATGCCTATAATCCCAGCACTTTGGGAGGCTACGGCGGATAGATCACTTGAGGTCAGAAGTTCAAAACCAGCCTGGCCAACATGGTGAAACCCTGTCTCTACTAAAAATGCAAAAATTAGCTGGGCATGGTGGTGCGCGCCTAGAATCCCAGCTACTTGGGAGGCTGAGGCAGGAGAATTGCTTGAATCTGGGAGGTGGAGGTTGCAGTGAGCCAAGATCATGCCATTGCACTCCAGCCTGGGCAACAAGAGCAAAACTCTGTCTTAAAATAAATAAATAAATAAATAAATAAACAAACAAACAAACTATATTACTAAAATGAATCCCACCTGTTTCTTTTTTCCTTTTTCAGTGTGGCATCTAGAAAACTTTCAGTGACACGTGTGGCTTGTGCTTGTGGTTTGCATTCTGTTTCTCTTAAGCAGCACTGCTTTAGAGCCTGCCAGGCTGCCTGGGTTCAGGTCCCAGCTGTGTCGTGTTAGTGAACCCCAGAGTGGTTGAACCCCTCTGGCCTGTAGTTTCCTCATCTGTAAAATATGCACAGGGTTGTGATAGGGCTAAATGAGATATGAAATGTATTAAGAGGTTCTGGCTCATTGTTAAGCACTCAATAAAAGGTAGCTGCTGTTATTATTTTTATTATAATCCAAAGATTTGGCTATTTGGAAGCTAATTTTTCAGGAGTCTTGTGTAGGGCTGCTGAGGAGGTATAGGACAGGAGAACGGGAGTCTAGCTGCCACAGGGAAGCTGTATTTTTAGTCCTTCCTAGAAATGGTGTTGGGATAGGCACTCTCAGAGCCCTTGAGAAGTGGGTGAGCAAGGGGACATGGCAGCAGCCTGTGCTGAGGGTCCTTGGACCTCATGCTAGGATTACCAGCCCAGAGGGACGCTTCATACCGCTACACCTGGGATCGGAGTCTGTTTCTGATCTACCGACGCAAGGAGCTGCAGAGAATCATGGAAGAGCTGGATTTCAGCCAGCAGGTTGGTATGGCCTCCATGCCCCAGTCAGAAGCCCCTTGGGGCGATGCCTGTCTTCAGTCAGCTCATCTTACCTTTCTCCATCTCTCGGAGGATATTGATGGCCTGGAGGTGGTGGGCAAAGGGTGGCCCTTCTCGGCTGTTACTGTGGAAGACTACACAGTGTTTGAAAGAAGTCAGGGAAGCTCCTCTGAAGACACAGCATACTTGTGAGTGCAGCCTGAACCCTGGGGAGAGAGGCTGAAGAGTTCTCCAGCACCTACCAGTATTAAAGAGCGGGCTTCCCTCCCTGAGATCAGGGTGCCTCTAGCCTAGCTTCTGTCCAGTGGTTGCCACCCACTCCTTGAACCCATTCCAGCACCTGTGCTGGCTTTCCTATTGCCATCTGCTCCTTTCCAATAACCAACTCCTAATGGGGATTTCCCAGACATTCCCTTGCTGGTCAACTGAGGGCTCTCTAGACCCTCCCACTGCTATGCATCTTGAATGCCTCTGGCATGGAGAGTCTGTGTATTTCTGTGTACTGTGAGTGGCTCTGGCAAGAGGGCTTAAAGAGTCTGTGTGTTTCTAAGAATCTCCCATCTACAGCAATGGGTCAGGAGGAAGCTGCGTGGGAGTGGAGTTGATCATACTCCATTGCAGGGTAGAGCTGGTTGTGTTTCTAGGCTTCCTGGTGACCGTTTCTGTGGGGTTCCACATGGCATGACTGTGGCAGCCTAAGAGAAAATAAGTCATTGGCTTTTCTTACAGAGGCACATTGGCCAGTTCCTCTGATGTCTCCATGCCTATTCTCGGCCCTTCTCTGCTGTTCTGTGGGAAGCCAGCTTGCTGGATCAGAGGCAGTAATCCACAGGACAAGGTAAAACAGCCTCCACCACACCTGCTGGGAGAGCCTCCCTCAGGGGTGCAGCCCTGAGGTGACTGGCAGTTACCAGCAGCCTGCACAGTCTCCTGTTTGGGTTTTTATCTGGTCGTGCATTCAGCACGTCTGAAAATGGTGACAGCAACACTGACTTGAGCAAGAATAAAATCACAAGGCTGCGAGTGTCATAAGCCACTTGGGGCTTATACCCAGCCCCCAAGCATGTAAACAAGCAAACTCAAGTAGGTATGGCTCTAAGAAGGTTCCAAAATATTCTTCAGATGCTAAGGAATAGAAGTGTTCATTGGATATAAAATATATTTTATCTGGCCAGGCGCAGAGGCTCACGCCTGTAATCCCAGCACTTTGGGAGGCTGACGTGGGTGGATCACCTGACATCAGGAGTTCAAGACCAGCCCTGGCCAGCATGGTGAAACCCCATCTCTACTAAAAATACAAAATAGCAGGGCGTGGTGGTGGGCACCTGTAATCCCTGCTACTTGGAAAGCTGAGGCAGGAGAATCGCTTGAACCCGGGAGGCGGGGGTTGCAGTGAGCTGAGATCACGCCATTGCACTCCAACCTAGGTGACAAGAGCGAAACTCTGTCTCAAAAAAAAAAAAAAAATATATATATATATATTTGTTTTATCTTCTCTTCTTGCTATTGAGGGTAACCTCAGAGACAACCACGCTGGAGTAGGATACCACTCTGTGTGACAGTGGCCAAGCCCTGGAGGCCTGGGACACGAGACTTGCAGTGCTAAAGCCAGAAAAGTCCTGGGCAGACCAGATGAGTTGTTCACTCTAGGCCAGGGTTTGCAGCAAAGACATTTCTTGTCCCTCCTCCTTCCAGAGGCAGGTTGGGATTGCTGCTCACTTGACCTTTGAAACCCTAGAAGGCGAGAAAACCTCCTCAGAACTGACTGTGGTCAATAATGGCACCGTGGCCATTTGGTATGACTGGCGACGGCAGCACCAGCCGGACACTTTCCAAGACCTTAAGAAAAACAGGATGCAGCGATTTTACTTTGACAACCGGGAAGGTACTCGGGAGAAGCCACCCTATGTGCTAGCTCCTGTCTGGGGCTGGTTTTGTCCTCCGTGAGACATCAAAGTTTAGTTATGGCCCAGCTCCTGTAAGTTTGAGCCCTGCTTCCCTGCCTTGTCCCTCTCATTCCTTCTGTGAAATGTGTGGCCTGACTACTCATGTCTGTTGAGAGACTGATGGAACTTGAGAACCTGGGGAGGTGAGCCACCAGGGAGCAGAAGCGTTCTAGGGGCTCAGTTATCTAGGTGCACAGGCCTGGGGCTAGGATGGCCAGCTGTCTCTGTTTGCCTGGGACTTTAGCACTCAAATTCCCACATTCCAGGAAACCTCTCAGCCCTGGGCAAACTGGGATGGTTGGCCAGCCACCTGGCCTGGGACTCAGTTAACTGCATGTAGGAGCATGTAGGCCTGGGGCTCAGCCAGCTCCTGCATGTTGAAAACCTCGGGTCTCTGTCCCTCTCAGGTGTGATTCTGCCTGGAGAAATTAAAACATTTACCTTCTTCTTCAAGTCTTTGACTGCTGGGGTCTTCAGGGAATTTTGGGAGTTTCGAACCCATCCTACTCTATTAGGAGGTGCTATACTGCAGGTCAATCTCCACGCGGTCTCCCTGACCCAGGACGTTTTTGAGGATGAGAGGAAAGTACTGGAGGTAAGGGACCCAGGACCATGGCCCCTGTGGACATCAGGTAGGGTATCCTGGTGTTCTTCCTGGCAGTGACTGAAGGGATCATATTTCTCCCAGCCTAAGAGGAGAATTGGATTTTTAGCAAACAGGTAACTACTCTTGCTCCACAAACACTTCCCAGGGCTTGTGATTTAAAAGATGGGTGCGCTGGCTAGGCAGGCATGGAGCAGCTTGCAGCAATGCCATGCATGGCCCCACTGAGTTAGAAAGAAATTAGACTGAGCCTTAAGAGGCAGACTGTAAAGTACAATGTGTGGCCCTATGTACTGGTCTGTGTTTTGTTCATCGCTGTCTGGTACTACACAGTGGAGTTGCATTTAAGCGACAAGACTTCAAAACCAGGGAGAATAATTAATTAATACATAGCAGCATGAGTCTGCCCACCGTCCCACTCAATCAGCTGACAACTCGAGTGAGTGTGAGGTGGGAGCTTGGAATCTGTCGTCCGCAGTCAGTTTCACAGTGTGGCCATTTGAGCCGTGCATCCTGGGATTTGGTGGAAAGCTGTGCTTTTTTATTCATTGTGGCCCCCAATCACAAGGCCGGCTCCTTCATGTGGGGCTCAGCCAGTGGTGATCAAAGGTAATTTTGACAATGTCATGCTTGCTTTACTCATTGACTGTACAACCCATGTCTCACACAAGGCGCCCCTCCCGTGTTTCTGTGACACTCACTGAAGCCTGATGAAGGTTCACCACCATCCTCAGAAGCACCCCCACTATGTGCCCTGCCCCTTCTTCCTAATCTGGTGACATGCTAACTGTGTGACCACCAGGCCCCAGGCAGCAGCAGCTGTCACTGGAACTGGCCCTCCTCTGGATCCTTTTCATCCATTTTTAGGGAACAAGGATGTCTGGAGAGACTCAGAGGTTTTCAGGTCTTAGAACAGGCGTGTGTGTGTGTGTGTGTGTGTGTGTGAGAGAGAGAGAGAGAGAGAGACAATGGCAGGAACTCAGACCCTAGGAAGGCACAAAGTCCTGGGGGCTCCAACTTCCTGAAGGATGCATTGGTTTTGATAGCCTGGGCTGCCATCCTCTGCCACCTTCCCTTTTGCAGAGCAAGCTGACTGCCCATGAGGCAGTCACCGTCGTTCGCGAAGTGCTGCAGGAGCTGCTGATGGGGGTCTTGACCCCGGAGCGCACACCATCACCTGTGGATGCCTATCTCACCGAGGAAGACTTGTTCCGGCACAGAAATCCTCCGGTGAGGCCCAGCGCCAGCCCCTGCCCCCTCATGTGTGCCCTGCGTCAAGGGTCCCCAACCCGCAGGCCGCACAGCGGCAGGTGAGCAGTGGGTGAGCCAGCATTACTGCCTGAGCTCTGCCTCCTGTCAGATCAGCGGTGGCATTAGATTCTCATAGGAGCACGAATCCCATTGTGAACTGCGCATGCGAGGGATGGAAATTGTACACTCCTTATGAGAATCTAACTAATGCCTGATGATCTGAGGTGGAAGTTTCATCCTGAAACCATTCCCCAACTCCCTGCCATCCGTGGAAAAATTGTCTTCCACGAAACCAGTCCCTGGTGCCAAAAAGGTTGGGGACTGCTGCCCTAGGTGACAGTAATAGCAAACTCTTTTATGTGCCAAGCTCTGTTCTGCGCATCTTCCATGAGTAACTCACCTCTCTTCACAGCAGTCCTATGAGATGGGTACTATTTATTTTTGTTTATTTTTTTAAGAAATAGCGTGTCATACTGTCACACTCCAGGCCAGAGTACAGTGTCCCACTCATAGCTCATTGTGACCTCAAACTCCCCGGCTCAGGTGATCCTCCCACCTCAGCCTCCTAAGTAGCTAGGACTACAGGCATACATCACCATGCTCAGCTAATTTCTCTTTTTTTTTTTGGTAGAGATAGGATCACTCTATGTCATACAGGCCGGTCTTGAACTCCTGAGTTCAAGTGATCTTCCTACCGTGGCTTCCCAAAGCACTGGGATTGCAGGCTTGAGCCACTGTGCCTGGCCCTTGTACTATTTATGTCCTTATTTACATTGAAGAAACTGGGGCCTGCACCCCAGCCTCCCCCTCACATGCCTTCCCATCCTCTGCTGCAGCTGCATTATGAGCACCAAGTGGTGCAAAGCCTGCACCAACTGTGGCGCCAGTACATGACCCTGCCCGCCAAGGCTGAGGAGGCCAGGCCAGGGGACAAGGAGCACGTCAGCCCCATAGCCACAGAGAAGGCCTCTGTGAATGCTGAGCTGTTACCACGCTTTAGGAGCCCCATCTCCGAAACTCAAGTGCCCCGGCCTGAGAACGAGGCCCTCAGGGAATCCGGGTCCCAGAAGGCCAGAGTGGGGACCAAGAGTCCTCAGCGGAAGAGCATCATGGAGGAGATCCTGGTGGAGGAAAGCCCAGATGTGGACAGCACCAAGAGCCCCTGGGAGCCGGATGGCCTTCCCCTGCTGGAGTGGAACCTCTGCTTGGAGGACTTCAGAAAGGTGCTTCCAAGACCCTGGAAGGCAATGGTAGAGAATATTCCTGCCTCGAACCAACAAGGGAGGACCCAGCAGCCCCTCTTGCTCTATGGGCAAAGAAACAAAACCTGAGAGCCCAGAGAAAGTGATCTCTTGGGTTATCTATCTATCTATTTATTTATTTATTTATTTATTTTTGAGACGAAGTTTTGCTCTTGTTGCCCAGGTGGGAGTGCAATAGCACAATCTCGGCTCACTGCAACCTCCACCTCCCAGGTTCAAGCGATTCTCCTGCCTCAGCCTCCCAAGTAGCTGAGATTACTGGCATGTGCCACCACACCTGGCTAATTTTTTTTTTTGATGGAATCTTGCTGTGTTGCCCAGGCTGGAGTGCAGTGGTGCAATTTTGGCTCACTGCAACCTCTGCCTCCCGGGTTCAAGTGATTCTCCTGCCTCAGCCTTCCCAAGCAGCTGGGACTACAGGCATGCGCCACCACATCCAGCTAGTTTTTGTATTTTTGTAGAGACGGGGTTTCGCTATGTTGGCCAGGCTGGTCTCAAACTCCTGACCTCGTGATCCACCCACCTTGGCCTCCCAAAGTGCTGGTGTTACAGGCGTGAGCCACCACGCCAGGCCAATTTTGTATTTTTAGTAGAGACGGGGTTTCACCATGTTGGTCAAGCTGGTCTCGAACACCTGACCTCAGGTGATCCGCCCGCCTCAGCCTCCCAAAGTGCTGGGATTATAGGCGTGAGCCACTGTGCCCAGCTGGGTTACCTGTTTTTGTCTGGGGTGCCCAAGCTGCTATATTCCAGGAGGGGGGCCTACTCTCTGACCCTGGCAAATCTTGGAGAAGGGGTTCATAGGTACAGATTTCTGAGGGGGGTCCCTGGCTCCCACCAAAGGCACCCAGACAGCTCTCCATAGCTGCATCCCCTCCTGGTTCCTGGTCCCCTGCCACCCATCCCCACATCACCATGCCCTTCACTAGAGGACACAGCCTTGGTGTCCTGGTGCAGAATGGTGCCCATGACCCTGCCAGGCAGTGATGGTGCTCCCTGATGAGAACCACAGAGAGGATGCGTTGATGAGGCTCAACAAAGCAGCCCTGGAGCTGTGCCAGAAGCCAAGGCCATTGCAGTCCAACCTCCTGCACCAGATGTGGTAGGTGCCCTGCCAGGAGAGCTGCCCCATCTCCTTCCCTTTGTGGCATCTGCAGGGGTCCTGGGCAGGCAGTCCTGGGACTCCAGGGGTCTGAGCTTCCGTTGAGCTCAGGTTGCTAGAGCATGCCGCAAACATTCCACGTTCTGGAACCCTGCAGTGCCTACTGCTCACTGGAGAGCAGTCACAGCAGATCAAACACCTTATCTTTTTTTTCTTCCCCTTTTTGCCTTGTTCCTTCTCAGTGAGCAGGGGAATGGAAAAAGGAGAAGCCAGAGGGCAGGAAGAAGACGGGGGGCAGATTCCAATAAAAGCTTCATTTCTCTGTTGTCACCCTCCCCTGTACCTGTTTGGAACTTGCTTGTATAGGCGTGGGGTCCTTTTCAAGGCCCTCAGGACAAGCCCCAGGAGCCTTATGCTGGAAGTCTCATGCAAGGTTCAGCCCCTCCAGTGCGACTGGACCCAAGTCTGGCCCTGGCCTCAAGCCCTCTGAAGTAGGACTGAATTCATGCAGGCCTCCTAACCCTAGTCCTGGGCCATTTTTTTCTTGGTTGCCACCCAAGGCAAGCCAGAACCCCCTCCAAGCACTTGCCCTGGCGGGGAACAGTGAGGATGCTGGCTGTTCAGGGGTGTGGCATTTCCACAGCAGCTCGTGGCACCAGGGTCTTTGAAGGGAGGGACCCAAGCCTCTGCAGGTTCAAGGACAAATGAGGAGTGATGGCATTTCTCCACTGTGTCTTGCCCTCTAGTTTGCAGCTGTGGCGAGATGTGATTGACAGCCTGGTGGGCCATTCCATGTGGCTGAGGTCTGTGCTGGGCCTGCCTGAGAAGGAGACCATCTATTTGAATGTGCCTGAAGAGCAAGGTCAGATCTTGTGCAACCAACCACACCTCTGCATAGCCCTCCTCATCTCTCTGAATGGACAAGCAGCAGTGCCTGGGCCAGTCATACTCCTTTGGTGGAAGCTCTGCTAGGTTGAGCCCATGGAGTAGGCCCCTTACCCCTTTCTGTCCGCTGCCAGGATGTGGTACCCAGAAGCTACCTTAGTGACCACCTTGGTTTAGTAATCCCAGCAAAGTTAAATGACTTATCCATGGCCATTCATGGCATGGCAGAGCTGGGACCAGAACATAGGCACCACAGTCCTGTTTCATGAAGCCACGCGCCTACCAGGGCTCAAGGCTATTGCCCTTTGCTTTTCCACCTCCCCTCAAGCCTCCTCACGTACCTGCAGCATCCACTAGGCTGTTGGGGGCCTGCCATATTTTCTTCCACCCACCTCCCTTAGATCAAAAATCACCTCCTATCATGGAAGTGAAGGTACCTGTGGGGAAAGCTGGGAAGGAGGAGCGGAAAGGAGCAGCCCAGGAAAAGAAGCAACTGGGGATCAAAGACAAAGAAGACAAGAAAGGAGCCAAGCTGCTCGGGAAAGAGGCATGCTGGGGCGTGGTCTGGGCCAGGTGGGGCTGGGGAGGGGATTGGAGGGGCTGCGGAGGTGGGGGCTGTGGAGGTGGGCATGTGCCCAGGCTCTCCCAGTGAGCTACTGTTGAGGACATCCTTGGCCTACCTCTGGAGCTCCTGAAGGCTATGTGTGTCTCCCTCCCCCAGCAGGACCGTCCCAACAGCAAGAAGCACAAGGCAAAGGATGACAAGAAAGTCATAAAATCTGCAAGTCAGGACAGGTTTTCTTTGGAAGACCCTACCCCTGACATCATCCTCTCTTCTCAAGAACCCATAGACCCCCTGGTCATGGGGAAATACACCCAGAGCCTGCACAGTGAGGTGAAGGGAAGCGCCCAGCAGCCATTCCCCTGCCTCCCACCTGCCTTATTCATTCCGTTCAGTCTGCAGACAATAAGTGCCCACTCCATCATGGTGGAAGCAGAGCTGCTTCAGGAAGGGCATCCTCGTGTGTGAGACAGGCCTCATGAATAAGGAATGCGCCTAGCATGTTAGGTGATGAGTACGACGGGAGAGAAGATAGACCAGGCAGGGAATGGAGGCACAGAGGCCTCAGTGAGGAGGTGACAACCCACAAAGATTTGAAGGGAGGGGAAGGGTGGCCAAGTAGACGTCCAGTAAAGAGTGCTCCAGGCATGGGGAGCAACTGCCATAGGAGGGAGGGGCCAGAAGGGAGAGGGCAGTAGTGGGGAGCAGGTCATAGGGGTGGGGGATGGTTTGCAGGCTATTGTGAAGACTTGGGATTTTTCGGAGTGAAATGAGAAGTCACGCAAGGTTTTGAATAGAAACGCAATAGGGTCTGATAGGCTTTAGAAGGTGGCTCTGGCCGCCCTTTGGAGAACAGACTCTAGGGGAACAGAGAGGAAGGAAGCCCTTCTCTTTCTTACTCCCCGTTAGGTGCATCCTGGCAGATGCGTTCCTTGGGAGAACACCATGCAGGGTGCATTCCCATCAACTGTAAGAGTTTGAAGGACTAGAGAGACTTCATCCTAATCCGTTCTTAAGTAGCAGGTCCTTAGAAATTCACCCAGGTTTTCCGTTTTGTTTGTTAGTGTTGTTGTTTGTTTTGGAGGGGAGGTCCACAAAGCCATTTTCAATATGTCAGTATGTCTATTGGCGACGTCTTGCCTTCCTCTAATGTGGATAGCTGGGGAGCTGGGATTACATCATGTATTGTGGTCACACTCTGGATCTCATTTGATCAAAAGTTCCATTTGCCACTGGTGACATCACTAAGATATCAGATGGTTGATGGGGTCTAGAAAGTAATTAAAGGGCTCTGAGGACCCATGGGGGTCAACGTCAACCCTTCCATGGCTCTTTGATATTAAGAATCAACTTGCAGACCAGGTGCGGTGGCTCGTGCCTGTAATCCCAGCACTTTGGGAGGCCAAGGTGGGCAGATTGCCTGAGCTCAGGAGTTCAAGACCAGCCTGGGCAACATGGTAAGATCCCGTTTCTACTAAAAATTCAAAAAATTAGCCAGGCATGGTGACACTCACCTGTAGTCCCAGCTACTTGGGTGGCTGAGGCACAATAATCGCTTGAACCCGGGAAGTGGAGGTTGCAGTGAGCCGAGATCACGCCATTTCACTCCAGCTTGGGTGACAAGAGTGAGACTCTTACCTCCAAAAAAAAAGAATCAACTTGCTGGCCAGTGGCTCACACCTGTAATCCTAGCACGTTGGAAGGCTGAGGCAGGTGGATTGCTTGAGCCCAGGAGTTCGACATCAGCCTAGACAACACAGGGAGACCCCATCTCTGCAGAAAAAAAAAAGAATCAACTTGTCTGGGCTTGTATGATCCAACCCCATTGGAGGGGTCAGTCCCAGAGACCTTTCAGTCTGTGGATACAGGAAGGAAAATTGGCCTCCAGGAGGCCAGAGTAGAACTGGGGCTGAGCCCAGGCCCACCCCAAACGGCTAAATGGGCACCGCTCCATGGGCTCCCTGGAGTTGCCCCTTGAACAACTTAGCTCTAGTATCTCCATATGTCAAAGGTACCAGCGCAGGGCCACCTCCCCAGACTGGTTTGAAAAGTAAAACTGCAAAAGCAGGTGGATTGCTTGAGCCCAGGAGTTCGAGACTAGCCTGGGCAATGTGGTGAAACCCCATCTCTACAAAAAATAGAAAAAAGTAGCCAGGTCTGGTGGTGCACGCCTGTAGTCCCAGCTACTTGGGAGGCTGAGATGGGAGAATCACCTGAGCCAGGGAAGTCAAGGCTGCAGTGAGCCATGATCACACCACTGGACTCCAGCCTGGGTGACAGAGTGAGATCCTGTCAAAAAAAAAAAAAATCTGCAAAACCAAAAATTATTTCACAAGAACTTTGAACTTGTGAAATTCTTTCACAAACAACTGGTTTCTTTCCCCTCTCCAGCTATTCTCTCACAGCATAGTTCATATATAGGTGCTTCCCACAGAGTAAACTCTGCCTGTGATGTTGTCCCGTTCTTCCAGGTCCGTGGGCTGCTGGACACCCTGGTGACTGACCTGATGGTCCTGGCTGATGAGCTCAGCCCCATAAAGAATGTCGAGGAGGCTTTGCGCCTCTGCAGGTGACTCTCGGGCCCAAGCAACCTTCTGGAAAACGGGTTAATAAATAAATCAATAAAGAACCTTCAAGTTTCTACTACTTCCGTGTGCCTCTGTGTCTTGCATGATGGATCTTGGCTAGGTCAGCTCCTGATCCAGGTCCTCCCATGTTCCACCTGCCCTCAGATCCCCTCCTGCCAGCTGCCAGAGCCCTCCTGCAGGAGGACAGACAGACATAGCTGGGGAAGTGATGTGTGGGATGCCAAGCAGAGGAGCAGATTGGTAGCAAGACAAGGAGTCAGGTGACAGGACAGTGTGTCACCTCTGGTAGTCCCTGCCTCTGGCTTCCTTGGCCCACACTTTCAGGGTCGTGCTTCCTGGAGCCAGGTCTTCCCGAAGTGTCATCACCAAGTATGACAAAGTGTGAGATGAGGAGTAGAACTAGACCCATGGGACCTGGCTCCCTGCCATCTCCCCTCTTCAGCTGGGTCCCAGGGCCCCAATTCAGTCCCTGAAGATCATGCTCACCACACCTCTTCAGCTCTAGAGGCCACATCACCTTGTTATTTCGGGGTCTAGTCTGCCTTATCCCCCTCCTCATCTCAAACTATCTGGCCTTGAGCCATCTTTCTGCCTTAAAAACAGCTGCTGATCTTCATGCTACCTCCCTTGCTCAGGGGAACATGAAACAGGCTAGAAATGGCTCTCAGAAAAAAAGGTATTGTCAGCTCAAACTCAGGCCCCTCATTGTCTTCTGTCAGTCATAACCATTTGGGGCTGGGCTCCCTGTGTGAAGAGCACTCCAGGCTCCCAGAGTTTGAAGAACAACTTTGGTTTTTGGGTGGGTGGGCATCCTTAAGTGGGCCTCAGGCATCCTCCAGCTGAGATGCAGGAGGGGGAGGATGGACAGAAGGATCTGACTCCGTGTGGGAAAGGCAGGGAGGGGGCTGTGCTGGAGTCCTGATGCTCTCCTCCCCAAGAAGACGAGAAGACGGGGGCTCCACCAAAGAGCCAGCCCCAGGGAATGTCCCTGCCCTCTCCTTTAATGTCCTCCCGGCCCAGAGGAGGAAGGGGAGGGGTGTGGTGGGGGTGTTGGAGCCCCCCTCCTTTCCTGTTGAAGAGGCAGGGGAAGGGTTAACTCAAAGCAGAGGGGATCAGGTCGCCAGCACTGGCTCCAGATGTGCACTTCCTGGGGGCGGCCAACAGGCAGGCCCCCCACCTCTCAATGCACCACTTGCCTGGCCAGCAGGAAGGGGTTAACCTGCCCTGCACTTCCTCCTGTGTCCTGTTACTGCTGAGGCAGACCTGCCGGGCCAGCTGAGCAACTTTCCTCGGAGTGCTGCCTGGCGCTGGCTAGGAGGCAAACGCACGCGGGAAGAGCTGCTACCCATTCCAGGGACCCTGCCGCTGCCCCTCTGAGGGGTCTGCACCTCCTGGGAGCAGGTGGGTCTCTGGGACGAGGGTCCATGGTGGATGGCTCTGGAGACGCTCCCGAGGCTGTGCCGTCCCGCTGCTGCACAGGTCGGAGGGTCACCGCAGAGGCTACTCGGGCTGGGGCTGGGGCCGAGGGAGCCCGCACTGGAGGTAAGCTTCCTCCCTGGCCCCCTCCCTGGCAGTGGCGGCATGGAAGGCGGGGGTTGGTGGGGAGCAAACAGTGGTTCTGGGGCTTAGTCTCTTTTCCAGGTGCGAGGGAGAAGGCTGAGCTGTAGAGGACCTAAAGGCTTCTTTCCTGCCACCCCTCCCTCCCTGCCGCCCCCAAAAAGGGACTCAGGGCCCCCTCCCCAACCATCCTGGGACTTAGCATCTTTGGTGGCATCTTAGCATCTTTGGTGGCATTCCCCACAGACTCCTTCTGCACATCTCTGCTGTTTCCTCTTCTTCAGCCCCTCATGCACACCTCTAGCCTCAGGGCAGTCCCCCCTCCCCCATCTTCTGTGCTCCCGGGATGCAGCTATTACAGTGGCCAGAAGCTTAGAGTTCAAGCTCACCCCCTGTCCCTTACAGCATCAAGAAGGGCACTGTCATTCCCCACTGCTCAGGCTGGATCTGACTTGGAGGCAGGGGCTGGAGCCCACCTTAGCAGAGGACGGGAAGAGGGTGTGGGCTGGGCTGGTGGGTGCACAGACTTTACGCAAACTCATGCACGTGTGACTGGACAGATCTGGGTTCTCTCCATCTCTCCGAAACCCTTGCTGGGGATGAGCGATCTGCATTTTTCGGTCCTGACTTTTGGGAAACTCTCCAGATCCCCCCATCCTGCAGGCCCTGAGAAGAGCAGCCCCTCCCTACTGCGCAGTTCTCCTTGGGACCCTGTATGCAGGAGAGAGCTGATACTCCGTGCCCCGTGGCCCATCCCACCGCCTGCTGGCCCTGCTCCCATCCCCTCAGCTTCCTCCCTCCTCTGCCCTCTCGTCATCTCTGAATTCTCAGGCCCTGCCCTCTCTGTGCCCTTCCCTCCACCTGACAGGGTCTGGCTCAAGGTCACTGCAGTAATTCCATACCCAGCTGCCCAGGGCTGCTGCTGCTACCGCCACCGCCTTATCGGCCGCTGGGTTTCTGTTACACTCCCTTTTATTTCTGGGCATATCGTGTTCGATAAAACCCTTTGCTTGTAACACTGCTGGCAGCGCTCCCAGCTGCTCCCTCCCGCGTTCCCGCGTTCCTTCCTTTCCTCCTCCCTTCTCTGCGCTTGGGCAGGCTTCTTCCTTTCCTCCTCCCTTCTCTGCGCTTGGGCAGGCTTCTTCCTTTCCTCCTCCCTTCTCTGTGCTTGGGCAGCCTCACCTTGTCCCCTCAAACTCCAGAGAAGGAAAATCAAGGTGCCTCCCCATGTTTCTGGCCCCGCCCTTCCCCCCAGCCCCTGCAGGGGTGTGCAGAGAATGCCCACCTTCTGTGAGAAAGGTCCAGGCAGGGCCGCTGGGCCCACACCGAGAGTCCCCTCCCAGAGGCTGGTGCCCCCACACAGGCCAGGCCGGAGGGCCAGGGCAGCCAGGTCCAGGTAGGGCTCTGGTGCAGTCACAGTGCCCGACTGGTTCTGCTAGTTCCAGCGGCCAGCCGGTAGGGGCGTGTGCTGGGCGGGCTTTGGTGCACATTATTTCCCATCTTGACTCTGCCACCCCCAGCCACGGGTTGGGGAGGTGAAGGCAGGTCTGAGTCACTAGCAAGGGGGAGGGCAGGAGTTAAACAAGTTGTGGCCGTGGCATTCCCACAGAAGGCCCACGACCCGCTGGAAGGAAAGAGATAGCAGACAAAAGGTAGGCTGCGCTGTGGGCCAGGCACTCTCCACCTCGCCCACTCCCACGGTATCTTATTCTCTGGGCCCCCAACAAAACCTGCCAAGGCATGTTTTCAAAGCGTGGGGCTGCTTTGAACTGAGCCCAGCACTGGCGGGGCTGGGGTGGAAGGAGCGTGGAATCGGGTGCGAGAGGACAGTCTCCTTCAGATTCCTGCTTCTGGCAGCCTGGGGACCAGTTGGGGCACGGGCTGGGATGGAGGGTGGAGCCGAAAGGTGTTTGGTGGGTGGGGGACAGTTCACGGGTGAAGTGGAGGCTCTGCAGGCCCAGACAGTGTGTGTGTGCATGCACACACCAGTGCTAGTGTGGGAGGAATGGTGGTGGTCAGGGAATTCCTCTTTTGGTTTCTGAAAGGGCCTTTGGGAGGACCTTGGGCCTGGAGTTGTATTCAGCAGATAGCCTGGACCTGTGGCTACTGGGGGGAATTGGGCTGGCCCAGCTCTTCTCCCTGCTGGGGTACCAGAGGTCCACTATGTGTCCAGCGTTTTGGGGCTTTGGAGAACCCAGACTGTTCCTACTCTCAGGGAGCTTCCATTCTAGCTGAGAAGGTGGGACTGAGACAGTAAAGCAATCCGATGAAATAATGACCAAACTGGGTAACACTGACAATAAGAATTGGATTAGTCTTCTGGAGTCCTGGATGGTAGTCCAGGCTCTGCCACTTACGTGCCATATGATGCAGGCAGGTCCCATCCCCTCTCTGGCCTCAACACTTCCATGTGTACGTGGGGGTGGCATGCAGGAGTGTTGGCAGTGGCCAGAACTCTGAGGGGCAGTCTTCCTCAAACGATACTTGCTCTCTTGCCTTCTGGCCCAGGTCATAGCATTTCTTCTGAGCCGCCCTCCCCTGACTTGCTGGTTCACTCCTCCTTACTCTTCCCTTGTGATCTTGGATCTCAGCTCTGTCACCACCTCCTCTAGGAAGTCTCCCCTGATTTTCCTGGCTTGGGTCTTCCTGTGCGGCTCTGCACTCCCACACTGGACTGTGATTTTCTGTACCCTCTCAACTGAACGTGGGTGGACCAAGGCGTGTGTTCTGTGCCTGGCATGGTGCCTGGCTCAGAAAAGGCCTCCGGGAAATAGGTGTTGAATGCATCAAACTACAAAAATTAACAATATGAGAAAAGTGAGCTGAGGAGCTAGGAAGGATAGGTCTTAAGCTAGATCTCAGCAGAAACAGAGGCAGTGGCCGAGCAGAAGCAAGGCAAGCGGGCATTCCTGGAATCCTGTTAGCGTTCCCCCATGAGGCCATGCACTCTTAGGTGGGGCTTCCTGGGGTCATCTTGGTTCCCCATGCAGCAGCTCTGTGATCTCGGACAAGTCACTTAATATTACAGGGTCTCGCTCTGTTGCCCAGTGGCCTGACCATGGCTCACTGCAGCCTCCAACTACTGGCCTCAAGTGATCCTCTTGCCTTGGCCTCCTGAAGTCCTGGAATTACAGGCGTGAGCCACTGCACCGGGCCCATTTAATACTCTGAGCCCCACCTTTCCCATCTGTGGATGGAGGTAATGATAATAGCATCTTTGGGGTGTGGCTGTGAAGATAGATAGATGAGCATGCAAAGCTCCAAGTGCCTGCTGAATTGTAAGTGAAATAAGAACGTGTGCCGCTGAAGGCTGTCCCTGGAGGCAGGGACACTCTGGCCAGGCCTCATTTAGTTGGTCAGTGGCTGAGTGACCCATGAGGTAGGCCTCTGCCCCTGAGTTCCTGGCCCTCTCTTCCTCAGCCCCATGTGGAACCCAAGGATGCAGCTGCTCTGCTAACACGGCAGCCCATCCTTCAAGACTGTGACCTCGCCACAGTGGCCCTCAGCCCTCCACCTCCGGCGGGGGCGAGGGCCACCCACCTCCAAGTCTCCAGCCATGACGACCTCCGCACTCCGGCGCCAGGTGAAGAACATCGTGCACAACTACTCCGAGGCAGAAATCAAGGTGCGCGAGGCCACCAGCAATGACCCCTGGGGCCCCCCTAGTTCGCTCATGTCCGAGATCGCTGACCTGACCTTCAACACAGTGGCCTTCACCGAAGTCATGGGCATGCTGTGGCGGCGGCTCAATGACAGCGGCAAGAACTGGCGGCACGTGTACAAGGCTCTAACATTGCTGGACTACCTGCTCAAGACGGGCTCCGAGCGGGTGGCCCACCAGTGCCGCGAGAACCTCTACACCATCCAGACACTCAAGGACTTCCAGTACATCGACCGCGACGGCAAGGACCAGGGCGTCAACGTGCGCGAGAAGGTCAAGCAGGTGATGGCCCTGCTCAAGGATGAGGAGCGGCTGCGGCAGGAGCGAACCCACGCCCTCAAGACCAAGGAGCGCATGGCACTGGAGGGCATCGGCATTGGCAGTGGGCAGCTGGGCTTCAGCCGCCGCTACGGCGAGGACTACAGCCGCTCCCGGGGCTCCCCGTCCTCCTACAACTGTGAGTAAGCCCCGGTGTGTGGCTGGGATGGGGAGGTGGCCCGACTTCCATTCCTGGCTCTGCAATCCAAGCCATGGTTCATAATACCTACCTCCGAGGGGTGTTATGAAGATTCAGACATAAGGAATGTAACACGCAAGGCGCAACACCCGGCACATAGGAGGTGCTCAACAAGTTAGCTCAGATAATAACGTTGTTATAGATTCATTATCATTCGTTAGCTGCCTGATAGGATGGCGCGATAGTGGAAGCATGGGTTTGGAGTCAGATAGCATTCTATATTCTGCTTCCTCCAAGCTGTGTGACCTGGGCAACCAGTTCTCTGAACCTCAGTTTCCTCATCTGTACAGTGGGGATAAGCTCACCTACCTCCATTGTTTGATCTGAGAATGAAATGAGACCAGGTTCAGGAACGTCCTCTACCCTGCACCCAGACACATGGCATTCCCCTTCATCCCCCTACCTGAGGGCAGCGGCTAGACAGTCCCTGACTCTCCTGCCCCCAGTCATGGGGGCTTCCAGGATCTGAGGAATACTCAGAATGGCCCGCCTTCCATAAAGCCCTTGACAGTTTGCTGAGGGCTTTGAGGTTGTGACCTCGTTGGACTAGAACCTCCTATCCTTGCACCTCCCTTGCCCCCAAGCCAGGACAGGGTCCATCTGGAAGTCCAAGAGCTGGAGTCAGGGCACCTGGGTTCAAGTCCTGCTTCAGGAACCTGGTCAGGGGCCCTAAGTGCCGCCTGTGCATCTGCTAAGGAGGGACTGGAGCCGCCCCTCCATCCGGGATGGGTTGGGATGGGGAACTTACAGAGTGCCTGGCACACTGCTTGGCCCACGGGGGCCTCAACGGCCGTTGTTCCCCTCCTCTCAGTTCTCTTGAGCCTCAGCTTCCTGGCAGGCAGAGGGGTGTGGGAGCCGATGGGTAATCGTGTGGTCACAGAGACATGATGGTCATTGCAGCCTCCTCTTCGTCACCCCGCTATACCTCCGACCTGGAGCAGGCCCGGCCTCAGACGTCAGGGGAAGAGGAACTGCAGCTGCAGCTGGCCCTCGCCATGAGCCGTGAGGAGGCAGAGAAGGTGAGGCCATGCAGCCCCACTGCGGTGGGGAGGGGATGGGCTAGGGGGAGAGAGTGCCTGGGAGCCCCTTGGCCTTGACTCAGGCTCTGTCACCCAAAGCCCCAGTCCTGTGCCCAAGGACAGCACAAGACCCATTATCTCTGTCGGTTTGTCGCAGGCAGGGACTGCCTCCCTGCCTCCAGTCCTCTCCACTGGGCCTGGAAAGGGTGGCGAGTGTACAATTAGGGGCACATGCTATGTCTTGGGGTGCCTGCTACCACCTCATGGTGGAGTGGGTGAGTGTGCTCAGACATATTCCTAGGAGACACTGGGATATGCTTCCCACCCCCGCCCACCAGCTATCCTTTTGGGGAGACAAGGACAGGCCCCCGATATCATCATCTTTGCCATTACCTCTGTGGATCCAGGAAGACCAGGCAGGAAGCAGCTGGGCCTCACACAGGAGGGCCTGAGGAACTCTCAGAGGATTCAGAAGCGAAAGATCAGTCTTCCTGACCTTTAAACTGCATTTCAGATGCAGGCAGGGAGAAGGCCACGCCCACCCTGCTGACTGAGCGGCAAATGGCCCATGCACACTGAGGGTGGGCATTAGTGTCTCCATCCCCATGACCCAGGCAGGCCTATACTGCCCTTCTGGTCCCAAGGTGGGGGTACAGGGCCAAGTTTACCCCTCTCTTCCTCCGCAGCCTGTCCCCCCAGCCTCCCACAGGGACGAGGACCTGCAGCTGCAGCTGGCTCTGCGCCTGAGCCGGCAGGAGCACGAGAAGGTAGTGGGCCGAGCCCGCTGGGCTGCCGGTGCTGCTGCTGCTGCTGGTGGAGGTGCTTCAGGGCACTAACAGCCTCCTCCCGCTGTACCCGGTGGCCCTGCTGCTCCTAACCTCTCAGCTGCCTCCCACCCTGCACTCTCTCGACTCCAGCCTCTGGTGCACAGGTCCCCGGATTCCCGCCTGAGCTGCTCATGCTCCTAACTCTTTCTGTGCCTTCTGCAGGAGGTGAGGTCCTGGCAGGGTGATGGCTCCCCCATGGCCAATGGTGCAGGGGCCGTGGTCCACCATCAGCGGGACAGAGAGCCTGAGAGAGAAGAGAGAAAGGAGGAGGAGAAGCTAAAAACCAGCCAGGTAGGGAGTGGGCTGCGGTGCTTGGGATGGACAGGGCCTAAGAGATGGACTGAGTATTTGTAAAGAGAGAGCAGAGCAGTGCCTGGCATATAGTAAGCACTGATGTGTTTATTCGATGAAATAGGGGTGGGGGTGTAGCAGCCCTAGTCCCACATTGCATGGGCTGGTGACTGAGTTAACAGCAAAGTGGGATGCAAAAGGTTCCTGATTGGAGACCCCCGGATTCGGGTTCTGGATTTGCTGCCACTTACTCTATGACTTGGGGCATGTCACTGTCATGGCCTCAGTTTCCCCTTCTGCACAGTGTGCTTATTGGATAGTTCCAGCTCTGACATGCTAGGATTATGTGATACTGTCAATCAAGACTAGGGTTGGCCTAAGCACATGGTGCTGAAAACACCTCGGGCTCATGGACATATTTTCTCCGCATGGGGAGTGGGCAGCTGCTGAGTGCAAGGCTGCCCTCCAAAGCTGTCCATGCCACGCCCGGGTGCTGTGGTCTCCTTTCCGTCCATGTTCACTGTGGCCAGTTTCTCTTGGACACTGACCTAGGGAGGTAGGCTGGTTGAAAAACATCTGCCTTTGGCCTTCCTGCCCCTTTCTGCTGGCCTGGATTCTATCCCAGCTCTGCCTCTCCCTGGCTGTGTGACTTCAGGCAAACCCATTCCACCCTCTGTGCGCTGGCTGGCTCATCCATAAAATGGGTACATCATCTGCCCTACCTACCTCACAGGGTTGTTATGAAAATCAGGTACTCTGTGGATGAAGAAACATTATAAACTGTAAAGCACTGTGCAGAGGTGAGGGATCATGAATAGGTATCTGTGGAATGAATAAAGAGAATGAACTGGCATTAGCCTGACAGGTCAGGGCCTGCCCTCCCTCCAGGCCCCGCCCACTTCTGAGCCGCGGCTGCCTCTCCCCTCCACAGTCCTCCATCCTGGACTTGGCTGACATCTTCGTACCTGCCCTGGCCCCGCCCTCCACACACTGCTCTGCTGACCCATGGGACATCCCAGGTGGGCATGCAGGGCTGCAAGAGACTTCCAGGCTGGCCCAAGAGCCTCCTCCTTCCCAGCCACTTGCTGGGCCAAGCACCTCCTCCCAAAATCTGAGTGTCACCGGGCAAGTCACTCACCACCTTGAGCCTCCGCCGCCTGTGGGACAGGCTTTCGTAGTGAGGGCTATGGAGAATGTCTGAAGGGCCCAGCTCCTAGGAAACGCAGCAAAATGTTCTCTCGCTGCACTCACTTGCTCAGCACGCCTGGGAAGGTGGCCTGAGTCGCCCACACCTGCAGGTCCCAGTTCCTGGGGTCACTTGTCAAATAGGGGCTCCAGCCTGCTGGGTGGTCCTGAGGCTGCAGGCCATCTGTGACATGGATCTTCTGCCTCCCAACTTGGGCTGGGTAACTGGGAAGGGCCCTGGGCGAGGGATAAGGGTGGGCCTGGGATCATGTCTATGCTGTTCCCATTTCAGGTTTTAGGCCGAACACAGAGGCCAGTGGATCCTCCTGGGGGCCTTCTGCAGACCCCTGGTCTCCGATCCCCTCAGGAACCGTCCTGTCCCGAAGCCAGCCCTGGGATCTGACTCCCATGCTCTCCTCCTCTGAGCCCTGGGGCAGGACCCCAGTGCTGCCTGCTGGGCCCCCCACCACAGACCCCTGGGCCCTGAACTCTCCCCACCACAAACTCCCCAGCACTGGGGCTGACCCTTGGGGAGCCTCCCTGGAGACCTCCGACACACCTGGTAAGAAGAGGGCCAGAGAGTGTGAGTGAGGAGCTGGGGGACTTCCAGGCAGGGCCAAGGGGCAGCAGATACTGTTTGTGTTAGGAGGACAGCTTCTCTGGAAAGGGGTCAGACCAACACCTGCCCTTTTTGTCAACCCATCTCCTCTTCCTCTCTCTCTTCCGAGGTGGTGCCTCGACCTTTGACCCATTTGCCAAACCTCCAGAATCCACAGAGACCAAGGAGGGGCTGGAGCAGGCCCTGCCCTCTGGGAAGCCCAGCAGCCCTGTGGGTGAGCAGGGCAAGGGGATGGTGAGGCTCTGGGGAATGAGGGGCCCACCCCGAGCAGCCTCTGTCCTCTTCCTCCCACGTCGGGCGCCAATCCCTTTCCCCACCAATTAGCTCTAGCATTTCTATTCCAGAGCTGGACCTGTTTGGAGACCCCAGCCCCAGTTCCAAGCAAAATGGCACGAAGGAGCCAGATGCCCTGGACCTGGGCATACTAGGGGAAGCACTAACCCAGCCAAGCAAAGAGGCCCGAGCTTGCCGGACTCCCGAGTCCTTCCTGGGTCCCTCAGCTTCCTCCTTGGTCAACCTTGACTCGTTGGTCAAGGCACCCCAGGTTGCAAAGACCCGGAACCCCTTCCTGACAGGTAAGATATGCCCTTGTCCCTCAACCCAGGGGCTCCTGCTTTCAGAGCCTAGCCTCCGCCGGAGGAGCCCACTCTTCTTCCCAACTTCCACGACCTCCCGGTGTAGGGCTCTGAACCCCGGGTCACTCAAAGCCACTCTCGTTCTGCAGGTCTCAGCGCTCCGTCCCCCACCAACCCGTTCGGCGCGGGCGAGCCGGGCAGGCCGACGCTAAACCAGATGCGCACCGGCTCGCCGGCGCTGGGCCTGGCAGGCGGGCCTGTGGGGGCGCCCCTGGGCTCCATGACCTACAGCGCCTCTCTGCCCCTCCCGCTCAGCAGCGTGCCAGCTGGCTTGACCCTCCCCGCCTCGGTTAGCGTCTTCCCGCAGGCCGGAGCCTTCGCACCGCAGCCGCTGCTGCCCACGCCGAGCTCAGCCGGGCCGCGGCCCCCGCCCCCGCAGACCGGCACCAACCCCTTCCTCTGAGCCCCGCCCCGTCCCATACCGGCCTGCGCCTGCGCCGGACGCTCCGCGGCCCCGCCTCCGGACCCGGGGCTGGGCGGGGCGCCGGTGCTAGTGGAACGCCGAGCCAGTGGCGGCTGGTATCCCGCGGCGGCTCTGGAAGCTGGACGCGGACCACGGCCCGGGAGCTAGAAACTGAACGCCCGCATAATAAAGACTGGAACCCTCGTTCTCAGCTCTCACCAAGTGGACTTTTTGCGGGGTGTGGCGGCCGGGTCTCGACCACAGCGTGGATCACCGGCTGTTTAGGAAACTGCAGCTGCACAACGTGGGGTGCAAAACTGCCCCGCTTCCTTTACAGCTCTTCTCAACCCTCACCTCCATCCCCCGTCACCCAGGCACCTTCGCTTCCAGATGCTGCCAGGCTGTCACTCAATTCGGTCATTTCATTCATTTATCACACATGGGCACTGGGGTTGGGCTAACAGCAAGAGACAATAGGCCTTTGTTCCTATTTATTGGGTACTGCTTACGTGCTAAGCAGATCAGTTTATTTAATGCTTGCAACGACTCTCTGAGGTAGAAAATATTGTTAATTCCGTTCAGGATCCCGGCTACATAATCTGTGGGGCTCAATACAAAATAAAAATGTAGGGGCTCCTTGTTCAAAATCGTATGAAGAATTTCAAAACAGGGACAACAGAGCATGAAACCAAGCGCAAAGCCCACTGCAGTGCGATTGCACAGGTATCTCACCTTGCAGCCGGCACTACTCCCATTTTTCAGGCAAGGAAACCGTGGCTCAGAGAGGTTGAATGGCATGCTCAAAGTCACAAAGCTGGCATGGGGCGGGGCTGGAACTCAAGAGTCAGACAGTCTGGCTCCAAGGCCTGGAGATCCCAGGCTGGGCCCCAGATTTAATTCAGCAAATATTGACTGACTGCTGTGGACAAAGTGCTGGGCTCACCTTGGAGGGATCCAACCTCCAGGAGCTCGAGCGCAGCAGGGTAGACAAGCCAGGGGCACGTGATGCGGCTGTGGCAGAAGCCAAGTGCAGGAGCTCCCAGGCTCCTTTGTTTTACTGAGTCACCTTAAATGTAACTCTGCCCTCTCCCTTGCTTCGCCAAGGCTAGCGAGAAACTCAGTCTTAGCCACACAGGAGGAATCGGACCCCTTCTGGGGGTTTATGTGGAGTCTGGGAAACCAAGGGTGGGGTGAGGCCTGGTACTCAATCCAGGAGGGGCCCCTATGACCACCCTCGCCTGTTTTTCTTCTCAATGCTCCCTGATCACTGGACCACTGGACACTGATGTGTCCTCAGTGCTTGGGGTCTGGCTCTGCAGGCAGCCTGCAGCCAGCCTCCATCCCCCTTTCAGGGACAAATGGCCTTCCACCAGAGTCGGTGAGTGGAGAGGCACAATGCCACTCCCCTTCCTGAGGTGGGGGTAGGGGAAGGGAGTCCCACAATGCAGTTACAAACAGGATGGACAAGAACACCTGCTCAGGAGTCAGACTTACAGGGTTCAAAGTTCTGCTCCAAGGTTTGACCCTAACAAGAATCACTTAGTAATAAGTGGTTATGCTCTGTGACCTTGAGTAAATTACTTACCCTCTCCATGTCTCTGTGCCTGCGTTTCCTTACTTGTCAAACGGGATCAGAAGTTTCTTCCTTGTGAGGTTACTATGTGGATGTCCCCAGGCGTGTCCATTCAGCTCAGAGTCCACCCTCTTCAAAGACTGACCATGAGGCACGAACCCATCATGGCTTTCACTCCTGGTTTTGCCAGGCAATACCCAGAGTCCAGCACCCATCTATTAATATCTTCTGCTGCACCCAAACCTGGGATGTTCCATCCTTCTTGGCCCCTGATCCACCCTTTGTGGCCCTGCCACCCAGGCTCTCTTCTTCTAAACTGGATCCCCCCGAGGACTCCCAAGGGGAGCTGTTTTGTTTCCCACAAAAAAAGTTGGCAGCCTTGCTTCCTGCCTCCCTCCTTATAAGACCCCTCCTGCTAGGAGGTTGGTGCCATAAGTCATTCTGTCTCTTCCCTGCCTGGGGCTGCCACTCCACCTCACTTTTGGGATGCTTCGGTCTTGGCTCATGGTCTTCTCATCCAGCTCTTACCTCAATTTCAAGTCGCTCCATTATCCAAGGACCTTATGGCCCCTTGACCTCTCAATGACCCTCACCATGGTCACACTTGGAGGTTTGTCATCACCCCAGATTCCTCTACATTCAAGGCAGGCTTCTGGCTCTCTGAGCTTAACCTCATTCCTTCTAGCCAGAACATGTTCTTTGGAGCACCCACTGGACCCTCCGGCTAGCCAACCCTTCCAACAACCCGCCACACCCCACATTCTCAGAGTCACCCAGGACCACCATCTCTTCTATCCTTGATGGCGTCCACCACTTTCTCTCAAACGAATCCTTCCCATCGAAATGTGTCTTAATTAGCTCCATCCATCTTGACAGTGTCTTCCCATCTATCCTCTCATGTCAAGCACCCATCATCTCTCTCTGTCTCCCCTCCCTTTCCTCTTCCTCCTCAGCCGACTCGGCAACTTCTGCTCTCAGCCTGACTTCACTAGAACGACGCCCACTAAGCACACCAATGGCCTCCATGTTGCTGAAGCCAGTGGACATTTTTCTGTCCCAGCCAGGCTGGCCCCTCAGGAGTCTGACATGTAGGCACTCTGTCCTTCATCTCTGGGGTGCTGTCCTTTGCACCCTGGCTGCTTCCCTTCTGTGTCTTTCTTTCTTTCTTTCTTTCTTCTTTTTTTGAGACAGAGTTTCGCTCTTGTTGCCCAGGCTGGGGTGCAATCATGAAATCTCGGCTCACCGCAACCTCCGCCTCCCGGGTTCAAGCGATTCTCCTGCCTCAGCCTCCCGAGTAGCAAGGATTACAGGCATGCGCCACCATGCCCGGCTAATTTTGTATTTTTAGTAGAGATGGGGGTTTCTCCATGTTGGTCAGGTTGGTCTAAAACTCCTGACCTCAGGTGATCCACCCTCCTCGGCCTCCCAAAGTGCTGGGATTACAGGCGTGAGCCACCATGCCCTGCCTCCATCTGTGTCTTTCACAGGCTTACTTAAGCCTGGACCTGAGCCCTCTTCTCTGCTCCTCTGCATGGTCTCCCTGGATCAGCTCCACACCCACATGGTCTCAACAGTCAAGACCCCCAATCCTCTCTCCTGAAGCCTCTCCTCTGTCCTCCAAGCAGTGTCATCTCTGCCTCCATGTGCACATCTCAAACCCACAGGTCCCACAATGAACCCCATGAGTTGTCCCCCCACCCCCACCCCATGCCCTCTCTTGAGGGAACGGCCCCACCTTGCAAGTCACCCTGGACACCGCCTTCTTTGTCGCCGCCCATCCTGACGACGTTTCCTCCTTGACCGACTTCCAGCCCATCCCTTTCTCTGCATCTCTGCTCCCCCATCTCCCCCTGGGTGCTGCTATAGCCTCCTATCTGCCCCTGCTTTCACTCTTGCCCCTTTCCAGTTCATTCTCCACTGGGAAGCTGGTGGGATCTTTCCAAAACGCAGATCTAACTGGTAACCCTCCTGACTAAAGCCTTTCAATAGCTTGCTTCTACTGTCATCAAAAATCCCCTTCTCTGGCCAGGCACGGTGGCTCACACCTGTAATCCCAGCACTTCGGAGGCTGAGGCAGATGGATCGCTTGAGGTCAGGAGTTTGAGACCAGCCTAGGCAACATGGCGAAACCCCGTCTCTACTAAAAATACAAAAATTAGCTGGGCATGGTGGCGCGCTCCTGTAGTCCCAGCTACTTGGAAGGCTGAGGCACAAGAATCGCTTAAACCTAGGAGGTGGAGGTTGCAGAGAGCCAAGATCCACTGCACTCCAGCCTGGGCAACAGAGTGAGACTCTGGCTAAAAAAAAATGGGGTCGGGTATGGTGGCTCATGCCTGTAATCCCAGCACTTTGGGAGGCCAAGGCAGATGGATCACCTGAGGTCAGGAGTTCGAGACCAGCCTTGAACCCAGGATGCGGAGGTTGCAGTGAGCCGAGATCACACCACTGCACTCCAGCCTGGGTGACAGAGCGAGACTCTGTCTCAAAAAATAAAAATCCCCTTCTTACAGTTCACGAGTGTCTCCAAGATCTTGCCTCTGCCCTCATCTACTGCCTGTCTTCCCTCTTTCTGCAGTTGCTCAGCCCGGACTCACTGACAAGCCACGGGACCTTTGCACAAACTGTACCTCTGCCTCCTTCCCCAGCACTCCCCCTGAGCACCCTCCAAGTTCCTTTCTCTCGTTCTCCATGGCTTCACAAATGTGATTTCCTCAGGGAAGCCTTCATCCTTTGCCCCTTCCACCAGATCAGGTCACTTGTTACGTTATACCCTCACGGACTTGTCACGTGGGTGTTTATCGGTATGGCTGTCGAATTAGCATCTGCCGCTCTCAACAGACTGTGAGCCATGTGAGGGCAGGAGCCTTGTTTCTCTCTGCCCACCATTGTATACTCAGTGCCTTGCAGAGTGGCAGGCGGCAGGCACTTAATAAATATTGGCTGAATGTAGCCAATGAGGCCATGTGTAACCTATGAGACATAAAATGGGCTCATCAGTATTATTTAAGGAAGACTTCCTGGAGTGGGTAGGATTTGAGTAGGACCTAGAGACGAGGAGGCTGCAAAAAGCAAACCTTGTTAGCTGGTGGACCTGGCCAAGGTACGCCTTCGCCTTGGATCTCATTTCTCATTTGTAAAATGGGCAGGGGTTGGACAAAATGAGCTGAAGCTCTGGCATCCCATGTCCCTAGCATCTCCCAGCCCTAGATCCCACAACTCTCCCTATTCCCTTGAGAAGGGCTGTCCTCCCCAGGCAGGGGCAGAGCCCAGTTTTATGCACAGAATGGGTCCTCCCAAGGCTCGGGTGCCTGATCTGCAATTCTGCGCTCCGCCGCAGGGCGACGCTCGGAGACCAGCCACACTGTCCCAAGTCCCGGCGAAGACCCGCCCGCGGCTCCGTAGGTGCCCGGCCCGCCCCTCGCAGCCTCCTGACTTCCCTTCCTGTCCTCAGCGGCCGGGCCCACGGCCCCGAGCAGCCATGCTGGGCGCGCGGGCCTGGTTGGGCCGCGTCCTTCTGCTGCCCCGCGCCGGTGCAGGCCTCGCCGCGAGCCGCAGGTACGGGCGGGCGAGCGGGCCCCTAGGGCACTCCCTGCGCCTGCCTGCGGGCCCAGTGGAGGGTCTTCCGGACACCGGTCCCCAGTGCCAGTCTGGACCACCCCTGCATGCCTGGCCCTTCCCCCACCCCACCTCCGGTCTGCTCCTGAGACCTGGCTCTGGCTGTAAGGCCCTCCTCCCCTCCTCTCCCGTCCTCATCCCTTCCCTCCTCTCCCCTTCCTTCCAGTGCAGTGCCAGCTCCTCAGGGACTGTTCTGACACTGCTTCCAGGAAGCCTTCCTTGCACCCCAGTGCTGGATGCTGGGTCAAGGGCCTTTCTCCAATAGTACCCTGTGCCCTGTCACAGTCCTTTATTGCTGCATGGACCTTTCGTTATTTAGGTCTGCCTGCAGTCCCACTTCCAGGCTGAACTCCCTGAGGTCTCTGATTCCCTAGGTGTCCTGGAGTCTGGCCCAGGACCTGGCCCCACAGGAGTCCCAGCAGGTGGGCGCTGAGTGAGGGAGTCCCCATGTCTGGTTTCCTCTGTTTGTCCCTCACCTGGTCGAGTCCCAGACCCTACTGATCTTGGCCTGTCCAGCCACCAACAGTAGGCTGCCTTCCAGTGGGGCCACACCCAGGCCTGCCAGAGAGATGCCTCCAAGCAGCTGCTCCAGGAAGGGCCGGGGGAGGGGCCTGGGGAGGGGTAAGAATGGAGCCCCAAGAACCATTCTGCCCATTGTGACCCGCCCTGACCTCACAGCCATCCTTCCCACCGCCAGGCCCAGGAGGTTGGGGGAGACTAACCTGGCAAGGAGCCCCCAATGAGCCACCTCTCCTCACCCCCCAAAAAACATAAGGGGGAGCACAAAGGCCACAGTCTCCCCCATGGTTCAGAAAGGTGGGTTGGGCTGGGAGCAGGGGTCCTACTGGGGTGCTGAGTGAAATGGAGCAGGTGCTGGGGGGCCTGGGAGAAGGTGGGTGGAGGCCCCTGGCTTGCCTGATGCACCAGTCCTCGCCAGGGGTAGCTCCTCCCGGGACAAGGACCGAAGTGCGACGGTCAGTAGTTCAGTGCCCATGCCTGCTGGAGGGAAAGGAAGCCATCCTTCATCTACACCCCAGAGGGTCCCCAACCGCCTGATCCACGAGAAGTCACCATACCTCCTACAACATGCCTACAATCCTGTGGACTGGTGAGCACCTCTCCTGGGGCCCTGCCTGGAATCGCTGGGGTCCTGGGCCCCTCCCAGACCCCCTGGGCTACTGAGTGATGCCCCACCCTGCTGGGTCTAGGTACCCCTGGGGACAGGAAGCCTTCGACAAGGCCAGGAAGGAAAACAAGCCGATTTTCCTCTCAGGTAATGCTCCCACCTTCCCTGATGTGGGGGTGTGGGCAGGGAGTGGCAGTGGATGGGGGAGGGTCCTCTCGGCCTGGCGGGTCTTCCAGGAGACTAGAGGCCAGGACGTCTTCCATGTAGCCAGGGCCACTTGGCCAGCCTCCCTCTGACCCGTTGCTGGCCCCCTGACCTCTCCCCATGGCCCTGTTCAGTCGGGTACTCCACCTGCCACTGGTGCCACATGATGGAAGAGGAGTCCTTCCAGAATGAGGAGATTGGCCGCCTGCTCAGTGAGGACTTTGTGAGTGTGAAGGTAGACCGTGAGGAGCGGCCTGACGTGGACAAGGTGTACATGACGTTCGTGCAGGTGAGCAGCCCTCCTCGGGAGTGTATGCGCCACATGGGCTCAGAGCAGCTCCCCTCACCCTCGCCCTCTCTCCGCCAGGCCACCAGCAGCGGCGGGGGCTGGCCCATGAATGTGTGGCTGACTCCCAACCTCCAGCCCTTTGTCGGGGGCACCTATTTCCCTCCTGAGGATGGCTTGACCCGAGTCGGCTTCCGCACAGTGTTGCTGAGAATACGAGAACAGGTGGGTGTGCCTCCGGGAGTTGGGGGACCAGGGTGGGGGACTAGGAAACAAGAGCCCCTCCCCCTAGCTGACCTCCAGGTGTGCCCCCACCTCCCGCAGTGGAAACAGAACAAGAACACCCTGCTAGAAAATAGCCAGCGTGTCACCACTGCCCTGCTGGCCCGATCAGAGATCAGCGTGGGTGACCGCCAGCTGCCGCCCTCTGCCGCCACCGTGAACAATCGCTGCTTCCAGCAGCTGGATGAGGGCTATGATGAGGAATACGGTGGCTTCGCTGAGGCCCCCAAGTTTCCCACGCCGGGTCAGTGCCCCACGCCCGCCTTAGCCCAGGCTTTGGCCTTCTGATTCCTATGCTGGTCAGGGACCTACTGGCTCCTGGCCTCACCCATAGCTTCCTGTCCTCCTGACTGGCAGTGACCTCCTTGCCCCTAGCCTGTCGGTAGCTATCGGTGAAGACCCGACTGCTGGTGTCAGCAGTGACCCTCTCACCTTAACCTAGATGATGACCTTCTGTCCCCTGACTTGGTCAGTGACCCAGTGACCCTGACTTGGCTAATGACATTCTGGGCTCTAGGGGGACAAGTAACTTACTGGTCCTCTGTGAACCAATGATATTCTGACCTCTGGCTTAGGCTATTACCTTCTGTCCTGTGGGTTGACTCTTGACCTCACAGCCTGTCCAGAGACTGCCTGTTGAGTGAACTCCCAGCCTCTGCCTGGCCCAAGGCCTCCTGACCACCCCGATCTCTGTCCCCACTTTCCCATTCTCTCACCTGCATGTTCTTGGTGCCCCCACAGTGATCCTGAGCTTCCTGTTCTCCTACTGGCTCAGCCATCGACTGACTCAGGATGGCTCTCGGGCCCAGCAGATGGCCTTGCATACCCTGAAAATGATGGCTAACGGGGGCATCCGGGACCATGTGGGGCAGGTGACGGGCACTGGGTGTTCCCTGGAGGGGCAGCAGGGGGCTGTGGGGTGGGGCAGAAGCTGGGACTGGCCTCCAGCTTTGTATCCGCACAGGGCTTTCACCGCTACTCCACAGACCGCCAGTGGCACGTCCCTCACTTTGAGAAGATGCTCTATGACCAGGCACAGCTCGCTGTGGCCTATTCGCAGGCCTTCCAGGTGACCCCTGACCCCAGCCCAGAGAACAGGCATCTCACTCTGGCTGCCCCTCCCAAGGCCTTCCTGGTGACTGTGGCTTCTCTTAATCTGAATCCCCTGTTCCCTCCCATGTACCCACTACCCAGGCTTCCCTCCCCCGCCTGCCTCAGAGAATGTTGCCACCTTCCACCTGGGCCTCCCCAGTGACCTCTCTGTTCACAGTCTCCTTTCTTCCCTTTCTTAGCTCTCTGGTGATGAATTCTACTCTGACGTGGCCAAAGGCATCCTGCAGTACGTGGCTCGGAGCCTGAGCCACCGGGTGTGTGTCCATGGTGGCAGGCAGGCCTGGCTGTGGGAGGGGTTGGGGCCTCCACTGCCCTGTGGGCCGGGGCCAGCCAACTCTCCCCTCCCCACAGTCCGGAGGCTTCTATAGCGCAGAAGATGCAGACTCGCCCCCAGAGCGGGGCCAGCGGCCCAAAGAGGGCGCCTACTATGTGTGGACGGTCAAAGAGGTTCAGCAGCTCCTCCCGGAGCCTGTGTTGGGTGCCACCGAGCCGCTGACCTCAGGCCAGCTCCTCATGAAGCACTACGGCCTCACAGAGGCTGGTAACATCAGCCCCAGTCAGGTGAGGACTTCTGGGGTCACCTGACGGGCCCTGGTGCCTGCCAGGCGTGTGAGCTCGCAGACAAAGGCCATTCTCCTCAGGACCCCAAGGGGGAGCTGCAGGGCCAGAATGTGCTGACCGTCCGGTACTCGCTGGAGCTGACTGCTGCCCGCTTTGGCTTGGATGTGGAGGCCGTGCGGACCTTGCTCAATTCAGGGCTGGAGAAGCTCTTCCAGGCCCGGAAGCATCGGCCCAAGCCGCACCTGGACAGCAAGATGCTGGCTGCCTGGAATGGTGGGGCAGCACACCTGAGACCGAGCCTGTCTGTAGGATCCCCCTTCACAAAGCCCCTGTCTTTCCGGCAGCGGCTAAATGCTCACTCTCCCTTGATTAGCGTTATTATTCTCAGTTGACAAAAGAGGCTTAAGGAGCTTGAGTAACCCGCCCAAGGTCACGCGCAAGGGCTGGGAACCCCGCCATGTCTGGCTTTGGAGCCCAAGATCTTAGGGATCACCCATGGCTCCAGGGAGGTGTTGGGGCCTAAGGTGATAGGGTGGACATGCCTGGAGGGTCCTGGCCAGCTTCTTACCACTACTTGTCTCTCCTGGCTCCAGGCTTGATGGTGTCAGGCTATGCTGTGACTGGGGCTGTCCTGGGCCAAGACAGGCTGATCAACTATGCCACCAATGGTGCCAAGTTCCTGAAGCGGCACATGTTTGATGTGGCCAGTGGCCGCCTGATGCGGACCTGCTACACCGGCCCTGGGGGGACTGTGGAGCACAGGTTGGGGGCTGGGTAGACCGGGAGGGCCCGTCTCCCCAACGCGTCCCCAGCCTACCTCTGCCCTACTTCTCCCCTCCATGTGGACTCCAGTCCTGGCTCTGCCAGGTGCTTGCTGTGAGTTTGTAGCTTCCCTGGGCCCATTTACTCATCTGGGAAGTGGGCTGATGGCACCTGCCCAAGAGGGTTCATCTGGAGGGTTAAGTGAACAAATGCGTGAAAGGGCCTCCTCTGGGAAAGGCCCTCTCTCCTGGGGCTCTCCCCAGCCCCTCCCGTAATGCCTGTCCCCCAGCAACCCACCCTGCTGGGGCTTCCTGGAGGACTACGCCTTCGTGGTGCGGGGCCTGCTGGACCTGTATGAGGCCTCACAGGAGAGTGCGTGGCTCGAGTGGGCTCTGCGGCTGCAGGACACACAGGACAAGCTCTTTTGGGACTCCCAGGGTGGCGGCTACTTCTGCAGTGAGGCTGAGCTGGGGGCTGGCCTGCCCCTGCGTCTGAAGGACGGTCAGTGGGGGTGCAGGGCTAGTCTGGGGTCCTGGGAGGTGTAAGTGCAGCGTGGGTGAAGAGCTGGTGTGGGCAGGAGCCCTCCTGGCTTTGTGTCTCTGCTACTTATTAATGGCGTGATTTTTGGCTGCTGTAATATTTCTGTGTCTCAATTTCTTTTTTTTAAATAGAGACAGAGTCTTGCTATGTTGCCCAGGCTGATCTTGAAATCCTGGGCTCAAGTGATCCTCCCACCTCGGCCTCCCAAAGTGCTGGGATTACAGGCATGAACCACTACACTCAGCGTGTTTTGTTTCGTTCCTTTCTTTTCTTTTTATTTCCTTTCTCTTTCTTTCTTTCTCTTTCCTTTCTTCCTTTCTTTCTTTTCTTTCTCTCTTTCTTTCTCTTTTTTTTTTTTTTTTGAGACAGGGTCTCACTGTCACCCAGGCTGGAATGCAGTGGCATGATCTTGGCTCACAGCAACCTCTGCCTCCGGGGCTGAATCAATTCTCCCACCTCAGCCTCCTGAGTAGCTAGGACTATAGGCATGCACCACCATGCCTGGCTAATTTTTTGTAGAGATGGGATTTCTCCATGTTGCCCAGGCTGGTCTGAAACTACTGGGCTCAAGTGATCTGCCCACCTCGGCCTCCCAAAGTGCTGGGATTACAGGCGAGAGCCACCATGCCTGGCCTGTTTCTTAATAAGTAAAATGGAGCTAACATTGGTACTACCTTACAGGGTTGATGTAAAGATGAATGTAGCTGTTCTGTAAACATGCTTAGCACAGTAACTGACACCCATGGATTCAGATATTGACCAAGGCTCACTTGGTCTCTGCCCTCATGAAGCTTACAGTATGGTAGGGGAGACAGCGAAAATGCAGTAATGATGCAAAAACACATGCACAAATGTGCAGTTAAAATTGTGGTGAGTGCCATGAAGAAGTAGGACGCTCTATGTGTGCCTGCTCCCTATCACCCATGTGCCTTGTCTGTGGTTAAAGGTTTCTTTCCCAAAACTCAAATTTTAGCTCCTCAAAGATCAGGACTTTCTGCCACTGTTGTATCCCCAGGGTCTAGTGTGGTTCTGGCACATTGTAAGTGCTTAATAAATGTTAACTGAGTGAATGAAAGGGCCTTGGGAGAGAACCACAGAGGAGGACCAACTCAGCCTAGGGAGAGATTAGAGGACACCTGTGACAGGTGTCATTTAACCAAGGCCTGGAGGGAAAGAGGGGCCATGTGGCCATGGAGAAGCTGTGGAGAGAGTTCAGGCATAGGGAGCAGTGCATGACAGGCCTGGTGCAGGCAGCCTGTATCCTGGAGGACAGGCAGGGCCCGCGTGTTCCAGGAGGGCACCGAGGAGAATGCTGAGGCCGGCAGGGCACGGAAGCCGTCTTTTTTTTTTTTTTTTCCTAAGAAAAGAAGGCTGGTCTCAAACTCCTGGGCTCAGGTGATCCTCCCGCCTCGGCTTCCCAGGTGCTGGGACTACAGGTGTGAGCCACCATGCCCGGCTGGCAAGGAGGTTTTAAGTGGATTGTGATCTGCTCTGGTATGGTTTTAAGGAGGTCACTCTGACCACTGATGGAGAGAAGTGGGGGTGGGGGAAACAGGCGACCAGTTAGGAGGCCATTACTCGTGTTCAGTCCAGGCAGGCATTGGTGAAGGCTCAGAGGATGTGGAAGTATGAGATGGGGAGACATGGTGAGATTTGGATCTCTTCTGGCCACAGCCCTGGCAAGACTCACAGATGGATTAGAAGCGGAGGGAGAGGGAGAGGAAGGGGACAGGATGATGCCGCTCTAGCTTGAGCAGCTGAGTGGCTGGACAGAGGCATCAGCAGCGAGGAGGGAGCCTGGAGACCAACAGTTGAGGCTAGGACAGGTAGAGTGGAGGGTGCCATAAAAAAGACAGCAAAGTACTGATAACTGCTGGAGTGGCATCCACACCCAGAGCGGGGAAGGGGCAGGATGGGCAGGGCCTTTTCTCTGTCCCGTCCCCCAAGTGGCCCTGGATACAGTCCTGGGCAGGGTCCTGGGACTCAGTGACCTGCCCTTACCCCCACCCCCTGCCTCCCTATGTGCTGTAGACCAGGATGGAGCAGAGCCCAGCGCCAATTCCGTGTCAGCCCACAACCTGCTCCGGCTGCATGGCTTCACGGGCCACAAGGACTGGATGGACAAGTGTGTGTGCCTATTGACCGCCTTTTCCGAGCGCATGCGTCGTGTCCCGGTGGCGTTGCCCGAGATGGTCCGCGCCCTCTCAGCCCAGCAGCAGACCCTCAAGCAGGTGGGGGGTGAGGGCATCTGGGCTGGGACCTCGGGTAGGAGGGAAGTTGGGGCTGCGATGGCAGATGGGAACAGGGGGTGGGGTTCCTGGGCTGTCCCCAGAGCTCAGGTCTGTGTGTGTGCAGGCACGTGGCCTGTCAGACAGGGAGGCAGAAGTTAATATGAGTCCGTGGTGGCTGATGAAGTGTTTCTCTGTACGTCTTGGTGTCAGTGTAATTGCTTCTGTCCATACTGTGTTACTGGTGTGTGTGTACTTCCGGGTGTGTGTGACCCTGGAGGTGTGTGTCTGTGCACCTACCTTTGAGGGGGATGCTGGTGTGAGTGTTTGTCTGTCTGCATGTGGATGCCCCATCTGCAGGTTTGCCTCTGTGTCTGCCTGCATGCGTGTGTGTCTGGTGTTTGTGTGTGTGGTATCTGCCTCTGTGTGGGCATCTACTGTGTGTGTGTGTGTGTGTGTGTGTGTGTGTGTGTGTGTGTGTGACTACTCTGTGTCTGTCTGAATGGGTCTCTGTGTGCTCTGGGTCTTCTGGGTGTGTGTCTCCCCATGTTTGTATCTGTACCATTGTGTATATGTATGACATTTCCACTTCGGTATTCTCATGTGTGAGTGTGTGTGTGTGTTCCCACTTGCCAAGCATTAACTCATCCTGGCAGCTGAGATGAGTCCCTGTTCCTTCTTAGAGATATACGGTGGGGCGGAAGGAGGATGGGGAAGCCCTGGTGGTCTAGGGCTCAGCCCTCCCTCCCCTGACACACCGGAGTGACCTTTCTATTCCGGTCAGATCGTGATCTGTGGAGACCGTCAGGCCAAGGACACCAAGGCCCTGGTGCAGTGCGTCCACTCTGTCTACATTCCTAACAAGGTACCCATCCCTGTGAGCCCAATCTGCCACCTCCCCAGAGCTGCCCCCTCCCATCCTCAGCTCCTCAACATCTCCTTCCCCTCAGAATGTTGGGAAGAGGGAACTTCCCAGTGGGCCTTTCTAATGGGCAGGTGACCCCACCCCGGCAGGTGACTCTCCCTGCTCTGCTGCTGCCCTAGGTGCTGATTCTGGCTGATGGGGACCCCTCGAGCTTCCTGTCCCGCCAGCTGCCTTTCCTGAGTACCCTCCGACGGTTGGAAGACCAGGCCACTGCATATGTGTGTGAGAATCAAGCCTGCTCAGTGCCCATCACTGATCCCTGCGAATTACGAAAACTACTACATCCATGACTGCCCCAACCCCCTTGGGGTGGGGCAGAAGGTGAAGCATCCCAACTGACTAGAGACTCAGGCCCTGCAGGGCCCTATAGAACCTGTGGCCATCCCTGAGCACCCTGCCACCAGGTGACCTCGGCCATACTCACTGCCCCCCTTGGGCACCCACTCACCCTAGAATAAACTTAACAGTGTCCCGTGGTAACCTGAGGGCCTCAGCTTTGCTTATGAGGGAGGGACTGGGAACCAGCAGCTCAGGGCCACTTCCTCTGGCAGCCCCCACCTGACCCCTCTGCCTTCTCCCATTTCTCCTTCATCTTCCAGGGGTCAGCAGACTGCCCCTTTCCCTTCCATGGTCATTGTAGCCTGAATGAATTTAGTCCCCTGAACTGAGGTCAGGGGACTAAAACCAAGTAAAGATGCCCAGGGGTGGGCATGGGGGTGTGGACTGGCCCAGGAGGGAGAAAGCACAATCCTTGCCCTCAGAAAGAGGTTAAGAAGGGAACCTGCCCTCCCCTCCCCATTGTCTCCTTGTGTTGAGCTGGAAAGGGGGCAGAGATGCTTTATATGAGCTTTTATATTTCACAGAATGGTGACTTTGCATATGCCCTGGTGCATTGTGGGAGCTGCTATTGTCACGACTAAGACATTTCTTTTGGGGTATCCATCTAGCCCCAGCCTCGAAAGGATGGAAGCAGGGCCTCCTTGCAGGAGGTCATGTTGTCCATTTGTCTGCTTTCATACAAGCTGGTCCAAAGAAAGAGTTCTCTTTCGTTTGGAACATCTGTTGGGTTGGAAGTCCTTCCCCAAATCTATCTGAGTCCTTCTTGCTGCAGAGAAAGCCTTCCTGTGACCTCATCCTTTCCCCTAAATGTTGGGAAATGCTCCTGAGTCCTGTCCTTGACACATACATCTTCCTTGGGTTGAGGGATGGGGACTGGGACACATGCTTTGGGAAGGGCAGGTGCAGAGTGATGGGGCTGACGGGGTGGGGGAAGCAGGGGGAGGAGCTGTCCCTCTGAGGCCTTTGGGAATCGGCTGTGCCAGGCATCCTCAGCCCTCCAGCTAAGCAACACAGAGAGCCAAAAGAGGCTACTAGAGACAAGAAGGCCTTCATGGGGCCACTGCTTGTGGGGGATGTCAGCAGTGGGGAGGAGTGAAGCAGGAAGGAACCGGGAGACTGGATGGAATTGCTCCCTTCACACGGTCACACATAGCCACACATGGTCACTGGGACCAGAGTCAGCTCTGTCTGGGCAGCCAGGCCCTCAGTGCAAGCCACCAGCCCATCTGGAGGGGATTAGTGCTCCGGCCAACAAGGTCAGCTGGCCCCTTCCTAGCTGGAGCCTACTCAACCTTGCCAGGAAGTCAGAGAGCTGGACAAGTGGAGCCCAGCCTGGGGAGGTGGAAGAGAGGGAGGATGGAGCATGGTGAAGCACAGGTGGCCTTTTTGGCAGCCCCAGCCCTGGCTTTGGAACAGTCTGGGCAGTGTGCCAACCCCTCTTGCCACTGTCGTCCCATTGACCCTCATGAATGAGTTGCGAAGGCAGTTACCTTCAGCCTCCTATGGATAAATATTCGAGGCCCAGAGAGGGTAAGAGACCTGCCTGCGACCCCTCAGCACTTCTGTTTCTCTCTGGGGTCTTGAGGGTACAATAAAGACCCCTAAGGCTTCCTCTTCTCGCAGGAGGTCCAGGCGCAGCTGTGGGGGAGGGTGCCCTTGGTGTCTTCTGTCCCTGCAGCCAGTCTGCTTTCTACTCGGCAGCTCCTCTCTCCCTCCTGGGATGAGATGTGCACGCGATGATGGGATTCTGTAAATGGGTTGGGAAGAAGGAGTTACCTCCTTAAAGGGTTAGTTCTCCCAGGAGTGCTCGAATTTCTAAAGGGGGCAGGGTCCCACATAAATCTCACTCAGAAGCAGGATTATAAGAGTTCCTGCAGCATCCCTTCCCCTTTGCTGGTCCCTCTTGAGTGTGCACCCTGTTCTACCAGCGGAACACCTGCGGGCCAGGGTCACTGGAGACAGGGCCATACCGTCTGGGCAGTCACTTAAGTAACTTCATCATTCTGAGCACCCCCCTTCCTTATCTGAAAGGTGGGGGGCCATCCACCCAGCTCTCAGGGCTGTTAAGGTGACTAAATGGGATAATGGTTGTATCATCCCTGAGCAAAGGGTATCACAGATGGGAAGATTATCTTAGCTCCGCAGGGAGCCAGATGGGCTGTGAGGGAGGGGTAAAGGCAGGGCTGGAGGGGGCTGGAGGGGCTGGCTGAGCAGGGTATATATGGGGGGGGTTCTTCCTCAAACCCAGAAAAACTCTTAGTTAGGCTTAGTGTCTTTGTTGAGAAACTGAGGCCCAAAGAAAGGAATTTCTTGTCCCTTTGTTTCCCTTTCCCTGCCTGAGGTCATTCATTCACCTAACAACTTTGTGCCCGACACTAGACAAGGCCCTAGTGAGCAAAATGAACATAGCCCCTCTGGGAACACAGAGCCTAGATAGGGAGATGATCATTTCATTACTGCAAACACAAACATATAATCCCAGCCTGGGCTAAGTGCTGTGAAGTTCCAGACTTGTGTCTGGCTCGGTGCTGTATCCTAAGCACCTTGGCACTTAAGTGGCATTGAAATACTTGCTGGAAAGAAGGCCACTCTGAGGAGGTGATGTCAGAGCTGAGGCTTGGAGGGCTGGAGTTAAATAAAGATGGTTTCAGGTCTTCTTTGCCTTCCCTGTAGGTTCTGCCTCTGCCTCCTCTCTGGCACTCAGGCTAAGGGTAAGCATCTCCGACTGGCCATCAGCCCCAACATGCCGAGTACAGGGATCAGATCCTGTCTTGCGTGGCCGGTCTCCCCTAGGTCCTGAACCCAGGGAAGTGCATGTGGATCTCAATTTATCTAGATGGTGCGTTTGTGCCTGCCCTCCTTTCGGGCATGTTCTAGAACAGAGTTCAGTCCAGAGCCCAGGGGTGGCCGGGATGATGGATGAGGGTGTGGGGCCTGCTGACCACCAGGGGACCTGATCATTGGGCTGGGCCAGCCTCTCTGTCCTCATTTTCCCCTCTGCAAAGAAGGGGTGTTGGGCGTCCCTACTTCTCGCGCCAGCCCCGGGGCCTCTATCCTGGCGGGAAGGGCAGGCCGACCCGGCAGACTGCGGCCTCTCGGGAGGGAAGAAGGTGTCAGACGCGCGGAGCAACCATAAATAGCCCCCCTTTCCCAGAAGACGGCACGGGGTTCAAGACTCAGGCGCCGCATACTCAGAATGAGAGCAGAGACTCCCGCCAGGAAAAAAAGGCACTTAGGGGATCTGCTCATTAGCATGAAATGCAAATGAGCCCGCCCGGCCTCATTTACACAACTCTGTGCATGGATTCGGCGAAAGGGCAACCAGGGAGACGACGGCGCAGCAGCCACTCTGCCACTTCCCCCATCCCCTCCCCCCATCGGCCGGGGCGGGAACTGAGACGACCCCAACCCTCTGCGGTGGCGGGAGGTGCGCGGGGGCTGCGTGGGTGGTGCAGCCTTAGGAGAGTGAACAACGCCCAGGGGTGATGGCCTCAGCAAAGTGAGGGGTGGTGATGGAGGTCATCCGACCCATCCCGCCGCCTCTCCGCAGTGGCGCAAGCGCCCCAAAATCTCCGGAGAGGGAACTGACTGACCCACTAGGTTCCGCCGTGTCTACCTCTCGCAGATGTTGGGGAAGTGCTTCCCGGCGTCTAATCCTCGCTGTTCCCCCCTCCACCGGCGCCCAGCACACCCGCGGCGCTCCGCTCCCGGGTACCCACAGCTTTCTGGAGTGGCGCCGGCGGCAGGAGAGAGCTAGAGCCGACTGAGCCCCAGAACTCGGGGAGGTAGGCGGGGCAAGGGCCGGGGTCTGCGCGTGCGTGTGCACGCGTGGAAAGCACAAACCCACGAGGGCCCGCTGCCGGTAGGGTTAAGGTGAGTGAGTGAAGGCGGCAGACCCGCGAAGTTCCAGTTCCGCGGACACTCTTTCCCTAAGCCACATAGGGACTTAAGAGAAACTGAGGCACGAAGTTGGGGGGTGGCGGTGGTGGGGACTTTGAAGGTCGAGTCGATAAAGCCCAGCTCTGTGCTTCCGCCCCCTCCCACACACTCGAGACCCCCACAGGTTCCTTCTTAGGGGTCCTCGCTCTGCTCCGCAGCCCCTCCTGGGGATCCGGGCTCTGCGGTCCAGCGCGACCTGCCTGGGGCCACGTGTTCAAGCACGAAGCCCCTGCGTGGAGTCCACGCCCTTCAAAAGGTCCCTAGGGGCAAAGGGATGAAGCCCAGGAGCGTCAATGTGAGGTCAGGTCCAGCGGGTTAGGGTTACGAGGTCAGGGTCGAAGTCTCAGAATTGACTCGGGAGTATGACCAATAAGCCCAAGAGATTTGTGGAGGCCACGCCCAGACCATGCCTACCCTAGCCTTTCTCGAGCTCCGCCCGTTTCTCCAAGACTGGGCCCCTCCAGCCTGAAGCCCCACCCCCAGGACATCCAGCTCCGCTCCTTCCCTCCCCCAGTCCCGCAGCCAAGCTCAACTCCAGGGTGGGAGATTAACCAGGTGGAGACCTGGGATTTCGCTCTGGGACCCCCTGGTGACAACCCTCACCCCCGTGCCGCCTGTCTCCTTTCTTCCCCAGGCCCGCCCAGAGCTGAGCTCCGTCCTCCGGCTGCTGCCCAAATCAGGGGTCGTGGACAAAGGATGCCTGGGGCCTGCGGCCCTACGCCAGGACCCCGCGCCGAATACTCTGATTCTTCGGGCTCCCTCCAAGGGAGTCCCAAAGACCCCAATGGCCAATAGGAAAGTGGGTTCGGTCTGGGCAGCAGTCTGATTGGCTCCAGCCTTCGGGAGCGGACCCAGGGGCAAGGGGAGGGGAGAGGGGCGGTCCTGGGTTTTGGGGTGGGAATCGGATTCCAGCTGTGGTTCTCTCCCTGCGCTCCCGCCCGCACTGCCACGGCGGACGGCCAATGGGCGCGCGGCTCGGGGCCGGCGGCGTCCGGCGATTGGCTGCGGGGCTGTCTGGGGGCGGGGCCGAGGCTTGAAGTTGAAGTGAGGGATCCAGCTGTGGTGTGCGCGGGGCTCCTCGCCGCCGCTTTCGCTCGCTCGCTCCGCGTCTCGGCCGGAGGAGGAGGCTGTGGCGCCGGCGACAGCTACGGCAGCGGCAGCCACCGCGGCGGCTGCGGCGGCGGCATCTCCGCCTCCACTCCCGCCCGGGACTGCCCCCCACTGTCTCCCCGCCCCTCCCGGACAGTGAGCCCGCGGCGGGGCGGGGGAAGGAGCCGCCCCCACCCCCTCCAAGCCCACCCCTAAAGAGATCCCTCCTCCCCTCCCCCGCCGCCTGGCGCGGAGCCGGGACGATGCTGACCCCTTAGATCCGGCTCCAGCTGCGCCGCGGGAAGAGGGGGCGCCCCTCCCCGGACCCCCGCCCTCCGCCGCTGCCCCCCTTTTCGTTCGCCCTCTCGGGGCGGCTTCGCCGAAGGTAGCGCCGAATCCGGCAACCGGAGCCTGGGCGCGAAGCGAAGAAGCCGGAACAAAGTGAGGGGGAGCCGGCCGGCTGGCCCGGGAAGCCCCAGGGGCGCAGGGGAAGCGGGACTCGCGCCGGGCGGGGTTTCCCTGCGCCCCGGCGCCCCGCGGGCAGCATGCCCCTGCGGGCAGGGGGAGCTGGGCTGAACTGGCCCTCCCGGGGGCTCAGCTTGCGCCCTAGAGCCCACCAGATGTGCCCCCGCCGGGGCCCCCGGGTTGCGTGAGGACACCTCCTCTGAGGGGCGCCGCTTGCCCCTCTCCGGATCGCCCGGGGCCCCGGCTGGCCAGAGGATGGACGAGGAGGAGGATGGAGCGGGCGCCGAGGAGTCGGGACAGCCCCGGAGCTTCATGCGGCTCAACGACCTGTCGGGGGCCGGGGGCCGGCCGGGGCCGGGGTCAGCAGAAAAGGACCCGGGCAGCGCGGACTCCGAGGCGGAGGGGCTGCCGTACCCGGCGCTGGCCCCGGTGGTTTTCTTCTACTTGAGCCAGGACAGCCGCCCGCGGAGCTGGTGTCTCCGCACGGTCTGTAACCCATATCCTTCGGGGCACGACGGCCAGGCGCGGGGTCAGAAGGGGGACGGGCCGCACCGCCGGGGGTCGGGGGGGAAGAAGACCCACCGCCAGGTGAGTCGAAGTGAGCCCGGAGGGTAGGCGGATGGGGGGGGGGCTGCCAGGGAGGGGAGGGGGCACCAGAGTGGGAGCGGAGACGCGAGCAGGTCTCGTCGGTAACCCGGGCTTACCCCACCTGCGTACACACACCTCAGTCTTCCTGGGTTGGGGGGGTGGGGATCCAGGCCAGGAGAAGAGAGCTGTGCCCCGCTGGCTCGCAGCTGGACGCCCTCCAGATGTGGTCAGGGGAGGGTCGTCATCCTCCAGATGTGGGAAGCTTCGGGAGCCTGGGAGCTGTACTCTGCCCGCGCCGGTTAGCGAGCTGGGTTTGGTTTCCGAGTTTGGTGGGGGGTGGGTGGGGGCGGTGGGGAGGAAGCTGCGGGGACGGAGGAGGGGGGACCGCAATCTCCTGGGTTTCCCTCCTTCCCCCGCCCCAAAGTTTGCGGCGGATTCTAGGGTCTGATCCCCCAACCTGGTCCTTGAGGCTGAGGTTTTTACTGACCTAGAAGGAGATGTTGGGGGGCGGGGACCAGGTCCTGGCCCACCTCACCCCCCACCTCGCGGGTTGGAGGCACAACAAGGAGATTCCGGCGGCGGCTGATGTCAGGGGCGCAGAATGAGAACAAGATGTGGTGGAGGGGAGCTGTCTGCCCCCGGAGCTGGGAGTGGAGCCCCTTTCCGCTAGAGCCCAGTGCCGCGGGTGCCTCCTACCCGATCTCCATTCGATGCAGGGTGCTTAAGATTGGGTTGGGGAGTTTTATGCTGGATTTTTCTTGTGGAGGGAAAGACTGTGTCAAGAGCTTTTTTAGCAAGTGGGGGATGGGGTTAAGCTGGTCCAGGTTACTCCTCCCCTTTCACAAATAAAGAGTGCTCCTGCAGACCAGGTATGGGGGACTGCAGGCCCGCGAAAGTCTTGAGGGGACAGTAATACTGTCAGTGTGTTCACTAAGGAGGACTCGGGTCCACCACCCCAGCGTAGACTCCGCAGATAGGTTTGGGGAATGCAAGCCCCACATTCCAGGGAGATGGATTTAGCACTGCTCCCTGTCTGCCCAGGCTGGAGTGGTAGGGGAGACCCCAGCCCAGTCAGACCCTAGCTCAAAGCGCCACTTGACAGACGCCTGGCCCCAAGCTCCCTGGCGGGTCCTGCCACCGGGGGAAGGAAAGGTGGAGGGGAGGTGTTGCTGCCATCTCAGGTCTGGACAGCTTCTCTGGGCTCCTTCCTTCCAGCTCAGAGGTTCTTATAGACCCAGGGTGGGAGACCCCAGGTCTCCCTTGTAGCCCCTGTGAGCCTAGCAGGGACTCTGCTTTGGGGAAGGGGGGTGGAAGGTTGGTGCCGCCCTCACTCTCTGCAGCTCTGCTGCCTCTAGTGCGCAAAGCAGGGATGAGCTTGTGGCCCCCCCACCCCCATCCTCTACACCTTGTGGGTCTTTAGGAAGCTCCCCTCATCACATCCTCTTCTCATCCACTGCCCCTTCTTCCTTTCTCTCTGAGCTGCAGAAAGAGAGGTGCAGGCCTCAGAGGTCTGTGTTCTTGCTGAATAGGCACAATCTTGAGGTTTGAGCCCCCAGCCCCAGGCCCCTTTCTCCCAGGCAGGGATGGAGATGGAGAACTGATATGGCTGGAAAGGATGGGTTCCGAGCAACTCTCCTCTCTGCCCCTAATCATTTACCCCTTCCACGAATGGGAAAAAGCATCAACCTCTATGTCCTCCTTCTCAAGGGTCCCAGGGGAGGTAGAGAGAGCTCTTCTCTCCCCTCTCCCTGAAAACAGACCTCTAGGCTAGCATCTCTTCTCGCCTGCCCTATCTCCAGGTGCTAGTGGAGGGTCTGGAGGCAGACTCCTTCACTGAGTGGTCTGGACGGGGGCAAGTGTTGAGGCCTGGCATGGGGGAGGAGAGGTGGGAGGACAGCACTCACCTTGGGAGTTGGGGAGCAGCTTCCCCCAGGGGAGTGGTAGTTGGGTGTGTGGCATCAGCATTACTAGGTCTGGAGAAGCCTGGGTTGGCTGAGGATGGGTTGAGAACAATTTTTTGGCAGGGGACTGCCTAAGCTGTGCCCCTCACCACTGCCATCCTACCCAAGTACCAAGAGACACCTGTATTTTTGCTGCCAGAGGGGCTCTGAACTGCCTCCAGGGCCTCCCTCTTTCTCTTTGTGGTATCTGTGACTCCCCACAGGCTTCAGGAGGGTCCCTGTACGCCTCTGAGCCGGAGGGACATAAGGACACTCCCCTCCACCCCCAACTAACTGAAGCTAGTTAGGCTTTTCTTGGTACATTCTGCTTCTTGGCCTCTCCTTTTTAAGGGACCAGGTTTCCTAGAGAGGAGATCTAGACCCAGGTAGGAAGTGTGTGTGTGTGTGTGTGTGTGTGTGTGTGTGTGTGTTGCAAGGGAGGACAGCAAAAGGCTCAGAAGTGCAAGCTTTGGTGTGGAGAGCAGGGGTACTGGCAGACAGTCACCCCTGCCTCAGATCAGAGGGGAGCATGCTGGCCTTTCCAGTATGTGTTCCTGCAAGTGTGAGGGAGCGCGCTCCCCTCTCGGGGAGGAGTTCCTCCGCATTCCCTCTCTGGCTGTTGTGTCACATCTGGAAGTTTGTGTAGGAGTTTCTCCAAGCTCAGAGCCCAGCACAGCTTTTTCTCATTTGGAAATCACAGGCTGGCATTTGGGATGCCGAGAGAGGGGGAGTGGGAGGGGGGCCAGAGGGGGAGAGGGGAGCCTGCCAGGAGTCGGGGGAGGAGAGGGGGGGGAGGCCTGAACGGCAGGAGCCCTAATGGCTTCCAGAAGTGAGTGTGAGTGAGTGACTGTGCGTCACTCTGTGTGTCTGAGTGTGTCCCTCTAGAGGGGTGGGGGCACAGGAGTTTCTGGAGCCTTCCTTGCCACACTGTCCCAATGCCCCAAGTCTGCCTATTTCTCTTACCTAGGGAGAATTCTCCATTTCTGTCCTCAGAGGAAATGGTGGGGGGAGTGTTCTTCCTGTCTCTTCATCAATTCCCTCCTCCAATTTAATTTCCAAACCCTAAGCTCACCAGAGGAGATTCTGGGGAGAAGGGCTGGGGCTGGAGAATTGAATGGGATTGAGGGGGGGCCAGATCACCCCTTGGCATGCTTTCTGCCCCAGGCCCACTTTCCTTCTGGGTCACACACACATTCCTTCCCACCCGCTCTGCTCCACCGCTCTGCTGGGGGACTCCCCATCACCCGTAGTGCCAGTTGGAGCCATTCCTGGGATTACCCCCACCACACAGCCCCCCCCACCCTCGCCTGCTCCCGCCCAGCACTCACCCCGCCCTGCCTGCCTCAGCCAGGATGGCGACAGACACAACTGCTCACACGCAGACATGCGCACGCGCGCGCACACACACACGCGCACACACACACACAGAGTCACAGACGTTTGAATCAGATTTCTGGCCTATTTCCCCTTCCAAAGATTCCAGCGGGCCGTCTCTCTTGTGTCTCTGTGTCTCATGTCTCTGTCTCTGGGTGGAGCCGGCTGCCTTTCTGTGAGCTTCAGTTTTCAATTCAGCTGGAAGCCTCTCTCCCCCTACACCCACGCACTGAAGCGTGGTGAGGGGGGAACCACAGGGAAATAGGCTTGTGGGGTGGGGCGGGGGGTTCTGCTGGGGGAATCCCCCTTTGAGCTTTGGAGCAGGGCGGAGCCCCTACATCCCATGTTACCCTAGGGGTTGCCGAATCCGATAGACACCAGGAGCCTCTCTGTGGGATGGGTGAGGCAAGGACCTATCCCCCTACCTCCTCATTTACTAGAAGGCCAGGACTCCTGGGTCCAGGCCCATTTTCTCCTCAACGTTCCTTAGTCTCACATTTCCAGGCTCCTAGGTGGGAATGGGGCCGCTGGAGGGCCTGCTTGCCTTCTCAGCCCATGCCCAGAGCCCCTGTGCCCCTAGAGGTGTCCCAGCCACCCCCCTCCTCTCCCTACTTTCCTCACCCTTGCGGCTGCCAGGCTAAGCAAGGGCTCTATCTAGATAAAGCCCCACACAGAGGACTCATTTGTGGAGATAACATGCTCTAGTTCTCTCTCCCAGGAGGGAGGAAAGGAGGAGGGATGGAAGTGGGGTTCCTCTCTCTGCCGTTTCCTTTTTCTCTGCTTTTGATGGTGGGTTGTGGGGAGAAGAAAGATCCTCCCCTCTCCTACCCCCTCTTTGGGATCCACTCCAGCCCGGACAGTCACCATAGCAACAGTAGACATGTGACTGCACAGGTCTCTCATAGTCACTATGGCAACCAGTGTCCCCCGTTCCCTTGGTTACCATGGGGATCTGTCACATGGTTTTCCCCCAACCTGATAACCTGTGGGTCTCCCTGATTCTCCTCCCCTGCATAAGGACAAGACAACAGCCTCAGTCAGGGGAGATCATGTGAGAGGGGTCTTTTTAATTACCATGACAACAAATCCACACCACCTGGTGACACATCCTCCTGTCGTTATGGCAACAGAAGAACATCACACAGTGACATACTGCCATGTTCCCAAGGAAACAAGCCCTACTCTGAGAAGGGTGAAAGACCCCCCCCCCATCAATTATTCCTCTATTCAGAGTGTCCCAAATTGTCGTGTGCCTTGGTCTCTTCCCTGTCCGTTTATGCTTACGTGTCGTGGAAGGAGAGCTGTACAGGGTGGGCAGGATGTTACTTGGAAGTAGGCTGAATTGCCAAGGGACCCTTAAGAAGGGGCTGACATGATCAAGAGCTGTGCATGAGGTTATTCGGGGGCAGGCTTTGCCTGTAAGAGGCCTCCAGTCTGAGCCTGGGTAAGGTGGGGACAGAAAGAGGGGCAACTCCTCTGTGAGGTCACTTCTGTACCTTCCCCCAGTTATAAGCAGTTCACCTCTGTCAAGGGAAACAAGGCAGGAAGACCTGAATGGGGACACACATCTGGCTTCTAGGCAGGGAGACTTATTGATTGGTTGATTCGTTCATTCATTCATTCAGTCTTCCCAGGTATTGATCATCTGCTCCGTGCCAGGCACTACAGCAAGCTCCGTAGGGGATCTAAAGACGTATCAGAATGCCCCTGCCTGTCAGGAGCCCCAGCTCAGCAGGGGAGGTCGACAAGTGCACAGATTACTAACACGGTGGAACTCTGCCATTAGAGGGGTCCAAGCAGATGTCCTGGGAGCCCCTCTTCCTCAGAGATCTACTGCCTCCACACAGAGACATTCACTCACTGGGGCTCCTTCCAGACCCCCCTTTCCCTGCAGAGGAGAGGAGGGGACCTGCATGGGGAAAGCAGACCAGTTCTTGAGGGTAACTGTGTCTTTCCCTTTCCAAATGATGGCTCCCTTCCTGTCCCCCTTTTTCCAGGGTGACCCCTGGCTGACCCCCATTCTGGGGAGAGATCCACTGCACTCCGGCTCTACTCAGAAAAACAATTCCGTGGAAACAGAGCACTTTTTATTTCCTCCCTGTCATCTGCCTACCCCCAAAAACCTAGAACTTTTTTCTTAAACCCTCTTATTCTTGTGAGGGGGTGGGGGTTAGGGAAACTGCAGTGCATTAGGACTCTCGGGGTACCACGGACAGGTGGCGAGCAGGCATGTGAGTCTAGGGGAGAAGGGCCTGGGTGGTGGAGAAGAGACAGGGGAGGGCTGTCAGGGGTTTGAGGGATTCATGGGCTATGGGGGAGGGCATGTGGCTTGGGAGTCAGAACAGAGATGGGCTATGGCTGGGACCAGCTGGGAGGAAGGTCCATAGGTTCCTGAACATTCCTGCTGGCCTCTTCATGCCTGGCCAAAGCCTTCTCATTCCAGAAGCAAGATTCCACCTGCTCTGGGCCCTACAGAGTCTGGCTTGGTGGGTCATGCCAGGAGCTGCCACAATACCTCCCCCATCCCCATTCCCCAGGGGGTCTCTGGTCTCCTTTCCCCAATCTCCTGCTCTCTGATCTTTTCTAGCCTCTTTACTCTTCCCCACCCTTCTCATATTTTCCTTAAAGAAAATAGGATACTTGGTCATTTAACCGTGAGTCCAGTGCCTGGAACCTTCTAAGGTCCGGAGGCCGTTTTGTACATTCTCCTGCTGATGGGCTGGAAATGAGTCACCCCATAGAATCCACTGTATGGAAAGACCCAGGGTTTAGAAAGAACCCCTCTCTCCTGCTTGCTGTTTTGGCTGGTCTGGGCTGGAAGCCACAAGCAGGTGTGATGGCGGCAATGGCCTCTTGGGGGAGGGGGTAGACATTGTCCACTCTGCACGGCTTGGGAGCTATGCCCAGCATGGTGCCTGACACATAATGGGTCCTCAATATTTAAATGTGTGAATATGCCTAGTGGTCATTTGAGGGTGTTGAGAGGTTGGGAGGCTGGTGGTGGAAGAGGGAGCCCCGGGCTCTGGTGCTGTAGCAGCGGGGACTGCAGCTGTGGACGTCTGCCTTACACCTAGTGCCAGGGCGGTCATGACAGGCAGTTCTGCCTGCCTGAGCAGCTATGGTGTGCAGAGGAAACTATCATAGATCAGGAGCTTGGAAACCACCGTCTCATCCTGCCTTCTCGGGTGACCTTCAGCACATGACTTCGGCATTTCTGGGCCTCAACTTCCTCGAGTTCTGGGGAAGAAAATGATCTACCCCAGATATTTCACAGGGCTGTTGTGAGCATCAACTGTGGCATTGTGTGAAAGTGCTTGGTAAACTGTAAGGCAGGCATAATCCGACTTTAGGTTTGTATAACACATTCACATACAGTATCTCATTTGCTTCTCACATCTACCCTGTGAGGTAGGGAGAATAGGATTCAGATTCTGCAGCAAACTCATGGTGTCTGGCATTTCCACAGGCATGATCGATTTATTCCCCAAATGGCTTGTGCAAATAGTCAGGGTATTTGTGGCTTGTCTTCCTTTACAGATGAGGAAGCTGGGTCCAGAGAGGTGAGATGACCAAGGTGGGACTCCCCTTCTCTGATGAGGAGTCTGGGGCTGGGGGCTGGTCTGCGTGTATGTCAGGGCCCTGGCACCACACCTGCTTAGCCTCAGATGGAGCCAGGAGGTAAACGAGGAGGAGGTGTTAGGGCGGGGTCGGGGGGCCGGCCTCAGCTCCAGCCTTGGCCAGCTGTTTCCTTGACTGCCAGTACCTGGTTTGAGCGCATCAGCATGTTGGTCATCCTTCTCAACTGCGTGACCCTGGGCATGTTCCGGCCATGCGAGGACATCGCCTGTGACTCCCAGCGCTGCCGGATCCTGCAGGTGAGTGTGTGTGTGTGTGTGTGTGTGTGTGTGTTGTGTGTGTTGGGGGTTGGCCCCTCTTAATCTTAATACCCTCTACTCCTCTGCAAGAGGCCCTGACCCAACTGGTGGGGACTAGGGTGGGACTAGAGGGTATTCCCTCACCCACGTCTCAGTTTCAGCCACCTCTTGTCCCCACATCAGGCCTTTGATGACTTCATCTTTGCCTTCTTTGCCGTGGAGATGGTGGTGAAGATGGTGGCCTTGGGCATCTTTGGGAAAAAGTGTTACCTGGGAGACACTTGGAACCGGCTTGACTTTTTCATCGTCATCGCAGGGTGAGGACCTGGGCTGGGGTGGGAGAGCAATGGATCAGATCGGTCCCTTCCCCGGGGCCAGGGTTCTGGGCCTGTGACCTCTCAGCTCCAGCCCAGTTACAGCACCACTTTCTCCCTGGCTATCTCCTGAGGGTCTGAGGCTGCCCTGCCTCTAGCACTGTAGCCTATATTCTAAATTCCAAGGCCCTATTCCTAATTCTGCCCCCTTCTCTGATGGGCAATCTGTCCTTGTCTCGGGGTAGCCTTGCCCCCCAGACAGAGAGCCGGATCTTCAGGGTCCCTTGGTGAAGAAGAAGAAGGAGTCAGAGGTCATCCTGCTGCCCCTAAAGCAGGATTCCTCATTGACCTCTTTTGACCCCACTGTGGCCTCAGACTCAAAGGGCCTCCCTTTGGGCCCCTCCCTGCAGGATGCTGGAGTACTCGCTGGACCTGCAGAACGTCAGCTTCTCAGCTGTCAGGACAGTCCGTGTGCTGCGACCGCTCAGGGCCATTAACCGGGTGCCCAGTGAGTGACCCCTCAGCCCTCAGCCCCTGAAGAGAGCCCCAGGAGGAAATGTGGAACTCTCAGACCCCACCTCTACTACTGTGTCCTCACCTGACCCCTCACAGGCCCCGTCAGAGAAGGGCTCAGTGGGGAGCTGGGATTGCTGGAACAAAATGGAACTCCTGAATGTGGCACTATGGGAGTTACCTGGGAAAACCCCACCTCATTTTAGCCTGGCTTTAGGTCAGAGTCTCAGAAACATCTCAGATGACCCTCTTCCTTCAGCTAGATGACCACTCCCCCCAGGAGGATAGGGGTGTGGGGACTGGAGAGGCTGACAGGCAAGGAGTGGACGCAAAGTGCTAATGGCCTTTTCTAGCCAGAACAGCCTCTCATGCAATCTGGTTCTTGCTGGTGAGACACGCTGGCCACGCTGAACGTGACTTCTCTCAAGACAAGGCCACTCCATGTCTCACCCTCCGCCTCTGTCCCCTTCCTCCTTCCCGCCCCCTTCCAACCCATTGCAGTAACTGCCGGGCCCATTATCTAAATTAAACTGCATTGGTTTCTGGAGCCAGCGAGGCTTTGGCAGCTCTAGTTCTCCCTACATACTGCCCCCTCCCTTTGCTCAGGCCCCCTTTGCAACTCCCCAACCTACACAAGCTGCAGATGGTCCCTGCTGTGGTCCTAGGAGTGGGGTGGTTGGCGAGGAATGCATGTTTCTGGGGCTCAGTGCCTGTTTGTGTACCTGATGTAGCAGCAGCCCCCTGCGCTCTGTGTGTGTGTGTGTGTGTGTGTGTGTGTGTGATGTTGCTGCTGCCCCTGGGAGGGCAGAGCTGTTGAATGTGTCCTCTGGGGCTCGGGGTGTGTTGGTGTTAACAGGAGCTCCAGAAGAGGGGCATGCCTCGCCTCCTCTCCCGCCCCAGGTGATGGCTGGCAGATTTATAGGCCTCTGTCTAACCACCGGTGTAATTCCCTTAATGCAAACCCTGAGGAATTGATCTCAGTTGGAGCACAGAGAAGCTGAAGGGGGATGGGGTAGGAGGAGGGGGAGGGAGACTGAGTGAGAAAACTGGGCTGGCAGGGGCGAGGCTGGGCGCTGCAGTCACCAAGAGGGTTAATTAGCTGCTGCTTAGCAGCTTTTGCCCTGGAGGGGCCAGGGGGCCATAGATGGCACTTTGGGGGTGAAGCCAGCCATTAGAGATCTGTCTGCTTGACGAGGGCTTGGCGGACTGGGGGCTGGTTCAGACCATTTGGGCCGGTTGGGTTCTAGACCTGGAGTACGGAGAGAGGGAAGTAACCCTAACAGGGCTTTTGAGGAGGGGGTTTCAGTGGCTTTCCCTATGGAGGGGGTTGTAAATTGATGGACTTCTGAGAAGACAGTATTGTATCTCTTCAGGTCCTGATTTGGGGATCTGGACCAAGCAGGGAATAGTTTCAGGGAAGCAGGGCTCAGAGCCATAGTGAAGCACAGGGCATCTTGGCCCCTGCCTAGGAGCTGGCTCTCAAAATGAGATTCCTGCCTGCTGTCATTCCTCCTGGAGTTCGCTGCCTCAGTTTCCCTAATGACTCTGGTGGTGATAACTTAGAAAGGTCAAGTGACTGTGCCTGTTGAGAGAAGGAAGTAGGTAGGGAGTGTGCGTGTGAATGTGTGCGGGTGTGGGTGTGTGTTGGAGAGGGATTCGGAAGCCAAAGCCTGGGTTCGAGTTCCGGCACCTACACTTAGCAGCTGTGTGATACTGGGTGAGTCAAGTCATTTCTCCAAGCCTCAGACTTCTCATCTGTGAATTGGGAGTGATATTATCCACATGTGATGATGTTGGGAGAGTTAGGAGGGGCCACAGTTTCCCCAGCTCACTGTTGGTGGTACTGTGCAGATTACCGTGGGCAAGCCACAAGGGGAAGTGGGTCGGGGCAAGGGGCTGCAGAGGCTATCTGGGGAGTCAGAGGTGTCTGTTGGTCTCCCCTCCAGCTTGAGCCGGGCCGTCTCAGCCTCAGAGTCCCTGGTGGGGCCCCTCCGGGAGTGCTGCCGGGCCGTGGCAGTCAGCCTAGCCCGGCCAGCCTGGTGTCCCCAGCGTGGCTTCTGCCCCCACAGGCATGCGCATCCTTGTCACGTTGCTGCTGGATACGCTGCCCATGCTGGGCAACGTCCTGCTGCTCTGCTTCTTCGTCTTCTTCATCTTCGGCATCGTCGGCGTCCAGCTGTGGGCAGGGCTGCTTCGGAACCGATGCTTCCTACCTGAGAATTTCAGCCTGTGAGTGGTGGACAGGGTCCAGGGAGGACCTGGGAGTGGTTATGGGGCTGGGCACCCCCCCAAGTTCCTCACTTCCGGTTGCTACTGACATATCTGTTCTAACATCTGAGACATATCTGGTTCTCAAACTTGGCTACCCATTGGAACCACCTGGGGAGTTTTAAAAAGTACTGATGCCTGGGTGCCACCTCCAGAGATTCTGATTTCATTGCTCTGGGGCTCAGCTTGGATGTAAGGATTTTTTCAACCCCTCCAGTGATCCTAACTTGCAGTGAAATTTGAAAATCACTATTCCAGGATGTGACCTTCCAACATCCTGAGTCTGGAGTTTCCCCACTCAGGCCTCATGCTCCTGGTGCCCACAAATCCCTGCCCTGCCCAGTCCCTTCCCCATTCTTGGTTCTGCCCTGCTCACCCTATATGCCTCGAGCACTCGTGCCATCTCTCCCTTCCTGGGCCCTCTCCCTGGAGAGCCCACTCCCCAGTCTCACCCCTGTTCCCCTTCCCATCCTGCAGCCCCCTGAGCGTGGACCTGGAGCGCTATTACCAGACAGAGAACGAGGATGAGAGCCCCTTCATCTGCTCCCAGCCACGCGAGAACGGCATGCGGTCCTGCAGAAGCGTGCCCACGCTGCGCGGGGACGGGGGCGGTGGCCCACCTTGCGGTCTGGACTATGAGGCCTACAACAGCTCCAGCAACACCACCTGTGTCAACTGGAACCAGTACTACACCAACTGCTCAGCGGGGGAGCACAACCCCTTCAAGGGCGCCATCAACTTTGACAACATTGGCTATGCCTGGATCGCCATCTTCCAGGTGGGGCAGCCTGGGCCCCGGGAGCTTCCCCAGAACACCAGCCCCAGGACACAGCCCAGGATCGGAGTGGTCGCTCTCAGGGTTGGGGTGGGGGTCAAGGCCTCTGGAGGAGACTGAAGGAGGATTTGGTGGGCCCATAGTCAGCCTGCCCCTCTGCACCCCCTAGGTCATCACGCTGGAGGGCTGGGTCGACATCATGTACTTTGTGATGGATGCTCATTCCTTCTACAATTTCATCTACTTCATCCTCCTCATCATCGTGAGTGACTCCTCAGATCCCCGTGGGGATGGGCGATCCTGGGGACACCTGTGGGGGCAGTCCAGAGAGGGGATAGTTTGCTCTGTCTGAAGTTTTTAGCTCTCAGGACAAGTCCTGTAGAGAGGGCATCCATCATATAGTAGGAGGGACACCAGATGCAGAGTCAGGAGGAAATCCAAGGTCAAGGCGGGACTTAACTGCTATTGGGACCTTGGGCAAGTCATTCTCCATGAGGCCTCCAGCACTGCTCTGGGCCTCTGTTTCTTCATGGGTAAAATGAATGGTTCTCAACCTGAGATGATACCACCTCTCCCAGAGGGCATTTGGAAATGGGAAAGGGTGATTCTGGTTTTGATTTTTTTTAATAGCTTTATTGAGACATAACTCACATATCATTCAATTCATCCCTTTGAATGAATCCAGTGGTTTTTTAAGCATGTTTACAGAGTTCTGTTTTTTTGTAAGGACAAGGGGAGTGCAATTGGCAATTTGTTACTGGGGGAGGGGAGAGAAGCTAAACATCCTGAAATGCTTGCAAATAAAGAATTATTCTACCCAAAATTCTGATCAGTGATCAATTGGTGTTAAATGCTGCCTGATCTCTTATTCCTGCCAGTTCAGAAATTGCCAGACTTTAAGAAGGCAGAAGACGGAGGCAAAAGCAGCAATATTTAATAGTTTTAATCACTACCATTCATAGTTAATAACTTCATCGCCACCACTTTGAGCTAATATTTATTGAGCACTTACTATGCGCCAGCCCCTGATCTAAGCACTTTCAATGTGCTGGTGCATTTAATCCTCACCGTGATCCTCTCCATTTTACAGATGAGGAAACTGACATTTCCTCATTTATCTGACCCTACCAGACGCTTTGCCTATGCTGTGTATTAATCTCCAAGAGTGGGGCATCACTGCTGACGTATGCTGTAACATCTGCTGCCTGTTTAATCCTCGTCGTCCCCTGTGAGGTGCCAGGGCAGGGATTGTGGTCCCCATCTCTTAAATGAGAATTCAGCGCCCCAGAGGGTGGGTCACTGGGCCAAGATCACACAGAAAGTAAGCGGCTGGGGCTGAGAATTCAGTCCCAGGCTAACGACTCCACATTCAGCCTTTCTTCCATGTCACCAAGAGGCCAACGACAGAGCCAGACAGAGGGACAGACATTGAGAGAAAGAGATTAAGAAAGATTAAGATCTACTCAGGACCTAGGACTAGCTCCAGAGAGAGATGAAGACAAAATAAGGCAGCTCCTTGTGAGAGACAGAGGGTAGGCCCTGAGAAAGAGCAAGTCCCCAAGGCCACCTCATTCTGCCTGCGTAACTTCCCCTGGTGCAGAAGAGTGGGCAGGCTTGGGGCGAAGCCTGACTGGAGGCCTGTTCCCATCCCTGGCCACCACCTCAAGGGGTGAGGCCAGTGCTTCAGGGAAGTGGGGTCTTCTCACCATGTGCCCCCCCCACCCCCACTCCCTTTCCCTCCTGGGCTTGGGAGAGGGGGAAGGAAGCAGACAGGGAGATAAGGGGCCTAGTTTCCACCCTCCCACACACCCCCTGAAAAATCTTTCCTAACAGCTCTCTGGAATCACACTAGTGAAGCTAATTATCATAATTACTAGGACACGATCTAGAAAAAAAAAATCTGCTTTGTCACCATAAATATTCATTTCCTTCATTTGGGATTGTTGTCCAAGCAATGGCTGTTCCAGAGTTCTGGGGAAACTGAGGCGTGGAGATGGGGACTGGGGTAGTGTGAGCAAGTCAGGTGGCAGCCTGACTAGTCTGTAGGGTCAAGGGTTCAGCCCCTCCCACATCTGAGGGAGGGGGGCACAGGGAAAATGGGGACAGACAAGGCCAATGGTCCCTGTTTTCAGATGAGGATATGAGGTCCCATGGCTAAGGGTCTCTCGCCCAAAGTCACACAGCTAGAATTGGGGCTAGAAGCAGGAGTCTTGTAAATGATGTTTTTGTCAAGATCTCAAGGCTCAATATAATTTGAAAACCCCATGTCCCTAATATTGCGTTCATTTCCACAGCATTCGCTACTCCTAATGGAAATTGCGGAAGGGGTGCTGCGTCTCTGCAGGTGTGCGTGTTTAGGGACAGGGAATTTGAGAGATTGCAGGATAACACCATGTTCAATAGCAATATCTTGGAATTTCATAGAGCTTGGTTCCAGTCTTAGCCTTGCTCTGAATTAGCTGAGTGATCTTGGGCAAATGTTTGACCTCTGTGGACCTGAGTTTCCTTACCTGTCTGATGGAGATTACAATAGCATCACCTCCTGAGGCTGTCTTAAAAATAAAATGAGATAATGCTTGGAAAATAACTGAGCGTGGCGCTTGGCTCATAGGAATGCCTCCGTATGTGGTGGCTGGCATTGTGATTCACTTTTCTTCAGGACATTTCCTCTTCCTGTCCCCACCCCTACAGGTGGGCTCCTTCTTCATGATCAACCTGTGCCTGGTGGTGATTGCCACGCAGTTCTCAGAGACCAAGCAGCGGGAAAGCCAGCTGATGCGGGAGCAGCGTGTGCGGTTCCTGTCCAACGCCAGCACCCTGGCTAGCTTCTCTGAGCCCGGCAGCTGCTATGAGGAGCTGCTCAAGTACCTGGTGTACATCCTTCGTAAGGCAGCCCGCAGGCTGGCTCAGGTCTCTCGGGCAGCAGGTGTGCGGGTTGGGCTGCTCAGCAGCCCAGCACCCCTCGGGGGCCAGGAGACCCAGCCCAGCAGCAGCTGCTCTCGCTCCCACCGCCGCCTATCCGTCCACCACCTGGTGCACCACCACCACCACCATCACCACCACTACCACCTGGGCAATGGGACGCTCAGGGCCCCCCGGGCCAGCCCGGAGATCCAGGACAGGGATGCCAATGGGTCCCGCCGGCTCATGCTGCCACCACCCTCGACGCCTGCCCTCTCCGGGGCCCCCCCTGGTGGCGCAGAGTCTGTGCACAGCTTCTACCATGCCGACTGCCACTTAGAGCCAGTCCGCTGCCAGGCGCCCCCTCCCAGGTCCCCATCTGAGGCATCCGGCAGGACTGTGGGCAGCGGGAAGGTGTATCCCACCGTGCACACCAGCCCTCCACCGGAGACGCTGAAGGAGAAGGCACTAGTAGAGGTGGCTGCCAGCTCTGGGCCCCCAACCCTCACCAGCCTCAACATCCCACCCGGGCCCTACAGCTCCATGCACAAGCTGCTGGAGACACAGAGTACAGGTGAGAACTCTGGGTGGAGGCATGTGGGTGCCCTCGTCTGGGGACTGGGTGGCGTCCCAGAGGGGACTAGGGGGTCTGGAGTCAGAGGGACCAGGGCTTATATTCTCATGCTGCCTCTCATGGCTTAGGCACCTTCAACCAGTCACATCCCTGCTATGAGCTCGAATTTTCTCATCTGCTAAAGTGGAACTCATAATTCCTACATTGTAATAGCAGTAACTATCATGTAATAAGCACCTGCTTCGTGCTGTTTGCAATGATGTCTAGCAACTGTTGCACACAGCAATGGCTGTGTGCCTGTCACATGCTTTGCGGGCAAAATTCCATTGGATCCTCTCTACCCATTAAGTGATAGGCTTTCTTAGCATCCCCATTGTGTGGATGAGAACCAGGAGGCTTGAGGGGATTGCATGACTTGCCCAAGGCTTTGCTATTGGTGAGGGGCGGACTCGGGGCCCGCACTCGGGACTCCTTGTTGTGAGGCTCAGAGAGGAAATGGTGTGTGACTGTGCCCAGCTTCATGCCCCACTGGCTAAACCTGAGTCTCATTGCCTCCGCACAGGGAGACCCAGTTCAGGGAGCTGCTTGTCTGATGGGTGACACTCCCAGTGTCGTGGGGGCAGTGAGACACATAGGGACGTCGGGCTCTCCCCAGCAGACAGGTTCACTGTAGCTGCAGCCCACGGCCTGTGTTTCAGGAAGGATGTGGCACGTGGGGAGCAGCGGGATATTCGTGGGGATGTTACGTGGGAATGTGGGCTGGGACCAGAAGGTGCTATCACAGAACCCAGAGCGAAAGGTTTCTATGCCAGCTCCTCCACTACCCTGCCACGGGACGTGGGCCAGTCACATGCACCCACGTTTTTATTTCCTCCTGTGTAAAAGGCAAGGCTGGGCCCATAATTACTCTCAGTGGGTGCTTACTGACTCCCTCCTGTGTGCAGATGCAGTCAAGGGAGAAATGTCGCTGAGAGCCCACCTGGGGCCAGGCCCTGAGCGGGGGGCTTCCACATCCATGCTTTACCTGGTACTCTCTGAGGTTCTCATATTCTGTGATCAAAGCTGGATTTAAAGGGACATTGATGTCTTGGGCTAGGTCCCTGAGTGTGTGCGCACGAGTGCATCTAGTATGCGTGTATGCGTCTATGTCCATGAAGGGGTCCAGTGTGTGTGTGTGCGTGTGTGCATGCACGTGTCTGGTGTTCATATGCATATGTGTGCACATGTGCTTGATGTGTGTAGGTGCATGTGCGATGTGAAGCTCTTTCCTTGGTGTGTGTGCATGTGTGCATATGTCTGGCATATGTGCCGTGTGTGAATGTGTTTGTGCACACATGTGTTGGTATGTGCATGTATGTGTGCCCATATGGTGGTGTCCAAATAGTATACATGTGTACACGAGTGTGCGCATCTGGAGCACGTGTGCAGGTGCACGTGTCTGGTGTGGGTGTGTGTGCAAGTGCACGTGTGTGGGCGTGTCTTAAGGATCCCATGGAAAGTGCTGCTCAGAACAGTGTTGATGTAGTCCTGGCTTCTGGGAAGGGGAAGGGGAGCGAGGCTCCTTGCTGAAGGCACCTAGGATATAGGAGCTGTCCAGGACCTCAGAGGACATCCAGGCCACCTCTCTGAGCCCCAGGACACTCAGCAGTGACTGTCAATGAAGTGCTATTGACATTAGGGCATCTTGTGGGTCAAGACTGCCCACCTTGCCTGACATTCAGCACCCCTGGCCCACTAAGTGCCTAGCACCCCATCACTGTAACAACCCCAGACTCCCTGACTCATTTTACACATACTCACAGGGCAGGGTAGCCCCAGGTACGAGACTCTGGAGCCTCTCACCTCTACTCTCCTGTTCCAGGTGCCTGCCAAAGCTCTTGCAAGATCTCCAGCCCTTGCTTGAAAGCAGACAGTGGAGCCTGTGGTCCAGACAGCTGCCCCTACTGTGCCCGGGCCGGGGCAGGGGAGGTGGAGCTCGCCGACCGTGAAATGCCTGACTCAGACAGCGAGGCAGTTTATGAGTTCACACAGGATGCCCAGCACAGCGACCTCCGGGACCCCCACAGCCGGCGGCAACGGAGCCTGGGCCCAGATGCAGAGCCCAGCTCTGTGCTGGCCTTCTGGAGGCTAATCTGTGACACCTTCCGAAAGATTGTGGACAGCAAGTACTTTGGCCGGGGAATCATGATCGCCATCCTGGTCAACACACTCAGCATGGGCATCGAATACCACGAGCAGGTAGGAGAGTGGGCAGAGGCAGGGCTCCTGCCAGCTGCTTTTCGCCTGGGGCTGGGGCCTTCTACCTCCCTCCGCACCCCTCCTCCTGAGCTCAGCTTCCTCTCCATGCTGCTAGCCCACCTGGCAGGTAGGAGGGGAGGTGGGTGATGGAGCAATGCATGGGGATTCTCTAGAGGGAGTGCTTAAAGTCTCTGAGTATGGAGGTCGCCTCAGGTAGGCCACAGGGTATGTTCTACCCAGGAAGGCTGCTCAGAGGAGGCTGGCTTTGAAGGATGTGAACAAGTGGTGAGCATCAGCATGTGGGGAGAGGCGCGTCACTGGGAGATGTTTGGGTCTTTGGAGAAGGTGTAGTGCGGAGGGCGGGTGTTGGAGGTCCTGTGGCATCCATCTGACCCACTAAGTCCGGGTGTGACTGATTGGAGGCAGGAGGGGCCATGTAAACAGGGGTGCAGAGGGGAGGGTTGGTGCCTGCGCCTGGGTGGAATGAAGGCCTGTTGGGGTCAGGGAGGGAGGCAATCTTTCCTGGCCTCCCGTCTGGGAGCCGTGCTGTGAACCAGGGCAGCTCAGGGTGGATGAGAGTGCCCAGCATGGCAAGGGGACTTGAAGCCATCGCGTTTGAGGAATGATTCTAAGAACCGGGATGTTTAGTTAGGAGGAGCAAGGGCTCAGCAGGGACAGGCAAGCTGTCTTCAAATATTTGAAGGGCTGTCATGTGGAAGAGGAAGCAGGCTTGTTTTGTGGGGCTGATGGCTACAAGCAATAGGATCTGGGCTGAGGGGGAGGAGGCTTTTCTAACCCTCAGAGCTATGCAGAGATAGAAAGGGTAGCCTGGGGGACCCCACTGATCCCCCATCATGAGCTGAAGATGCCCGCTTGTTGGGGGTCCAAGCAGGCACCATGGGTCCTCACAACTGGGTTTGGCTCCCTCTTCCACAGGGTTCTTTCCAGAAGTCGCTCCCCCTCCCCCCAGTCTGGCCTTTCAGGTCACCCCTGTGGCTGATTCTTGGAAAAGGAGAGAGGCTAGCAAGCAGGTGCTGCAGTTCACGGTCCTCCCAGGCTCTGTTCTCCTGGGTGTTCTGGCCTCCCTGGGGTAGCACGGAGGCACTGGGCCATCAGAACCCAACCTTCCCTGGTTTGGAACGAAGGCCATGCACCTCCCCACCTCCGCACCCTCCCAATCAGGAGCAGAGGCGGAGGGGGCCAGTGGTGTGGAGTGGCTCTTACACCAGCACAGCACCCTGTGAAAGGGGCATCTCAAAAAGGTGGTACAGGCAGGGTGGTACAGGCATGCTGGGAGGTCTGGGTTGAGGCTGAGGGGCACAGGTCAAGCCGGGTCTGGAGCAGACAGTGAGGTGTTCACTTTTCCGGGGGATTCGAAGCCCGCCCCCACACCACTGACCTCTGCACCTGCAATATTTCGAGCACCCAGCTTTTACCCAAGACTGCTCGACCTGGCCAGGTGCACCCCTCCCCATCACCATCACACATTGGCGTCCCTTCCTCTAACCTCCACAGGGCCCCCTCCAAGCAGCCATGAGGTGGAGAGAGAGTGGGACCCTGGCTGCAGTGCCAGCGGGTGGGCGCACTTGACACCACGGTGGGCATGTTGTGTCTGGGCTACGTGGGTGTGGGTGTGTGTGCACATGCCAACTCTGCCAGCCTCCCAGGGAGAGGTGCTCCACTCTGCCAGATTGGTGGCAGTGGGGGGTGGGCAGCATTTTCTGCTTCCGGGACCCAGGTGGTGACAGCCCCTAACCTCCCATTACTCAGGCTCCCTGAACCTCAGCCTCCTTTCCCTCACCCCTGTTCCGGCCATGGTCAGGTGCCCCTCCCCCAGGGGGCACCTCCCCAGTGCCCCCTCCCTACCCCGGGGGGAGCACCCAGCAGTCCCTGCCCAGCCGATGCTGCTGGTGGAGGTTTTGATTGCACTGGGAAGAAGCTGAGTCACACAGACCCAGGGCAGATGAAGCCTTGGTAAGAGGGCTTTCAGTTAGATGTCAAGAAGGACGCCCCTTTGGAGAGAAGGCAGCAGCCGTCAGTCAGGGGTGCCTGCACCTTCTTCTTGCTCAGGCTCCTGAGGAAGGGCGGAGACAGCCCAGGGCTCCCACTAAGTCCTCAGCAGCAGGGAGGCCTCACTCAGTGACAGCAGTGTCTGCTCCAGGGAGGGTTTTGTCCGCATACCTGGTGCTGAGGGCCCCATGGGGGTGAGCGGGAGTCCCCAGCAGGCTGGGCAGATGACTGACAGCTGTCCAGCGGGCTCAGGGGTGCGGAGAGTAAGAAGTCCCAGAAGCTGCCATGGCCCTGTGCTTGCAGGCACTGCGGCGTGAACGTCCCGCCATCTGGGCCCTGGAGCCTGAGCAGGCTGGGAGTGGGGGGTTGCCAGGGAAGGCAGCAAGGAGATGTGGGGGGCTGAGACAGAGACACAGAGTGGGCACAGAGAGGGAGACAGAGACACATGGGGGAATGGGGACACAGAGGGAGACAGAGAGGAGACTGATGGGGGCGAGACAGAGGCACGGAGGGCAAGATGGAGACGGGGGAGGAGGGCAGGAAGAGAGACGCGCAGGCAGGGGAGAAAGGATATGGAGGGAGAGATGAGCCACAGCGGAGACAGACAGAGACAAATGGAGCCACAGAGACACACAGGGAGACAGAGACACAGAGAGGGAGCTGAAGACAGAGACCGAGTCCCAGATGCAAATGAGGGCAGAGACGGGGTGGGATGGGGAGACAGAGACTCCCCTGGAGCTGGCTGCATGAGGAGGCTCACGGCTTCCCTGCGGTGCCCTTAATGAGGCAATTGTGTCCATTGATCCCGGAATCGATTGGATGGGGGGGCGGGCACTGGAAAGGGTGTTGCTGGTGCTTTGCCAGAGGAGGAGTCCCTGCCCTCCCTCCTGGCCGTCACCGCTGCCCTCCCCAGGCCCTGTCCTCTCCCACCATCCCCTGGCTGACTCATCATTCGCTTGTCCCGTCCCCCCAACCTGCGCTACCCCACCATCCTCCTGACTGAGGAAGCACCTATATGTGATACCCCACCCCGCCCGGGGCTGGCCCCATGCTGTCCTCTGTCTCCTGCTTCCTCCACCCCTTAACCACCAGCTGGAGGAGAACTGGCAGGATTGGGTTTGCCCAGAGGGCTGGTGAGAAGGACAAGAACCCAGGAGACTGAGGAGAGAGCAAGAAAATGACCTGATGTCGAAGTGTGATCTGATATGGGGCCAGCCTACATGTGTGCCCCATCCGCTCAGGGCGGTACATGGAGTCCAGAACCTTTTTCCAATTCATCCTTTTGCACTGGAGTTGGGCCTAAGCAGTGATTTGCTGGTAAATGATTAACAACTAGCCCTTCTAAAATAATAAAGTCCTGATCTGTAGCATTTGCCAATTTCCATGGTGTAAATGCTCCCACCATAGCTGGTTTTAAGCTACCAACACGATTCCACCGAATGTGGGGTTGGGAAGAGACGTGGACAATTGGTTCTCCCAAGCCAGTGAGAAACAGCTCCAGCACGCCACTGGGCCCAAGGCACTGTCCTTCTTTTTAAAGAGGTCACAACAAGTAAACGGTCATATTTACTTGATGTGGCACATGCTCAGAGAGGGATACGTGGAGGAGGAGCCCTTAACCCAGACCAGAGAAGGAATTCAGGGAGGGCTCCGTGTAGGAGGTGACCTCTGGGCTGAGTCTGAAGGAAGAGTAGGACATAGCCAGTGAAGGTGAAGGGCAGGGCACAGTATGAGGGCTCCGGCAGTGGTCCAGGCAGTTCATACTACATCTTCATCCCTGGAAATGGAGAGCAGAGGGCTGGGGAGAGCTGGCTGGTAGCTGGATCTGCAGGACCCAATCAGTTGGAAACATGGGTTGAGAGGAGGCAGCAAGGATGACTCCCAGGTTTCTACCTGGGGTGGGAGCAATGTGGCTTGAGCAGATGTGGGCTGGGAGACATGTTGCATACAAGGTGCCTGCGGGCCATCCTGACCATATCCAGCAGGCTGTCGGAGCTCAGAAAAGAAGTTGCCTTCTCTTCTGTGTCCTGCCTGGCTCTGCACTGGGGCCAGACCTCTCCAGGAAGAGGGGAGTGCAGGAGTGGGGCCTTGGAGACACAGGAGCTTCCTAACATCTCCTTCCTGGCTCTGGGTCATGGTGGGGTGGGGGACAGGTGCTAGTCTAATGTTCTAGAAGAGGGACAACAGCATATGGGGAGAGGGGAGCTACATGTAGCCCAGTGGTCTCCTGGGCTGTAGACGGGGAGAGGAAGGGGAGGGACCAGGGTAGATGGCCTTGCAGGCTGAGAGAGGACAGGGCAGGTGATGACTCTGCTCATTGCTCACACTCTGGGGCCATCCTGTCACTCCAGATACATGTCCAGAGAGGGTTTCTATTTATAAGTGAGTGAGTTTGGCTGTTCAAGGCGAGAGAAGCTGGGGGTGGGGCAGGAGGAGGTGGTCCAGATATGGTAAGTCTGAACTTTGAAGGAGGTCATAGACTCCTTTTCAGTTCTGCTGAAGGCTGGGGACCCTCTCCCCAGAAAATCCCCATATGCCTGGACACCCTAAATGTGGCCTTTGAGGGCAAAGGTTGATGGACACCTCCCACCCCAGCCAGTCCCTTGGTCTCCAGATAGAGGAGCCCTGGCTGAAGAGCTAGGGCTGAGGACCAAGCAGAGCTTTGGGGGATGATCCTTTGCAGCTGACTGGCCCCAGACATTCAAAGGCTATCTGGTGTGGGAGGGAGAGGGGCATTGTTTTGGAGATGTCTGCTAAGGTGTTCTCTTGTTCTTTTAGGCATCCCCTGGCTCCAGGCTCTCCCAGTTCTGCAAACAAGGGGAGCATATCCTGTGCACAGCACACTAGAATAGAATATTAGAATATCAGGGGGTTGGGGGCTGAGCCAGAAACACCCAAGAAATGTAGGTTCTGGTGGAAAAGTCATTCTGTTTCATGGATGATTATGCCAAATGCCGCAAGAGAGGCTTCAGGGGACAAAGGAGAGCTGCTCATCCCCAGCTCTCCTTCGGAAGGGCTTCACGAAGGTGGTGGCTTTTGAACGGAGCCTCGAAAGATGAATGGAATTGACAGTGGCTTGGGTGGTGGGGGTGGGGGGAGGTGGGAGATGGAGGGGTGGGTAGGAGCAGAGAGATCTAGGTGGAGGGATTAAGGCACATGCACAGGGTGGCACTCGATGCTCTGAAGGACAGTCAGGTTTTCCTCCCTGCCCTGGCCCCGAGGTGTCTGAGCAGTGATTGATGTTAGCCCAGCGAGGAAGCCGGTGCTTCCCATTGGTGCAGGCTGGGTGGAGGAGGGCCTAGAGGCTATTTCTGTTGTTCAGATCAGAGGCAAAGAGGGCCCCAAGTAAGGCCATAGCTATGGGAACGAGGGGTTGTGGGTAGGACGCAATTTCACTGGCAGGTTCTCTGGGCCGGGGCACCTTAGTGTCCAGAGGGAGGAAGGGTGGGCAAGAATCCTAGATAACCCGAAGTTTCTAAGGCAGAATCCCGAGCATGATGGCGCCACCCGGGAAGGAGCAGGTTTGGGAGAGGAGGCGAGAGGGTTTGTTTTGGATGCACTGAGTTTGAGATGGCTGTGGGCCATCCCAGGAGGGAGATCAGGCAGGCTCTGGATCTCTGGATGAGAAGCCAGGGGCTTGGAGAGATTGTTTAGTGTCGTCTACACCCCAGTGACAGCCAGAGAGGTAGGAGTGGGGGTACTGGTGGAGGGAGCGGGCTTAGACTGAACTCTGAGGAATGCTGGCCTGAGGGAAGAGAGGCGGTGAAATGAGCACTGGGAAGGGGAAGAGGTGGTTGCTCAGGGTCGGGGAAGCCAAGGGAGGCTCAGCTGCTGCTGAGGCATCCACTAAGAGGAGGGCTGGGAAGAGGGTCCCTGGACAGAGCTGGAGCTGTGGGGCCCAGAGTTCAGAACTGAATGAGTCTGGAGTCCCACAGAAGCTTTCTGCTTTTAGGCACGGGGGAAGGAGATTGGAGAAGTAATGGATGCAGGCATAACTGATAGGCCAGGGCCCAGGGGAGCCGGGGGCGGGGGTAGGGGGTGACAGGGGGGCGGCGGGGGAGCACATCAAAGAATCAAAGTGCAGGTGGAGGAACGGCTGGCTCCCTTCCAGGAGAGGAAGAGAGACAGTGGGATGCACAACACAGAGCTCTTTGGAGGAGGGACGTGGAGCCCCCCATGTAAGCCTGCAACGAGGGGCCAGGTGGGGAGTAGGGCTGGGGGCTGCAGAGTCCAGAAGGATTGAGGCAGCTCCTGGGGGAGAGAGGAGACCTAAGAAGGGAGGAACCAGGGACTGTGAATAAAGGCATGAAACAGCCATGGGGCCACCACCCACAGGGAATCACTTGTCCAGTCAGCACATGTTCGTGCCTCTCTCTAGCGATACTCAGCACTTCCAGAGCCGCAGAGGAGAGGAGGAGGGCAAGGGCACTTACCTGGGCTGGGGCTGGGCAGGGCAGGAGCTCTTGAAAGTCTTCGTCAGAAGGGCAGCCTTTATGTGGCCTACTGTGGCCCACCATGGGCTAGACGCTGTGCAGGTGGACAAGGCACAGGGGCTGCAGCTCCAGCATTTTATTATTTATTTATTTTAAGAGATGGAATCCTGATCTGCCCCCTGGGCTGGAATACAGTGGCTTGATCATGGCTCACTACAGCCTGGAACTTCTGGGCTCAAGCGATCCTCCCACCCCAGCCTCCCCAGTAGCTGGGACTACGGGCACCTGCCACCATGCCTGGCTATAGCTCCAGAATTTTAAGTAGCAGGGGCCTTGGGTCAGCTGTCTTGAAGCTGAGTGGGCACCGTGAGTGTGCTGTGCCTAGTTAGCTTGTGTGTTTACTTTTGAGGGCTTCGGGGAGCTGGGAAATATCATGTCACCTACACCCCAATGACAGTGGAGAGGTGGGAGTGGGGGTGCTGGTGGGGGGAATAAGCGTAGAATGAACTCTGAGGAATGTTGCCCTGAGGGCAGAGAGGCAGTGACTGTGGCTAAAGCCTCTCCTTGGCACTGCCTCTGATTAGGAGGCCCTGGGGGCACCATGACACCTAGCAGTGTGCCCAGTGGGCAGGAGGGCACAGGAGGGGGGATCCAAACTGGAGAGCTTCCGGGGGCTGGGGAAGACCAGGACCATGATCTACATGATGAGGCCTGTGAGATTTCCAGGAAACCTCCTGCCACCGAGGTGTTCCCTGACTTCCCACACCTCCTTGAAGACTTGCCTCCCACTGACCCAGTGACCCTCACTGCCTCACTGCAGCCTGTCTGTGCCCCTGTCCTGGGTGGGTGGGAGCAGCAGGCAGGCCCATCAGAAGCAGAGGTGAGGTGAGCTGAGGAGTCTGAACAGAAGAGCAGAGATTTCAGGGTCAGTGGAGCAGGTGGAAGCTGGGGCGATGGCAGCTGGCTGGGGTCGGGCTTGGGCAGAGCACGAGTGACTGGTCCAAGCCTCTGCTCAGCTCTGACGAGGCCTGTCCAGCCCCTCATGCCCTCTCTGCAAGAGGCACATCACTGTCTGCCAGAGCTGGCTCTCAGGCCTCCTGCCTGGACTGCTGCAGTATCCTAATTGGTTTCTGTCTCTACCCTCCAAGCCGTCCACACGCTGCCACCACTGCAGCCAGATTAATCTTCTTCATACACTGCTTTGTACATCTCCTTCCTCCCTTCCCACCCGCCCCCAGGGCCTCAGTGGCAGCGTGGTAGGCAGAGACTTGTCCAGAGGGAGCAGAGGAAGGCTGTTCCACCTGGCCCTGCCGACCTTGTAGCCTTCTCTCCCACCAGCCCCTCTCACCCTCTGATCTGGGCAGACAACTTGATTCTTGGTTCTGCACTGTGCCCTGCACACCCCTTCCCTTGCTGTCCCCAGCTGGGGACACCCTCCATGGACATCCTCCCAGGCTGTCCTCCCCACTGGCCCACTGACCTCAGCCGGGATTGAGCTCCCGTGGCTCCTGGGTTTTGCCCCCAGTGTGGTGTTTAGTTGCAGCCTTGCAGATATCGGTCCTGCCTTCTGTGAGCTTGGCCCTGGGGCTGGGGTTTCTCACAGCCTTTCACTCCTTTGTTCTGTAGAGCAGCCTCCCAGGAGGTAGTGTTACCCTGTTTAACAGAAGAGGCCACTGGGGATCTGAGAGGCAAAGGGAATTGCCCAAGGTCACATAGGAAGAAAGTCTCAGAGTTGGTGGCACCTTTCTAACACCAGTGTTTGGCACACAGAAGGCACTTTTAGGGCTAGTTGATGGAGCAGCTATGAGGCTTGGGGAGCCCCGGTGCTGGGAAGTACTGAGCAGCTTAACGCTGCTGCAAGGTGACAGCCGGAGGGGAGGGGAGTGGAGGTGTTAGGAAATGGGAGATGGAGATTTACAGTCAACATCAGCACAGACAAGAGACCTGGGACCTCTGGGTGGGATAAGCTCAGGCTGCCTGGCCTCATTTCACCGAAACCTCCACTGGGCCTTGACATCTGTGAACAGCAGGAAGGATGCAGGCTAGACCTGGGAAGGGACTTCCACAGCTGGGGGTGGCCAGTGAGGGGTGGCTGGCTCCAGCCTGATGAGTTTGTGTGCTCTCTGTGTGAGCTCTGTCTGGGTATATGGTGGGGGCGATGTTGTGGAAAAGGTCTTGAGGGCAGAGATGTAGAGGGAGGCACAACGGACCTGGCTCTGCACCTCTCCAGGAGGGTGATGTGACCTCCATCAAGGCACCACACCCCTCGGAGCCTCAGTTTCCCAGACTATCTAGGAGGCTCACAGCCCTCCCTCGTTTGTTGTGAGCAGGGAGGAAATGAAATCCCACGAGGAGGTCTTCAGCCTAGTTGGCCTGTGGTGGGCACTGCCAGATGTTGGCTCCACCCCTGCCCCTTTTCAGCCGTAATTACAGCTCTGGTCCCTGGGGCAACTTTGTTGCTAAGATTGTGTCTCTATGTCCTCGTCCTGCATTCGCAGATCGTTCCCAGCCTCCAATTTAGTAACTTGGACAGACCTGGCTATCTGGGGGAGGAGGGCTCTTTTTCCATGGCTCACTGGAGGGAATACCGGGGCCCTGGAGAAGAAGTGGCATTTACCCTAAGTGTTGCAGGGAGACTAGAGAGAGCAAGGCAGGGCCGAGGGAGTGCGCCAGGCCCCTTTCCACCTGCATCAGGCTGCCCTGCTTTTCCAGGCCTGGAGTCACTTGGCTGGGCAAAACAGGGGTTCCAGCCTTTGCTGGCACAGCCCTTGACAAAGTTCAATGAGGCAAGCCTTATGGGACGGCAGGCTTCTCAGGAGCCTGGCATCATCCTTCTCCATAAGCCTCTCGGTGGTGTGCAGGAGAGTGAGGTGTGCACGTGTCCACAAGCCATCAGTACAGACTCCTGAGAGCCCCGTGGATAACATCGGGGAGTGAAGAGAACAGTCTCCTTCTCCACGCACAGTAGTAGTCGGACTTTTAGAATTCACTGATTGAGTAAATACATGACATCAAAAGCTACTGTGTTTTCAGCAACTTTTAAAAGAACGTTTCATTAATTTTTATTTTTAGCAGCTTTTTGGGGGTATAGTTTATATGCCATGAAATTTGCCCATTATAAGCGTACCTCAGCTGTGTCTTCACATCGAGTTGGTCTTTATTCCTAGAACTCTGTTGATTTGAATATAATTTTAGAAGACACGTTGTGTATCCAGTCCACCGTGTATCTGGATTCACAAGCCCCTCACCATCACCGTGGCTTGGTTCTGAATCCTGACTGTCTAATATTCTTGGAGTCAGAGGGATGTGGGATTGGGCCCCACCCCAGCTCTTCCTGCCCTGTGACTTTGAACATCATACCTGTGCGGTCCATGTTCATTTTAATCTAATCCAAGGCCCGAAAACACGGCGAGTGGCAGAGTGACAGGGAGGAGGGTTTGCCGACTCCCGCTCCCTGGCAGACCGGACTTGGAAGTACAGAGTGGGGGGATCCACTTAGCCAGGTGGGGTCTGAGCCCAGGGCTTTATATGCATTGATCCTGGCCCCGCCCCACCTCCTGTACTGTGCTCACGCCGGAGACACTAATGGCCCTGTGTGACCGGGCTAACCAGGTCAGGTGGCAGTGCCCCCACTCACAATCCACGGAGCTACGACTTACTTGAGATCTGCTGGAGCAACGGGCTCCATGCCATACTGGCCCCCACGACAGCCACTCCCCCTCTGCATAGCTGGCTGTCTGCCTGCCTGCTGGCCCTGACTCTGCCCCCAGGCCTGCCTTTGAACAGTCTGAAAGTTTATCTCTCTCTGAGTAACTGTTGTCCCCGAGGCTCCCAAATGCCGCTCACCTGCTAGTCAGAAGCCCCTTGTTCCGAGTCTTTTCACCTCCCATCCAAGCTGGCTGCACAAACTAGGGCCATTAGGATACATTTGGGTGTCCTCAGGCCTGGCTGCAGGCTTGGTTGGGCAGCTGGCCAGCGAGACAGTGAGAAGCAAGGAGAGGTGTCTGATGGAATGAGTGCCTCATTTGAATGTTTCATTAACCCATACTTTTTGAGCAGCTACTATGGACTTGGCCTCTGCCCTCCAGGCCAGACACCTAGTTTGTCCAGACATCCATCAGGTGGACAGTGGGGTCCATTGAGCCAACCATATCTCTTCTTGCTTCCCCAGCCCTCTGCCTGGCCACACCCCTCCCTTCTTCAACCAGAACCAGGCTGAGGTTGCTCATGATCCCCCCACCCCGTGCCACACCACCTAGACCCTTGGCTGGGGAGACTCCACAAACCCTTAGGCATTCAAGTGCTGCCTCTCTCCCAACTAAGCCTTTCTCTGTGTGTTCACCCCTCACCTTTTCTCCCCTGAACTCCCGGACTTGCTGCCTGGATAATTTATTTTGGCACTGAAGCATTTAAGGCCTCTTGTGGTTATTCAGCCGTTTTGTGTGTGTACAACGTGTTTCTAGCAGACACTGAGCTCCTGGGAGGCGGGGCGTGTGGCTGGCATGTTTTTGCAGCTCCTTTAATGCCTGGTGCATTGCTAGGCACTTCATATTGAAAGCGAGGTCACTAGTGAGCTGGAATGGCAGATGAGACAGGGTTCGTCATTCGTCCTTCTGAGGACTCTAGGGTGCATCCTCAGTCCCAGTCCCAGACTCGGGTAGGGAGCATGAAAGGAATTACCTCTGGTGTTTCACATTTGGCCAGAGAGGTTGAGAATCTTGCTGAAGGTCACAGAGTGAGTGACAGGATAGGCTGAGGATTAACCCGGGTGTCCCGGGCTCAGGCTGAGGCTCCAGGTGTCTCCTCAACTGTGACAACCCTTCCTGGGTGTCTGCGTGTCTTCCTTCTGCCTATCACCATGTGTGTGACTGGGAATGCGTGCATTTTTCTCTCTCTCTCTCTCTCTGTGTGTGTGTGTGTGTGTGTGTGTGTGTGTGTGTGTCTGGAAGGAAGCAAGAGTAGCCAACTGTTGTCCAAGAGAAAGCTGCCAAGTCCACAGAGTAATTGTGGAATACATGTGACGTTGTGTGGGGCTTGACGACCGGGTGTGCCTGTGAGGCCTTGGCGATCGCCCTCTGACATCCGCCAGCATTGTCATGCTGCTGGCCTGGGCCCGCTAGGCTTGCATTGTAGCCTAGGTCAAGATGGGCCATGCAGCTCCCAGCAGGAGATAGGGCGGAACCCACACCACAGGCCTCCCATTGAGTTTGTGGCCCCTGAATCTGAGACCCAGAGCTGGGGCTATGGGTTTCACGTGGCCCTTTCCTGGGGCCCCTGCCCCTGGGTGCATTTCCTCCTGGAGCCTTTGGGGCAGGGTCCTCCCCATGGGCCTGAGCATCCAGCAACCCCTCCGCACAAGCTTGCTATTCCTGCTCCTCCTCTCCCTGGTGTCCCATGTTTGGAGGACTGGATCGAGGGGCTCAGTGATAAGCCAGCTGCCTCACATCCCACCCTGCCCTGCAGCCCGAGGAGCTTACCAACGCCCTAGAAATCAGCAACATCGTCTTCACCAGCCTCTTTGCCCTGGAGATGCTGCTGAAGCTGCTTGTGTATGGTCCCTTTGGCTACATCAAGAATCCCTACAACATCTTCGATGGTGTCATTGTGGTCATCAGGTATGACTACCCCCCGGCACTGACTCTCAGTTGAGGAATGGTAGCAGGGGTGGCTTGGGGCCAGGGGCCATGCCACCTATTCCCCTGGGGTGGAGGGGTCTGGAGTCAGGCCCCACTGACCCCACAGGACCTGCCACTCCTCCTAGGTGGGGGGCTCTCTGTGTCCCCATGCCCCCTCCATCTCTCTCTTGGCCCCACCTTGCTCCTGTTGACCTTGGGCTCACCTCTTCATTGCCCAGGCCCCTCTTTAGTCTCCTCTCTCCACTTCTACCTCTTGTCCTTGACCCCACCCAGGCCTGGGATGGGCGAGGGTGAGATTGGCTTTAGAGGAGTTGGAAGAGGTATGAGGCCCAGCCAGCTGCCCGGCTCGAAAAGTGCTTGGAAATCATCTCAGACACCAGCAACTTGCTTTAGGGTTTCCAAGACCTTGGGAAAGTGCTCCGTCCCCGCAAGGCCTGGGGCCAGGAGAACCACTTTATTGCTTTTGGAATTGGCTTTAGATTTCATTAGAAGAGAACAAAGCAAATATTCCATAACTTGATGCAGTTGCATTGGCCAGATTTAGGGAGGGAGTTGTCTACTGCCAGGATGTGATCTCTGGCAGGGAGGAGAGGGCGGAGGGGGCCGGGGCTGTCACCCAAATCCTCACTATCTTGGAGGCTCCTGCTTAGAGGTCTGGGGGCCCACCTGTGCCCCATTTTCTCTCGACGTGCCCACCCAGCCAGGCCCTTGGGTGCTACTGAGTCCTCTCCGAGGGAGTAGGGGGAGAGGGTGAAGGTGCAGGGGGCTCAGGCTGCCTGCCCCCTTTGCAGCGTGTGGGAGATCGTGGGCCAGCAGGGGGGCGGCCTGTCGGTGCTGCGGACCTTCCGCCTGATGCGTGTGCTGAAGCTGGTGCGCTTCCTGCCGGCGCTGCAGCGGCAGCTGGTGGTGCTCATGAAGACCATGGACAACGTGGCCACCTTCTGCATGCTGCTTATGCTCTTCATCTTCATCTTCAGGTGAGGGCGGCATGGCACCTTGCCGGCTGAGAGACCGGCCAGGCTGGGGGCAGGAGGGCCTGAGGGGTGAGGAGCACTGGGCTCTGATCCCTAGCTTGTGGCCCCCTTGTGCCCACAGCATCCTGGGCATGCATCTCTTCGGCTGCAAGTTTGCCTCTGAGCGGGATGGGGACACCCTGCCAGACCGGAAGAATTTTGACTCCTTGCTCTGGGCCATCGTCACTGTCTTTCAGGTGCGAGGGTAACAGGGCAGGGCGTGGACAGGGGCCGTCAGGTGCCCCTAGTATAGGCCCTGATTCCTGTCTTCTGCCCGCAGATCCTGACCCAGGAGGACTGGAACAAAGTCCTCTACAATGGTATGGCCTCCACGTCGTCCTGGGCGGCCCTTTATTTCATTGCCCTCATGACCTTCGGCAACTACGTGCTCTTCAATTTGCTGGTCGCCATTCTGGTGGAGGGCTTCCAGGCGGAGGTAACCCACTGCTCTGCCCACCTCACCCTGCCCACAGCAGTCCCACTTCCAATTGGCTGCCTGTCTTGAGCCTCCTCCCTCTGTTGCCAACTTTGGGGGCCTGGGAAGTCCCACAGGAAGAGCCTCTTAGACTAAGCCGGGGTGGACCAGGGCGGGAGGCTCCAGATCTCGTGCAGCCCCTCATCACATGGGACACAGGGTGGTTGTTTGGGGTCCCTCCACCAAAGCTTAGCTACCGAGTAGACATCCCCTTCAGAGTTGGCTAGACCCCTTCCCCAGAGAGGCAGACCAGATAAGTGTCTGCCTGTGGTGCAGCTGGACTCCTGAGCACAGTGCTCTATGGAACACCCGGAGAGGACCCCTCTGAGCCGAGGGGTGCAGGAGGCTTGTGTGCAAGTTATCTGAGCTCTGACTGAGCAGATGAAGATGCCACTAAGACCAGAGCAGGGCTGAGCTGCCCAGGGTGAGAAATGAGCCCAATTAGCTACGGGCATGGCAGAGATGAGCGTCCTATTTCCAGCCCAGGCTCCATCACCTTCGTCACAGGCAGCGTCATCAATTAATATTGATTTACATTGATCCTGCCCTTGCCATGTCAGCGAGCAGCCTCTGCCCAGAGGGCTGCACCCCCTCCTCTCCCTCAGCTCTGCCTCTCTTCCCACCCGAGCCCCCAGACCCACCCCAGCTTGCTGGGGCTTCAAACAGGGCAGTTTGACCCAACCTAGAAACGCTCCAGGTTGGGTCTGGAGAAGCTCTTGGTCCAGTTCTCTCTGGGTGACCCGGATGGAAACTCCCGCTGCGGCCTGGTCTATAAATACCTGGCACACGGTGGAAAAACAAAAATCTATTTTCCGACTCTTTCCCAGTCTTTCAAGGGAGGGCTTTTCCCTGTGGGCCGGCTGGGTTGGTGGGGTGCAGCGTATCTGTCCCACACTGGTCTTTCTCCCCGCTACCCTTTTCAGTCTGTAGTTATCCGTTATCGCATTTCCTCCCTCCTGTGGGGCAGCCAGGGCAGCTGGTGGGGGAGGCTTTGGTGATGGCTGTGCCTCTTGCAGGGAAGGAGGGAGGGACGCCGGTATGCTCCCTGGAATGGGACACTAATTTGGGGGTTCCCTGAGGCCTGAAGAATTAAGGGGCACCACAGTACTCCCACAAGAGCCAGTAGACTCACTCTGCTGCTGCTCAGGGTCTATAAGAGGAGGAGCTGAGTGAGGACCGGGCCCCCTGGCCCCTTCTGAAGGCAGCTCCTGCCAGCCACGGTTCCCTCAGAAAAATTCCCGTGCAACTCTGTGGAGGGAAATGGAAAACACCGCGGGCCTATTCCCCTCCCCTCCTCTGCCACTCAGCCGCCAAGGCAGTCTGGAGGTGCCCAGCACAGATGGCCCCCTCCCCAGCACTCAGCCCTTTCAGCAAACACCTTGTTAACTTGAGTGCAGCTGAGCGGCCTGGTTGCTAGGCAACAGCAAAGCCAGAGTGTGGGAATGAGCGCAGCCTGGCCCTGGGGCGGCCTGGTCACTCTGGCCCTGCTGGGGGCCTGGGACTGCCCCAGTGTGAGGGCTCAACAAGGCCCACGCAGCCACACCCTCCCCAACCTTCGCAGTATCAGGACCTTTGCAGGGAGGGTCTCACTCAGGATGCGGTGTCTTGGGCTGGGATGCTTCAGGCCTGGGGTGGGATGGAGAAAGGACTTTAAGAACATCCCCTCTCCATGGGAGTGGGCAGTGACTGTGGCCCCGGAGTGCCCATGGGAGGGGCTGGGCCAGTTGCTCCCCTGTCCTGCATGTGGTGGGCAGGGCTGGGGAGTGTCCTTCGATGCCCATGGCCTGGACAACTCCAAGGCACCTGCCCTCTCCTGGGTAAGGTTTCAGGGGGCCCCACGGTCTGGCAGGGGAGTCTGGTTTTGCTGTTGTGGTGGCCTGGGATTTTTGTTTTTATTTTGACAAATAAGACAACCCACCTTGGCAGAGGAAGTGGCTGCCCCCATTTTGGTGGGCTTCCCCAGCAGGAGGCTTCAAGGGTAGCCCCCCTGCTGGCCTTGCTACCTTGCCAAGAGCTAGGAGGGGGTGGTCCAGGGACACAGCCTGCTTGGCTGGTGATTTCCTGACTTGCAGGGGGCAGCGCCCTGAATCCCTGTGTATTTATCATTCACACACTTAATTAAATGAACAGGCAGCAGGCCCTGTGTGAGGCCATTAATTGATACTAAATAACATCAGAGCCATCATCTCAGCATTACTTGTCACATCCCATCTCAAACGGAGCAGCTGGATCTGTTCTGATCTGAAGGGACTTAAGCTGAGAGCATGAGACGTTATGAGGCCTGACTTGGCTCCGTGTTGACTCTGACTTTCGTCCATTCCTTTCCTTGCTTCCTACCCATTCCCCAAGCCCACTGCCTCCGAACCGGTGAGAGGAGAGTGGTGTTCTGAGCCACAGACTCGGGTTCCAGGCCCAGATCCACCTCTTACTCTGTATGATTTGGGGCAGTTTCCGCAACTTCTCCAAATCTCGGGTTTCTCTTGTGTAAGATGGCGATCCTGGAACCCACTTCCTACCTTGCAAGGAAGCCAGCTGGTGTTAAGGAGGCAGTTTCCCATGCCAGGCACACCCTTAATGAATGGTGGCTGTTATTATTAGGATTATGGGGGGACCTGCCCTTGTCCCCATCTTTTTGGCCTCTGCACTCACCCTTCAGATTCATTCTGGCCTGAGGGCCTGTAGTTGAATTCTGGAAGGCTGTTCTGTCCCCTCTCTGCCCCCCCATTCCCCGTGTCTCTCAGTTCCCCTGCTGTGGGGTTTGCGCCCCTCCTTTTCTTCATCCTCTCTCGACACTGCCGATATCTGAAGGCCCCGAGCGCCTGTGACCAGCAGCCCTCCCCTGCCTCCCCCTTTCCCTGTAGGAAATCAGCAAACGGGAAGATGCGAGTGGACAGTTAAGCTGTATTCAGCTGCCTGTCGACTCCCAGGGGGTAGGTACGCGATCATGAGCCGGCATGCCTCCCGTGCCCCATGCCCGTGCCCCTCCACTCCGCCTCCGTGTCTCTGTGCTCGTGTTCACGCTCCGCTGCTGTGCAACCTGTCATAGCCGTGATGGTCATTGGTGTTGTGAGGTTTGCTTCGATTTTAAGTCCCTTCCCCCTTGAGGACACGGAAGGGAGGCACCTCCTTGCCTCTGCCCCCATCAACCCACCAAGGGCACCATCTCCATCCCTGCCAGACTGGTGGATGGGCCGGAGAAGGAAGGGACTTAGAATCCTCTGTGTGCACGTGTGTGGGGCACCCCGTGTGTGCGTGCCTGTGCTGAGGTCCCGGAGGAGTCCCAGACGTCCGGCTTCAGTGGAGTCAAGATCTGGCCGTAGACCATACTCCCCCATCTCCCACCCCTTCACCCCTTGCCCCAGGCCCCTGTTGGAGACCCCGCAAGCTGTCTCAGCTCAGGACAAGTCCTTGGAGGATGTGGGGATGGGATGTGGCTCTTGCCAAAATGTACCAATATTTTAAATCACCTCTGAGCCTTTGGCCCCTTCATCACCCACTTGGGTCCGGCTGGCGCTGTCAGGGCTGGCTCCCGGTCTGGCCCCACGATGAGCCTGTGCTCTGCTGTTCCCTGCCCCAGCACCAGAATTCGGGGCGAAGCCAGCATTCCTGTGGGACCCCATGGTGCTGCATATCCCGAGCAGCCCCCTGGAGATCCCACTTGATAATTAAAGGCCTCGTTAGGGCTGTAAACTGAGTTAATGAAAATGATCCCCTGAGATGCCAATTACCCAATATTTATGTCCTTATCAAAAGTAGCAATCAAGTATTTTTTAATAACTTCTTAAGGAGAAGTATGTAATTACTGGGGAACCTACTGACCTGCTAAGAAGAAAGAAAAAACTGTCCCAGAGACAGGGAGAGAGGTAAAAATGGGGCCAGGGAGGGGGCCGGGACTTGGGGAAGATGAAGGGAAGACACCGAGGGACTGAAGTGGCGTCCTCGGGCTGAGCTGTTCTGTCTGGGGTCTTTCAATTTCCTTCCAGGGTCCTCGAGTCTGAGGCTCAGGGGAGGGGAGCCGTGGAGAGAAAGCAAAGGGCCTCCAGTGAACTTTTGCAAGAGAGGCTCTAGTGACCACTTCACTCAGGTCCCCAGGTCCCCAGCCCCCTCTGGCCTGTGCCACCTGCCACCTAGCTACCCCTTCTCTCCCCAGCCAGCCTTGGTGACCGTTCAGCCAGGCTGGTTGTGCTGTGGGCTCACATAAGCTGTGGCCTTTTCTGAGGTGTGGCTGGAGAGGCAGAGGTGGTGGGGCCCTGGGAAGCCTCGGGCCCCAAGCCTGGGGGGTCTGGCCTGCGCCGTGCATGTCTCGTGCCGTGGTTGCTGGTTCCTGTGGCCTATATGTGGTGTGCGTGTGTGAAGAGAGGGAGGCCCGGTCCATCCCAACCACCCAAGCCTGGCCGGATCCCTAATGGTCCGCTGCTCCCCTGCCCTAGGGAGATGCCAACAAGTCCGAATCAGAGCCCGATTTCTTCTCACCCAGCCTGGATGGTGATGGGGACAGGAAGAAGTGCTTGGCCTGTGAGTACCTATCCTGGGGTGCGACTTTTGGCCCTGGGCCAGCCCTGTGTGGACTCGGGATCTCTCCCTCTCTCCCCGTGCAGTGGTGTCCCTGGGAGAGCACCCGGAGCTGCGGAAGAGCCTGCTGCCGCCTCTCATCATCCACACGGCCGCCACACCCATGTCGCTGCCCAAGAGCACCAGCACGGGCCTGGGCGAGGCGCTGGGCCCTGCGTCGCGCCGCACCAGCAGCAGCGGGTCGGCAGAGCCTGGGGCGGCCCACGAGATGAAGTCACCGGTAGGGGGTGCATGTGGGTACCCTGATGGTGGGAGATATTCCAAGGAGGACAGGAGGAAGAGAGGATGGAGGCAGGCGGGTCCAAGGGCACAGCCCCTGCCCCATGGGCTGGATGGGGCCTGGGTGTGCCTGGACAAGCCCCTGGGGAATCTGCGCCGGTGATGCAAACCAGGGTAGGAGCCCTAGCCTGGGGGCTGAAAACAGGGCCTAAGCTGACCTCTTCTGTACCCTAGCTGAGTGACCTCGGGCAAGACGCCACCGCTCTGATCTGCTTCTGTAAAATGGAGGTGGGGTGTCCATACCTCCTCAAGACTGAATAATAATAATAGCAGACCCTCATCTAGGTACTGACTCTGTGCCAGACACTGTTCTAAACACTACTCCGAAGCATTCTAAATGCATTTAATCCTCACACCAACCCTGGGAGGTAGGTACCACAATGATCCCCATTTTACAGAGGGGGCCTGAGCCTCAGATTGCAGAAGGGAATGGCAGAGCCAGCATTTTAATCCAGGAGGCTAGTGTTGGTGCCCATGCTCTCATGATTTTATTTATTTTTAATTTTTTTAAATTTCGCTTTTAATTGACAAATACTAATTGTGTATATTTATGGGGCACAATGTGATGTTTTGATATATGCATACATTATGGGATGATTACATCAAGCTAATTAGCATATGCATCACTTCACATACTTATTTTTTTTGTGGCATGAACATTTAAAAATCTACTCTTAGCAATTTTGAAATAAATATGCATTACGTTATTATTGACTATAGCCATCATGCTGTGCAATAAATCTCGAAAATTGATTCCTCCTGTCCAACTGAAACTTCGTATCCTTTGGCTAAGCCTTCCCCATTGGTCCCATCCTTACCTCTCCCAACCCCAGCCTCTGCTAATCACCATTCCACTCTCTACTTCTATGAGTTCAATTTTTTTGGATTTCACATATAAGTGAGATCATATGGTATTTATTTGTCTTTCTGTGCCTTGTGTATTTCACTTAGTATAATATCCTCCAGTTCATCCATGTTATCACAAATGACAGTCTTCTTTTTTAAGGCTGAATATTATTCCACAGTGCATGTATGCCATATTTTCTTTCTTTCTTTCTTTCTTTTCCTTTCCGCTCTGTCGCCCAGGCTGGAGTGCAGTGGCACGATCTCAACTCACTGCATGCAACCTCTGCCTCCCAGGTTCGAGTGATTCTCCTGCCTCAGCCACCTGATTAGCTGAGATTATAGGCATGTGCCACCATGTCCGGCTAATTTTTTGTATTTTTAGTAGAGATGAGGTTTCACCATGTTGGCCAGGCTGGTCTCAAATACCTGGCCTCAAGTGATCCACCTGCCTTGGCCTCCCAAAGTGCTGGGATTACAGGCATGAGCCACTGCACCTGGCCCATATTTTCTTTATCCAGTCATCCATTGATGGATACTAGGTTGATTCCATATATTGGCTATTGTGAATAATGCTGAAATGAAGATGGGAATGCCCGTATCTCGTCCACATACTGATTTCAAATCCTTTGGATAAATACCCAGTGCTGGAATTGCTGGGTCATATGGCAACTCTATTTTTAGGTTTTTGAGGAACCTGCATACCGTTTTCCATAATGGCTGTATTAATTTACATTTCCACCAACAGGACACAAGGGTTCCCTTTTCTTCAGATCCTCACCAGCGCTTGTTATCTTTCATCACTTTCATAATAGCCAATCCAACAGGTGTGAGATAACTCATTGTGGTTTTAATTTGCATTTCCCTGGTGATTAGTGACGTTGAGCATTTCTTCATGTACCTGTTGGCCATCTGTGTCTCCTTTTTTTTGAGATGGAGTTTCACTCTGTCACCCAGGCTGGAGCGCAACAGTTCACTGCAACTTCCACCTTCCAGGTTCAAGTGATTGTCCTGCCTCAGCCTCCTGAGTAGCTGGGATTACAGGCGTGAGCCACCATGCCCAACTAATTTTTTTTATTTTTAGTAGAGATGGGGTTTCACCACATTGGCCAGGCTGGTTTCGAGCTCCTGGCCTCAGGTGATCTGCCCGCCTCGGCCTCCCAATGTGCTGGGATTACAGGTGTGAGCCACCGTGCCCAGCCCTGTGTCTCCTTTTGAGGAATGTCTATTCAGGCCCTTTGCCCATTTTTTAGATTGGGTTGATTTTTTGCTGTTGAGTTGTGTTTCTTCACCCCATTATATATACTGCCACTCAGCTGATGATAACACTTCTCTCACCAAATAAATGAGGAATGAGCTCTATTGCCATATCTAGTTTACAGATGAGGAAACAGATGCACAGAGAGGCTTAATAACTTGCCCCAGGTCACACAGCTGGTTGGGGTGAGCCAGGATCTGAACCCAGGCATCAGAGTCCAGAGCTCCTGCTCACATCCCTACACTTGATGTGATGCCAGTGAGGCTCCCAGGAGACCGGGTGCACATGAGAGGACAGGGCTGCTGGGCCCTGCCTGAGACCACTCCTCCCCTGCTCACCCACAGCCCAGCGCCCGCAGCTCTCCGCACAGCCCCTGGAGCGCTGCAAGCAGCTGGACCAGCAGGCGCTCCAGCCGGAACAGCCTCGGCCGTGCACCCAGCCTGAAGCGGAGAAGCCCAAGTGGAGAGCGGCGGTCCCTGTTGTCGGGAGAAGGCCAGGAGAGCCAGGATGAAGAGGAGAGCTCAGAAGAGGAGCGGGCCAGCCCTGCGGGCAGTGACCATCGCCACAGGGGGTCCCTGGAGCGGGAGGCCAAGAGTTCCTTTGACCTGCCAGACACACTGCAGGTGCCAGGGCTGCATCGCACTGCCAGTGGCCGAGGGTCTGCTTCTGAGCACCAGGACTGCAATGGCAAGTCGGCTTCAGGGCGCCTGGCCCGGGCCCTGCGGCCTGATGACCCCCCACTGGATGGGGATGACGCCGATGACGAGGGCAACCTGGTGAGGCCCCTGTGGGCACAGTGACCCCTCACCCCTGACCTTGAAAGAGGGGAGGTGTGCCTGGCCTGGCAGGGTATAAGGGAGTTACCATTCCAAGCCCACGGAATATCAAGGGGCACCTAGAAACCGAGCTCCAAACAATCCCTTTTCTCCCTCTGCCCGCCTTGCCAAGCCCCAGATCCTTGTCATGCCTATGCCTGGGGCTGCGGCTCTGCCACCCTTGGTGGATATGAATGATTTTGGACAGATGTGTATGAATCTTTCATGGCCCTCCCCCTGTGACTCAGAAAGACCCATCACTCATCTCTCCAAACTGATGCCCCGCATCCCCCTTTCTCGTCTCAACCTCATCACAAGCCATGACTTCCCACTCTATCCATACCCATGTGCCCCTGCCCCAGCCCCTCATCACCACCATTCCCCCTGGGGATGGGGTGCAGTGACCTCAGGGTTAGCATGTGAAGAGCAGGGCCAGTGTCTCCTCAGCTGAGGTGTGTCTCTGAACAGACAGCTGTGTGGGGCCAGTGTTTGATAACTGATGCTGCTTCCCAGCTCAGCAGGGAGGACAGGCAGGGGGCTGGGCTGGAGGCAGGGGTGGGGAGAGGGGAGAGCGGGGTTGGGGATGCAGGGGAGGAGAGGGAGGAGGTGGAGAGGCAAGGGGTCCTCAGGGATGGGGAGGGGGCCTGGCAAGGTTGACAGGGAGATGAGGAGGTGGCTTTAGGAATAAAGGAAGAGAGGCAGGGCAGAGCTTGGGCCCCAGGTGGGAGAGGGTAGACAAGGAGTGAGGCTCGTGACTCTGCTGAGGAGCCAGGAGCCGGGGAACCTGGAGGCCTGGTCCTGCTCATACTCCAGTGTTTGTTCTGCAGAGCAAAGGGGAACGGGTCCGCGCGTGGATCCGAGCCCGACTCCCTGCCTGCTGCCTCGAGCGAGACTCCTGGTCAGCCTACATCTTCCCTCCTCAGTCCAGGTAAGTGACAGGGCAGGGGTCTGACCTGTGTCCCGACCTCTTCTTCTCACGGGAAATTACCGCTGGTGATGCTGTCAGGGATTTGAGAAGTGGCACCCTGCCTGGGGTGTGAGCAGGGTGGCCTCAGCTGGGAGGGCACTGGAGGGGCAGGGGCTGCGGGCGGTGCCTCTCGTTGCCACCTGCCCTGCCTCCCCCTCTCAGCCGTTGCCTCCATGCCTGGGCAGGTTCCGCCTCCTGTGTCACCGGATCATCACCCACAAGATGTTCGACCACGTGGTCCTTGTCATCATCTTCCTTAACTGCATCACCATCGCCATGGAGCGCCCCAAAATTGACCCCCACAGCGCTGTGAGTCACCAGCCCCGCTCAGGGCAAGGCCTCTCCTGGGGTTTGCACTCAGGACCAGTGAGGGAGGCAAGGAGGCCACAGTTGCTGACCTGCAAGTCACACAGCAGGGAACGAGGGGGCCAGGACTCTCCTTTAGGTCTCTCACCAGATCCTGGTCCCCGGGATGCCCCCTGTGTCCTCTCCTGCCTCAGTTTCCCTTCTATGATACATCAGCCCAGCTGGGTGCTTTGTCTCATTCCAGGCTATTTCTCATGAGCCAGAGCCTTGTGGGGCACACGCGTGAGTCGGGGAGTGCTGGGGCGGTGCAGGGGCTGTGTGCAGATGGGGAGGCATCTTGCCCAGTCTGCCTCAGGGCCTCGGGGGCATGCAGAGTGGCCATGGAAGCCGTTCTTTGCTCCTGGTCATCCTTCCAGGTCAAAACCAAGTAGATTTTCAGGGGCCATAGTGGGGACATGGGTCACTTCTGCTTGGCTGCGAACCTGTCAGTCCTTCTCAGAAGGAGAGCCAGAGGCCCTGGACATACCGCCCCAGGGTCGAACCCCTTCAGGGTGGGCCCAGCTCACCCTGGGAGCTGTCTCTTCCTAGCCTGGCATTATAGCCCTTCGCTGTCGGCAGCAATTCTGGTTCCAGAAGGATGGGTGGGGGGTGGTTGTGTTTCCGCTCACGGCATCCTGCACCACTTGCTTAGAGGTGGCCAGGGTTTGCCTCTCATCCCTCTTTGCCATCTCCCACACCATTGTTTAGATTTCAGCGCTGCTGGGGCTTCTGTTTTCTATTAGGGTCGGGGTGGAGGGAGCCTGAGGAATGGCGGGAGCAGCCCAAGACTAGGCGGGTGAGAGAGCACCCGCACTGGGGACCTCACACCCGGAGTCACAGGGTAAGGCAGGGGCGCTGGCTGCACTCCAGCCTTGGCTGCCTCCCGCCTGAGGCCCTGCTGTAGAGCTCTCTGTCACCATGTCACTGTCTCCACGTCTCTCTCACCATCTTCCCACTCAGCTTCTCCATCTCCAGCTCTGTCACTGTACCTGCTCCTCTCCTTCCCTCCTCTCTGTGCTCACACCCTGCCCGCCACCTCTCTAGAGATCTGCGCCTGCCTCCTGGCCACCCAGGGAGGGACTCAGTCCACAGATGCCAGGGAACTAGATGGCCTTCCTCCCTGCCCTGCCCCAGCCTGTGCCTGGGGGTGCAGAGTCTGTGTCAGGACCCCAGCTTCCACTGCTGCTCCATTTCTGGGGTGCACAGCAGGAAAGCAAGTGAAGAGGGTGGGATGGCAGGCAAGGGTCAGAGATCAAGTGAGATCCTGCCCCAGTTTTTAAAAGGAACCAGGGAATAGGGCTTAGGACGTGGGACGCAGATCACAGCACTGCAGTGCAGATCCTCTCCCCCTTGGGCTAAGTGGCTGTGGGGGCGGGGAGCTCTGGTCACAGACAGGGGTGTGACTGTCCACAGAGCTGCAGGGGAGTCAGGGGGCCTGGCACTGGCTCTGTGCGTGTATGAGAGGGGCGTGATCTACATTGTTGTGGAGGGTGGGGGTCGTTTTCTGAGTCAAATGTTAGAAGCAGGTTTTGACTTGTGTATGCAGAGCAGACCTGGCCCAAGGGTGGGGGCTTCCTGGCGGGCAACCCCTGCCTCCCCTCTCTTGCAGGAACGCATCTTCCTGACCCTCTCCAATTACATCTTCACCGCAGTCTTTCTGGCTGAAATGACAGTGAAGGTGATGGGGGCTGGTGTTGGCTTGGGACCTCTGGTTCCTGGTGGGGGTGGAGACAGCTTGGGCTGAGGGTGGGAGGGTTGGCTGCAGCGCAGGGAGGGCGGCCGATGACGTGGCGGTGGTCCCCAGGTGGTGGCACTGGGCTGGTGCTTCGGGGAGCAGGCGTACCTGCGGAGCAGTTGGAACGTGCTGGACGGGCTGTTGGTGCTCATCTCCGTCATCGACATTCTGGTGTCCATGGTCTCTGACAGCGGCACCAAGATCCTGGGCATGCTGAGGGTGCTGCGGCTGCTGCGGACCCTGCGCCCGCTCAGGTGACTCCCTCCCCAGCACTGGAACACCTCCAAGAGGTGGCCCCCTCCGCAGGGACATCTCCCACCGCCAGCACTCCCTGCCACGAAACAAAAGCCTGCACAGGCCAGCATCCTGTCTGTGACCCCCACAGGCGATCCTGTCCCCGCCCCAGACAACACTCAGATTACGGCCGCAGTAATTTCCCTCCAGGTGCACACCTGCTTTCCTCCTCTTCAACATGACATATTCCTCAGGGCCGCTGCACCATGTGATGTAAGGTGACTGCAGCCCTGTGCAGCACACAGCACAAGGGGCCACGAGCAGGACTCTCACAGTCTTCAGCTGCGGCTCTCCCTTGTGTGGCCTCTAGGGGTGACACTCAGCCCCTCCCCGTGAGGTGACAGGCTCCTCTTGCTGGCTTTCCCCATCTTCAGGCGCCTGCCAGTGACCACCCCCCGGTGACATTTCTCCTGACCAGGGATCCACCCTCTCAGGAATCCCTTTCCAATCAGCCAGTCACCACCCCCAACTCAGATTTTTTTTTTTTAATAGGGATGATGTGGACTAATGGCGATGCTTCCCTGACTGTGATAGTCCATCTCCCTCTGCCCCTTCCCCTCTCTGCCTGCTCCCCTACAAGTTTATCTCCTGGTGCCCCCAACCCACAATACACTGCATCTCTAGGGAACGCCTCACTTGAGTTGAATCCTCCCCACTCCCAACCCAAACAGGTCGTACATTTGACATCCTGGGATGGAGGTGGAGATGTGGGGCATGGGGATCTCTGCCACTTGTTTTGAGAGATTACAATAGGGGTCCTGATGGCAGGGGTCCCATGAAAAGAGGACTTGTGTTCTGCCACCAGAGGCCAGGAAGGGACCAGTGGTCAAGGTTGGGGGTGGGGAGCAGGGTCAAGGGACAAGGGAGGGTCTGGGCTGGGGGAAGCCTTATCACCTCCCTCCCTCCCCTCCCCAGGGTGATCAGCCGGGCGCAGGGGCTGAAGCTGGTGGTGGAGACGCTGATGTCCTCACTGAAACCCATCGGCAACATTGTAGTCATCTGCTGTGCCTTCTTCATCATTTTCGGCATCTTGGGGGTGCAGGTGTGTGGGGTTCTGGGGGCCAGCTGTGGGTGAAAGCCTGAAGAGGGCCCTTCCCCTTGGCCCCTGGGTCCTATGGCTCAAGCTGCTGTTGCTGCCTTCATTCCAGAAAGGAATAAGCAGGGACGCTTCCCTCCAGGCTCTAGGCCCTTTTACCTCCTGGGCATTTCAAAGAAAAGTGGGAGCCTAGAGGAAGGCCCCAAGGAGGACCGGGGCTGCCGAGAGGCTTCAGGCCATGGGAGCCGCAGGCTGCTGTTCCTGCCCTCTGCACGCACTCCCTGAGCACAGACGCTGGCCCGCGGTCTACTCCGGGATCCCCTCCCTTCCTTCCCGGCTCGAGCACAGTGGGCTGCAGGCCAGGTCTGGGGATCCAGGGCCCAGACAGCTGGGCCAGGTTAGCAGCGTGCTGGCAGGCAGGCGGGTGCAGACCCCAGACGAGGCAGGAAGTGGGGGCTGCTGGGGAAACTTGGCCTTGGGCCCAGGGAGGAGACTTGGCTTTGGAAGAGAAAGAGCCAGAGCTGCCTGCAGGATTCAGCAGACGCCTCAGGGGGCCGGGGAGCCCCTCCATCATAGTCTTCCAGGGCCCTTGGCTCCAGCTGTTTCAGCTGCAGGGTAGACAGCTGGCTGTTCAGGCAGCGTGGGAGCCCCTGGGTGGCTACACCCTCCCCTCCCCGCCCCTCGTTCCCTTGGCTTCCTGGGATGTCCACTCTGCCCTGGGTTGGGGGCTGTTCCCTGACTTCCTAGAAATTCTCTAGCCCTAGGGAACAGGCTGGGGTGCATTTACCAAAGCTGTGTGGTGCCTCTCTGTACACCCTCCCCACTCCCACCCAGTGCCCTTCCCCTTCCTCACTTCCCAGCCTCCTTGGGTCAGTAGAGTGAAGCATTGTTGAGCCCAGTCCTTCCGGTGGATTTAGGTCTGTTTTGAGCAGTTTGCTCAGGCCCCCTGGTCCTGCCTTCCGTTTTTCACTAGTGGTCATAGCCTGGTTTATAATGGAATGAGGGTGAGCTTTCCAATCAGACAGACCTGGGTTCGAGCTCCCTTTCTGCTACCTGCTGGCTATGGGACCTTAGTGAGTGGATTAACTTCTCTGAGCCTCCGTTGTTCTTATCTGTAAAGTGGGGTTGATGATACCCACTCCCCCACCCAGAGCTGCTGTGAGAATTAAATGCCCAGCTCAGTGGTTCTCAAACTTGAGTTTGCGTCAGAATCACCAGAACGGCTTGTTAAAAGATCGCTGCTCCCCCACCTCAGAGTGTATGATTCAGCAGATCTGGGCTGGACCTGAGAAGATGTGTTTCTAGCATGTTCCCAGATGATGCTGGGGACTCCCACTTGGCACACGCCTGGCCTAACCGTTGGTGGAAGATGAATGACTGTTACCCGCCTCCACCCTTTCCCACTGCCCGCCCCGATTACCTTTCCTCCCCACTCTTGGAAAGGAAGGGGGTGTCGGCAGGGGAGACTCTTGTCAGTGTTTCCCTGACTTGACTGGCCCCAGAGCAGAGCACCCCACACTCACTCAAAATGTGCCCAGGCTGGCGTGGGGGTGGGGCTCAGGAGTCCTGGGCTTCCTGTGGTCACAGCTCACTTTTCTCTGTCTCTGGGAATGTGTGTCCAGCTCTTCAAAGGGAAGTTTTTCGTGTGCCAGGGCGAGGATACCAGGAACATCACCAATAAATCGGACTGTGCCGAGGCCAGTTACCGGTGGGTCCGGCACAAGTACAACTTTGACAACCTTGGCCAGGTGAGCCCCAGGCTCAGAGGTGGGGCTGTGGTGAAGGAGGCTGGAGGGGGCACAGGGCCATGCTTAGTGATACCTGCTGACTCCGGTGGAGGTGGGCTCCACGAAGAGATCAGCCCTTCACACCCTCTGCTGTCTAACCACCAGCATGTCGCAAAGCCCAGTCCATCCCACAGTGCCCCAAAAAGTGGGCCCATGGGGTCTCTAGCCGTCCTTAAAGATGAAGAAACAGAGGCTCAGAGAGGGTAAGGGGCTTGCCCAGGGCCACAGAGCTACATGGTGGAGCAGGAAGCACACGTGGCAGTGGGGGCAGGCAGCCCTGGATGTGAATCCTGTGCAAATCCTGACCCCACCATTGTCAGCTCAATGACCTGGAGCAGCTGACTTACCAGGGCCTCAGTTTCATTAACTGGTGAATGGAGTCATAATAGAATCTCCTCGGAGGTCACAATAAGGATGCAATGAGATGATGTGTATATTTCTTTAACATGGTGGAAGGGACGGATATATTGTCAAGATAATTCCTTTCCTCACTCCATATTTGCAGAAACAGAAATGCAGAAAATGAAATTGCTCGCTCAGTTTTGATTCCCAGACCCACTCTGGTTTTGGTTTCTGGATTTCCAGGGTTTTTGTGTCCCTTCTCCTACCTGGCGGAGGGCAGAGGGTGTGACCATCTCTCAGGGCCCCTCCAGCTGCAGCTCAGTTATGGAACCCTGAGAGGGAGGGCTCTCCTGGAGCCTGGAGTGTGACTCCAGCTTGACCCCTCAAGGGCTGGGGTACTTGGAGCTGATGCAGGAGGCACTTTGGGGGCAGGTGATAGGTGATTCAGCCACACATCCTAGACTTCAAATGTCTCCTTCTCCTCCTCCCCATCAGGCCCTGATGTCCCTGTTCGTTTTGGCCTCCAAGGATGGTTGGGTGGACATCATGTACGATGGGCTGGATGCTGTGGGCGTGGACCAGCAGGTAGGGCTGAGGTGGGCAGGATCCATCTGTGGGCTCAGGTCACTCAGCATGGGCTGATTCCAGGACAGAAAGAGCAAGGCAGGGTGGCAAAATGCCATGAAAGAAGCATCATATTTTACAGCAGAGGCTGTTGCTGGTAGCCTGTGGGCCAAATCTGGGCATGTTTTATTGGTCTACAACATGTTTAACATGTTTTGAATTAGTGATGAATATTTTTAAACTGGTGAATTTGGGCTGTGTGCAGTGGCTCACACCTGTAATGCCAGTGCATTGGGAGGCCTAGGCAAGAGGATCACTTGAGGCCAGGAGTTGGAGACCAGCCTGGGCATCATAGCAAGACCCCCAGCTCTACAAAAAATAAAAACAATTAGCCGGGTGTGGTGGTATCATCTGGAGTCCCAGCTGAGGTGGGAGGATCTCTTGAGCCCAGGAGTTTGAGGCTGCAATAAGCTGTGATCGCACCACTGCACTCCAGCCTAAGCAATAGAACAAGACCCTGTCTCTAAAAAAAGAAAAAATAATGGTGAGTTTTACACAGAAATTCAGATTTGTGTCTACTCAGGAAAAGTCTGAAGATCTGGGAAGACTGGGCTTGCATTCCCTCAAGGCAGGAGTCAGCCAGAACAAAGAGGCAGTTTTGGATGGAGAATCTACTCTCCCCTTTACCACAGTCCCCGCCCCTCCCTACTGCTTCACATCAAACCCACACCATTCATTTCCATCGCCTGTCAGGCGGCTGTAGCTATTTGGGTTCGCAGGAACCCAGGCTGTGGGCAGCTCCTAAGACAGCTTGCCCTCGGGCTGATGCCTCCGCCTGTCCTTCCTGCTCCCCGCCAGCCCATCATGAACCACAACCCCTGGATGCTGCTGTACTTCATCTCGTTCCTGCTCATTGTGGCCTTCTTTGTCCTGAACATGTTTGTGGGTGTGGTGGTGGAGAACTTCCACAAGTGTCGGCAGCACCAGGAGGAAGAGGAGGCCCGGCGGCGGGAGGAGAAGCGCCTACGAAGACTGGAGAAAAAGAGAAGGAGTAAGGAGAAGCAGATGGCTGGTCGGTAGTCTTTCCACCTCTCTCTGGGTCGTGCTTGACCTTGGCCTTGCGACTGCAGGGGGCTGGGCGCTGGGGCCGGGGGCAGGGAGAAGAGGCTCCCACCCCCCTCCTCACCTCCTTCTCCCCAAGAGCATGTCTGCCTTTAGAGCGAGCATGAAGCAGACCACTTCAGCCCCATGGGTAGGGGGAGCTGTCCCCACCCTGGGGCCTCCCAGGACCTCAGCATCATCCTCCCCAGATGATGCCAAATGGAGGTTGACACCCAGCCTCCCCGAGCTTGACTCTCAGAGGAGCCTCACTGGCTGCTCCACTGCCCCATGCCAGCATCCAGAGGCCCAGGGTGGGCAGCAAGCATCTCAACCCTGCACCCACCTAGTGTCTGCAGCTGCCGAGCAAAGCCTCAGCAGATCTCAGTAATGGACAACAGCGTAAAAGAGAACCCAGACACCCCTCCCTCCCTATCTCTAACAAAACTTTCTACCATGATATATATATATATATATATATATTTCTGCTAAACTTAAAAAAAGAAAAAGCAAAAACAAAAACAAAAAAAGAAAACTCCCCTTGGCTTGGGGAAGTTCTGGAATAACCTGGGGCCCTGGAGCCCCTCACCTCCTCACCTGTGCTCCCCAGCATCTCTTGGCATTGGGTGGGTGAAGCCCCCATCCGTCCGTCCTCATGCCCTTATGCCATGGGTGGGCCGAGACTAAGTGAGAAGACAGAGGCCAGGAAGGATGTGAGAGACACAGCAGGCGCCCAGGCCCCTTTGTTTCTGGGGCATCCCCAGATGCGTCTGCACCTGTCTCCCTCTCTCCCGGGCTCCAGGGCTCCCATCTGCCTGGTACAGCGTAATCTCCGCGCCTCTCTCTCTCTCTCAGTCACGGCCCACGTCTCTCTAAGTGTCTTTGTGTGTGGGTTTATCTAAGCCTTTGTGTGTCTGTCTGTGTGTCTCTCTCTGTTTGGGGTGAGGGTTTCCCATGCTCTCTTCACCTTTTCACAAATCGTCTTCCTTCCGCCGATAAGATGGGTGCGGTGGCCTGAGTTTTCCTTTGGTGTGTTCACATGTGAGTACCACCAAATGAGTGAGGGGTTGCCGTGCCCCTGCCTCCCCTCTGCCCTCAGCTCTATCTCCCTCGGCCTGGGAGTGGCACTCTGAGGCGGGGGGAGAGTGTGGGAGTTGCAGACGAGGGTGGAGGTGGGAGGGGGCCTGTGTTCCCTGTGAAGAGCGGGAGCTGCTCCAGGATGTGGGGGAGACACTGGCCTCTGGGCAGCAATGGGAGGTGCCGTTCTCCACGTCCCCAACCCTCACTATCAGCACCCCCAAGGCCTTCTGCTCGGCTCAGGGTAGGGGTCCGGGTTCGGCTTCCCTGTGGATATCTGCAGCTGAGCAGGTGCAGTGTCCCCTGTGGCCACCGTCCCACTCCTGCTCCATCCTCCCCACCCCCACCTCACAGTCAGGCAGATGGAATTCTTTTGGCAGGCGGCACTTGTGGCCCCTGCCTGCCCAGCTGGCTCCCCTTCTGGGGTCTGTAGCTGTCTCAGGTGCAGCTGAGGCCACAACGCAGGAGAAGCGGACATCTGTTCTGATGACCGGCTGCCTGCCCCTCCCGGTGCCTCCCTGCCCCGTGACCCTGACCAGCTAGCCACATTGCTTGTCTTCCTCAAGTGCCCTGTGCCCCCAGCTTCGGGCTGGACATTCAGAGCCAGCCACCCAATGGGCTCAGCGCACCCCACCCATAGGCAGAGTGAGGTGGGAGCTGAGGGGAAGCCGCCCCTGAGGGGCCCTGCCCAGCGCACCTGGTCCGGCCAGTGACCAATGTCGTGTTTCGTTCTTTTAGATCTAATGCTGGACGATGTAATTGCTTCCGGCAGCTCAGCCAGCGCTGCGTCAGGTACTGCGTCTGGGGTGTGGGCTCATGCGTGTGGGGACATGCTCTTCACTCCCTCCCCGTGGCTCATTGATTCTATCCTCTTGGGGTGAAAGGGTGAGGGTCCCTGGGGCCCCCAAGAGGGCAGGGGCTGAAGCGCTGGGCTCTGCAGCATCCCGCAGGCCTGCGCCAAACTGGACGGGAGGCGAGGGCCTGAGGCCTCTCTGCCGACGCCCTTTGGAGAGCCCACCTTCCCAGCAAGGGCTTCCTTGGCCGGCCAAGCTCCCCACCTCCTGCCACCTCTTCCCTCCTGTGCCTCCTCCTTGTAGCTCACCGGTCGATTATTAGAGCTGCAAATCTCTCCTGTCTCCTTTTGTCTGAGGGGAGACTTTGATCCAAGGGAGCAGGATGAGAGGAGCAGAGAGGGGAAGGATTTGTTTTAAAAATGTAACAATGAATAATTGAACAGACTCATTAATAGTCAAGTGATCACGGTGGCTGCGTCATCGCTACAAACAGCAGGAATTGGGAATCAAAGGCCTGAGTTGGCCACGAGCTTCTTCCAAAAAAAGCCAAAGATTTGGGAGTGACTTGGGTCCTTATTTTCAAGAGCCATGTCTCTGGGAAGACTCTCCTGGTCCAGCCCACCCTCCATGGTCCCTCGGTCCCCTGCTCTCCTCTCCCCCACTGGCCCCCAGATGGAGGTGTGGAGGCTCATGGAGTCCGTGGCAGGGCTGTGGGGCCTCATAACACTATGTCTCCAGCTGGTGGTTCCCAAGCTGTTCATCCCCAAGGCCCCCAGTTATCATCTCCTCCAACAGACTTCACACTTTAGAAGGCTGTCTATGAAGTTAAGAGCACTTCAATAATGACTTTCTTTCATCATTTTTACTAATCAGAGGCGCATCTAATTGCTAATCACAGCTTCTGAGCTGCAGAAGGTTACACACTAAATGATGGCAAAGAAAGACCATTTCGTCATTAAATTAGTCTGTGGGGCCTTAACACAGGCAAAGTATAGGGTTTCTTTCAAGCTTTTTGAAGTATTGGAAAGAACATAAGGGCCGGGCACAGTGGCTCACACCTGTAATCCCAGCACTTTGGGAGGCTGAGGCGGGCAGATCATGAGGTCAGGGGTTTGAGACCAGCCTGGCCAACATGGTGAAACCCCGTCTCTACTAAAAATACAAAAATTAGCCGGGCGTGGTGGCATACGCCTGTAATCCCAGCTACTCGGGAGGCTGAGGCAGGAGAATCGCTTCAACCCGGGAGGCGGAGGTTGCAGTGAGCCGAGATCACGCCACTGCACTCCAGCCTGGGTGACAGAGCGAGACTCCATTTAAAAAAAAAAAAAAAAAAAGAGAGAGAGAGAGTGAGAACATAAGGACCCCCATGGCTGCTGCAGGCTTGGAACTTCAGTCTGGGAACCACCGGCTCCACTTTCCCCACTCCTCTGGAAGCTAGAATCAGGCAGATGCTGCCCTGGGGATGTTGGGTGTCATGATCTGTGGGGCCTCAGGGACCCACCCAAGAGAGAACCCCTGAGCCCCCATTGAGTAGGTCATCCCTGAGGCCCTCAGCGCTATGGCCCCATGATGCTAAGCAGTGGTGTTTGGCATTGAGAGACTGCCTCTCTGGGGCTCAGGAGTCTCTGGCTGGTTTGTGTCTGGATTGCCAGGGTCCCCACATCTCTGCATCAGGCTGTCTTGCAAATTCCTGACTTGTTAGGGGATGAGGGGAGGGAGGGAAGAAGTGGCCTTCAGCTTTTCCCTTACGGGCCCACCTGGTCTGTAGACTGAAGTGTGCACACTTTCACACTCACCCCAAAACATCCTAGCACAGGGCTAGCCCACAGAGACTTTTCCACCTTGGGTGTTATCCCAGAAATCAACACATGCAGACTCTCATGGCTCCTAAGACGTGACTCACCCACTCAGTGCTAAACACTCTCGTGACCCTTGCACTGCACTCCCATTCCGGGTACCTTCTGCTGTGCTCCTGAAGTGGATAGACCCCACTGTATCCTGGGGTGGCACACGCAGGCATGTACACCAGTTACCTTCCCTGGCTGTTGGTGAGGACTCAGAGACCCCGAACAAGGGCTCAGGTCATCCCATATCCCACTTCCTAGGACCTGGAGTTCTGCGTGGCCTATGCCAGAGCTTTTCAAACTTCCATGTGCATAAGAATCACCTGGAAAGCATAAACACAGATTCCTGGGGCTTACCCCAGAGGTTCTCCTACAGCAGTGCAGATGCACTGATCTACCCACCAGGGTGATGGGGACAGAGTCAAACGCAGTCCAGGGCTGCTGAGAATCAAACACGTGCACCGCACCTCCCTGCTAGCACTCCTGTCCTGGTGCTGCTCCCAGCAGGGGCGGGAGAGCCAGACCCTAGGGAAAGGCAGAAGAGCGGAGCCTGTGATTATCTGGGGAATGGGCCTGACCAGAAGCCTGGGTCCACCCCGGCTTCCCAGATGGAGGGAGGGACCGGGGCTGCTGGGTCATCAGGCTGCCCCACGGGACGGCTAAGCCTCCAACACCAGCTCCACTCTCCTTGGCCACCTGTGGCGTCGACCTTCACTCACTCACCCTCTTTCCTTCCACCAGGCCGGGACCCAGTGATCAGGCCTGGCCACGGCAGCTGAAGGTGTGGCCTCTGCCGTGGGGGGCCTGTGTCCTTGGGAGTGACCCCTGTCTTCTGCCTACTCATTGCCACTCCCCTTTGCAAACCCTCCGCCCTGGCCATGCCTTGGGCTCCCTGTGACTCCTACTAACTCACTGCCTGTTGCCTTGCGGCCCTCCTTCTGTACCCTTCCTCCCTCCCTGCCCCGAAGTGGGGACCTGGGCTGCCCTAGATATGCCCTTCCCCCCACTGTCTGACTCTGGTATTTTCTCCACCTAAGGCAGCTCATCCTGGTGGGAGGCAGGGAGGTGGTGCCACAGCTACCAATGCATCAGTGACCACAGGTCCAGGCTCCTCCTGGACTATGGTTGGAGCTCTCAAAGCAGCAGGCTTGCCCAAGGCTCCTCCCAGGGGCTTTCTATTTCTTCTCCACACCTGGGTGCTTGCCTGCAGAGCCGAGGTCCAGAGAGCAGCAAAGGAGGGTGGCATCGCCAGGCCCCAACTTTGGAGGCCTTTGGGCAGACCATCCAGGGGTGTCCTCTGGGCCAAGGCCTCAAAGCCTTGTGTCTGTACCCACCTGGCAACTGGCGAGGGACTCGGGCTGGAAGTTCGGGTCCAGCTCGGTCATGCCTCGTAGCTAGCTGAATGAGTCACTTTTTGCCTGGCTTCATTCTCTCCCTCTGAAAAACAAAGGGGTTGCCCGAGGAGATGCTGATCAGATTGGCCTGGTACTCTTTGGACCTGTGCTCTAATGGGGGATTTCTGGCAGCCTCAGCACCTGCCGTCTGGGGTAGGGGCCAGGGTGGAGGGGTGTTTGTACAGACCTCAGGGGCCGGGACCTGTCTATAAGCAGATGCCCTGCCTCAGTCCTCCTGCCCCGCCTTCCTTCTGGGCCTCTTGGAGGAGGGTCCCGGCTGAATTGAAGCCCACCCACCCCACAGACTCCTAGTGCAAGGCCAGAGTTGGTGGGAGCAGCTGCTCCGTTTGGCCTGGAACTGCCTACAGAGTCAGGCTGGGGTGACGGGGAGAGGAGGGCAACTCTCCCAGCCTCTCCTCTACATTGTCTCAGCTAATAATGGGGCTAATAAGGAGCCGCTTTTTCTAACCTAATTGTATTCAAACATTTTAGTTAATTCTCCATTCATATTTTAGCATAATGGGATCGGGTGCTCTCGGCATTTATGGAGATTAATGCAGAGAAAATGTTCCGGCTGCTCAGGCAATGCAGGGCGACTAGCGCCCTCTGGTTCTTGTGGTACTCAAGGAAGGAAGGAAGAGGCCCGGCCCACCCGGCCCACCCTCCACCATCGCGGTGTGGATGACCCGTAGCCTCCTGTCCTCCCTTGCCCCAGGCTCTCCAGCCCCACACTCTTGGGGCTCTGTTCTCGAACAAACAGAGCCACAGTTGGCTGGCCGATCTCTGAAAACAGGAAGATGGCCTCATGCATGCCTAAGGCGCAGCAGAGTGCCGGGGACTGTCTGCTCCGTGGTCATCCACACCTCAAGGCCGATGCTGGAGAGTGGCCAGGTGGGCCAGGAGCATGGCAGCCCACGAGGCTGGATGTGCAATACCTGGGTGCTCTTCTTCCTTCAGCCTCGGGTGGGGGCCCACCCCAGGCCGCTCCTTGCCTCAGTTTACCTCTCTGTTCAATGGTCCTGTGCATGGGAAAGGACAGTTACATCTGAGCTGGCCTGGGCCCAAAGCTTCCTGCTGCCCCTAAGCCAGCTACCCCCTGGCTCAGGCCTCAGAGGCGGCAGCCCTCACTGGCTGGCTTCCCCCTAGACCTCCTGAGACGGGGAAGGGCTGTCTGGGACCTGAGGCTGCCACACACCTCCCCGTGAAAAGCCTCTTCCTTCTCTGTGGCTTCGTGGGAGACCAATCTGTCAACTTCCTCCCAAGAACATGTGCCCCAAGTTGGCCTGGCCCTTCCTCAGCACCTGGAAGAGGGCCCCCCTGAAATCTCCTGCCCCCAGATTTATTCTGCCTCCTTGGCAGCCCAACCTTCTGGCTCTGTGATTTTCATAACTAAGTGGTTCACTAATTACGAGAGAAATATTATGCCTCTGACAGATCTCAGACAGTGCTTCCAGCCCAGCCTGCAGTCTAAGGCTGCCCAAACACCCAGGAGCAGGCTGGGCAGTGCCTCATTAGAAACTGGGTGAGTCCAACAGGTGGGGCCCTCCCAGCTTGAGTCTGGGATGGAGCAGAGCCCCAAGGCCTCCCCTCTTGCTCTCACTGACATGAGGGTACAGGAGGCCCAGGCCCCGCCTTCTGGAGGCCCTCTGGGTGGGTCAGTGCAGCCAGCCAAGAAGATGTCCAATTTCCAATCTCCGGTTTTATCTCCAAATCCCAGCTCTGTGTAATCTCCTCTGCTCCCCCGAGGGGCTGAGCTTGGTGAAGGAGCAAAAGCCTTTGCCTCCCCGTTGATGGCGCGTCCTCTGAGCCTGAGGAGACCAGTTGTTTTTCATCGTATCGATCTGGCCTTGCTGCGGAACACTGAGTCGAGGGTGTTATGAGGGGCTGGTGGATTTTGGAGGCTGCCTAGGGGAGGGGGCTCACCTGGCGTCTAATGTAGGTGGGGGGCTCTGCATGTCCTGATCCATCCTGCCCTCAACTGCAGCCAGTACAACAGATGCTTGGAGGGGGACACGCCCAGACGGCTGCCCCCACCAAGGGGCAGCGTGGGGAGGGCGAGGATGGTGATGATTATGGAATGTTTCAGTTCTGGCGTTAGAGGCTGGTGGCTGTGAGGGACTGGGGGTGGAGGGGTGCGGGGGGCAGGGGCCTGACGCTTGCTCTGCTCTTCCCCCTGCCCCATCAGAAGCCCAGTGCAAACCTTACTACTCCGACTACTCCCGCTTCCGGCTCCTCGTCCACCACTTGTGCACCAGCCACTACCTGGACCTCTTCATCACAGGTGTCATCGGGCTGAACGTGGTCACCATGGCCATGGAGCACTACCAGCAGCCCCAGGTAGGAGCGAGTGGACCAGCCATCTGGCCCCCCCACCTCCAGCTGAGGAACCTCTGGGCAAGGTTAACACAGCCTGAGCCAGGGTACCTCTGTGCCAAGCAAGTGCTAGGCACACTACATGGGTTCCTCTTGTGCCCCTTGGAGGTGGGTATCATCTTTGTTTTATAGATGAGGACACTGAGGCTCAGAGATGTTAGTTGATGTGGCCAAGGTCACACAGAAAGGGAGTGGAGGACCTGGTTTCTTCATCCAGCAAATGTTGAGCGTCTACTATGAGCTGCGCTCTGGATCTTTGAGGGTAAAAAGGCAGATGGATGCCTGCCCTTCTGGAGTTGAGATTCTAGCGAACGTCCAGCTCCAGAGCTCACCTGTGACCTTGCCACTTCTCCAGTCAGCCTCCCTTGGCTGCCTTCCAGCCGTCGGTTTCCCTGTCCATCCAATGAGGGGGTTGAATTTGTAATGCACAAGGCCCCTTCCAGTCCTGGCATGCCGTGTCATCTAGTACATTCTCATGTGATCTCCTCACCATCTCCCAAGGAGAAAGATCCTTTAGCATAAGGTTGATTCATTCATGTGAATAAGTGCCCTACTCCCTTCTGGGGTTTGGTGGCTAATGGCCAGCCATCATGATGGGAACAGAGAAGACAGGGCTCCTTGGAGTTCCCCTGCCTCTCAGACCTGGGCGGTATGATGGAGGGGCGGGGGGACAAGCCCCAGCCCTGGGCCTTAAGGGACCCTGCATCTTGCCCCCATCCCTGCCAGATTCTGGATGAGGCTCTGAAGATCTGCAACTACATCTTCACTGTCATCTTTGTCTTGGAGTCAGTTTTCAAACTTGTGGCCTTTGGTTTCCGTCGGTTCTTCCAGGACAGGTAACGGAGAAAAGGGGGGTCTTGGGGACTTGCGTAGAGATAGAAAGGAATGAGTCTCTTGGGGAAATACCCAGGAAGACCTAGTGTCTAAGACTTTTCTTAATTCCTGAGGTTCAGCCCCCACCCTGTGGCTGACGTAGGGGACTAGGGGATGGGAAGGCATGGTCTCCAGGACCAGGAGATGGGAAGGCATGGAGAGAATTTGACAAGACAGGGCCTGGGGGATGCTGGCAGCTAGAAATCAGTGTGACCTAGCCTGGGGCTTAAGAGCACAGAGCCTGGAGCCAGACTGCCTGAACTGGATTTGAATCCTGGTCTCACCACTTAGTAGCTGGTGGCCTTGGGTAAGTTACTTAACCTCTCTGTGCCTCAGTTTCCTCATTTGTAAAATGAGAGAAAATAATAGTATCCACATCACAGAGTTGTGAGATTATGAATTCCTATTTGGTTTTGAGGGTGTTTTTCGTTTTGTTTTGTTTTGTTTTGTTTTCTGATGCCCAGGCTGGAGTGCAGCAGCTCAGTCATGGCTCACAGCAGCCTTGACCTCCTGAGTTCAAGCTGTCCTTTCACCTCAGTCTCCCAGGTAGCTGGGACTACGGGCACCCACTGCCACACGCAGCTAATTATTTTTTATTTTTATTTTTAGTAGATACAGGGTCTCACTATGTTGCCCAGGCTGTTCTCGAACTCCTGAGCTCAAGTGATCCTCCCACCTCAGACTCCCAAAGTGTTGGGACTGCAGGTGTGAGTTCCTATTTGTAAAGCTCTTAAAAGTGCCTGGTGCATAGTGAACACCATATAAGTGCTAAATTAAAAATAAAAGCAAATGAATACAAATGAAAAGCAGAGGCTTTTGAGCTAAAGTCCTAGTCCTACTCGTGCCACCAGTTGGCTGTGTGGCCTTAGATAAGCCACGCCTCTTCTCTGTGGGATGGGAGGCTGGACCCGCTGATGTCTGCCCTCCTTTCAAGCCCTGTCTTTCTGTGCCACGACTGCCCCCTCCTTCAGGAACCCCCTCCCCCAACTCAGGGAGCTGTATTCTGGGCTTTCCAGGTGGAACCAGCTGGACCTGGCCATTGTGCTGCTGTCCATCATGGGCATCACGCTGGAGGAAATCGAGGTCAACGCCTCGCTGCCCATCAACCCCACCATCATCCGCATCATGAGGGTGCTGCGCATTGCCCGAGGTTGGTGCCCAGCCCACGCACCTGCCCTCCTAGGGTGACCAGCCCAGGGAGAGAGAGCAAGGGTCGGCTTTGTGGCTGGTCAAGGCCTGGGCGGCTGTGGGTTCCCATGGGTCTTTCTCCCAGCTTCTGCCAAGGGAGGCTGGAGACAGGGCTGAGGATGGGGATGCAACCTGGCTGGCCCGGAGATGGCCATCCCAGCAGCCCCAGCCCAGCCCTGGTCCTGACTCTGCCAGCTGTCTGGCCGGGGACCCAAAGAGGCCAGCTCATGACGTTGTCCTGTTCTGCAGTGCTGAAGCTGCTGAAGATGGCTGTGGGCATGCGGGCGCTGCTGGACACGGTGATGCAGGCCCTGCCCCAGGTAGCCGGGAGGTGGGGGGCCTCTGGGGAGGGGGAGGTGCTTTCCAGAGGGAAGGGGCTCAGAGAAGCTGACTGGGAGACCCAGCGGCATCGTTTCTATTTCTTCTCCTTTTTTCCAGGTGGGGAACCTGGGACTTCTCTTCATGTTGTTGTTTTTCATCTTTGCAGCTCTGGGCGTGGAGCTCTTTGGAGACCTGGGTGAGTTGGGGTAGGGGAGGGTGGAGGAGCCAGGGCTGGAGACCAGGGGGCTCCTGGACTAACATGGGCCTCTCCCCCTTTCCCTCCTCCCCCAGAGTGTGACGAGACACACCCCTGTGAGGGCCTGGGCCGTCATGCCACCTTTCGGAACTTTGGCATGGCCTTCCTAACCCTCTTCCGAGTCTCCACAGGTGACAATTGGAATGGCATTATGAAGGTAAGGGCCCAGGGTTGGCCTAGGCTCCAGGGAGGCAGCCCCACTTCCTGAGCTAGGATTCCTTGGGAAGATGAATTGGCCACAAATAAAAGCATGTGACCTTCTCTCCCCCGTGCTAGAACACTCTGGAACTCCCTCTCCCAGGAACATGCTCTGACTCACACTTGTAGTGCTCCTCTGCCCCCAAACACTCCCTCCTCCTCCCCTTCCTTCCCATCCTCCAATGCTCTGTGACACCAGTGACCTGATTTTCCACAACAGCTCCAACAACTGTCCTCCCCAGCCTCACCCCTCTATTCCACCCTCCCCAGGACACCCTCCGGGACTGTGACCAGGAGTCCACCTGCTACAACACGGTCATCTCGCCTATCTACTTTGTGTCCTTCGTGCTGACGGCCCAGTTCGTGCTAGTCAACGTGGTGATCGCCGTGCTGATGAAGCACCTGGAGGAGAGCAACAAGGAGGCCAAGGAGGAGGCCGAGCTAGAGGCTGAGCTGGAGCTGGAGATGAAGACCCTCAGCCCCCAGCCCCACTCGCCACTGGGCAGCCCCTTCCTCTGGCCTGGGGTCGAGGGCCCCGACAGCCCCGACAGCCCCAAGCCTGGGGCTCTGCACCCAGCGGCCCACGCGAGATCAGCCTCCCACTTTTCCCTGGAGCACCCCACGGTGAGCAGACACCCACCCCAGCCGTGAGAGGAGCTGGGGCAGGAGAAGGGTGTGGAGGGTGGTGGGCGGGAGCCAAGCGGGCAGCACACAAACCCTAGGCTCCTCCTGGAGGCTCCCGCCCTCCGTCCTGGATGCTGAGCGAGCAGTCACTGCCCCTCCCCAGGGATGGCTGCCCACACTCACCCCACAGGGCCACCCCAGCAGACGGGCCAGCTTAGCCATGCCCTGCTCCTCCAGCCTGGTCTGGCCTCCCCTTCCTGACTCATAGGTTCAAGGCTAAGTTTTCTGTTTCCTTCCTGTTTCTTTCTTACCCTTGCCCAACTGCCAAATCTCTTTCCTACCCACCCTTTAACCTGCCTGATTCTCTTCCATCTCTCCATCCTTTTATCTTCTCTTTACCGCTCTCTCTCTCTCCCCCCGCCGTGGGCTCTGCTCATTTTCCATCTCCCATCTCTCCTTCCTCCTTCGCCTTCCCTCTTCCCCACCCCCTCCTCTTTTTCTCTTTGTTGCTGTGTGTGTTTTTGTGTGTGTGCACATGTGCATGTGTGTTGTCTGGGTGTCACCTCTTTCTCCTCTGTTTCTCTTGTCAATCCCCTTCCACGACACTTCCCATCACTGCCCTCTGACCCCTGCTCCCCTGCCTCTCCGGCTCCCCTTACGGGCTGGCTCCCCAGGACAGGCAGCTGTTTGACACCATATCCCTGCTGATCCAGGGCTCCCTGGAGTGGGAGCTGAAGCTGATGGACGAGCTGGCAGGCCCAGGGGGCCAGCCCTCTGCCTTCCCTTCTGCCCCCAGCCTGGGAGGCTCCGACCCACAGGTTACTGTGCCCCTGTGCTGTGCCCTCTCCCCTGACCGTGCTGGGCTGTGCCACGCTGTGCCATGCTTCTGGGGAAGCTGGGAGTGTTCCTGCCCACTGGGTATCTGTAGAAAGTGCAGCCTTGGAGCCTCAGTTGAGTGCAAGAGGCAGTCAGGGGTTCTTCTAGACTGAGATCACCTCCAGAAAAGAGCTGGAAGGCAGGGCTGCTGAGATTGCCCCTCTGATGAGAAGGGTGTGTGGAGGAGGAGCTTGGGGAGGGGAGAGGGGATTTGTAAGAATCTGGAAGAGAAAAGAGGGGATGGGGCAGAAGATAAGTTAGCAGGGGGACCTTAGGGGGTGGAGGGAAGGAGGTATCAGATCCAGGGAGGAAGGCCTCCAGAGACAGTGTAGGTGGCCAGGGAGCCCGCTGCCAAGCTGCAGTCTCTCTATCTGCTCGTGTCCAGCACACACTTGCCAGTCCTCAGTTTGGTGGCTTTTTAAGCCATGGAGCCCACTGGGCATGGTGAGTGCTGTCAGGAGCCACTGATTTCTGTCCTGAGAGAGATAGAAGGCTCCAGCTGGGAGTGGATTTTGAGAACTTGGTGTGAAATAGGACTTGGCTTCCTGCCCAAGCCCAGCCCCTTCCCACAGCGCCACATGGCCCTCTCCCCCAGTCCCATTTAATTCCAGGTCTTCTGCTTTCTGGGCTGTTCCTGCCCTCCTCCCCTCCCCTTGATCCCCTCACCACGACCCACTACCACGTGAGAGAGGGCCCCACCCTCCCTCCACCTAGGTGAGAGGCTGCAGACCCGGAGTGGAGACAGGTGTCAGCTGCAGATAGAAAAGCCGAGTCCTCCAGAGGCCCTTTTGGGTGGTGGGGCAGGCAGGTTCTTAGGAAGCCTTTAGCCTGATCCCAGAAAAATGGACAGTGATCCTCATGTGGGAAGGGACCTTGCCTCTTGTTGGGATTCAGTCTCAGATCTGGCAATGACCTAGAATGATCAGTGGGAAAGTGAGTCCCTTTCCGAGGCCTCCCCTTCCTGAAAGAGGCTCACAGGGAAAGGTTGTGGGAGAAGAGGACACGATGGGAAGGTGATGGGGTTCTGGGAGGGACGGTCCAACTGTCCCCTAGCATCCTGTGGGCACTGAGGCAACCCCCTGGGTCCCAGGTGAGCCAGCCAGATGGTGTGGCAGCCCACCCGAGTGCGCCCACTTCAGGCTAACGGGAGAACATCTCCCAGAGCCCAAGTTGGAGAGGGCGGGCGGGCTGCAGGCAGGCGGAGGAGGGCCCACGAGGGGAGAAGCCAGAATCTGGGGGCAGGCCAAGTCCTGCCAGGCTGTTGGAAGCCGAGAGAATAGGCAGAAAACAGCCGTCAGATTGGTGGCATTGTCGCCGGCGCCCCCCGTGCCGCTCTGTCTGTGCCGGGAGGAGAGACAGTGCTTTGCTGGCCTTTCTTCATTTTTTTTTTTTTTGGTATCATCTTTTTGAGAGTCGCAAGCCCTCGGTCCTCCCGCTCCCTCCCTGGGTGGTGGTAGTGTGGGAGGGGCTGGGGAGGCTCCTGGGGTATCTTTAGAATGCGTTTCTGTGTCTCCTCGCTTTGTCAGTGTTTGCTCTGGCTCTTCAGTGCCTGCCGCAGCCTCTCTGATCAGAGCAGGGGGTTGAAGTGGGTGCGGGGAGGCACTGTCAGCTTGTTTGGGGAAAGGGTGGGGAGAGAGAAGGGATGCCTTTTTCCCGCCCCCCTGTGCTTCGTGAAAAGGGGGAAGTGGGGACTGAGAGAGAGCGCGTGTGTGCGTGTGCACGCGCGTGTGCGCTGTCCTGGTTTCTCATGCCTGATCATCTCTCTCCCTGTCTAGATCCCTCTAGCTGAGATGGAGGCTCTGTCTCTGACGTCAGAGATTGTGTCTGAACCGTCCTGCTCTCTAGCTCTGACGGATGACTCTTTGCCTGATGACATGCACACACTCTTACTTAGTGCCCTGGAGAGCAATGTACATACACACTGCCCTCACTGCTCCCGGCCACCCCCGGGGCTGGACTGGCTGCAGGGCTCCAGATCGGCCCAGGGAGGGTCCTGGGGCCGCCTCCTCTCAGTTTGCTGCCAGGCTCCACCCAGAGGCATCAACTGTCAGGACCTCGGTGGCCCACGCTTTGCTGGCACAAGGTCTTCAGGTTCCCCACTGGGGACAAAGAGATTAGATAAGTTTAAATTGGGGCCTTGCCCTGAAGGGTATAGGAGCAGCGGCAGCCATTATGAAAAAGTGAATCCAGACACCCAGGAGTGACACGGCCCAAAACAGGTGTCATCAGAGTCAATCTATGAATTTGGAGCCCTGTGCAAGCCAGCCCTCCCTGTGCCTGTTCCCCTCCTCCCCACCCCACCCCACCCCCCAACAACATGAGACCTTCACACCACGTGGTGGGTGAGAGCCGCATCTCTGCCACCGCTGCCATGCCCTTCTTCACTTGGAGCGCTGTTCCTGTCTCCTCCGTCACTGTCCCCGTGTGTCCCTGCGTCTTCACCAAACTCAGTGGGGTGAATGGGGCTTCTCTGTGCTCTGATAGCTTCCCTACCCTTTCCCTTCTCCAGCTCCCGTCCCTTCTGACTGTGAGCAGCCCCCTCCTCTCCACTGTTCCCCTCCTGTTGTCAGAGGAGGGCCCAGCTGAGGCAGGGACTGGACCACCGGCTGGGGTGTCCCTAGGGGTCTTGGGTGGCTGGCAGTAGTGGAGCCTGGGGCTGAGAGGGGAAGCAAAATAAGATTGTCCTCCAACTTAGCCATCCTCAGGCCTGCTGGGGCTATTTAACTGGCTGGGCCTGCATGGCGACAGGGCCCCTACAGCCTCCCTGGGAACAAGGGGTGAAGGGTTCAGGGGGAAGGGGGTCACAGAGTGATGGAGAAACCTCTTGAGAACAAACTAGGCTCCCTCATGCTGGAGTCCAAGGCTGAGTACCTCCCTTCTCTGAAACAGAGCAACAACCCCACTCCCACCCCGAGTCTGTCCACTAAGGGAGCAGCTGAATTTGGCCTCCACCCTCACCTGCCAGAGTTATTGGTTAAAGTGGAGGTCAGGGAGCCAGCTGTGACATGCCTCTGGTGGTCATCTGCCATTCAACTCACCTGAACCCAACCCAGGCCCTGTGCTGGGACCTGGGGCTGCTGTAAGAACTGGATGAACAGCCTGCAACCTGCAAGCTCTCCTGAGCTGCCTGGTCCCTGCTCCTTGGGAGGGTCCTCTCCCCCTCACCTCCCCCACTGACAGCACAGGGTCGTAGGGGCTGCTGTTGGCTTTTTTTTTTTTTTTTTTTTTTGAGACAGGGTCTCACTCTGTTGCCTAGGCTGGAGTGCAGTGATATGATCCCAGCTCACTATAGCTTTGACCCCCCCGGCTCAAGCAATCCTCCCACCTCAGCCTCTGGAGTAGCTGGGATTACAGGTGCCACGCCACCATATCCAGCTAATTTTTTTTTTTTTTTTTTTTTTTTTTTTTTTAGAAATGGGGTTTTGCCATGTTGCCCAGGCTGGTCTCAAACTCCTGAGCTCAAGCGATCTGCCCACCTTGGCCTCCCAAAGTGCTGGGATTACAGGCATGAGCCACCAGCCACTGTGCCTGGCCTGCTGTTAGCTTTTAATCCTCCCCTGAGCTGCTCTGGGTCAGGGCCCCAGCCCATCCCTGTGGACACCGGGACTCCCTTCAGAGCCTCTAAATGGGGCCTTTAGAATCAGCTTGTGAGCCACCTGCAGGGCTGGGGGCTGGGGGCTGCTCTCCCTTCTCTGGATACCTCCCCGCCCCTCCACCACCACAGTGGGAGCTTAAAGGTGATACAATGTGTGCAGTTTTGCAGGGGGTGGGGGGCAGGGCCTGCAGACTCTCCCGGCTGCCCAGACCCCCTCCTACCTGCTTCCTCCCCGCGTGTGGAGGGCTCATCCATGTGTCTGCCCCTCTCCCCAGCCATGCTCATGCCCATCTCTACCTTGTCCTGGGAGGGCACGGGGGTGAGGGCTGGGCGGGGGGCGCTGCTGCTTTCTGTTGTCAGCGCTGCCTCAGTTACCAAACCCACGCACACCCTCTTCCTCCACCTCCCTCCCCTGTTCCTTTTGCAGATGCAGCCCCACCCCACGGAGCTGCCAGGACCAGACTTACTGACTGTGCGGAAGTCTGGGGTCAGCCGAACGCACTCTCTGCCCAATGACAGCTACATGTGTCGGCATGGGAGCACTGCCGAGGGGCCCCTGGGACACAGGGGCTGGGGGCTCCCCAAAGCTCAGTCAGGTACCAGGGCTAGAGCAGGCCAATTTGGCTCACACAGGGAGATTCCATCCTGGCCTAAGCCAGTCCTGATCTGAGGGGATGGGGAACTGAGGCAGCCAAAGAGGTATCTCTGACCTCAGGGGAGCCTCCAGCCTGGGGGAATGGCTTTGAGTCCAGGGGGTAAGGGTAGAGGCCCTGATGAGGGGGAGAGAGTGGAAGGGAGGGCTCAGGTGAGAACCTGCTCCCCTGAACCCTCCAGCTCCATTCTCTCCCCCCACCCCTCCCCCGCTTCCCTCCCTCCACAGGCTCCGTCTTGTCCGTTCACTCCCAGCCAGCAGATACCAGCTACATCCTGCAGCTTCCCAAAGATGCACCTCATCTGCTCCAGCCCCACAGCGCCCCAACCTGGGGCACCATCCCCAAACTGCCCCCACCAGGACGCTCCCCTTTGGCTCAGAGGCCACTCAGGCGCCAGGTGAGCAGATGTGGAAAGGCAGGCACAGGCCTGGGGGCTGGACCCTCTGCTGCTGGTGATGACCTGTGTTGACACTTTCATTCTTCCAGCAAATATTTATTGTGTGCCAGTGATGTGCCAGGCTCAGTTGCAGATACCAGGGACACAGTACTGGGCAAAGCAGAAGTGGTCTGTGCCTTCTTGAAATTTGCACCCAGTTCCTTGTTCCACTGAGGAGGCCTGGAGACCAGAAGGGGTAGTGCTTGCCCAGGGTCATGCCTATCTGGTCGGAGGTAGAACCCCAGTCTCTGGTCTTTCCTTCCTCACCAACCAGAGCTGCCTCCCAATTCTTCTCCCCACTTTGGACTGAGCTATGGGGCACAAGGCAGGTTTTAAGTGTCTTCACTTTTGGCCAAGCCTAGGGCCCACCTTCCAGAGCCCAGATTCTTTTTTTTTTTTTTTTTTTTGAGTTTCGCTCTTGTTGCCCAGGCTGGAGTGCAATGGCACAATCTTGGCTCCCCGCAACCTCCGCCTCCTGGGTTCAAGTGATTCTCCTGCATCAGCCTCCCGAGTAGCTGGGATTACAGACATGCGCCACCATGCCTGGATAATTTTGTATTTTTAGTAGAGATGGGGTTTCTCCATGTTGGTCAGGCTGAGCTCGAGCTCCCAACCTCAGATGATCTGGCCGCCTCGGCCACCCAAAGTGCCGGGATTACAGGCGTGAGCCACCGCGCCCGGCCCCAGAGCCCACCTGTGATAAGGCCACAGCCCATGCCATGTGTGTGTCCTGAGGCATGAGCGTGGACACATGAGAATCTCAATCCCACATGCTTGGGGGAGCAGGCACAGTCCTTATTCATTCTGCAAATAGTCACTAAGCAGCCTCTGTGTGCCAGGCACTGGCGACACAGCCCCTGCCCCCTGAAGCTCACAGTCTAATAGTGGAGACATGCCTGCCATCAGATCATTGCAGCCTCAGCTCACAGCTGCCAGACACCTATGTGTGGAGGGCAGCAGGGACACAGAAGGGGAAGGGGTCGGTTTTACTTGGGGACAGAGACTGTCACACACTGTGTCACAGAGAACCTGAGTCCGTAAAATCGAGGGATTCTTGCCAATCAGGAAGGGTATTCAGAGCCAAAGGGGAAGTCTAGGCAGAGGCGGGGAGGCGTGAAGGAGCCAGCTCAGTGAGCAGAGATGGCCTGGCTTCTCTCATATCCCAGGAGGCAGGGGCTGCAGAGAGAGCGATTCTTGCAGGCTTAGGGGAGACCAGAGCATGGGGGAGGGAAGACAGGGTTTAGTGGGGAGAGAGGAGGCATGGTGGACAACAGAGGTCAGGCTGCAATGACCCCTATCTACTAGTAAGAGCGGCTACCAGGACCTCTGCTTAGGATAGTCCTGCTGTGCCTGGTGGTGGTGGGCAGGGGGCACAGCCAGCTTGACAGGAGGGCTAGTCCATGCTGGAGAGGAGACTGCTGGGCTGAGCCCTCCCCCACCCCATATAGGCAGCAATAAGGACTGACTCCTTGGACGTTCAGGGTCTGGGCAGCCGGGAAGACCTGCTGGCAGAGGTGAGTGGGCCCTCCCCGCCCCTGGCCCGGGCCTACTCTTTCTGGGGCCAGTCAAGTACCCAGGCACAGCAGCACTCCCGCAGCCACAGCAAGATCTCCAAGCACATGACCCCGCCAGCCCCTTGCCCAGGCCCAGAACCCAACTGGGGCAAGGGCCCTCCAGAGACCAGAAGCAGCTTAGAGTTGGACACGGAGCTGAGCTGGATTTCAGGAGACCTCCTGCCCCCTGGCGGCCAGGAGGAGCCCCCATCCCCACGGGACCTGAAGAAGTGCTACAGCGTGGAGGCCCAGAGCTGCCAGCGCCGGCCTACGTCCTGGCTGGATGAGCAGAGGAGACACTCTATCGCCGTCAGCTGCCTGGACAGCGGCTCCCAACCCCACCTGGGCACAGACCCCTCTAACCTTGGGGGCCAGCCTCTTGGGGGGCCTGGGAGCCGGCCCAAGAAAAAACTCAGCCCGCCTAGTATCACCATAGACCCCCCCGAGAGCCAAGGTCCTCGGACCCCGCCCAGCCCTGGTATCTGCCTCCGGAGGAGGGCTCCGTCCAGCGACTCCAAGGATCCCTTGGCCTCTGGCCCCCCTGACAGCATGGCTGCCTCGCCCTCCCCAAAGAAAGATGTGCTGAGTCTCTCCGGTTTATCCTCTGACCCAGCAGACCTGGACCCCTGAGTCCTGCCCCACTTTCCCACTCACCTTTCTCCACTGGGTGCCAAGTCCTAGCTCCTCCTCCTGGGCTATATTCCTGACAAAAGTTCCATATAGACACCAAGGAGGCGGAGGCGCTCCTCCCTGCCTCAGTGGCTCTGGGTACCTGCAAGCAGAACTTCCAAAGAGAGTTAAAAGCAGCAGCCCCGGCAACTCTGGCTCCAGGCAGAAGGAGAGGCCCGGTGCAGCTGAGGTTCCCGACACCAGAAGCTGTTGGGAGAAAGCAATACGTTTGTGCAGAATCTCTATGTATATTCTATTTTATTAAATTAATTGAATCTAGTATATGCGGGATGTACGACATTTTGTGACTGAAGAGACTTGTTTCCTTCTACTTTTATGTGTCTCAGAATATTTTTGAGGCGAAGGCGTCTGTCTCTTGGCTATTTTAACCTAAAATAACAGTCTAGTTATATTCCCTCTTCTTGCAAAGCACAAGCTGGGACCGCGAGCACATTGCAGCCCCAACGGTGGCCCATCTTCAGCGGAGAGCGAGAACCATTTTGGAAACTGTAATGTAACTTATTTTTTCCTTTAACCTCGTCATCATTTTCTGTAGGGAAAAAAAAAAGAAAAAGAAAAAATGAGATTTTACAAGTGAAATGGAACCTTTTTATATATACATACATACATATCTATCTATCTATCTATATATATATAAAATAAAGTAATTTTCCTAAATAAAAAGCTAATCACGGTCCAGAGTAAAAGCAAAAGGGATGGAGAGTTAGGCACGTCCAGATGGCATTGATGAGAGAGAGATCCTGGAGATGGGGAGTGGGCGGCGGGGAGGGAAGCTTCAGGGCTGCCTCTTTGTGTGTGTATGAGTGTGTATGTGTTTGTGTATATGAGTGCGTGTGTGTATATGAGTGTGAGAGTGTGTGTGTCTGAGAGTGAGAGAACCTGAACCCCTTGCTGTGGAAGGCTGCACCTCTAGCCTGCCCTCCCCAGCCGTGAAGGAGAGGAGGAGCCCCTCCGCCTGGTGCAGGCTGGGGAGGCAGGGTCTCTTCTGCTGCTATCAAAGCTTTACAGCTTCCTCTAGCTAGGCAGCTCAGTGAATGGGAGTAATTCCAGATTAACTCTTATTTCTGCTGACAGCTATCAGCCGCACATTGAAAGCTGGAAATTGGCATAATGAAGCTGTTTTGGTTAATGGGGCCGACTGAGGCTGGGGGAGGTTGCCTCAGAGGCTGCAGATCTGGATCTGTGGGTTGGTGGGGGAGGGGGGAAGTGTTTCTGGGTTTTCCTTCCTGAAGCTTCAGCACGGATTTGCCACACTTCTGGCTGGATGCGTGACCTGAGCTGTCTGGACTTCAGCCTCCTGCCTTGGGGGCGGGCTTAGCTGACTGGCATTACAGGCACTGTCCGATGGGGACCTCGTCCACCTGCCCGCAATGGAATTAAACCGTGTCAACGGAGTGGGCTGTGCTTCCTGAGGATGAGAGTCCAGGGCTGGGCGTCCAGAGGCAACCTCCTGGTGGAGGTGGTAGGGTCAGAGGCCAGGTGCTGAGTGGGGAGCTGGCCCCCTGGGCGGTGATGAGCGAGCGCTCAAGATGTTTACATGCACTGCTGCTGCTGCCTGCCTAGCGGGAGCCAGTGGAGGAGGGAGGTGTGAAGGTGGCCAGGGGCAGGCAGACAGGAAGAGGGGGAGTGGCGTGGCCCAGGCCACCTGTCTGGTGCTACTGCAGACAATATTCTCTTGTCTGAAATCTTGGTGCCAAGAGGTGGTGACCATGGGTCCAGCCAGCCTGTCACCTAGCCACCTCCCAAACATCTGTCCCAATCCCACTCCCTTGAACAGCCCCCTCCCCTCGCCCCCAGGGCCTTCAAACCCCAGGATTGGATTGGGTTTTTGAAACCTCAGTGGCAACGCTCGCTCACAAACCGTCTGATCCGGTCAACTGGGAGCTGGGGGCACCAGGCTGCCGGGCGAGTGGACCTGGAGGCGTTGTCCAGCATTGTTTTCTAAGCTGGGTGAGAGCTTTTCTCATTGCTCTTTTGGACAGAACTCATACCGCTCCTTGAAGCCAAAGCCTGGTTTTATCCTTTTAGGGTGTGCAATAATGTCAAACTTTTTCCTCTGGCCTCCTTGGGTGGGGAGAGGGAGTGCTTGTAGGAGCTGCCATTTAAGATAAAAAAAGCAAAGCTGTACAAAATTCCTAGAGTTCTGTCACCTGGATCTGCAGACTAAGCTTTTATATTTTTGTAGAATTCTATAGCTGTCTATTCCCTAATGACGTTGGAGGGTATGGGGAGGGGGTTCTGGGATCTTTCATTCTCCTAGTGGTTAGAAGATTCTGGGTCAAGGTGAAGCCAGAGAGCTGGACTCCTACCCCTCCCCACTCTTCCAGCACCCCCTCTCCCCGCTCCCGACCACCAGCCCAGCAGCACTAGAGTACTGGAGAGTTGCTTAGGTTGAGTCTTAGCATGCCTGGTTCTTTGTGCGTTCCTCTTCCCCTGGCCTCCTCTTCCCAGTAGGGACCAAGGAATTTGGGGTGAACTTACTATGCTTTTGGGTTGCTCTGTAGAGATCTGCAGGGACCAGCCCAGTGAAAACAAAAAGGTTCCCCTATTCCCTCCCCAGCAGCCCTCTCTGTGGCCTGGAGGGTTTCTCTGGAAGAGGGCAGTGCCTGGAGGGGAGCCTCTGGATAGTGATGTGGAAATATTAACAACAGAGTCAAAGCGGGTATTTTGGGGTAGTCGGGGAGAAAACTGTGACCTCTCCCCCCAATGATGTAAAATCTTTATCAATGATGGAAACTGTTGTGTCTCATTAAAAGGGTTTTGAGGTGGAAAAGCAGCTGCCGCTGGATCTTAATAATAATATCAAACTGCTAACCTCATGCTGCTTGTCTGGGTGGTTATTTGATGCTGCTCTGGGATACATAAGGGGTGGGGGTAGGGGGTGGAGAAAATGAAGGAGGCTGGGATGGGGAGTGGATGGTGGGGGCAGCAGGTCTTGGATGAGGACTCCAGGGGCAGAATGGAACTGGCTAGGGGCTTCAGGGATGTGGGGGCTTTTAGAATTAGGAATATCTACCCTGGTGCCTTTGTCCTCAGCCTTCCCCTTCGGGGTTCAGAAGAAATTGTGACAGCGGCTGTAGGCCCCCACCTCAAGCTTGGCTGTTTCTGCTTCCTCCACCCCCAAGACTCCAGGAAAAGGTCTGTGTGGGGGTGGGGACTGGGAAGAGGAGTGAGCTGAGCTGGGGATAAAAACAAATCTGAGGCTCATATGCAGTCTCTCACTCCTCAACACACCCTAGCAAGGGAAGTCTGATTGCTATTTCTCCATGAGGCAGCGGGGTTCAGAGAGGTTAAGTGAATTGCCCGTGGTCACACAGCCAGGAGATGGCAGAGCTGAGATTTGACCCTACGTCTGGCCAACCTCCAGCCCACACTACTCCTGTCTCTTCTCAGTGTGGAGGAAATGGGGCACGATGGGAAGAATCCTGCTCAAAAAATGACTTGCTGGTGGGCGCTTTTCCAAAGTAGTCACATTCACGTTCATACAAATATGCACACGTGTTCCCCGCATGGCAAACTCAGAGGCTTAGAGAGGCCCCCAGCCTCCCACCTGGTGGGCCACCAGCTTTTGGCCATAGGGAATGGTGGTGAGAGGAGTTCAATCACAGGAGAAGGCATCCCTCAGCTCCAGGCGCTTGTCCAAGAGCTGGCCAAGGGTAGCTCTGCAATCACTGTGGGTTCCCAGGCTCCACCCTTCCGCAGCATAACGCTGCCCTTGAACCCCATGGTACCTGTTCTTTTCCCCATCCCGCCTTCTTCTCTCTTCCTCTCCTCTAACCCTGCCCTACCTAAACCTCACCCACTTTCCAAACAGCTTTCACTCCTATCTCCACCCTAGTCCCCACCTGCCACAGCCTGGTGCCCCATGGCCTATTTTCTCTTCCCTTGGGCCAGCTGAGCAGCCCGTGGAGTGGGGCTGGCAACAGCAGTGCAATGAGGGCATCAGACACCAGGTGGCGGCACAGGGCACCCTCACCTGGTGCCACCTGGTGCCCCTCCTGCAAAGGGACCAAGCCAGGGAGAGGGCACCAACACCGATGGACACCTTCTAGGGACAGGTGCCCTGTATAACCTCAGAAGGAGGAAGCAGGCCTGCAGGGCCCAGTGAAGGACTTTGTGTATGGAGAAGCCCAAACAGGAATCCCCGCCATCTGAGTGCTGAGCCCACGGTGTTCAATATCCCTTGGCTAAAGCTAGGAGACTCAGGGCTAATCCAGGACAATGGTTGCCAGGAGGGAAACGAACTCTCAAAGCAAGTTGAGTTGTGGCCTGGAGTCCCACTCCAGGGCACAGCAAGGCAGGTCAAGGAGGCAGCTGCTCCAGCTAAGCCCCAAAAGGGAATTCTGCTAAGAATTTTGAAACTGTGTGTCTTAGCCTTGGTTCCAGGTGTGGGATCTGCGAACTGTGGCCCACAGAGCTAATTAATTCTTCTTGCTTTGAAAACTCCAGAATTGGGCACAGCAGCCAGCACTCTCCCCTGCATGCCAAATCAGATCAAGTGCAGGTTGGCGGCAGAGGGGCAGCCTCACTGAGGGCCATGAGTGGGGCCAGTGGGGCCACCATTAGGCTGGGGTCTGGAGGAAGCAGACCCCACTTCAGGGGAGAGGACAAGGGGGAGGCTGGGGCGTGGGAGCTGCAGCCTGGTTTGGGGGTGCTCCAAGCCTCCAAGGAGCCGCAAGGGGCTAAAAGGAATCAGGCAGTGCTTGGAGGGGAAGCTTTGCTATTCCACACCCTGCCCCTCTGTCTTGTCAGTTCCAACCTGCCTCTCTCCCTTCGGAGCATTTCCTGTGCCTGGGTCTCCCCATTGCCCCCATTCTGCTTTCTTCTCTCTGCTGTCATGCTTGCTCTGAGCTGTACCTTGCAATTATTTTATCTTTCCATCTCCTTGCCAGGAAATCCTTGACGCCGGGTTCCCCTGGGACACTCACTGCGGGGGAGGCACCGCACATGCTCCATCCATCCTGCCTGGAGCAGCAGTCAGTTGGGGAGGGAGGATGGGGCTTGGGCCATGAAGGCTGGGGGAGGTTTGGTCCATTTCTCTGCTGCAGCCCAACCCACAAGGCCGTTACTGCTTCTCCGGAGCCCTTCCAGCAAGAACCATCTTGGTTCTGAACACTCAAAAGCAAAGTGGGCAGTGCCCACTGCTGGGACTGTACTTAATGCCACAGTGGCCTTGTTACCTATGACTCCTTCTTAGGAAATGAGGTGTTTGCTTAATCAGTCAACAACACTTCCTGAGGACCAACTTCTCCAGGCACTGTCCTGGGTGCTGAGGATACAGTGATAAACAAACTTCAGTCCCTACCCTCAAGGTGTCCACAGTCCTCTGGGGGAGGTAAGCAAGACATCAGTGATTACAAGTGGGGGAAGCCTCCTAGCCCAGGACTGGGTTGGGGAGGTCCAAGGAAGGCTTTGACGGGGAGGGGGGCTTGAGCGAACTCTTGAAGAAGTTTGCCACTTGCAGAAAGGGAGGTAGGGTGTAGGTAGGAGAGTGCACCAAGCAGCCTTGAAGACAGATACAGGAAGTGCATCCCGCTCAAGGAGACTGCGCAGAAACAGTCTCCTCGGCAGACGTGGGGCGCCTCCTGCGTGTGCTGGGATAAGCTCTGTGGCGCTGAGCAAGCTGTAGGGTGTCTCAGGGCCTCAGATTTCTTGCTCTGGTGAGAACAACCAAAACAATAACATCCTAGAAATATTGTGGTTATTATTCAAGGGCTCTGTGAAAGGGGACACACTTCCTGAGTGGCCTGGAGGGGTAAAGCCCCAATACCTCAAGAGAGATGGGGGAAGGTGAGGATCGCTAAGGGCCCCCACCACGCCCTCAGAGTGCCCAACCCAGTGCTATAGCCTTGGGAAAGCAATAGCGATAGAAAAGCCTGGGGCTGCAAGGGATGGTGCTTCAGCTCCGATGCTGAAGCCAGAACCCAAGGGTCCTAGCCCAAAACTAGAGCTCCAGCCAGTGCACTGCCTGGCCAACTGTGGGGCTGGAAAGTCCCGGACGGAAGCTCAGGCTAGTTCTGGGCTCTCCATCTCAGAAAGGAGGTCTGATTGGGGAGCTCACCTCCCAAAGGGCCCTAAAGGAAAGTCCCCAGGTCTCCTCAAGCCCAGAGCAATCTGGTGCCTATGACCCCACAAGCCCTAGAAAAGGAATGGGAGAGGAGGGAGAGTTGGAGGAAGCCGGTGGGTAGACAAGGTCAAAACACAGGGGCAGTGGGTGCTGATGAAGCCATGACCAGGGTCATGGAAGGGGTGGAGGAAGGTTCCCAGCTGCCTAGGCCATAGAAGCCTGGCCCACCAGGGCTGGAAGAGAGCTTAGATATCACCCTGTCCACGTTTCTCAAGAAATGAAGTCCCAGAGGCATCAAGGAGCTTATTGAGATCACACAGTGTATAAAAGGTATGGAGGGGGATTGGAGGGGACTGAGTTAGTCCCTGCCCTTGGGGACCTCTCAGATTAGCAGGGAAGACAGACTCTTCATAACTAAATATAATCCAAGGCACGCCGTAACAAGGTGTAAAGCTCTGTAAAGTATTTTGCCCAGAGATGAAGGTAGGGGGACAGGAGAGGGAGGGTATGTGTGGATGAGTGGAAAGGAAGAGGGCAGACAAAGAAGGGGCTGAAAGAACTTGCCCAGTGGAGGGGTAGAAGTCCCTGGTCTGACTGCCTGGGAAAGGGGAATCTTCTCCACTCCCACCCCTATCCCATGCCCAGCCAGATCTTGGTTCTGATAGCCTATAGCCAAGGAGACTTCCCTTCTAGTGACCTCCTGGCTGCCCAGAGAGATAGGAGGTGGCTTGCCCCTTCTGCACTCTTACTGGCTCCCACCCACACCTGCCGCTGAGCAGCCAAGGAAGGAAACACCTTCTCTTGAGAACAAGGGCCAGAAAAGGGGTCACCGGGGTGAAACTGGACAGACCTGTGGGCAAAGGCAGGGAAGAGAAGGGCCAGGGAAAGATTTGCCAGGGAGAATTCCTTCTGAGCCCCAACAAGCGGTGCTGAGTTGGCGTCTGGGATTGTGTTAAGGAAGACAGGGCAACAGCGGGATTGAGAGATGGAGGGATCCCCGCATCTGAGGGGATACCGGGAGAAGGAGAGCTGAGGCAAGCAGGAGAAGGAGAGCACTGACAAGCCCATTTTACAGATCAGGAATGTAGAGTTTCAGCCTTAGGAGGAGGACGAGGACGAGGACACTCACGTGGGGCTCCTCCTGGGGCTTCACCTGTCCTTCCCCCCCCAACCCTGATCAGGCTGAAGCAGAGGGAATTCACACATGTTGGGTGCCCACTAAGTGTGCCAGGAAATACGCTTTGCCTACCCTTTCCATTCAATCCTCAGAGAACCCTGGGAGGAAGATTCTCTTCTATGATTGTCTCTATTTTACGGATGTGAAAGTAGAGGCCCAGAGACGTGCCGAGGTGATGTGGCAAGGTCAGGGAGCCACAGAGCCTAAGAGGGCAGCAGTTTAAGAGGACATAAGAGGCCCCCGCTGGACGATGCTGCGGCCCCCACCCCCGCCTCACGGGTACACACCCGCGGAGCACACCCCGTGTGCTCCCCGTGTGGCGCCTGCCAGTGGTCTCTGGAACCTGATGGGGAAGAGGTCAGCTTCCTGATTGAGCACAGAAGCCCTTCCCATTTTACAGATGAGGAAACTGACCTCCGGAGAGGAACGTGACCTTCTCAAAGATTCCTTTTTTACTAGGAAAGATTGTTAAATCCCTCTCCCTACGTCCCCTACTCAATGACTCATCGGCCCCACGGACTTGTTCGGGAGTGGGAGCGCCTGTGTATCCCAGTTCCCCCTTGGAAATAGACTCGACTCCTGGACTGTTAGCCTCGGTATTTAGAGAGACATCCCCCTGGCTTGGCCCAGGGGCCGCTCGCAGGGGCTGTCGCCGTGCCAAGGGCCCCCCCACCTCTGCCCCAAAGTCCCTCCCAGGGAGGCGCTGTCGCAACCCGCGGGACGGGGGCAGGGAGACCGGACCCAGAGGCACTGGGGTAGGGCTCGGCAGGGCGGGTCCGGGCGGAGCGCGGGGTGCGGAGGGCGGAGGCGGCTCCGGCGCCCGCTCTGCCCGCCGCTGGGTCCGACCGCGCTCGCCTTCCTTGCAGCCGCGCCTCGGCCCCATGGACGCCCTGTGCGGTTCCGGGGAGCTCGGCTCCAAGTTCTGGGTAAGGCGCGGGGCTCCGGGGTCACTGCGCGGGGGCCAGGGTCGGCCGGCTTCGCCCGGTCCCCGCCGCCTGCCTTCCCGCGGGGCCGGCAGGTATCCCGGGACGGAGCCCCTGAGACGGCCTGGGCGCCCGGGAGGGGGCGATGGGCTCGGGAGGGAGGTTGGCTGCGCCGCCCGGAGCCGGGTCCCACGCGGTGTCGGGGACCTGCCCTGCTCTGCCCTTCCCGGCTGCAGCACTGGGGAGCCCGGGAAAGTGAGGAAGAGTGCGCGGCTGGGGCGCAAAGGCACAGTGCGTGGCTGGGTGAGTCGGCTCCATCCCAGCCCCTCCGTCGGGTGCGGAAGGGGCGTTTCGCAATCAGCCGCGGGTTCCTGATGGAGGGTCTTCCCTCAGCATCTGCCTCAGGTTAGGACTCGGTTGCCCACCTGGGCATGGATTGCCCCCAGGGCATCCAGAGCACCTGCTCAACCAGGTGTTTTGGGAGGCCGGCTGTGCAGTGTCCCACCCTTCTTAGGAAGGTTTCCTGCCACCTTCTTTTCTCTAGGTAAGACTGAGGTCTGAGAGCAGGCCATCCCCACCACTCCGGACTCAGAAGGGAGAAGCAGACCCCAGTCTGGAGACAGGTGCAGGGTGTCAGGATTCCTGTAGTCCAACTCCCTTCTCACAGATGGAGAAAGGGAGGCCCAGAGAGAGGAAGGGACTTGCCCAAAGTTACCCAGTTCAATGAAGGCAGAGCTGGGATAGAAAAACAGGCTACAGGCCAGGTGCAGTGGTTCACGCCTGTAATCCCACCCTTTGGGAGGCAGAGGTGGGAGGATCACTTCAGCCCAGGAGTTTTAGATTACTGTGAGCTATGATCGCACCACTGCACTGTGGCCTGGGCGAAAGAGTGAGACCCTGTCTCTAAAAAAATAAATAAATAAGAAAAGAAAATCAAGCCTTTGGTGACTCTCACTCCAAATCTCTTTCTAAGACAGGCTGCTCTTCAGCCTGCTGACTCCAGCCTCCAGCACAGTTCAGGTGAGCTAAGTGCATACAGCCTAGGAGCTTTCTTACCAACTTGCAAAACTTACTTGCCTCTATGAGGCAAGTGATCATGTGGTCTCCGTTTTACAGAGGGAGCTCAGATTAAAGGTGCTTCTCTGTGGTCATTAAAGGGGTGTCCAGGGCTTGTGAATCCCAATCTCTAAGTCTTTTCCTATTTTGAGTATTTGTACATATATGCCCTTTGTGTGTGTACGCACACACGCAGGCACGTGGGGTGTTACCCAAGAGTTCGTGCTGTGCACGTGTGTGCACAGGTGTATAAGTCTGGAGCTATGCTCTTGGGCTGTGTTTAGAATGGGCTGAAGGCGTTATATGGATTTTTTGAAACTTGGGGCAATGGAGGTAAAAAAAAAAACTGTAAAAAGGCATATTTGGGATTCTCTCTTTTTCTGTGGGTGACCCAAAGGTTAATCCGAGATGGTGCAACTTCTCTGCCACTGCCCTTCTTTCCCAGTCCCACAGGAACTTCATGTATTATTCAGCATGGACAGGCCACTTGCCACCAGGGTCCAGAGGTTGTGCCTTTGCCTCATGAGCACACTTCCTTTCACTGCCCTTTGGGCCAGGCTGGTATGACCGTGGCAGGTTTGTGGTGCCTGGGATGCCAAACAGAAAATCAAGAGGGTAGTTGTGCCCAAGCTTCAGGCACAAGGGCTCATTGTTCCTGGGTAGCCTCCTGAACCCTGAGAGCTTAGGACTCTACAGAGACAGGTCTCCTGGACCCCAGAGTTGGGAAATTCAGGACTCCCTTTTTGTCCCATGTTCAGACATCCTCTGGCTCTACCTTAACATGGGATTGTGGAATCCAAGAAAGTGGGAGCTTGGGAGTTTGAAGCAGCGAGTCCAACCCCTCAGTGTAGAGCTGGGGAAACTGAGGCCAAGGGAGTGAAGGTCACAGGACAATCAAAGACAGAGTGCTGGGCTGGGAAACCGGACCCCGGGGCTGTGGTTACAGGGTTGCCATTGCCTGGCTGTGAGCCTTTGAGCCTCTGGGCCCTCTGGCCCGCGCACTTCTCCTTGATGCTCGTGAGCTATACACACCTCCTCTGAGGATGCAGGCTCAGTGGGAGTCAGCTCATCTACATTATGAAGCCCTCGTGAGATCTCTGCTTGGATACCTTAAATGGCAAACTGACCACCCCCCTTCCCACCCCAATCTCTAAACATCTTTCACATTCTCTTCTGGCTCCTGAAAGCTGTTCCAGGCTGCACCCAGTGTGGCTGGTGACTGGGGAAGGAGCGTGGAGAGAGAAAGGAGGCTCCCAGCTCATCCTCTGAGGGAATGACAGGGTTTGTACAGCTGAAAGGAGAGAGAGTCTACACTGGAAGCTGGATCCTCTGCCACAGCCTAATTACAAAAAAGGCCTGGAGTTCTGGGCTGTTCATTTGTGATGTGCTGTGTTGCATCTCATTTGCATGGTGTATTATTAAGGCACAACTCCCCCTGAACCTTTACCTTAGGGGCCTGTGGGTGACCCACTTTGTGGGAAGTGGTTCAGGGCAGCCCGGAAGTACCTGAACTAGGAGTGAAAATGCAAGGAGGGGGTGGGGTGTTCAGGCCCCTCTGGGCCGCTCATTTAATCTACCAAGATGCTCAGTAGCTCATCCTTATAGCTTCAGTTTCTCCACCAGTGGAATGGGAAATAACCCAACCCCTACCCACCTCACAAGATTTTTCTGATCAAATGAGACAGGGAATGTGGAATGATTTTAAGAACTAAGAAGTTTTCTATGGGTGGCAAGTTCTGACATTCCCCGGAAGAGGGAGGAGAAAGAAAAATGGGGTTAGAAGAAAATGTCAGACGTGGGAAGACCTGCAGGGAAAGAGCTGGTAGGGCTGTCGGGCCAGTGGCTCCCATTTCAGCTGTTTGCTGGGGAGCTGGGAGCTGTTCCTGGCTCAGTCTGAGGGTAGGAGACTGGAGAGGACCATGCCCCTTGGGACATGTGTACACACATCTGTGTACTCACACACCACCTGCCAGGTGAATGATTTGTGTGAATCCTTCTCTCTCTCACCCATATCGACTTTGAAGCAGGTTACCAACTTCCCTGAATGTGCCTTGGGAGTTTTTGTGGAAATAAATTCCAAAAGAGTGAACTGTGTAATTAAACCACCTCACTACTCAGGAGGCCAGAGGTGCCTCAGAACAAGGGAGGAGGTGGGATCCTCTGCCTGCAGGATTCCTCTCTGTTCTGAACCACAGAGGTTGGGAGCACCTGGGTGGTGAAGGGAGTATGTGGAGGAAGGGCCTGGAGGTATTTACCCCCCGCCAGATAAACACCTGTTGGCAGAATTAGCCTTGATCTGACAGCCCCAGGAAGCTTAGAAATCTGAAGATCCTGACCATGAAAGCCATCCAAAGATGGCAAGGACCGCCTGAGAAGTAGTGAGCTCCCTGTCACTGGGGGGTATGTAAGGACATGGTTAGTGACTGCTTGGCGGAGATGCTGGAGAGAGGATTCAAGCCAGGAAAGAAGGTGGGGTCCTGAGATTCTGTGACTGGGTAGAGGGAAGATGCGGCCAGTGGGGATTCATTAGTTCCTCCTCTGAGATTTCTGGACTCCTCCTTCCCTGGCTCTCTCCCTGCTCTACATACGGAATTTGCCTAGAAGCAGCTCTTGGTAGAGGCCTCTGGGTCTCCCCTTGGTTAGGCCCACATGGGAAAGGTGACCTCATTGTTCCCTTAGCTGTTTACCCATCCTAGGGAGGGGCAGATCCCTGGTCCCTTGGAGGCTCAGCTCCCTGTGTCTCCTGCTCTGTTTTAGCTAGCCCCAATTCTGCTATTCACCAGCTGTGTGACTTTGGGCAAATGACTCACCTTCTCTGGGCTCCAGCAGGGCTGAGGTGGGCTCTGGGGCCTGCTTCAGGTCTGGAGTTGCCCAATTTTGGAAGGATGAGCCTTGGGCTTGGGGGCGAAGGCTATGCATGATTAGGGCCCTTCAAAGCTTAGAGCTCCTGGGTATCAGGGTCTCCTCTGCCTTCTTAGTAGGCAGCCACAAAAATGTATGAGTAATGGGCAAGGCTCCTATGCCAATGTATTTTGACTCACAAATGAAGACAGTGTCCTGCACATCCATGGGGAAGCTGAGTGGGAGGTAGACACTCCTCCGCTTAGCAGACACCATAGCTCACCCTCCCCTCAGGAACCCAGTCCTCCCTGCAAGGCCAGAGCTCCCGGGGCTCCTTTCCTCCATCTCAGCTGCTGCAAGCAAACCCAGTGCTGGATGGCTTTGACCTCTGAGCTCTTGGCTTCTGGCTACGGCATTTCATTGCTTGTGGCCTCAGGCTGGCTTCTCCTCAATCCTGCTGTTCCCCCACTTCACCTGGGCCTTAGGTCCCTGAGGGCCAGAGAGATACGGGGAAGGAAGTGAGTCAGGGAAGTGGCATTCAGGAGGGAGCTTTGCCAAGCCCGCCTGTAGTCCCCAGACAGGGAAATGGTCTTGAAACACTGGGCAGGCTTCCAGGGAGGAAGGACTTGGCAGGGATGACCAGCTGAGCCACCCCGGAGTAGGGCCAGAGCACCCGGACTGTATTCAGTCCTCTCCATTGGGGCAGGATCCCTGGGGAGTTGGGGGTGAAATGAGACCTGGTATGCCATTGCTGGGGTGGCTGGGCCCCTCCCCTTCCCGAACTGAAGTTGTTTCTGTTTCTGGTACTGCGGTGCAGTGGTTGGGGCTGGCAGGGGGCAGGGTGGGATAGTGAATGAGAGCCTAACTCTAGGCTTGGATTTTGGATTTCTCCTTTTTTTTTTTTTTGTGACAGAGTCTTGCTCTGTCGCCCAGGCTGAAGTGCAGTAGCACAATCTCAACTCACTGCAACCTCCACCTCCCAGGTTCAAGCAATCCTCCTGCCTCAGCCTCCCAAGTAGCTGGGATTACAGGTGCACACCACCATGCCCGGCTAATTTTTGTATTTTTAGTAGAGACGGGGTTTCACCATGATGGCCAGGCTGGTCTCAAATTCCTGACCTCAAGTCATCTGCCCACCTCAGCCTCCTAAAGTGCTGGGATTACAGGCGTGAGCCACCGCATTCAGCCAGATTTCTCCTAACTGGATATTCAGGTTTCTAGTCAGGGGCTCCCAGAACCCCAGCTAGGCCACTACCCAGGTGTTAGCCGCTCTGCTCCCTCAGCTCTGTGAGAATAATTGCAAAAAGCAGGTGATATGAGAATGGGCTGCATGGCTGAAAGGTGATCTGGGTGCAAGTGCTCTATCCCCAGGGTGGGACATCATGCCGGAGTCCTACCAGGTGTACAGGAAACACTAATCCTGTGGGAAGGAGCTGGGCCCTGGAACAAAACTCTCTGGGTCTAATCCCAGCATCAGCCCTGGGTGTCAGCTGTCATGAGCGTGAAATGATCATCCTGGCCCACAGCAGGAGCTCAGTGAACCAAAGCCCCTTCCAGAAGCACATTGGCCAGTTGAGCCCGTGAGCCATCCCTGCAAGGGGCCAGCAGGCGCAGCACAACCAGTTTTTGTTTGTTTGTTTGTTGTGTTGTGTTGTGTTTTTGAGAAGGAGTCTCGCTCTGCCACCCTGGCTGGAGTGCAGTGGCGTGATCTCAGCTCACTGCAACCTCCGCCTCCCAGGTTCAAACAATTATCCTGCCTCAGCCTCCTGAGTAGCTGGGATTACAGGCATGCGCCACCATGCCTAGATAATTTTTTTAAATATTTTTAGTAGAGACAGCGTTTCGTCATGTTGGCCAGGCTGGTCGCAGACTCCTGACCTCAGGGGACCCACCCTCCTCGGCCTCCCAAAGTGCTGGGATTACAGCACAGCCAGTTTTTGACCCCTGCCCCCAGGCCTTCCAAAGGCTGAGGGAGGGTGAGTGGGGATCAGCACGTGTCCTTGCTCTCTCCACGCCTTCATTGCTGCTGAGTCAATGGTCTTGTCTGTTCATCCCTTCCCTATCTGGGACTTCAGGAGCTGCCCTGCAGTGGTGGCTTCCTTCTCCAGTACCACACAGGAATAGGGAAGTAATGACTCTTCTCATGACAGAGACTGTCAACAGGCCTGGGGCCCCCAGGGCTTGGGAAGTCCCTGGCAAAGCTGGGGCAGAGGGCTCCGGGGTCCTCACCCCCCGCCCCCATCGCCTGTATGAGTCTGCAGTGATTTCAGCTTCAGTGACCATGAAGTCTGCCATGAGGGGGCCTCTGCCACGTGGTCCATTCTGGATGTGGGACCTTACCCCTTATCAGCCCCATCCAGCTGTTTAATCGCATTATTAAGGAAGCTGTTGTTGCTGTGGAAACTGTGTGGGTGATGGTGGGGGAGGGGGCTGTGGGCTCAGCTCTCACCTCCCAGCAGTGCTCTTCAGAGCGGGAATGAGAGGAGAGCCTTGAGTAGGGATCGTCATCCTGCCCTGCAGGGATTCAGGGAGTGTTACAGGGTCCAGGGAATAACCTTCACTGGCCCTGTCCTCACCTTCATTTTACACATAACTGAGTTGGAGACCCTTCTGGGTGCCAAGAACTGTGGCCTTGGTACCAGGGAGAGAACACTGTGTTCCTGGGCATGAAGCTGCAGAGGCTGCGGCTGGAGTTGGCACCCTCCATTTATCTATTCATTTGTTTATTCATTCTTTTGTTCAATAGATGGTTATTGAGTACCTTCTCTGTGCCAGGCCCTGCTCTAAGCAACAGGAAATACCATCAACTGCAGAATACAGAGCTAAAGAATCTGTCTTCGTGGAGCATATACTCTAGTGGGAAGAGGCAGTAAAACAAGAATCATAAAGGCCAGGTGCAGTGGCTCATGCCTGTAATCCCAGCACTTTGGGAGGCCGAAGCAGGAGGATCACTTGAGCCCAGAAGTTCGAGACCAGTCTGGGCCACATAGTGGGACCCCATCTCTACAAAAAAATTAAAAAATTAGCTGGGCGTGGTGGCACATGCCTGTAGTCCCAGCTACTCAGGAGGCTGAGGCAGGAGGATCGCTTGAGCCCAAGAGGTCAAGATTACAGTGGGGAAAAAAAAAAAAAAAGAACAGTTGAATGTGGCACTGTCATGCCGTTCAACCTGTAATTTGAAGGTAGAATGGACAGGGTTTGCTGAGAGACCGGATGTGGGATGTGAGAGAAAGAGAAGAATCAGGGGCAACTCCAAGGACTCTGGTCTGGGAAGAGAGACAGGAGGAAGGAACTGCCATCCCCGGGCCAGGCAGGCTAGAAAGGCAGGGACGGCCAAGAGCTCAGTTCTGGACGTGTTTTGTATGACGTGTCCCATAGTTGATGTCCTAGCTCAGGGTCTGGAGTGAACCAAATAGGGAGTTAGGGGTGAGGGCCTGTGTGGGCGGGTACCCCCTGCCTCCTAGGGAGGGCCCTGCCCAGGTGGGACATGCTTATCTCAAGGAAAGGAGCCCAGGCTGAATGCCCTTGAGGGTCAAAGCAGCCACCCAGTTCTCACAGCCCCAAAGTCCCCTGGTTGTTGCCACAGAGCAGGTGTCTGCGAAACCAAAACACGGGCCTGACAGCTGGAGGCTCCATCACCCGCTTCCCTGAGTGTTGTCCCGTTGCCATCGAAGTGCTTTGCTGTTCATTCTCCCTCACCTTCTCCCCGCTGTGGGGAGGTGACCAGATGCTGTCATCACTCCCATTACTCACAGGTGGAGACTGAGGTTCAAGGGCACGAAGGGGCTCACCAACAGTTGCATGGCTCAAAAGTGGCAGAAGCCATCCTGGATTCTCCGCATCGGGGTTGGGTTCTTCCTGTGGCCACTCCCCACCCGCCTTACAGAGCCATGCCACCGGCCTGCAAGTGCACACAGCGATTCCCACCATGTCCCCACGCCTGGGCTCCTGTCCTCAACATGCACACTCCCTTGTGAGTCAATGGCCCCGTGTGGCATCACAAAGCCTGGGTGCCTGTCCCGGCCACACACTGCTGGGTGTCCTTGAACCTGTTGCCAAAGTGGGTGTAGTTTCTCTTTTGTACACTGGGCCTAACAGTGCCCCTCCTATATACCCCTGGAAGTTGTTCTGAGACAACATCCAGATAACAACTAGGTAAGTGCAGTAATAAAATGCGGGAGAAACATTAGGGGCCTTTATTTTCCTCACTTAACTGGCTGCCAGGGAAAAGCAAGGAAAGGTCAGAGGCTGGGGTGCCCCAGAGAGGCCCCATGTAGATGAGGCTCTGGCTGGGCCCAGAGAAATGGGATGTACACTCCGGCCCAGAGACCTGAAGATCTGGGTTCAGGGCAGCTTTGGGACAGGCTATCTGGATGGCAACTAACTGGAGTACCTGATCAGGCCTAGAGGTGTGTCCTGTGACCCAGTGTCCAGGCCTGGGCCAGCATGTCAGAGACTCAGCAAGAGTATGTGGGTCCTTGGCTCACATTGTTTGAGCAACTACTGAATACTGAATAGGACTACTGAATACTGAATACTGAATAGGACAAGATGTACATGGTACAACTTCTGCCCACCTGGGCCTTCAATGAAATGCCCCCAGGCAGCATGTCCCTGACTGCATGCTTCACAGAGCAGGGATAGGCCTGCCCAACGTGCCACTGTATCTGCAGAACCCAGCCCACTGCCTGACTCACCAAGGCCCTCACCAAACATTGTCAAGGCCAAGAGTGACGCTCCAGGGAAGGGGATCTCTCTAGGAGGAAGGGTGCTCAAGATGAAGAAGGTGGGTTTTCAGCCAGGCCTGTCACCCCTCCCTGGAGTGGTTAGGTTAGGATTTTGACAAGTGGTAAAAAGAGGGACTAGGTTGAGCAAGGGGGTAGGAGCAAGAATCTCAGAGCAGATTTAGGATGAAGTGAGTTGGCTGTGGGGGAAGGGAGCAATGGGAAAGGAGGTGGGAGGAGATGCCATGGGGGGGGTCTTGAGGACCAGGTTGGGTGCTAGGATGTGGCTTCATGAGCAGCAGGAGTCACTGCAGGTTTGTGGGCATGAGGCAAGAGGCACAAAGCTGTATTTTGGGAAGAGCCATCTCGCAGGTGGGCAGGGGCACTGGAGGGCAGAGGGCTGCCCCAGATGGGATTAAGAAGGGAAGGCAGGCCAGGCACAGTGGCTCACGCCTGAAATCCTGGCACTTTGGGAGGCTGAGGCGGGCGGATCACAAGGTCAGGAGTTCGAGACCAGCCTGACCAACACGGTGAAACCCCGTCTCTACTAAAAATACAAAAATTAGCTGGGCGTGGTGGCGGGCATCTGTAATCCCAGCTACTCAGGAGGCTGAGGCAGGAGAATCATTTGAACCCGGGAGGTGGAGGTTGCAGTGAGCCAAGGTCACACCACTGCACTCCAGCCTGGGTGACAGAGCCAGACTCCGTCTCAAAAAAAAAAAAAAAAAAAAAAGGAAGAAGGGAAGGCAGGCTGGGGAGGTTGGGGAAAGGAAGCAGGGAGTGCAGATCACTCCCCTTCCATGAGTTGTTTTCTTAAGATGCTAGAACTTGGCCAGGCATGGTGGCTCACCCCTGTAATCCCAGCACTTTGGGAGGCTGAGGCTGGCAGATCACTTGAGGTCAGGAGTTCCAGACCAGCCTGGCCAACATGGTGAAACCCCATCTCTACTAATAATACAAAATTTAGCTGGGTGTGGTGGTGTGCACCTGTGGTCCTAGCTACTTGGGAGGCTGAGACAGGAGAATCACTTGAACCCTGGAGGCACAGGTTGCAGAGAGCTGAGATCGTGCCACTGCACTCCAGCCGAGGTGACAGAGTGAGACTCCGTCTCAAAACCAAAACAAAACAAAAACCAAGGCCGGGTGCAGTGGCTCATGCCTGTAATCCCAGCACTTTGGGAGGCCGAGGTGGGCAGATCACAAGGTCAGGAGATCGAGACCATCCTCGCTAACACGGTAAAACCCCGTCTCTACTAAAAATACAAAAAATTAGACGGGCATGGTGGCGGGCGCCTGTAGTCTCAGCCAATCAGGAGGCTGAGGCAGGAGAATGGCGTGAACCCGGGAGGCGGAGCTTGCAGTGAGCCGAGATCACGCCACTGCACTCCAGCCTGGGCGACAGAGCGAGACTCCGTCTCAAAAACAAGCAAACAAAAAAACAGAAAACAAAAATTAGCCTGGCGTAGTGGCATGTGCCTGTAATTCCAGCTACCCAGGAGGCTGAGGTGGGAGAATCGCTTGAACCCTGGAGGCAGAGGTTGCAGTGAGCCAAGGTCGCACCACTGCACTCCAGCCTGGGTGACAGAGCGAGACTTGGCCTTAAAAAAAAAAAAAAAAGAAAGAAATTAACCAGCCGTGGTGGTGCACGCCCGTAATCCCAGCTACTCAGAAGGCTGAGGCACGAGAATCACTTGAACACGGGAGGCAGAGGTTGCAGTAAGCCAAGATTGTGCCACTGCCCTCCAGCCTGGGCGACAGAGCAAGATTCCATCAAAAAAAAAAAAAAAAAAAAAAAAAAAAGATGGGAGAACTCAGAACTCAAGCATATAGATTATTCAACAGTTCACATAGCCAGATAGTTCAAGGCCAGCTGTGGGCTTTGAATGCCATAGTAAAATGTTTGAACTTTGCCTTCTAGGCAGTAGGGAGCTACTGAAAGTTTAAAGGGATGGTATACTATTATTCTTTCATTCATTTATTCAATAAACGTGTATGTGTGTGTGTGTATTTTTTTTTTAAGAGTCCAGGTCTTGCTCTGTTGCTCAGGCTAGAGTGGAGTGGCATAATCATGGCTCACTGCAGCAACAAACTCCCGGGCTCAAGAGATCCTCCCGCCTTAGCCTCCATGTAACTGGGACTACAGGTGCCTGTCACCAGACCAGGCTAATGTTTTACATTTTTGTAGAGACAGCGTCTTGCTATGTTGCCCAGGCTGGTCTCAAACTCCTGGCCTCAAGTGATGCTCCTGCCTTGGCCTCTCAAAGCACTGGGCAATGTCCCTGGTCTTCAATAAATATTTGATTTATTTAAGCAAATCTTTTTTCTGAGCACCTACTATGTGCTAGGCACCATTCTAAGTACTTAGGATACATAGATAAATAAAATAAAGGTTCTTCCCTTCAAAGAGCTTACATGTCAGCAAGTAAAGGAAAAGATGAGAGAAAATATAATAAATCAGTAAATTATATATCATGTCAAAAGGTGATAGGTGTTATAGAGAAAAGAAAAAGCGGAGAAGGGTGGGAGAATTGGGAATACAGGGGTGGGACACAGGTGGCAGTATTAAACAGGATGGTCAGGGTAGGCTTCATTGAGAAAGAAAGACTTCAGGATGTCTGGGGGAGGAGTGTTCCAGGAAGAGAGAAGAGCAAGTGCAAAGGCCCTGAGACAGGAGCAGCAAGTGCATTTAGAAACAGCAAGGAGGCCAGTGGCTGGAGTGAAGCAGGAAAGGCGGGGAGAGGGTCATGGGTTGGGGGAAGGGACATTGTGCAGGTCTATGCAGGCTATTGTAGGGTGTATGGAGTGAAGATGTCAAGTCAGCAGTTAGATATGGAGCTGGAGATTTGGGGAGCAATGAGCTGGAGAGATAGACTTGAAAGTCATTGGCATATAGATGGTACATCATATCATCATATGAGACTGCATGGGATTGCCAAGAGGTTGAGTGCAGATAGGAAGGAGGCAGAGAAGAGGAAAGGACTGAGCTCCAGGACCCTCTTGCACCAGGCAGGGGAATCAGCAAAGAGACTGTGATGGCATGGCCAGAAAGGAAGGGGAAAACCATGCAGGATCTGGGACCCCAGGGAATCTGAAGGGAAGAGACCAGAAGTCTATGGCAATTGCTCATGAAGAGATGAGGGTCTGGCCAAGGGGCCAGGTGGGAGGAACCAGGTAAGAGATATTATCATCCCAATGTTACCCTTAAAGAAACCAAGGCCCAGAGAGGGGAGAGGTTAAGAACCTGGGTCAAGATCACACAGCTTAAGTGTGACTTCTTCTTTTTATTTTTTATTTTTTTGAGACGGAGTCTCCCTCTGTCACCAGGCTGGAGTGCAGTGGCACAATCTCAGCTCACTGCAACCTCCGCCTCCCGGGTTCAAACAGTTCACCTGCCTCAGCCTCCCGAGTAGCTGGGATTACAGGTGCCTGCCACCACGCCCAGCTAATTTTTGTATTTTTAGTAGAGACGGGATTTCACCATGTTGGTCAGGCTGGTCTCGAACTCCTGACCTCGTGATCTTCCCACCTCAGCCTCCCAAAGAGCTGGGATTACAGGTGTAAGCCATTGTGCCCGGCCAAGTGTGAGTTCTTTTAAGCTGTGTGACCTTGGCCAAGGTGCTTAACCTTTCCCTGCCAAGTCTCAAACACCTCTTTGTCCAGCTACTATGCTTCCATCAAGAATCAATAGGACCTATGTCCCTACAGGTGTCAGGGTAGCTGGCAGAATGGTGATGCCCTTGGCAGAGGCAGGCAAGGCCAAAGGAAGGGCTGGTTCTGGCAGGGAGTGAAGGATCTTACTTTGAGAGGTATTGAATATGAGGTGGCTGCAGACAGATGGTGACGCCATCTGAGAGGCAGCAGGAAGTAGGCGCTGAGGCTCAGGAGGTGATTTGAGCTGTTGATCTGGATTTGGGACTCCTCAGGACAATCTGTGAACAATGATGAGAGAGAGCACCAAGGACCAAGGTCTGAACTTGGGAGCTAGGGCCCATGTCCACAGGGTGAACTGGAAGGAAGATAAGGAGACAGCAAGGAATGCTTGCCAAGAAACCAGGAGACCAGGAAAGAGTAGTTTCCAAGAGATGGGGGAAGCCCACACTGTTGCAGGGAGGTCCTGCATAAAGTCTGAAACGGGTCTATTTAATTCGCCCTTGGAGGCTGGGCATGGTGTCTCACACCTGTAATCCCAGCACTTTGGGAGGCCAAGGCGGGTGGATGACCTGAGGTCAAGAGTTTGAGAACCAGCCTGGTCAACATGGCAAAACCCCGTCTGTACTAAAAATACAAAAATTGGCCGGGCGTGGTGGTGGAAGCCTGTAATCCCAGCTACTCGGGAGGCTGAGGCAGGAGAATCACCTGAATCCCAGAGGCGGAGGTTGCTGTGAGCTGAGATCACACCACTGCACACCAGCCTGGGAGACAGAGCAAGACTCTGCCCAAAAGAAAAAAAAAAATTGTAGTTGGAAGGACTTCTGGTTCTATAGGGTGGATTGAACACAAGACTTTATCTCCAGTCCTTCCTGATTTTCCATCAAAGTGACAGTAAGGAATAAAGAATGTAAACCTACAAGGACAAAGAGAAGAGGAGACAACAGCAGACAAGATATTAACACCTTTTTGGAAAGTGAGAAACAGGTTGAGGAGTGATCACTGACACAGCAGAGAACAACTGAAACCAAAGGCCATTTGGAGTCTGTAAAAGCTCGGGGATTGGAGGGCTGAAGGAGGCAAGGGGAAGAGCAGGGCTGAAAGCAGCGGCTGCTAGGAGAATGCATAAGGAGAGATGAAACACCCAAGATACTTATCCATCTCCTCTCAAAGCCAGGCAAATTCCAGCCACCTCACAGAAGACCAGCAGTTTATTCTGTGGAATTAAGTAAAAGTCTGCATACTGAAGGATAGAACCCTCAGCCCTCACTCCTAAATTGGTCCCAGAGAAAAGACCTCCAGATTCTTCCAGTTGTTGGGGGAGTCTTCCCTAAAGGACCAGGTTCCTACTTGATCACTCTGCAGTGAAGCCCAACAGCCAATAAGCTTGGTCCTCGGTACTCTGTCTTCAGTAGCTGTTTCTTGGTCCTTGGTCCTTGGTACTCTCACTCATCATTGTTCACAGATTGCCCTGAGGAGTCCCAGATCCAGTCCCAAATCCACCTGCCCCCAACACACAGAGCAGCCAACTCTTTAGTGTCTTACTCCAAAATATTGAGACAGCCAAGCCGCAAGAATCACCACAGGTCGGGTGCAGTGACTCACGCCTGTAATCCCAGCACTTTGGGAGGCCGAGGCAGGCGGATCACTTGAAGTCAGGAGTTCGAGACCAGCCTGGCCAACATGGCAAAACCCCTCTACTAAAAATACAAAAATTAGCTGGGCATTGTGACACGTGCCTGTAATCCCAGCTACTCGGGAGGCTGAGGCAGGAGAATTTCTTGAACCTCAGAGGCAGAGGTTGCAGTGAGCTGAGATCGTACTACCACACTCCAGCCTGGGCGACAGAGGGAGACTCCATCTCAAAAAAAAAAAAAAAAAGTCACCACACATTTGAGGAAAAATTCTGTTAAAATAAAAACTTTAGACAAATTAAATTTAGCAGAGTTTATCTGAGCAAAGAACAATTCATGAATCAGCCAGCATCCTGAACCAGTAGAGGTTCACAGAGTTTTACCACCCAGCAGTATGGGCAGGCAGTATTAATGGACAGAGAAAGGAATTGATGTATAGAAACAGCTTGATTGGCGACAGATCAGTATTTGCCTTATTTGGGCATGGTGCAATGAGGTGTTTGCCTTATGTGGACATGTTCTGATGATCTGGCAGCTTGTGATTGGCTGAAAATTCTGCTATATTTGGCTGAGACTTGGCTGCTTATTGTAAGAATATACTCTCAAGTTACGTTGCAGTTTGTTTACATATTGAATTATGCTACAGTCCACTATGTATGGAGTCAGCTTTATACCTGGGTGACAGAGTGAGACTTTGTCAAAAAAAGAAGGAGAGGAGAGGAGAGAGAGGAGAGAGATGAGGGGTGGGGAGGGGAAGGGAGGAAAGGAGAAAGGAAGGAAGGAAAGAAGGAAGGGAGGGAGGGAAGGGAAGGAGGGAGGGAAGAAGGGAAAGAAAGAAGGAAGGAAGGAAGGAAGAAAGAGAGAGAGAGAAAGGAAGGAAGGAAGGAAATAGGCAACACATAAAATAAATTTTTTTAATAGGATCACAGGTCACTGTGAACAATAGCCGTTCATTAAATGACTTCGGAGGCATATACAAAAAGTTACATAGTTGTAGAAAAAGCTTAGCTGTTTTAATAGCGAGTTCTCAGTTTTCTTAAGTGATCAAAAACCTAACAAAGACAGCATGAAGCACAGGAAATTATCTGGGTAGAACACAGAATCTTTGTTTTCTAGGCCAACTACCTAAAGAGAAAGAAAAACATTTTACAATTTCCTATTATGATCAGACCAATAATCTAAGAACACCATGTTGTTTTAATGGAGAGAACCAAATTCTAGTTTTGCATCAGTGTAATTTTGATATTAATGCTAGCTCTTATCGCCCAGGCTGGAGTGCAATGGTGCAATCTCTGCTTACTGCAACCTCCGCCTCCCGGGTTCAAGTGATTCTCCTGCCTCAGCCTCTCAAGTAGCTGGGATTACAGGCGCCTGCCACCACACCCGGCTTATTTTTTGTATTTTTAGTAGAGATGGGGTTTCACCATGTTGGCCAGGCTGGGCTCGAACTCCTGACCTCAAGTGATCCACCCGCCTCTGCCTCCCAAAGTCCTGGGATTACAGGCGTGAGCCACTGCACCCGGTCGCTAACTTTTATTCTTAAAAAACTTGTAAATAATTACCTCCTAATCTTAACCAGCTTGATCACCCATAAAATTTCTTTCACAAGATTCATCTTCCACAAACCTCCTACAACTCTTATATCCATTCACTTTTTGTCCTATACTTTCCTCTTCTCATTTTCGAAAAATCAGTCATTTCACTTTAGGACAAAATTTATTCTCTTTTTCCGTTATCAAAACAAAACATCCTCACGTCTTATAGCTTTTCCTTAGCTTCCTTTGTATATTTCTTTTTCATATATTCCTTTTTCTTACCTTCCTTGTATATTTTCATATAGATTTTCCCCCTTATTGTTTCTAGTAATTGTAGCTACATATATTAATTAGAATTCTTAACCCCGGCCAGGTACAGTGGCTCATGCCTGTAATCCCAGCACTTTGGAGTCCGAGGTAGGCAGATCACTTGAGGGCAGAAGTTCAAGACCGGCCTGGCTGACATGCTGAAACCCTGTCTCTATTAAAAATACAAAAATTGGCTGGGCGTGGTGGCGGGCACCTGTAATCCCAGCTACTGGGGAGGCTCAGGCAGGAGAATTACCTGAACCCAGGAGGTGGAGGTTGCAGTGAGTCAAGATTGAGCCACTGCACTCCAGCCTGGGTGACAGCGCGAGACTCCATCTCAGAAAAAAAAAAAAAAAAAAAGAATTCTTAACCCTTAGTGACCTTAATTTCCATGGACATTAGAAAGTAAGCATTTGTGAATTGTGTGTCACACCAGCTGTAGATTGGTAAATCTATGAACCATAATGTCTAGAAGCATGAGCTTTCTCATAGTACAATTTGTCAGTGTGGCACAGAACATGTTTCTCAATGGTCCAAAATGTCTTTAAGTCTCTCTGTAAAAATAAACTGTAAAGGAGGCAAAATTTCATTTGTATCCCTTTAGGTTTTTTGTTTGTTTGTTTTGTGAGGCCTGAAAACTAAATTGTTGTTTGTACAGATTTCCCTCCTCCTCAACTTTCTATTCTTGATGCTAAGAGTGTTAAAACCTTCTGGTGGCTGAGCGTGGTGGCTCACGCCTGTAATCCTAGCACTTTGGGAGGCTGAGGCAGGTGGAACACTTGACCTCAGGATTTCGAGACCAGCCTGGGCAACATGGTGAAACCCCATCTCTACAAAAAATACAAAAATTAGCTGGATGTGGTAGCTTGTGTCTGTAGTCCCAGATACTTTGGCGGGGCTGAGGCGGGAGGATTGCTTGAGCCCAGGAGGCAGAGGTTGCAGTGAGCCGAGATCTTGCCACTTGCACTCCAGAGTAGGCGATAGAGACCCTATTTCAAAAAAGTAATAATAAAACCTTCTGGTATAGGAAGGACATCTTTTACATGGGAATTTTATCTTACATTCATTTAACTCACTTATTTTCAACACTTATGCTTGGATTGCCTATAAAGATGAGATAATAAACAACTAGTCATCATTTTGTTTTTCTTGCTGACAAATTTTATAATATAAAGACAACATAAGCTTGTTTTACCAGTAAACCTAGATAGGAAATCATGCATCTTTATGATATTTAATCCCCAAAACTATGAAAACATGTCTGTTTCAGTCAAACCAACAATATTCTTATTTGCCAAAGATTACCCAAGTCAGATGAGCTGCAAAAGTATTTGAGGTAGTTCTTAATTTTCTGAGAGAATACTTCATTTATACAAGCACTTATTTTTCTTAAAGCCAACAAAATAGAGCTCTTTCATAATTTAATTTTGGAGCATTAAAAGGAGATAAGAAACTATGATACCTGTATCATACATACAGACTTATATAAACATAAACAGCAACAGATCTTACAGCTTTCATTTAAATATCTTAGCCATGTTCCAGGTACAGTAATATAAAACTCCTGAATTTATTAAAGACTATCTGGATCCAAATTGTTCTTCTGGCCAATGGAACAAGATTTCTTGCCCAGATGACTAAAGCTTTTGAATAAGATTCGTGAAGGAGCTTTTAAGATTTTTTTGTTTGATTTCTGTAAGGAACCTATTATAAAGAGGCAATTTTTTATTCATTTAATCTTTTAGATGCCTCTGTGTATCAATTAAAGAATGCATCCCATTGCTTTTGTGGCATTTTTGAACCTTTCTTTTCTAATGCACCTTGCAAGTGAACAGTTTTATCTAGGTCAAAACTTTCCCACTGTGGCCACTGTAACTCTTAAGTTGTCCTCAGCAAAGTTAACCCATTTTTCCAAAAATACACATGTTCCTCATAATTGTTGTTCATGAAGTTAGCCACCGTCCCAGAAAGTGGCGTCTCAGACTCTGGAGTCCCAGACTCCTTAGATTTGGAGGAACTCACTTTCAAAAGGCACCTGCCTGAGGCTTTTAACTGGATCCATTTCAGTTAATTATCAGATCTGATTTGCTCCTGGACCCAGTCCTACTTGACCCAGTCTAAGAATTGTTCAAATAAACTTGGAGAACACAAAACACAAATTCCTGAAGCTTGGAATCTGAGATAGAACTCACCCATGACCTCCAGTTGCTACAAGAGAACAATTGGCACAGTGTGCCCTGTCAGGTACCCTTACTTGGTCACTAAATGCTCCTGAGGGTCACTGGAGTTCTACTTCCGATCCCACTTCTGACACCAATCTGTTAAAAGAAAAGCTTTAGGCCGGGCACGGTGGCTCACGCCTGTTATCCCAGCACTTTGGGAGGCCGAGGTGGGTGGATCACCTGAGGTCAGGAGTTCAAGACCAGCCTGGCCTACATGGTGAAACCCCATCTCTACTAAAAATACAAAAATTAGTCAGGCATGGTGGTGGGCGCCTGTAGTCCAAGCTACTCAGGAGGCTAAGGCAGGAGAATTGCTTGAAGCTGGGAGGTGGTGGTTGCAGTGAACCGAGATCACGCCATTACACTCCAGCGTGGGGGCCAAGAGCGAGACTGTCTCAAAAAAAAAAAAAAAAAAAGAAAAAGAAAAAGAAAAAGGAAAAGCTTTAGACAAATTTAGCAGAGCTTATTTGAAAAAATAAGCAATTCATGAATTCAGCAGCATGCTAAACTAGTAAAGACTCGGCTGGGCGTGGTGGCTCACACCTGTAATCCCAGCACTTTGGGAGGCTGAGGCAGGCAGATCACCTGAGGTCAGGAGTTCAAGACCACCCTGGCTAATATGATGAAACCCCATTTCTACTAAAAATACAAAAAAATTAGCTGGGCGTGGAGGCACACACCTGTAATCCCAGCTACTCAGGAGGCTGAGGCAGGAGAATGGCTTGAACCTGGGAGGCAGAGGTTGCAGTGAGCCAAGATCACACCATTGCACTCCAGCCTGGGCAACAAGAGTGAAACGCCATCTCAAAAGAAAAAAAAAAAAAACCTAAACCAGTAAAGGCTCAAAGAACTCCACCTAACCATGTGGTCAAGTAGTACTTACAGAGAGAAAAAAAGTGACACATAGAAATAGCCTATTTAGAACTCGGCATTTGCTTTATCTGGACAGGTCTAAGCACTTTGCAGTCTGCGATTGGCTGAAAGCTCAGTTGCAATGATTGGCTGAGACTCAGCTACTTGTTACAAGAAACTCTCATGTTAGGTTTGTTTACATATTAAGTTGGGTTTCAGTTCACTATGTAAGGAGGCAGCTTAAGGCCAAATTTAATCTAATTTAACACCTCCAGCTTGAAAGACAAAACCAAACCAAATCAACCAAGAAACAGAAAAAAGAAAATTCAAAGATGTATGAGCATGCATAACTTTGATAAAAATAAAAATAATAATTATTTGAATTGGCAATTAGAAAATAGTTATATCCTCAGGTAACAGATGTCTCTAGGTGGATGAGATTGTGGGTGGTTTTTCTTGTTGTTGATATTTTCTGTGCATCTCTAAAAAACATCTAATGCTTTGCAAAGAACATAAGAAACAGATTAGTACATTAGTGGCCTTGGAGGAAACAATCTCAGTAAAACATGTGTTTATTAATGAATGTATTCCCCCATCCCTTTCCAAAAAAGTTCATAGGTGTAGTTATAGTCAAAGGTAAGAGGCAGTCTTGTCAGAGCCAGTAAAGTAACCAACCATCCTGGTTTGCCCAAGACCAAGCAGCTTCCCAAGACACTAGACTTTCAGTGCTAAAACCAGAGAAGTCCCATCCATACTAGGAGAGTTGATCACTCTAGTCTGTGTAATTTGCAAAGACTCTCCATATCCTTTGGTTCCTGTGAGTCTCAAATCCACCCAGTGAGGTACAGGTGGGCCGGTGGATGGTCACCTCCATTTCAGAAGAGAGGCAGCTAAGGCTCAGGGAATCTCCCTATCCCTGACCCGGGAAAGGCCTTAAGAGAAAGTGGTCTTTTAAACTGTGTGTATATATCACTTTGATAAAATTAAAAATTAGTTTTAAAGAAGAGAGAGGGCCAGGCGCAGTGGCTCACGCCTGTAATCCCAGCACTTTCGGAGGCCGAGGCGGGCAGGTCGTAAGGTCAAGAGATCGAGACCATCCTGGCTAACACAGGTGAAACTCCATCTCTATTAAAAATACAAAAAAAAAAAAATTAGCCGGGCGTAGTGGTGGGCACCTGTAGTCCCAGCTACTCCAGAGGCTGAGGCAGGAGAATGGCGTGAACCTGGGAGGCGGAGTTTTCAGTGAGCCGAGATTGCGCCACTGCACTCCAGCCTGGGCGACAGAGTGAGACTCCATCTCAAAAAAAAAAAAAAAAAAAAGAGTGAGGGCCAGGCGCAGCCGTCACGCCTGTAATCCCAGCACTTTCGGAGGCCGATGCGGGCAGATCACGAGGTCAAGAGATCGAGACCATCCTGGCCAACATGGTGAAACCCCGTCTCTACTAAAAATACAAAAATTAGCCAGGCGTGGTGGTGGGCGCCTGTAGTCCCAGCTACTCAGGAGGCTGAGGCAGGAGAATCGCTTGAACCCGGGAGGCAGAGGTTGCAGTGAGCCAAGATGGCAACACTGCACTCCAGCCTGGCAACAGAGTGAGACTCTGTCTCAAAAAAAAAAAAAAAAACAAAAACAAAAAAAAAAGAGTGGGAATCCAGAATGATAGAAAGAAAATGAGCCTGGGAGGGATGAACTGCAGAGGACCATAAGGTAACATGGGAGCAGTTTTGCAGGTGTATACAACTGTCAAAACTCACTGATTGTACACTTTAATTGGGTGCAGTTTTTGTTGCCCTTAAATTATGCCTCAATTAGAGAGAAAGAGAGAGAATATAAGGAAATGGGGGCAGCCATGGCGTCCTTGGAGAATTCACACTTGGGACGACAACTGCTCATTTGTGTACTCTCTCCTCCTCACCTGTCTTCCACTCCACCCCTGTCTCTGATGGAACATCTCTCCAGCTAAGCCATCTTCCTCAAGGCAGCCCAATTCTCTGTGGGGCTGCCACAGCACTAAACTGTTCTCTGTGTCCCCAGGACTCCAACCTGTCTGTGCACACAGAAAACCCGGACCTCACTCCCTGCTTCCAGAACTCCCTGCTGGCCTGGGTGCCCTGCATCTACCTGTGGGTCGCCCTGCCCTGCTACTTGCTCTACCTGCGGCACCATTGTCGTGGCTACATCATCCTCTCCCACCTGTCCAAGCTCAAGATGGTCAGTGGCTCAGGGATCTCCTACCGATGGGGCTGGGCCCTGGGGATTCTGCTTTTATTTTTTAATTTAATTAAATTAATTAATTAATTAATTTAGAGACAGAGTCTCACTCTGTCGCCCAGGCTGGAGTGCAGTGGCATGATCTTGGCTCACTGCAACCTCTGCCTTCTGGGTTCAAGCGATTCTCCTGCCTCAGCCTCCTGAGTAGCTGGGATTACAGGCATGCGCCACCACACCCAGCTAATTTTTGTATTTTTAGTAGAGATGGGGTTTTGCCATTTTGGCAGGCTGGTCTCCAACTCCTGACCTCAGGTGATCAGCCTCCCAAAGTGCTGGGATTAGAGGCATGAGCCACTGTGCCCAGCCAGCATTCTGGTTTTAATGAGGCCCTCTCCCACCTCCTCGGCTGGACTGGGTTCCCCAGTCTCACCTGACCTGCTTGGGGTCATGGGAATCTGACAACTGAGAATATATACAGCCAGCTGACATATTCCCCACTTGGGAAAGTTTAAGTAAGTTCAGCAACACTCTCCCCACCTCCAGCAAGCTTCTGGTCAGCTCCATTCCCAGACCTCAGTGCCAGTCCCAGGCAGGTCTAGTGGATTCTGGTGGCTTCAGGTACAAAGACCCCTTCCCAGTGAGGACTGTCCTTGCCTCTGGGGATGCGGATTCCAACCTGTGCTCTCTTCGCAGGTCCTGGGTGTCCTGCTGTGGTGCGTCTCCTGGGCGGACCTTTTTTACTCCTTCCATGGCCTGGTCCATGGCCGGGCCCCTGCCCCTGTTTTCTTTGTCACCCCCTTGGTGGTGGGGGTCACCATGGTCAGTGTGGGGCCCTGGGAAAGTGGATGGGGGAGGTCTCCATTGGGTTGTGGACTGTGATAGGGAAACTGTGGGCTCTGAGGAGAGGGCTGGACATATTGGGAATGGGAAGAAGAAGGGGGTGGCCCCAGAAACTTCTGGCCATGTGGGATGGGGAGAAATGGAGGCAGGTCCAGATGTGTGTGTTCTGCCCGGGCCTCCCTGCCCTCCCTGCACAGCTGCTGGCCACCCTGCTGATACAGTATGAGCGGCTGCAGGGCGTACAGTCTTCGGGGGTCCTCATTATCTTCTGGTTCCTGTGTGTGGTCTGCGCCATCGTCCCATTCCGCTCCAAGATCCTTTTAGCCAAGGCAGAGGTAAGGTTGGGGGAGAGGGGAACCTGCCAGGTTTAGCCCTGATAGGAGGGTGACCTCAGGGTTCAAAGTCACTGCTGGGTCCCAGGTCCCTCCCTCGAGGCTTCAAGTACAAACACAATTGTGTTGTTCTCCACTTGCTACATTTCTACCTGGAAGCAGGCTGAGGAGGGGGCACCAGTGTAACACAGGAATGAGCCAAGATGCCACCACTGTTGGACCATCATGTGAGGGTAGGGGGCTGTTCCACAGCACCCACCCACCAAGTGCAATATCTGACGTGGGTGTCAGTCAGTGCCTGTGTAATGAACACATGTATGCAGACAAGTGTGAAGAGTTCTGGCTTACCTAGAGGTCCCATTAGCATGTTCCCTTCCTTTCTTCCCACCTCCCTCAGTTCCTGGCCTTCCTCTTGATCTTCAGTGGCTGTGATGTTGGGCTGGTGGGATGGAACACTGCAGGCCAACCTAGTGCCTCCCATTTCTCCATCTCAGCGGGAAGCAGGCAAGGAGAGTAGCAAAGAACATAGGCTGTGAACAACCCACTTACTCCCCATGTGGGCTCGGGCGGGTCGCTGAAACCTTTGGAGCCTCATTTCCTTAATTGCAGAAAGGGCGTCATGAGCTGTCCTGCCTGTAGGCTGATGTCCCAGTTAGACAAGGTCATGTAGGTAAGGTGATGGCACCACACCTGGCACAGGTGCCACACCTGGTCCTCGCTGAACCAGAGCTCCCTTGTGATCCTTCCTCATCTCTCAGAGTCCTCTGAGTGGGGACCTGGAGGCCCCCAGGTGCTGCCTCCTGCCCCAGAGGAGACTGATGCCCCAAGGGACTCCGCAGGGCAGGGGCTGCAGGCCCAGGCTTTTCCAGTGCTTCTGACGCCCCTCCACTCTCCCACCCAGGGTGAGATCTCAGACCCCTTCCGCTTCACCACCTTCTACATCCACTTTGCCCTGGTACTCTCTGCCCTCATCTTGGCCTGCTTCAGGGAGAAACCTCCATTTTTCTCCGCAAAGAATGTCGACCCTGTGAGTTTCCCATGGAGGGTGCGGGGGCTCCACAGCTGAGTCCTCAGCCCAACTCTGACCAGCAGCCCCCAACCCCTCCAGTTCCTTTCAAAGTGGGAGAGAGGTCATCCCCACAATCTGTAAACTGGGGCTTGGAGCAGGAACAAGGGTCCCCTCCATTTCCCTACTCTGCTTTGAGAGGGTGGTGGGCACTCCTGATTCCCCCGTCCTATTCTCTCGCCTTCTAGAACCCCTACCCTGAGACCAGCGCTGGCTTTCTCTCCCGCCTGTTTTTCTGGTGGTTCACAAAGTGAGTTGGCTCTTCCACCAGCCAGGCCAGAGGGAGGGGAGGGATGGAAGGTGAGATGGAGAAAGGGGAGCAGGGCAGCAGTTTAGGGACCGGGCTGGCCACCTATCCCACCCCCCACCGCAGTGGGCACAGGGCAGATGAGGGTAGGGAAGTGGTCTGGGAGGGGGACCAAATGCAGAGGCCTGGCCTGGCCCAGTGCCGCCCCCAGGCTACAGGCCAGCCCTGCATCTGGCAGGCTGTGGGGACAGGCCCAGGAGGCTGGAAGAAGACTGTCATTAGTTCTGAGCTCCTCTGTTTGTGATAAACTTGCAGCCTGTCATCTCCTTGGCTGCGCCTCAGAGCGGCTTGAGCAGGATAACTGTGTCTGTGACCTGGGTGACAGCTCATTAACCCCACAGCACTGAGGAAGCACCCGAGGCTGGGGCCAAATTGCCCAGGCCTCGTCCTCACCCAGGGCCCCAGGCAGCGTGGATTCCATCACCAGGGCCTGGGGTGGGGAGGAGATGGGACACCTGGGGAGGAGGAGGAGAAGGGGGTAGTGGTAGGAACTTCGGAGGGAGAGCCAGTGACCTCAAGCCTATTCACTGAGGAAATGAAGGAGACACCTTTCATGGTCACAGTGCCCGAGGGAGACCCTCCTTTCTGGAGACCCTGGGGCCCTGGAGACACTGACCCTTGGCTCCAGGCTGCTAAACCCTGACCCTCTGCGGGGCTGCCTGCCGGGCTTCACCTCCCCCCAGGATGGCCATCTATGGCTACCGGCATCCCCTGGAGGAGAAGGACCTCTGGTCCCTAAAGGAAGAGGACAGATCCCAGATGGTGGTGCAGCAGCTGCTGGAGGCATGGAGGAAGCAGGAAAAGCAGACGGCACGGTGAGGCCCTCCCCTTGCCCCAACACCCAGCCCCTTCGCTTACCCCAGATCTCCTGCAGAGGACGCTGGTAGACCTTGGAGGGCGGCATTGCTGGGGTGGCAAGCAGAGCAGGACCAGGTGATTTCTTGGCAGCCTCGGGACCATTCTATGGGAAGCTTAGGCCTGGATGGCGCTAGTTCTCCCAGCTCTGGTGGGGGCAGGAGAATGGCTGGCACTTTGGAGCAACTACTCCATCCCAGGTCCCATCCTAAGGATATAAATAAACTCACTTAATTTTTCAACAGCCCTAAAGGGTAGGTTCAAGTGTCCCTGTGTTACAGATGGGGACACTGGGGCCGGGTGTGGTGGCTCACAGCTGTAATCCTAACACTTTGAGATGCCAAGGCAGGAGGATTGCTTGAGTCCAAGAGTTCAAGACCAGCCTGGGCAATATAGTGAGACCTTGTCTCTACAAAAAATAAACAAGATGAGCCGGGCATGGTGGTGTGCACCTGTAGTCCCAGCTACTTGAGAGGCTGAGGTGGGAGGATCATTTGAGCCCAAGAGGTCAAGGCTATAGTGAGCTGAGATTGTGCCACTGTACTCCAGTCTGGGCAATAGAGTGAGACCTTTTCTCAACAACAACAAAAACAGATGGAGACACCGAAGCACAGAAATTTAACAGAGGGCCTCCCAGGGTCCCCAAGTTGGTGGTGGCAGAGCTGGAATCCACATGGAGCCGGCTGGCCCCAGAGGTTCTCCTCATATCACTGCACCACCCTGCCTGACTGAGAGGGCTGATTCCAGGGCCAGGAGCCAGCACACCCCTGCCAATTCTGCCTCCTCCTGTCTGGAGGCGGCGGCTGAATGAGATGATCTTCCCCTGAGGGGTCTTCCCACTGTCAGCCTCTTATCAAGGACCACAAACCTGTCTCTGGCCAACTGCCTCACCAAGAGAGCTGACGCTGAGCATCATCTTTCTCCACCCAATTCTGACCCCAGGATTGAACCCTCCCTCCTCCCATCCACAATCCAGGCCTAGGAGTTCAATGTTTGCTCAGCCCGGAGCTTCCGGTTGTCACCAGCTGTTGGAGGAGCCTGGGGCTGGGCATGGTTAGCAGTATCCTGGCTTTCATGGCTTGGAGCCTCCACGAAGACCTATGGGCCCCCAGTCTGCCTGCTGCACCCCCTCTCAGTCCCTCCATGCCACTCCACCCCCTCCCTGTTCAGCTGCCCGGTGGCTGTACCAACAGCCATCCTTGATCTTATCTACCTTCCCTCTTGGCGTCCTCCCTGGAGCCAGCACTGGGGAGGCGGGGAGAGGGCCAGACTGGGGGGATAGCTGGGTTTTAGAGTCCTTGTGGTAGCAGTCTGGCCACCCCTTCAGATGCCCTCTGGCAGCTGAGGACAGAGTCGCTTGTGCAATTCTTATGCTGTCTGTTCCCCTCCCAGCTCTGAGAGCCAAGAAAACAGCTCCTTCCTCCTCCTCACTCCTAGCCAGCCCAGCCTAGCCCTTGGCTTCCTGGAGCCCCTGTCCCCATTCCTAACCCACTGCTCCTTCCTCCCTGGACCAGACACAAGGCTTCAGCAGCACCTGGGAAAAATGCCTCCGGCGAGGACGAGGTGCTGCTGGGTGCCCGGCCCAGGCCCCGGAAGCCCTCCTTCCTGAAGGCCCTGCTGGCCACCTTCGGCTCCAGCTTCCTCATCAGTGCCTGCTTCAAGCTTATCCAGGACCTGCTCTCCTTCATCAATCCACAGCTGCTCAGGTCTCTCCACACTCCGGCTCACTATAGCCCTGCCCTGGGCAGCAGGGCTGGCTGGCTAGCCCAGAGGAAGGAACAACGTACAGTGAAAAGAACCCCAGACCAGGAACCAGGGAGGCTAGCTCCACTTTCTGTGTGACCTTTGGCAAGTGGCATTGCCTGACTTGTTTCCTCACTCACATTCAACTTAGAATTGCTGTGCATATACTATGTGCCGGGCACCGTGGTGTGTACGTTAACAAGCATTGGGTCTTTAAATCTTCCCAACAATCCTATGCGGAATTGCCCCATTCCCATGTCACAGATGAGAAAGCAGGAACTCAGAGAGGTGAAGTGACTTGGCCAAGGGCACACAGCAAAGAAGGAATCAGGTCTGAGTCCAGGACTCTGAGCTCCGACTGAGGTGCTCTGTCCCCACCATCAGGCTCTAACATCTGTCTCAGGAATGGCTTGGACTAGAACGAGCTCTCAAATGAGAGGGTGGGAAGGAGAGCTGCCTAGTAGCTAAGTCCCCACCTCCTTGCCCCTCCGTGCATGCATTAATTTGTTCAGCAAACATTTATTGAACCTCCAGGGTACCAGAATGGTGCTCGATACTAGGGATACAGAGTTCAATAAGACAGGGTCTTGATGTCTTATGGGAGAAACCAGCGTGTAAATCAATTAGAATTCAGTGGGGGCAGAAGTGTTCTCGGGTGTCTGGAAAACCCCGGGAGGGGCAAAGAAGCCAGCCTGGGATGCAGCAGGAAGCACCCACTGGCTTGGGAGGTCAACGAATTTGGAGAGACAAGTAGGTGAAGAAACAGGGGAAAGTTCAGCCTCAGCTTAGTCACAAAGCCCTGAAACAGCATGACTCAGGTGTTTCTGAGTGGCAGAGGAAATGGCAACGAGAGGGAGGGGCAGGAAAACAGAGAGAGGGAGAGCTAAGGATATCCTTGAAAGATCTGAGCCAGGGAGGGGCATCTGGCTTCAAGGATCTCCTGCCAGGAGTGTGGGGGATGTAGGGCAGGGTGGCTGGATGGAAGTGGGCCAACCCGGTCAGATGGAGTCCAGGCCAGGAATGAGACAAGTATTCAGGAGCAATTTGGGAGATGGGCGTGTGCGCCAGAGAGACAGAGGAGTGCCAGGCAACCTGGGTGCTGGCCTGGGTAACTGGAGGACGATGGATCTTTTGCTGAGCTGATGGGCTCGGTGGGAGGAGGAGGCTGGGTGGGGGGCAAGGTGGTGGATGGAGTCTGGTCATGTGGGGCCAGTGGTGCTGGTGGGTCCTCCAAGGGGAGATTCCCAGCTAGCTGGAAGTCAAACTCTCGAGCCCAAGAGTTTGAGACCAGCCTGAGCAACATAGCAAGACCCTGTCTCTACAAAAAAGTTAAGATATTAGCCAGGCCTGGTGGCATACGCCTAGAGTCCTAGCTACTCAAGAGGCTGAGGTGGGAAGACTGCCTGAGCCTGAGAGGTTGAGGCTGCCGTGAGCTGTGATGGCACCACCGCACTCCAGTCTAGGTGACAGAGAGAGACCCTGTCTCAAAAAAAAAAAAAAAAAAAAAGAGAGAGAGAGACACCAGTCACTGGGCTGGGGCCACTGGGGCCCACCCTACTCCAATATGACCTCACCAAATGAGGCCACGTTCACAGGTACCAGGTGTTGGGAGCTGAACATATCTTTCTGGGAGACACAACTTAAGCTATCACAGAAGGGGAGGCCTGGCTATGATTATGGCTGGAGGGCTCCATGTAGTCGAGAGGAGAGTGTCCCAACAATGAAGAGACTCGGTCATGTCAATAGGTGAAGGTGTAGAGCTTCCAGCAGAGGTGGCCAGGGTGAAGCTCAGCGGCAAAGGGGGCAACAGCGCAGCAAGTTCCTGAGGAGGCAGAGGAAGGCCAGGGCTCGGGGGCAGGGGCAGCCTCCGACAGCCTGAGCACCAGAAAAAGGAGGACAAGCCACTGGAGGGCAGTTTGTGAGTGGCAAGGAGTTTGTGGGTGGCAGGGAGTTCTCAATGGGTGGCTAAGCAAGAAGGCAGGTAGCTGCTGAGAGGGGTGGGGGGCTGGGATGGGCCTGAAGGGAAGAGAAGAGAGGTGAAGAAGGCCCCAAGAGCGGGGGCGGATTAGGGACCTAGAGAAGGTTGCTAGGCAGTGCTGGGGGCCACTGAGTTTGGAAAGGTGGATTTGAGCGGCAAGAGTCTTTGTGGTCATGTGGCGGAATCTAGAGCCCCCAGCAGCCTAGGAGAAGGAGCAGGGAAGTCCAGTCAATGGAAACGTGGCATTTCTTCCCGCCATATGTCAGGAGGTAAGAAGGCAGGCAGGTGAGGCTGGTGGTGAGAGCGTCATCGATAGGGCGTGCAGCAGGGTCCATGGTGGATAGAGAACGAGGTGAAGGCAGAGTGGAGCCAGGAGGTCGTGGTCTTGAGGCAGTACTGGGTTGACCCTCCCTGGCCCAAGAGGTTGGAGGGGGTGGAGGTTTCAGAGGCCAGGGGTGCAGTGGAGACTGCGGGTAAAAGCAAAGGGCAGCAGAGGAGGGAGCAGCCATGGGGGCAGCACTGCCCACCTCACTCCTCTCTCCTCCCCACAGCATCCTGATCAGGTTTATCTCCAACCCCATGGCCCCCTCCTGGTGGGGCTTCCTGGTGGCTGGGCTGATGTTCCTGTGCTCCATGATGCAGTCGCTGATCTTACAACACTATTACCACTACATCTTTGTGACTGGGGTGAAGTTTCGTACTGGGATCATGGGTGTCATCTACAGGAAGGTCAGCTGGAGCAGGGCCCAGGGGAAAGGCTGGCCCTGGGCAGCTTGCAAGAGGCTCGCAGCCAAGTCCACCCACTACTGTCTACCTGCAGGCTCTGGTTATCACCAACTCAGTCAAACGTGCGTCCACTGTGGGGGAAATTGTCAACCTCATGTCAGTGGATGCCCAGCGCTTCATGGACCTTGCCCCCTTCCTCAATCTGCTGTGGTCAGCACCCCTGCAGATCATCCTGGCGATCTACTTCCTCTGGCAGGTGACTCTCCAACCCTGACCTCTGCCTCCTTCCTCTGACATGCTGCAGAAGTGGCAAGAGAGGATTATTCTGGAACTGGGAGCATGGCACATGCTTGTAGTCCCAGCTGCTCAGGCGGCTGAGGCAAGAGGATCACTTGAGCCCAAGAGTTCTGGCTGCAGTGCGCCACGATTGTGCCTGCGAATAGCCACCACACTCCAGCCTGGGCAACATAGCAAGACCTTGTCTCTAAAAAGAAACAAAGAAAACAGAAAAAAAGAAGGAGGGTTATTCTGGGTTAGCAGAGGGGATATAGAATTGACACAAGAGCTGGCTGGGCACGGTGGCTCACGCCTGTAATCCCAGCATTTTGGGAGACCAAGGCGGGTGGATCACGAGGTCAGGAGTTCGAGACCAGCCCGGCCAGGATGGTGAAACCCCATCTCTACTAAAAATACAAAAATTAGCCAGACGTGGTGGCGGGTGCCTGTAGTCACAGCTACTCAGGAGGCTGAGGCAGGAGAATCGCTTGAACCCAGGAGGCAGAGGTTGCAGTGAGCCGAGATCATACCACTGCACTCTAGCCTGGGTGACAGAGCAAGACTCTGTCTCAAAAAAAAAAAAAAAAAAAAAAAAAGAATTGACACAAGAGCTTCCCTAGGCATTGGTGGGGATGGAGGGATAGGACTTCGAGGATGCTGATGTCTGCAAAGGAATCTTCCCAACATCTGTTGCTATCCTTCCTGCAGAAGCCAGGGAGGAAAGAAAGTCTTGGAGGGAGGTGGGTGTGACTCTGGCTGTCATCGTCTATATTTGCCTTCCTGTGTGTCTGGACACCCTTCTATATCTGCTGTCTGTCCCTGTCGTCGTTATCTAATGGCTGGCTGCTTCTACAAATGTTGTGGTCATTCTGACTTTCTATCTGTTTGGCCAACCACCATCTTTTGCTTCCTGCCCATCTACACATTTCAAGTTAACAGGCCTCTGTTTGCCTGTTGGGTTCTCTCTGTAGACTTTGGTAATCTGTCCCTATGTGTCATCTATCCACCGGTGCCTCCTCAGAACCTAGGTCCCTCTGTCCTGGCTGGAGTCGCTTTCATGGTCTTGCTGATTCCACTCAACGGAGCTGTGGCCGTGAAGATGCGCGCCTTCCAGGTAGGTGCTGTCAGAGGTGCATCCTCCTGCCTGCAGCACCCGGCCGGCTGCCTGGGGGAAGGTGTCCACTAACCTTGGGGCCTCCCAACTACCTTGCTTCCTGAGTATGGATGGCTACTAGCCATTTGCAGAAACCATAGCTCACTCTTCCCTCACAGCTCTCAGAGGGTTTTACTGACATTCTCATTTTGTAGCAGAAGACCAACGCTTAGAGAAATAATGGCAGTCCAGAATCAGGCAGGGCTGGGACTCAAACCTGACTATCCTGGTCTAACAAGGAGTTTTCCCGCTGCACTGTGCTAAGCATGAATAGCCAGTCACTCAGTCTACTATTTGCAAACATTTCTTGAAGTGTTTTTTTTCTTTTTTTTTTTTTTTGAGACAGGGTCTCGTTCTGTCACCCATGCTGGAATGCAGTGGCATGATCTCGGCTCACTGCAACCTCTGCCTCCCGGGTTCAAGCGATCTTCCTGCCTCAGCCTCCCTAGTAGCTGGGACTACAGGCACATGCCACCACACCCGGCTTATTTTTGTATTTTTTTTTTTAGTAGAGATGGGGTTTCACCATGTTGGCCAGGCTGGTCTCAAACTCCTGACCTCAGGTGATCCGTTCATCTTAGCCTCCCAAAGTGCTGGGATTACAGGTGTGAGCCATCACACCTGGCCTATTGAAGTCTACTAGCTTCCCACTGCCCATAGGAAAAATGACAAACCCCCTAAGAAGACTCAGCAGGCTTCTGCTTACCTTGCAAGTCCTCACCCCCTGCGGACTGGCCAAGTTTCAGCCAGTCTGGTCTTCTTTCTTTTCTCCACAGCACCAAGCTCAGGGTACCTCTAGGGGCCACCACATATACTATTCCCTCTGCCTGGAATGCTTGTCATCCCCCTCTTGCCTGCCTAACTCCTTTCCTTCCCTTACCTCTCGGCATTGAAGTCACTTCCTCGGCTGGGCACGGTGGCTCATGCCTGTAATCCCAGAGCTTTGGGAGGCCGAGGCAGGTGGATCACCTGAGGTTGGGAGATCGAGACCAGCCAGACCAACATGGAGAAACCCCGTCTCTACTAAAAATACAAAATTAGCCGGGCATGGTGGCACATGCCTGTAATCCCAGCTACTCTGGAGTCTGAGGCAGGAGAATCCCTTGAATCCAGGAGGCAGAGGTTGCGGTGAGCCAAGATCGCGCCATTGCACTCCCACCTGGGCAACAAGAGCGAAACTCCGTCTCAAAAAAAAAAGTCACTTCCTCCAGAAGTCCACCCTGACTGCCCAGTCTCAGTCTAAGTTAGTTTCCCTGCCATCACCTCATTACTTTCTTACAGGATCCTGTGATTTCCCATCAGAACACACATAATGATTAATAATTAAGCATTTATTCAGATCATTGTTTGCTTATTGTATGCCTCCCCCATCAGATCGTCAGCTGTATCATGGCAGGGGCCTTGTCTGAATTCATCGTGACAAATTCTACACGTAGCCCATGGCCTGGCACATAGTAGGCACTCCATAAATAGGGGTTGAATGAATACATTAATCTGGTGTGCCACACCTTGGGCTAAGGTCTTGGAGAACAAAGAGAAATAAATAGTCCATCCCCTCAGGAAGCTCACAGTCTGATTAGAGAAACATATATGTAAAGGAATGGTTATGGAACAAAAGGAAAGTGCAATGTGCTTTAGAAACCCAGGGAAGGGGACCAGGTGTGGTGGCTCACACCTGTAATCCCAGCACTTGGGGAGGCCAAGGTGGGAGGATCACATGAGGCCAGGAGTTTGAAATCAGCCTGGGCAACAGAGTGAGACCTCGTCCCTACAAAAAAATTTAAAAATTAGCTGGGCATGGTTGTTCATGCCTGTAGTTCCAGCTAGTCAGGAGGCTGAGACAGGAGGATCAAAGGAGCCCAGGAGTTTGAGGCTGCAGTGAGCTATGATTGTACCACTGCAGTCCAGCCTGGGCAACACAGTGAGGCACCATCTCTAAAATAAATAATACTAGCAATAATAATAAGAAGAAGAAAAAGAAGTAGTAGGAGAAGAAACCCAGGGCAGGGGACAGAGGATGCTGCCTGGGGAGGCCGGTGCAGTGGCACTGAGGGTGGAGATGGATCTTGTCAGGCAGAGGACACAGGGAGGCAGGGGCTGTGCATTCCAGGCCAAGGCACAGCACAGGCCCAGCAAGGAGTTGTGAGAAGGAATGGTGGGCAGCGTGGAATGGCTGCAATGGATGAGAATGGATGGAAGGTAGGACCCTGTGAGCAGGAGGTCAGGGGAGGGAGCAGGTGTGCCACTGACACTCTTTCTGCCTGCACAGGTAAAGCAAATGAAATTGAAGGACTCGCGCATCAAGCTGATGAGTGAGATCCTGAACGGCATCAAGGTGCTGAAGCTGTACGCCTGGGAGCCCAGCTTCCTGAAGCAGGTGGAGGGCATCAGGCAGGGTGAGCTCCAGCTGCTGCGCACGGCGGCCTACCTCCACACCACAACCACCTTCACCTGGATGTGCAGCCCCTTCCTGGTGAGGCTTGGCACAGGGCTGGGTCCCTGCCTCCAGGGCTCTGGGTGCCCAGGCATGGCCAGGGCTCATTGGACTCTACCCTGACACCACCTCCACGCTGCTCAGGTGACCCTGATCACCCTCTGGGTGTACGTGTACGTGGACCCAAACAATGTGCTGGACGCCGAGAAGGCCTTTGTGTCTGTGTCCTTGTTTAATATCTTAAGACTTCCCCTCAACATGCTGCCCCAGTTAATCAGCAACCTGACTCAGGTAACCCTGGGTAGGGCTGGGGGCTCTACTGGAGTTGGAACAGGTTGTTGGGGTCAGGGAAGGGTCACTTAGGGCAAGGGATAATCAGGGGGAGTTATTGGATTCAGGGAAGGTTGCTAGCATTATGAAGAGCTATTCAAGGTTGAATGAGGTCATTAAGGTCAGGGGTCATTTGGAGTCACAGGTGGTCAGGTCGGGTGTCTGGAAACCTGAGTTCTGTAGATAGCCTCCTCTTACCAACCTGGACTTTCTCTTTGGGCAGTGGGAGCCATGGAAGACTCAGTCGTGGGAGGGACCCCAGTGCTAGTGTCTGGGCCCTCAGGGGGTCCTGCCTAGCCCAGGATGCTGGGGATGGGGCGAGGGTAGGGGTTGGGGGTTGGGAAAGTACAGTCTCTAGGGCTGACTCACATCCTCCCGTAGGCCAGTGTGTCTCTGAAACGGATCCAGCAATTCCTGAGCCAAGAGGAACTTGACCCCCAGAGTGTGGAAAGAAAGACCATCTCCCCAGGTCTAGAGAGCCCCTACCTGGGCTGCCTGCCCCAGTCCTTGCTCCAGAAAAACCTCTGTTTCAAGCTTTTCCTTTGTTCTCTCCTGACCCCTTTTCTTCTTCCTCTGTTCACATCTGCTTCGACTCTGACCTCCTCCCTCTTCCGGGTTCTCTGCTCTCCTCCGCCCTCCTCCACAGGGCTCCCCACATCCCTTTCTTCCTCCCTTTTCCCAAGGATCCCCTCCCCATGGCCCAGGCTCCTCCCCTGTCCTCCTTTCCCCTGCCCCCCAGCCTCCCTGCAGGCTACCCCATCCCTTGAGCTCCCTCCCTGACCCTGCCCACCTTGGTCCTCTCAGGCTATGCCATCACCATACACAGTGGCACCTTCACCTGGGCCCAGGACCTGCCCCCCACTCTGCACAGGTACCAGCTTCTCCCACTCCCTTCCCAGCTGCCCACGGTGGGCTGGAAGTTCAGATCAATAGCAGCACCCTGCAAAGCCTTTGACCAAGAATGCAGGAAGAGCTTCAGCCTGCCAGGGGGGTGTCTGGAAGGGCGGAGGGCTTGGTTCTGCAGGTGGAGGGTTGGAGACCAAAACCCTGATCCCTGCCTCTAACTGGACTCCTGGGGTCCTTGCCCCCAGCCTAGACATCCAGGTCCCGAAAGGGGCACTGGTGGCCGTGGTGGGGCCTGTGGGCTGTGGGAAGTCCTCCCTGGTGTCTGCCCTGCTGGGAGAGATGGAGAAGCTAGAAGGCAAAGTGCACATGAAGGTGAGAGAGGCAGGGGCTCCTGGGCAGGGTGTGGGGCTCAGCCAGGCCTTGGGCAAGCCCCGAGGTAAATTTCTCCTGTGGCCAGGGCTCCGTGGCCTATGTGCCCCAGCAGGCATGGATCCAGAACTGCACTCTTCAGGAAAACGTGCTTTTCGGCAAAGCCCTGAACCCCAAGCGCTACCAGCAGACTCTGGAGGCCTGTGCCTTGCTAGCTGACCTGGAGATGCTGCCTGGTGGGGATCAGACAGAGATTGGAGAGAAGGTACAGAGTCCTCTTCCATCCCTAAGAGGCTAGGGCATAGAGCTGCCCACCTCAACCCAGCCCAGGTCCATATATTCATCCCTTCATTCACACATTGGTGTAACGTTATGCCCAACTCTGTGCCAGGCACTGGGGAAACAGATCTATTAGCAGATCTGTTTAGTGAACAAGTAGGAACTATTGAATATTCTAGGAGCCAGGCTGAAGGCCTGTGCAGGGTACAGGGAGGGCACAGCAGGGAGCCTACATAAGGAAGAGCATCACTTTTTTTTTTTCTTTCTTTCTGAGATAAGGCCTCACTCTGTTGCCCAGGATGGAGTGCCATGGTGACATCATGGGACGCTGCAGCTTGGAACTCCTGGGCTCAAGTGATCCTCTCGCCTCAGCCTCCTGAGTATCTGGGACCACAGGCACATGCCACCATACCCAGCTAAATTTTTAATTTTTTTTAGAGACAGCGTCTTGCCATGTCGCCCAGGCTGGCTCAGGAGATCCTCCCACCCTGGCCTCCCAGAGTACTGGGATTACAGGCATGAGCTGCTGCACCTGGCTGAGCATCACTTTTTTTTTTTAGACAGAGCCTTGCTCTGTCACCCAGGCTGGAGTGCAGTGGCGCAGATCATGGCTCACTGCAACCTCCACCTCCCGGGTTCAAGCAATTCTCGTGTCTCAGCCACCCGAGTAGCTGGGATTACGGGTGCGCACCACCACACTTGGCTAATTTTTGTGTTTTTAGTACAGACGGGGTTTTGCCATGTTGGCCCATCTGGTCTTGAACTCCTGGCTTCAAGTGATCCCCCCGCCTCAGCCTCTCAAAGTGCTGGGATTACAGGCATGAGCACCGTGCCTAGCCTTAAGCATCACTTTTGACCTCAGTTTTAACAACTGAGGAGGAGGAGCTCATCATGTATCTGTTCATTCATTTACCATATATTTATTAAGCACCCACTCTATTCTGGGAAATAGTATACAGTAGTGAATACTAAAATGCCGGGCTAATATCTCTACCTTCATATAGCTCACATTCTAGTGGCAGGAAGAGATAATAAGTAAGATAAATAAGTACAATATATAATATGTTAGATAAATGCTCAGTGGAAAAAATAAAGCGGGGAAGGAATACAGGAATGCCTGCAGAGTTGAATGGTTAAGGTAGCTTGGGAAATCCTCACTGAGAATCAGAGAACTCAACAAAGAGACCGAGTGAGCCTTGTCTGGAGCCAGAAAGCTCTGTCTGGGGCCATGGAACCCTGTATGGGGTCTTGGAGTTCTCTGGCATGACTAGGAGTTGGGAAATGGAGGGAAAAGATAGAGAGAGGCAGAACCCTGATTACCTTGGTTAAGATTTTGGCCTTTACTCTAAAAAACATGGAACACTGGGGAAAATTTGGGGCTTTGCTTTTTAACAATTTTTAACTGTGGTAAAAACCACACATAACATAAAATATATCATCTTGCCCGGCATGGTGGCTCCCAGCACTCTGGGAGGCTGAGGCAGGTGTATCATTTGAGGTAAGGAGTTCAAGGCCAGCCTTGCTAACATGATAAAACCCCATCTCTACTAGAAATACAAACAAATTAGCCGAGTGTGATGGCGTGTGCCTGTAGTCCCAGCTACTCAGGAGGCTGAGGCAGGAGCATTGCGTAAGCCCAGGAGGCGGAGGTTGCAATGAACTGAGATTGATTGTATCACTGCATTCCAGCCTGGGCGACAGAGCAAGACTCTGTCTTAAAAAAAAAAAAAAGAAAAAAAAACTTAATCATTTCTTAGTGTACAGTTCAGCAATGTTAAGTACATTTACATTGCTGTGCAACCGATCTCCAGAACCTTTTCATCTTGCAAAACTAAAATTGTGCCTATTAAGCAACTCCTCATTCCCCACTGCCCCTAGGCCCCAGTAACCACCATTCTATTTTCTGTTCCTAGGAATTTGACTACTTAGTATCTTAGTCCATTTTCTATTGCTTATAAGAGAATGCCTGAAACTAGGTAATTTATAAAGAAAAGAAATGTATTTTGTACAGTTACGGAGGCTGAAGAGTCCACGGTCCAGGGGCTGCATCTGGAGAGGGCCTCCTTGTTGGCGGGGAGTCTGCAGAGTCCCAAGGCCATACAGGGCATCCCATGGCAAGGGGACCGAGCATGCTAGCTCAGGTCTCTCTTCCTTCCTTCCTTTTTTTTTTTTTTTTTTTTTTTTTTTTTTGAGACAAGGCTTCACTCTGTTGCCCAGACTGTAGATTGGAGTACAGCGGCGTGATCTTGGCTCACTGCAACCTCCGCCTCCCAGGTTCAAACGATTCTCCTTCCTCAGCCTCCCGAATAGCTGGGATTACAGGCGCACGCAACTACAGCCCGACTAATTTTTGTATTTTTAGTAGAGATGGGTTTCACCATATTGGCCATGCTGGTCTTGAACTCCTGACTTCAAATGATCCACCCACCTCGACCTCCCAAATTGCTGGGATTACAGGCATGAGCCACCACGCGCGACCTCAGGTTTCTCTTTCTTTCTTATAAAGCCACCGGTCCCACTCCCCCAGTAACCCATTCACGCATCAACCTATTAATCCATAAATGGATCAACCATTCATGAGGGCTCTGTTTTCATGACCTAATCACCTGGTAAATGCCACCCCTCAATCCTGCCACACTGGGGGGTAAGTTTCAACATGCACTTTGGAAGGAACAAATATTTCAACCATATCACCTAGGTACCTCACGTAAGTGGAATCATCCAGCATTTGTCTTTTCGTGACGGGCTTATTTCACTTAGCATAATGTCCTCAAGGCATATCCATGTTGTAGCATGTGTCAGAATTTCCCTCCTTGTAAGGCTGAATGATATTTCATTATAGGTATATACACATTTGTGTGCCCATTTATCCGTAGATGGGTTGGGCAGGACACCAAGCTGGGCAGGGTGGTGACCAATGGAGCAGAATGGCCTCACCTGCCCCAGGAGGACTTACCCTTTACCTCTGTCCCTCACAGCATTGCAGGGACAGACTAGGCCCCATGTGAAATATAGATTCAGAAGACTGCTGTTCTGGTCAGGCACAGTGGCTCACACCTGTAATCCCAGCACTTTACTTTGGGAGGCTGACGTGGGCCAATTGCTTGAGCTCAGGAGTTGGAGACCAGGCTGGGCAACATATGGAGATTCTGTCTCTATAAAAAATAAAACATTTTAGTCAGTAGCCAGGCATGGTGGTCCTGCAATCAATCCTAGCTACTCGGGAGGCTGAGGCATGAGAATTGCTCAAACGCGAGAGGCAGAGGTTGCAGTGAGCCAAGATCGCACCACTGCACTCCAGCCTGGGTGAGTGAGACCCCATCTCAGGAAAAAAAAAAAAAAATCTGCCATCCCAAATAACAGTGGACAGGCCGTTGTCTCCCTGTGCCTGTCTGACCCCATTTTTCCCACCCCCCGCCTCCCTCCAGGGCATTAACCTGTCTGGGGGCCAGCGGCAGCGGGTCAGTCTGGCTCGAGCTGTTTACAGTGATGCCGATATTTTCTTGCTGGATGACCCACTGTCCGCGGTGGACTCTCATGTGGCCAAGCACATCTTTGACCACGTCATCGGGCCAGAAGGCGTGCTGGCAGGCAAGGTGAGGCCTGCCAGAGGCTAAGGGGGCTAAGGTGAGATCTGAGGCCCGAAGAGAGAGCTGGTGAGAGGCTGAGGGGTTTGGATGAGACTTGGAGGTGTGGGGGGCGCAAGAAGTGGGCATGTGGGTTGGGCATCAGGAGAAACCTGTGGGGACAACTCCCCCACCTGCGAGGTTCTGAGCAGGCTGTGGCGAGCACAGGGTGAGTCACCCATGTGCCTGTCCAAGCTCCCTGGCACATGGGCACACTTCACACTCACTCTGTGGCTCCGTGCCTGTGCCAGGGGTGTGCTGGAGGGTGGTAGGGGTGAGAGCCTGCTGCCTTCTCCCCAGACGCGAGTGCTGGTGACGCACGGCATTAGCTTCCTGCCCCAGACAGACTTCATCATTGTGCTAGCTGATGGACAGGTGTCTGAGATGGGCCCGTACCCAGCCCTGCTGCAGCGCAACGGCTCCTTTGCCAACTTTCTCTGCAACTATGCCCCCGATGAGGACCAAGGGCACCTGGAGGACAGCTGGACCGGTATCTGCCATCCTGGGCCCTCTGATTCCCATGCCTTCCCAGCATTCCCCCTGTCTGGGGTCTCTGAGTGTGTCTAGACTGGCCTAGTGTTGTGCCAGGCAGGTTCTGGGAAACTTGGGCCATCTGTGTGACAGTCACCAGAGGTAAAGTAAACTGGACATAGTCGGGTCCCACTGCCTCCTCCATCCTACTCTACCCTAACTGTGGGAACTCAGATCCTCCGCCCCGGTCTCAGAGCCTGTTTTCTTTCTTTCTTTCTTTCTTTCTTTCTTTCTTTCTTTCTTTCTTTCTTTCTTTCTTTCTTTCTTTCTTTCTTTCTTTCTCTCTCTCTCTCTCTCTCTCTCTCTCTCTCTCTCTCTCTCTCTCTCTCTCTCTCTCTTTCTTTCTTTCTTTCTTTCTTTCTTTCTTTCTTTCTTTTTTTTCTTTTGAGGCAGAGTCTGGCTCTGTCGCCGGGCTGGAGTGCAGTGGTACAATCTCAGCTCACTGCAACCTCTGCCTCCCAGGTTCAAGTGATTCTCCTGCCTCAGGCTCCCGAGTAGCTGGGACTACAGGCATGCGCCACCACGCCTGGCTAATTTTTGTATTTTTAGTACAGACATGGTTTCACCATGTTGGCCAGGATGGTCTCGATCTCTTGACCTCGTGATCTGCCTGCCTCGGCCTCCCAAAGTGCTGGGATTACAGGTGTGAGCCACCTTGCCCGATCTCAGAGCCTGTTTTCCATCTGTTGAAAGCATAGGAGGGCCCAGGCCCAGCTTGTGTGGCAAGGCTGCTTCATGGATAAATAGTTTGGCAAGTATGCAAGTGCTTAGCAAAGCCGCTTATTTATCAACCAAAATTTATTGGACAATCACTATATACAGGCACTGTTCCAGACACTAAGCTATAGCAGTGAGCAAACAAAAAAATTATAGTCCTCATGGAGCTTGTTGACGTCTCTGGGCTCACAACATGCCCCTGGCTCCTTGTTGCCCAGACCCAGCTCCCCAGCCCCCAATTCTGGATTGGCTCACAGACCTTTTCCTGGGCTTTCTTGCCTATGGCTATACATACAGCCAACGTGCCTTGAGCATTTACCAAGTGCTGTGCCCCTCGCTCACACACTGGACACATTTTCTTTTAAGCCTACAGTCATGCAGATTTTTTTTTTTTTTTTTTGGGGACAGTTTCTCACTCTGTTGCCCAGGCTGGAGTGCAACGGTGCGATCTTGGCTCACTGCAACCTTTGCCTCCTGGGTTCAAGCGATTCTCCTGCCTCAGCCTCCCGAGTAGCCAGGATTATAGGTGCCCGCCACCACGCCCGGCTAATTTTTGTATTTTTAGTAGAGACGGGGTTTCACCATGTTGGCCAGGCTGGTCTCGATCTCCTGACCTCGTGAGCTGCCTGCCTCAGCCTCCCAAAGTGCTGGGATTACAGGCGTGAGCCACCATGCCCGACCAAGGACGTGAGTTTTAAGCTCAGCCAGTCTAACTCCAGAGCCCAAGTTCCTAACCCTTGTATTTGAGTCCGTTTCTCCATAATTTGTGAAGAGAGTTTTTCTTGTTGCTTAACCCAAGTCTTTCTTGTTGCCCTTTCAATCCCCCTCATTTTATTTTCATGCTTGTCCATTGAACCCCTTTCATTAGAGTGGGGAATGGGAGATACCAGGGGCTTGCAGGGAGAACTAGCTGAACCCTATCTCCTTCCTCCCACCCTACTGCAGCGTTGGAAGGTGCAGAGGATAAGGAGGCACTGCTGATTGAAGACACACTCAGCAACCACACGGATCTGACAGACAATGATCCAGTCACCTATGTGGTCCAGAAGCAGTTTATGAGGTGAGTTCCTGAGAGCTCCCAGCCCTCCCGGAGGCTGTATCAGGCCTCCCCAGGCCCTGCCAGATGGGGTGCAGGTTTCTCCCTGACACTCCCAGCCTCTGTCCTGGGGGGTGCTTGAGGCCCCCTCCCTGGGCCTGACCAGCTGCCTCCACAGACAGCTGAGTGCCCTGTCCTCAGATGGGGAGGGACAGGGTCGGCCTGTACCCCGGAGGCACCTGGGTCCATCAGAGAAGGTGCAGGTGACAGAGGCGAAGGCAGATGGGGCACTGACCCAGGAGGAGAAAGCAGCCATTGGCACTGTGAGTCGGTGGGGCAAGAGGGGCTGGAGGGGATGGACAGGCAGGCCCCAGCAGCCCCAGGGTTTATGGAGTCCCCTGTCCCTGACTGCCATGGCTGCTCCCTACAGGTGGAGCTCAGTGTGTTCTGGGATTATGCCAAGGCCGTGGGGCTCTGTACCACGCTGGCCATCTGTCTCCTGTATGTGGGTCAAAGTGCGGCTGCCATTGGAGCCAATGTGTGGCTCAGTGCCTGGACAAATGATGCCATGGCAGACAGTAGACAGAACAACACTTCCCTGAGGCTGGGCGTCTATGCTGCTTTAGGAATTCTGCAAGGTGAGCTTGTGGGGGTGTCCAGAAGGGGCTCCAATATCCCTTCTTCTCTGGGCTGCCAGGCCCCCCAAACCGTGCCCTTGCATCCAAGCCTCCCTAACCCACTCTGGTCAACCCGTGTCTCTGATTCTGCCCCTTTGTGCCCGCTCACTAGTCCAGGTGAGCCAGCGCCCTCTGCCTTCTCCAACAGGGTTCTTGGTGATGCTGGCAGCCATGGCCATGGCAGCGGGTGGCATCCAGGCTGCCCGTGTGTTGCACCAGGCACTGCTGCACAACAAGATACGCTCGCCACAGTCCTTCTTTGACACCACACCATCAGGCCGCATCCTGAACTGCTTCTCCAAGGACATCTATGTCGTTGATGAGGTTCTGGCCCCTGTCATCCTCATGCTGCTCAATTCCTTCTTCAACGCCATCTCCACTCTTGTGGTCATCATGGCCAGCACGCCGCTCTTCACTGTGGTCATCCTGCCCCTGGCTGTGCTCTACACCTTAGTGCAGGTGTGGGGTGGGCGTGATTCCAGTGTGGGCGTGGTGTTATTGGGGCGGGGCAACACATGGGCGGGGGCAGCAGGGGTGGGACACTTCAGGCCACCAACATTACAGAGTTTTGTTAGGGGCAGTCGTTGCTTAACATTTATGTTAGGGGAGCCATTACTTAACCTCTTTGAAACTCATTTGCCTCACCTGTAAAATAGAATGACTCATAGACCTTCCTCATGGAGTTGGTGAGAGAATAAAATGAAATAGTTATACATTGTAGCTGGCACTGGGACTTTCCTGTTGGCTTTTTTTTTTTGGGGGGGGGGGGACGGAATCTCGAGTCTCGCTCTGTCGCTCAGGCTGGAGTGCAGCTGCACGATCTCAGCTCACTGTAACCTCCGCCTCCCAGGTTCAAGCAATTCTGTTTCAGCCTCCCAGGTAGCTGGGATTACAGGCATGCGCCACCACGCCCAGCTAATTTTTGTAGTTTTAGTAGAGATGGGGTTTCACTATGTTGGCCAGGCTGCTCTTGAACTCCTGACCTCAAGTGATCCGCCCACCTCGGCCTCCCAAAGTGCTGGGATTACAGGTGGGAACCACCATACCCGGCCTTCCTGTTGGCTGTTTTTTGATAAAACATTGTCAACAGTTTGGGACACATTATCCTTTCCTTCCTTTTATACATATCTAAACATACGTGTATGCATGCGTTTAACATAGATGAGTTGATAACCTTCAGATACAGCTAACTGTAAAAGGCCTTTGCAGACACTGAACTCCTGTTCTGTAATGAATTAGTCAGTTCCCGGGGATAGATGCTCAACACCTGGGTATAGCGACCATGATCTAGGCTGTGCTCTGTGCTGGGCTAGGGGAGAATCAGATAGACATCCTGTATAGCCTGGATATCTGAGGCCACAGAGGAGAGGATGGAAACTGGAGGCAGAGCCGTGTTGTTGTGGGGTTGAAGCAGAGATGATCAGAGGGAGGGAGTGAATGACACATCAAGGCCCCAAGTCTTGGGTCCTTGGAGGTGGGGGAAGGCAGCGATGTCTCGTGGTGGGAGTGAGGCTGGCTGGGAGGACTCATCTGAAAATGGATGAGTTCAGAGACAGGCAGGACTGAGTTGGGGGTTCCATGGCCCTGACCCCAAACTCCTTCTCCCTCCATCAGCGCTTCTATGCAGCCACATCACGGCAACTGAAGCGGCTGGAATCAGTCAGCCGCTCACCTATCTACTCCCACTTTTCGGAGACAGTGACTGGTGCCAGTGTCATCCGGGCCTACAACCGCAGCCGGGATTTTGAGATCATCAGTGATACTAAGGTGGATGCCAACCAGAGAAGCTGCTACCCCTACATCATCTCCAACCGGTCAGAAGCCGCCTCCCTCGCTCCCTGCTCCTCCAGGAATTCCCAGCAGGCTCTCTGGTGTTCAGGGTCCTTGTCCCTCCTTTCCCCTAAGCAGAAAACTGGCCCTGCCCTGCCCCTGCCCCATTTCCTCCTCATCTGATCCCCCATAGGTGGCTGAGCATCGGAGTGGAGTTCGTGGGGAACTGCGTGGTGCTCTTTGCTGCACTATTTGCCGTCATCGGGAGGAGCAGCCTGAACCCGGGGCTGGTGGGCCTTTCTGTGTCCTACTCCTTGCAGGTATGAAGGGCCTGGACCCCAGGGCAGGGCCACCACTGGGACAGAAACCACACAGGTGTTCCAGGCATCTCCCGAGTGCCCCTCCCTGCTCAGTATGGGCACCAGCCACAGGGTCTGTTCTCAAGGACTGTGAGAAAAAAAAAAAAAGAAAAAAATCATTGAGTTGACAAGTTTATAACCACACACCATGGCTGGATGTTCCTACTTTCCTTCCCCAAGAAGCCCATGTTCTCACATTCAGAAAGAATTCTGTTGAATAATCTCTGTCCTCAAACCCCACATCTCTCTCCTGCTCAGCCGTCGACCTTGCCTGACACCTCACAGTTCAACTGGAGAGACCCCCATCAGCAGGAGATTGTGCTGCAGGCTGAGCAGGTCTTTGTGGCTGGAGAAACAAAATGTTTTAAAAGCCCAGAAGAGGGACTGGGTGCAGTGGCTCACACCTAATCCCAGCACTTTGGGAGGCGGAGGTGGGCGGATCACCTGAGGCCAGGAGCTCCAGAACAGCCTGGCCAACATGGTGAAACCCTATCTCTACTTAAATACAAAAATTAGCCAGCCGTGGTGGCGGGCATCTGTAATCCCAGCTACTCAGGAGGCTGAGGCAGGAGAATAGCTTGAACCTGGGAGGCAGAGGTTGCAGTGAGCCAAGATCACGCCACTGCACTCCAGCCTGGGTGACAGAGCGAGACTCCATCTCAAGAGAGAAAAAAAAAAAGTCCAGAGGAGTTTTCTTGCTTTGGGGTGTTGTAGAAATGATCTTGGAGCTTAGCCCCAAAGGACAAACAGAATTTCTCTTGTCTCTGGGCAAGTTGTAGGCTCATGTGACAGGTCAGGACAGTGTAGGGCTGGCATACCGCTCGCTCACGTTCACATGCTTGCAGAGAACGTACACAGACGAGGTGACTGAAGCCTGGTCTGCAGGTCAGGCAGGTCATCCTGATGCCAGCTTGTACTGTCAAAGAGTCACCTAACTGCAAACGGAATTTTTGTAAAGCAGATCACATTGTTAATACCTCAGGTGGCTCAAACCTTGAACGCGTTGGCAAACAAAAAACAATCCAGAAAGGTCAATTTTCACAAAGGTCAGTGTGCACATGAATCTACTTGTTAAAATGTACATTTTGATTCAGTAGACCTAGGATGGGGCTCAGGACTCTGCACTTTGATCAAGACTCCTTGGTACGCAAAGTGTGGCCCATGGGCCAGTTGCATCACCATCCTCTGGGAGCTTGTTAGAAATGAAGAATCTCAGGTTCCAAGTCCCACCTCAGACTACAGAATCCGGCGTTGCATTTTAACAAGATTCTCTGGGAAGTCTTATACATATTAAAGTTGGAGAAACAGAAACCAAGGCGAGGTGGTCCTTGGTTAAGTCTGCACTGTCACTGCCCAAGGGAGTCATTCGTGATTACAGCCCCAGCTGGCATGCCTGTGGGCTTGATCCAGGCCCACCTGGGTCATCCATGGGCTAGGATCCCATGGATGGGCACATGATCCAGGAGTCTGAACTCCTCCCAAAGCCATTACGGTGGGGAGGGGAGATCGCCATACGTATAACCCAGTCCCTTTGGCCAGGTGACATTTGCTCTGAACTGGATGATACGAATGATGTCAGATTTGGAATCTAACATCGTGGCTGTGGAGAGGGTCAAGGAGTACTCCAAGACAGAGACAGAGGTGGGTACTGGCATGAGCCCGGGACAGGGGGAATCTGAAGTAGCTGGGGAAGAAAGCTTGGTGGCTCTCTCTCCCTCAACATCAGGGCCTGCCACGTATGGGGCTCTTCATTCATTTACCCATTCACTCCTTACTGAGCATCAACCAATGCTCTATGCTAGGAGGTGTAGAGAGATCAGAGTTGAGCAAGACGGTGTTTGCCCTTAGGTGATTCTGATTTGGTGGGAGGGGTAAGACCTATTGCAGGGCTTTGCAGTGGATGACCAGATCTCTGGCGTGGTGCACCTGGAGAGGGCAGATGAGGGAGATCCTTCAGCTGGGGTGACCAGGGGAGACGAGCTTAGATGAGAAGGATGGACAGGCTTTGATAGACTAAGTAAGATGGTGGGGTGGGCAGTGGGAAGGTGAGCATTCCAGCCAAAGAGACCAGCCTGGGCAAAGGAGTGGAGGTGGGGCAGCATGCCCTTTGTTGGGGAAAAGGAGTTGTTCCCTACTGGGGGTTCCAGACTTTTCTCCACCGCCCCCTCTCATGGTCACACCTTAGCCCTCTTCATGCCCAGAAGCTGCAGCATCAGTGTCAAGCATCCCATCTTTGGCCCACGCTCCTATCCTGCTCGCTCTCATGCTCCAAGTCCCCCACTGTCACAGCAGTCTGCCTTCACTGGGACTCCCAATCCCATGACCCCCCTTTGTGTCTCTGTCCATCAGCTTCTCTGCCTTCACCTCCCTCCCCGGCCAGCCTAGAGTCTATGCTCCACCAACACAAACGCTCTCACCTGCCTTGCCCTTCTCTTTCTTCTCTCTCAGTTGTACTCACCTCCAAAACCCACCCCAGCTGAGCCCACCAATCTGCCTTCTTCATGCCTGCACTGAGCACTTAAAACCTTGCAGGAGGCGGGGCACAGTGACTCATGCCTGTAATCCCAGCACTTTGGGAGGCCAAGGTGGGTGGATCTCTTGAGGTCGGGAGTTCAAAACCAGCCTGGCCAACATGGTGAAACCCCATCTCTACTAAAAATACAAAAAAATAGCTGGGCGTGGTGGTGCACACCTGTATTCCCAGCTACTTGGGAGTCCAAGGCAGGAGAATCGCTTGAACCCAGGCGGTGGAGGTTGCAGTGAGCCGAGATTGCGCCACTGCACCCCAGCCTGGATAACAGAGTGAGACTCTGTCTAAAAAAAAAAAAAGCTTGCAGGAGAAAAATCACTGAGTTGACAAGTTTATAACCACACACCACGGCTGCATGTTCCTGCTTTGCTTCCCCAAGAAGCCCATGTTCTCACGTTCAGAAAGAATTCTGTTGAATAATCTCTGTCCTCAAACCCCACATCTCCCTCCTGCTCAGCCATCGACCTTGCCTGACACCTCCATAAAAAGTAGGTTCTAAGACGTGAACTCCCTCAACCTTCCTGCCTCTCAGTCTTTAAACCCGCCTGTGTCTCCTTCACCGTTGTCTCCTTTTCACTTTTAGCAGGAATCATCCCTTTCTGTTTCAAAGCCCAGCCCCTCCATTTCTTCTCATGGCCGCTTGAGGACCTGGCTTCCTCAGTCCCGCCCTCCATCTCCTGTCATTCTTGCTCCCTCTGTTGGACGCTTCCCATCCACATGCAAAAATATTCCATCACATCTTCCATTCCAGACACACACGCAAACCCTCCCCCCTGCACTCCACTGCCCCATTTCTCTGCTCTCCTCTGTCATGAAGCATGGTTTAAAGTATGGTCTCTACAAGCTGCATCCGCTTCCTCATCAGCCTTGATGTCATCTGCCTCCTGCAGTCCTCTTTCTGGCCCTCGCTCCACGGAGACAGCTCACCAGTGACCTTCCTGGTTCCAAATCCAGGGGACGCTTTTCTGTTCTCGTCTAATTCAACCTCTTAGCAACGTCCCAATAAAATGACCTCTCCCTTCTTCTTGGAGTCCTCGTGGATTCCGTGGCCTGCATTGCACCCGCCAGTCCACCTGCCTGACCCCAGCCTGGCTTCCCCAGGCATCACCCTCTGGCCCCTCACCCCTCACTGTCTGGGAGCTTCCAGTTCCCCTGCTTCATGTCTAGCAGCCCAGTTCCTGCATGGATACCCATGCTCCTGTCTCTGTATCCTATAAATGTCTGCCCTCAACCCCACGGCCCGTTCTCTGACGCCTCCTTGAGAGACCAATCTGTGCCTGCTGCTCTGCTTTTTCACCTCTGGCCGCGTGGTTTCTCCTGCCTCGAAGCAGGGCTGGCTCCACAGGAATAGTCACAGCGTCCCCACTCCCGGAAGAACTGCGCGTTTAGAGTAATGCTCTGCCGTCAGTGCCTTGACATTCTCCATCATTCTTCAACAAGAAGCCTCAGGTTTTCATTTTGCACTGGGCCTCCCAAATTATGTAGCCAATCCTATCTCAAAGCCACCATCATCTTATGCCCTGCCAGTCTATTCTGCTTGTAGCTGCCAAGAGATTTAAAAAAAAAAAAAAAAAAAATCAAATCACGTCATTCCTCTGTGTACAGCCCTCTAATGGCTTTGCATCTTAATCAGAGTTAAAAAAAAAAAAAGTCCTTAAAATGGCCTGCAAGGCCCTACATGATGGAGCCACCATTACCTCAGCCTCTTACCTCTTGCCTTTGCCAGTGTGCTCCAGAACACACCTAGAGCCATTTATGCCTGCTGTTCCCTCTGCCTGGCATGCCCTCCCTCCAGATATCCACTTGGCTTGTTCCCTCACCTCCTTCGGGTCTTTACTAAAGTCTGCCTCCTCCAGGAAGCCTTCCCTGACCACCCTGTATAAAGCAGCAACACTAAGCACTTCTTGGCCCCAGCACTCATCACTTCTTGCGTTGTATAGATTTGCTTATCTGTTGATTATATGCCTCCCTCTACTAGAACATAAATCTCACGAGGGTGAGGACTGTTTCAATGGGGTACCATTGTGTCCCCACTGCCTGGCACTGGGCTGCCACCCAGTAACAATGAATGGGTAAAGGTAATGAGAGGGGGAGTTAGGGCAGGCAGGGAGGGCACTTCAAGGAATATAAGGTGTGGCACAGTGGCTCACACCTGTATTCCCAGGACTTTGGGAATCCTCCTAGGCAGGAGGATCCCTGGAGGCTAGGAGTTCGAGACCAGCCTGGTCAACACAGCGAGACACAGTCTCTTCAGAGTTTTTCTTTAAAAAATTAGCCAGGTGTGGTGACACAGGCCTGTAGTCCTAGCTAATCAGGAGGCTGAGGCAGGAGGATGGCTTGAGCCCAGGAATTCAAGGTTGCATTGAGCTATGATTGCACCACTGCACTCCAGCCTGAGTGACAGAACAAGAACTTGTCACAGAACAAAACAAGTTAGCCAGGCATGGTGGCATGTGCCTGTTGTAGTCCTAGCTACTAGGGAGGCTGAGGGAGGAGAATCGCTGGAACCCAGGAGTTCAAGGCTGCAATGAGCCATGATTGAGACCCTGTCTCTCAAAAATTAAAAAAAAAAAAAAAAAGGAACATGGGCAAGCAGGGAGACTGGGAGGGGAAGGACAGGGGAGTGTTGGAGTAGGTCTGTGGGGAATAAAGTCAGAGGGATAAAGGAGTCATTGAACACAAGGCTGAGCCACAGGGGTGCCAAGGACCCTCCCAGGGACCATAGTTGGGGAGGATTGAGGGGCCTTGGGGGAGAGAGACCGAAAGGTGAAAGAGGGCTTCACTGGGCAGCTGATGTGACCCCATCTGCCCCTCCTGCCAGGCGCCCTGGGTGGTGGAAGGCAGCCGCCCTCCCGAAGGTTGGCCCCCACGTGGGGAGGTGGAGTTCCGGAATTATTCTGTGCGCTACCGGCCGGGCCTAGACCTGGTGCTGAGAGACCTGAGTCTGCATGTGCACGGTGGCGAGAAGGTACGCGTGGGGTAGGCGGGCCTGCGTGTGTGTTCATGCCTGCAGACATGGCCACAGCCCTTGTGGGGAGCTTGGGTCTTTTGAGAGCACAAGTGCTCCAGCCACATGTTTGTTCGGCCTCCAGGAGAGTCCTGGAGATGCGCCTTTGACCTCTCAGCTTCCCCCTCAGAGCCCCTTCCCTTCTCCGCCCAGGTGGGGATCGTGGGCCGCACTGGGGCTGGCAAGTCTTCCATGACCCTTTGCCTGTTCCGCATCCTGGAGGCGGCAAAGGGTGAAATCCGCATTGATGGCCTCAATGTGGCAGACATCGGCCTCCATGACCTGCGCTCTCAGCTGACCATCATCCCGCAGGTAGGAGCCTGGCATGGGCTGGCCACACTCACCAACGGCCCTGGAGGCAGGCCCCACCTTGTTCTGTAGCTTTAGGATGGAGACTGGGACCCCAGTCTCAGAGGCTTGGGCAGGTGGGGAGGGACAGACAGCAGGAAGCAGAGCCATCAGTGAGCCACCCGTCATGGATCTGGAAAGCTCAGACTTACCCTGCCCAGTCAGGCCCTGTCCTTTGACCTCCTGGGCCAGCACATGGGGAAGGACCCCTCCAAGAACCCCTTCCCCCGAGACATTCTGCCCTGGTCTTTTTGCGCAGCTCTAATTACATTTCACTTTTTCTGTCTCCTCCGGGGTATTTTTTGTTTCTGCCGAGTGGACACTTTGGAGTCAGATTAGTGGCTCTGGTTCCTGCTTCAACAGAGGTCTTCGTGATTGGCAAAGCTGAGGTTTATCACTCCCCTACAGGCAATTTTCTATCTCTTTGGCCATTGTGTCCTCTGGGGAGCTGGAAACAGAGTGGGAATGCTGCCACCTTAATCCCTCTCTTCTTCCCTGGACCTGGGGCCTATGGCTCCTCATAGGGCCTAAGCTGCCTCCCTCTGAGGCCACGTTGTATCCCCAGGACCCCATCCTGTTCTCGGGGACCCTGCGCATGAACCTGGACCCCTTCGGCAGCTACTCAGAGGAGGACATTTGGTGGGCTTTGGAGCTGTCCCACCTGCACACGTTTGTGAGCTCCCAGCCGGCAGGCCTGGACTTCCAGTGCTCAGAGGGCGGGGAGAATCTCAGGTAAACACTGGGAGTGCAGAGGTCAGGAACTGCAACCCTCCCTGGGAAACCCTGGCGGGTGCTGGGAAACCTGACACCAATGACACAGAGATGAGGCCAGCCCGGATGTGCACAGGGCTGTCCTTTCGTATTGAGCATATTCCGTGTGCCAGGCATGGTGTACTGCCCCGCCGACTCCTCACACAAGCCCCAGCGGTGGTCCATGATCCCACTTCACCGGTCAGGGAACTGAGGCTCAGAGATGGTAAAGGGCTTGACCTAAGTTGCACAGCTGGGAGAAGGCAGGTCTGGGATTTGAACCAGCTCTGGGAGATTCCAAAACCCTTTGAGGAAGCCCTCTCCCCTCCAGAGCTTTCTTACAGCCCCAGATTTTATGTCCTCAGCCACTGGGCTATGCACTGGAGGGGCCAGTAGTCACCTCTTACTGAGTCTAAAGGTTGGAGATACCTATACCTGTGCTAGCTGTGTGATTTGGGGCTAGTTGCTTAACCTCTCTGTGCCTACTTTTCTTTCACTCTAAAAGGCAGATAATAACAGTCCAAACCTCTTTGCATTATGCTGCCCAATAAAAAACAAAGCAAGTCATGCATATGAAGCTAATGTTTTTTTCTTATAGCCACACTTTTTAAAAAGGAAAAACAAGCAAAATAAACTGTAATACTATAACTTATTTAGCCCAATATATCTAAAATATTATTTCAACACATCATTGATATAAGTATTAGAAATATTTTGCGTTTCTTCCTACAAGTTTGAAATCCAGTGTATATTTCACATTTACAGAATGTCTCAATTTGGACTAGTCACATTTCAAGTGCTAATAGCCACATGGGGCCAGTGGCTACCACCTGGACAGAGCAGTGTTAGGGTCAGTGTGATGACAGGAAAAGCGCTTCGCTTGGATGCTCCTGTAAAATGTCAGCTTTTCCCCTCCTCCCTTCCCTCCATCTTCTCCTCCTCCTCCTCCTCTTCCCTATTTTCATTTTTATATTCAGTCCATACTCATGCACCCTCCCCAGACCTCAAAAACTAAAACAAGGCCAGGCACAGTGGCTCACGCCTGTAATCCCAGCACTTTAGGAGGCCAAGGCAGGTGGATCACTTG